>NC_000007.14:136256779-136881779 GCF_000001405.40 Homo sapiens
CATTAGCTTCTACTGGCAGAATCTTTTCTTCCTTTGATGCGTGTCTTGTTATGTGACTCTTTCAGCTGGGTCAAGTGGTCCCCTGGTTCCTCTGTAGATGGAGGTGAGAAGGAGACAGCCATCTGTTTGGATGGCTTGGAGATTCACCTGCCTGAAGGGAGGGAGTTTGGAACAGATGATGGCTTTCAGACTTGGGTCCAGGATCCCCGCCTAGAGTGACTGATCAGGTCTGTAATGCCAAGGGTCATTTCTTCTGCATATTTTGGACAGCAGCTATTGAACTGCTGGGCTCCCAGTCACTTCTACCTAATTGGGGAAAGGGGGCCACCTGCTCAGTATCCCCAAAATAGCACCAGTCTCCACCTTTCCCTCTTAGTCTCACCATCCCTCTGAGTCTTAGGGCTCACAGCCTACACTGCCACAGAGGTTCAAGTCTGTAGGCTTCCACATGGCTAATGTGATTTTATTGCTAAGTCCAGGAGGAGTACTTGCAGAGCATGATACATGTGTCATCTGAGGGATTCAGAGTTATTCAAAAATACTTCATATTATGAGTAGGAAATTTAAACAACTTTATTGAAAAATGGGCCATATCATACACTTTTCAGAGATTCTTCTGTGTGACTATAGAATGGCACCATGAGAGCATCACCTGTTTTCTGTTTATGCTATTTACCATGTCAGGTTATTTTTTACTGCCATATATATTTAATTTTGACAGTGAACAGATATACTAAAAATAGAATTACAGCGTATCATTTTAATTACGGCCATTTCAGTTGCTCATCAACATAACAATGAAAAATGGAAGGGTTACCACAACATTGCTGAATCGCCATCTCTTAATAGCTTTCTGTGAGTGTAGCATGTACTACCAGATAATTATGAAGATTAACTCTTGCAGATAGGGTGCCTGTACCTATTTTTAATAATTTGTACGCACTGAGGAAGGATAAAGGGTTGGAAATACAAGAATCTTAATCTTAATTATTTTACCCCATCTACCCTTTTATCCGTATTGAACTGTTGGGTATTTAGTTTGCTTTTTTTACTTTTCCCTTTTCCTTAATTTTTTGTTATGGTGGAGGAGAGACTGGGGATAGCAAAGAAAGGAAGCAATTAAATTTCTGTAAGAGTCACAGACAACCCTCTTTAGAACAAAGTAAAGTCCATAAGAATGAGTTTCCATATCTCTAAAACTCCACATAGCTTATTTAATACTGCACAGAAGGCGGGTTATTGATCTGTGTGTAGAGTTGTTGGCAGAGAGGGAGAGTAGTATATTCCAGGAGCTTCTCTCAGTCTGCAGCATTACTCTAAGCAGGAAAAGACCCATGATTCCCTGTAGTGTCTTCAGCTGCCTCTATTAATCCATTGTCAAAATCATGGCAACAGGACACAAGGCAAATAGCAGTTTTGTATCATCTTGCTTATGAATATGATCATGAGTAAGTGCTAGTAGTCTCCCCTTATGCAACTGGGTTTTATAAGCAATAGACCAGATGTATATGCCCTTACATTATAAATGTACCTTTAAAAGTCTGATGTCTAAATCATGATAAGGAATCATTTCCAATGTATAAAACTTAAAATTTCCAGAACAGAGAGCAATATTTATTTCTACCAGCTTTCTCTCCATTAAATAATTGTTTCAATATCAGGATGTGATTGGAGCTTGAAGAAGCTTCTCTTGGGATATCTAAGAATGGAATCCATTTTGATTAAATTTACTGGTAGTTGAGTCAGTATGTAAATGGCATCAAATAACCAACTGGTCAATCTCCTTGAATGAATCAACTAGCCAAAGTCTAAGTAACAATGGCTTAGGAACAGATCCAGATTGTGTGGGGTCTGAGGCTGTTATGATTTGGGGGCTTTCTCTGAGAAAAAGAATACATAGTTGCATATGCTACATTTGGTATGAAAATGAATATTTATTTAGAATGAGAAATCACAAGTTATGCATTAAAAAGTATACAGATATGAAATCATCACAAAATCCTGAAAAATAACAAAATATTTTTATTAACTTTCTGATATACTTTTGTAATTGCTACATTTTTAGTTGCTTCTTCAAATGACAAAAAATTTTAAATATAATTTTCAATGGAGATAATAGATAATAGTCTTTCCTTTATCATGTGGATTCAAAATTGATTTATGTTACTGATGGTTTGGCAACATTTATTTCAGCTTAGCAACCATCTATTGGTAATGTTATGCAAATGTTTAGGATTCTTGTCAAACTGCAAGAAATCTCTTTAAACTTTGCTTTATATATAAACTTTATATTGTAGGCATTTTAAGTTATCTTAGGCAGTATCTATTCTGAAATGTTATTTGATCTGACAACACTCATTAAACAGTGTGGTCGACATTCTCATGCAAATTTTGTTTTTCTTTACTAAGACATTAATCTGCCTTTTACTTTTTTATTTTTGGTTTGGAACAGTCCTGGTGTAATTCCTTTTCTCATGTTCATGATACTGATCTGCAAGCTTTAGTTTCCATTGTGATATAATAAGAATTTTGGTGATACTGAAACTTCTGCCAATCTTCTCTTTCGGTTTACATTTTGGCTTTTTTCTTCTTCTCACATTCGAATGTTAGTATTATCCATAATTCTGAAAAATTAAAATGAATCTGAAATTAACGCATAAACAAGAGAAGTTCAGTGCATCTAAAATTGCTGCTATATTTTGTTCAGCTAAAAGTGTTGTAATCAAATTAATCTTATACTACACACAATGACTTATTAATGAATATTTTTCACTTGTTTATTCAGTCTATTTCACTGCATTGGTAATAATATTGTGTGTTATTTCATCTAGAACCACTAGACTTTATCAGAACAACATGTGTTGGATATTCTAGGATACAATCCACTGTCCTGGGATGCATAAAATATGTAACAGCTATAGATTTGTGACTTACAAATACAAAAATTCTGGTAAATATCACATAAAGAAAGGATTCTCATACAAATGGGGAAAATATGTGGTGCATTTATATTTGTGTATGTTGCATAATCACGTGCATTCCTGACAGGAGGAAACTTCAATTTTGATCATGCATCAGTGAGAACAGAATCTTCTATGCAAAATGTTACACAAATTAGCTCTTGGCTTCCTACATTTCAAACCTTATTTCCCCTTCACAATCCACATAGTTTTGGTGCTGGATAAACTCTAGACCATGTTAACATCACAGTATAACTTCTGGCCAGGCATTTCTGATAAAAATCCCAGGTAAGTTGACAGGGTGGGCTGTAGAAACATTTCTGGAAGTCATTCCTACACTGAATGGCTGGTCACAACTTAATAGAAATGCCTGGAAGCTACAGACACATGTCCTGTTAAACCCCAACTCAGTATATCCCCAGCTCAGCTTCTTGTTAGCCTAAAACGCAAATGATTCATGATTGCACCAAAGTTACCCTACATAGGAGAAAATGTGACAGAGGAAATCAGAGCATAAAGAGACGGCAGTCTAAACCACTGTAGTTTAACTGTCTTTCATTTGGAAATTTACAAAATTATATGATAGTATCAAGCATGGCTAGATCTCCTTATGGGGAACTGTAAGGTGCAAGACCCATGAAGCTCATAGTACACCTTGCTCTGGGGGTAGATCTCTCTCTTTCTCTCTCTCTATTTCTTTCTTTCTTTCCTTTTCCCCTCTTAAGTTCACTTTGCAATGGCCAGGGAGTGATTTCATCCCTTCAATGTGAGAGACAACACAAACTTATTTTGAGACAGGAAGGCTGTTGGGGTGATCAGACCCAACACCAGGTTGTGGGGGCGATGAAGTCTGGTGGAGTCAAAGGATTGAGAAAAAGACATTTTGAGAGAGAAAAGTGGGACCAGGGGGCCATCGCAATTGTGGAGGCTGTGAAGGCCCCGAGCTCTGGGAGCCCACGCTATTTATTGGTAGTCCAGCAGAGAAACAGATGGTGAGAATGTGGAGGTCAAAAAGGGCAGGCACATGATCTACAGCTGTGATGGTTTAGCATTTATAAGGAACATGTTCTGCTACTTGAGATAATGGGAATACAATTGATGTAGGAGTCTAGGAGGGCCAGAAGCAAGGAGCCAGCAAGTCTAGACACATTCCAGAGGACATTATGTCAGACATGCAAGCCCTGGCTCAGTATTTTTCCCAACACTCAGCTTTTCCCCAACATGCACCCTTTCTCTTTTTTGTAAAAGAGAAGGTATCATTATTACTAGCTATCATTATTACTAGCATAAAAGGTGGCCTTTTAATTGAGCAAGGCAATTGCAGGCTGTGCAGCCGTTAATTGCCAGTTGGTGATCCAGATTCATTTTTCTTACCCCTTATGCGAACTGGAGTTGCTCTGGTTTGAATGCTTCCCACATACCTCCCCTTTCCCTTTTACAAGAGGACCCTTAATCCTAGGGTTGCAGAAGGATGAAGGTCCATCTTCTGTAACTTCTTCATGCTGAATAGAGGTGATGATATTCCTGCCTAACTATTAGGGTCTCCTGTATTCAGGGTAGACAGAAGCTGAGTCAGAATGCATTGGTCCATTAAGCATCATGACTCCAGTCGGTCCTCGTTCCATCTTTGCATTCAGATTCAACTGGCTCACGGCTTGTACTGGGGGAACCCGGTCCATAGTTGGGATCCATGGCTCCCTCCAGTCTCCCGTTCCATGTCGTACACATCTTGAGGACATCCACATGATTCATTTGTCTCCTGCAAAAACACAAGCATACCCTCACCCCCACGTTAGTAAATCTACTGAAACAGAAGCAAAAACTTTTGTGGCTGTAGCCGGGAGGGTACTGATATTGAAAAACAGGCCCCTTCTAACAGAAGACACAGGAAAACAAATCGAGGCTTTTCAAACCTTCAATTTGTACTGTACAGGTGGGTCCACTAGATGCTGTGGCTCATGATAGATCTTCAGATGTTTGGTGGGCACCCACACAGGCACCTGATCATCACCTGGAGAGACACAAGCAAATCCTCTTCCACATATAATTATCTTTCCTTTTTTCCAGCTCTTTGTATGTGACCATATCTTTTTCTAAGGCCTGCGGCATTTAGATGAGTTAAAGAATGTAATGTTTGTGCATCAGCAAAGGTGCAGACACCAAAGCATCTGCCCTTTGATTAAGTTTAGTTAAAGGACCAAAAGGTCCTGTTGGAGAGAAAAGAAAGAGCATTTTTATCCCTACCTCCCTCCCCTCTATTCCTTTTATATTTGCTCTTTGAGCCATAGCTAATTTCCGTAATTCAGAATGTTCTTATCTGTCTCTGCAAATCTCTGGTAGTCTTTGCTAGTCTCTACTTTTGTATCTCTTTAGGGCACTGATCAGTACTTCTCTAGGGCACTGACCTTATATTGCTAGTATTCATCTATCCCTATCTGTCCCTGTGGTACCTGTTAGTTCCTGCAAGTCTCTATCTCTCTATTTGTCTCTATCTCTCTATTTAAATAATCTCTATCTTTCTATTTATCTCTATCTCTCTATATCTTTATCTCTATCTCTATGTATCTCTATCTCTATTTATATCTATGTCTATTTATCTCTATCTCTCTATCTCCATCTCTATCTCTATCTCTATCCATTTATCTCTATCTCTCTATCTCTATCTATCTCTATCTCCCTTATCTCTGCTTACTTAGTTCTACTTACTTAGCTCTACTTACTTACTTAGCTCTACTTACTTACTTAGCTCTACTTATTTACTTAACTCTACTTATTTACTTAACTCTACTTTCTTACTTAGGTCTACTTACTTTCCTGGAAACCTTTTTTATGACCCTGGGTAGAGCTCAGAAATCCACTCTTTAAGCTTTGGTAAGAGACAAAACAGGGACCCCGGACCCGGCACCAGATTGAAGGAAACAGGAAGTGTTCTCCCCTCCCCAAAACAGGAAAACCAGAGTTTGGCCCTTGCAAATTTCCACTCCACATCAGCGTCATCCTCAATTTCCTGGAATGAATTGTTGATCGTAGCAATTAACATATTTAGCAAAACAATGACCGTTGTAACATTATAGACTCCATAAAGAACACAACCAATGTTTTCAATGAATTTGTGGTTATAGTTGATGACCACTGATTTTACTTCAGAAAGTCCAAATATAGCCCAGAACAGTGTCTTAAAACTCTGTTGTGAAGGTTTCATTTTGTTTTACACCAAGGTAGTAGGAGTAGAGGTTGAACATTCCCATCATAAAGGCCACAAACACCACAATGAACACATTCAGCGCATATCATGCCTGTGTGCTCATTAAATCTGTTTTTCTCTAGCAGAGGCAGGTTAACCATGAAACTGAAGCTTCAAGATAACTTTACTTGCCCTATGCAAAGCAGCCCATGATTTATTTTTTCTGGGGACTACTGCCAACCAGGCCTGTGTGTCAATCTGTAAGCATCCAACAGCAGGTCTACTGTACAAATAGGTCTTTTGTCAAACACTTATTAACCCAATATACAGCCCTTCCTGTTGGATTAGTACTACCAAAGCCTCCTGTTCTTTTCACAGTGCTGCTTCCCAGCTTTATGTCAACAACTGAGCAATTCTTTCTCCTAGGGAAGCAGACCATGGAGTAGAGGAACTAATAATGAATTGAATTTCTCCGGTATAATCAGAGTCAATTATTTCCATATGTACAGTGACACCTTTCAAATTTAGACTACACCTTCCTAGTAATAGACCAACTGTTCCTGAGGGTAAGGGTCCCCTGACTCCCATAGGGACCGTTTTTGGTGGCTCCCCAGGAAGTAAGGGTATGGGAATTGTGTGCAAAAGTCTACAGCAACACTGCCTGCTGTGGTGGGGGACAATTGTTGTACGTTTGTAAGGGCACTGGCTGTGCCAGAAATGCCTGAGTTTATTGAGGTGCTCTCTGAATAAACAAGCCTCAGATTCCACTGGGTCTTAGTACTACCAATTGCTCCAGGTTTTAATGTTGTAACTATAGGAGTGGTAAGTTTTGTAGCTAATTCATTTTCTCGCCCATTAAGGGGAGAGAGAGGAGGTGGCCATTCACTTAATCCAGCAGTTGGAGCTGAGGGGATAGTAAAACATACTTTTTTGTTTCCCTTTTTTTTCTTTAATTTCCTCCAGTTTCTGTTCCTCACATTCAGAATCTGAAGTTAGTTTTTTACACTTGTCCTCCACTTCCTCATCTGAATCTGCCTCATCATCTGTTTGAAATGGCTCAAGAGCTGCTTTTATTAGCGCCCACATGGACCAAACTGAGACTGGAATTTTTGCTCCATCCTTATATGCTTTTTAAAAATCTCTGCCAATTCTCTCCCATTCATCCAACTCCATAGTCCCTTGTTCTGGGAACCATGGGCAAAACTGCTTTACTGCACTAAAGAGTGATAACAAATTCTGAGTACTAACTTTCACTCCCCTTATTCGTAATAAATGCCTTAAGAAATTTAAATAAGCAGAATGTCTGCTTTCACTTTGTCCCATTGTTACCCTGGTTCTTCTGAGAGCTCATCTTTCCCGCTGAGCTTCTTTTAGATGTCCTTGGGTGTCCTTTGACGAAGGATCCTCTGCTTTCACACGCTCTAGTGTTCCTTTACTGGGGTCTTTGTCTCCTCACTTTGGGCGGCCAGGAATGTTGGGGTGATCAGACCCAACACCAGGTCGTGGGGGTGACAAAGTCTAGTGGAGTCAAAGGATTGAGAAAAAGACAGTTTGAAAAAGAAAAGTGGGACCAGGGGGCCATTGCGATTGTGGAGGCTGTGAAGGCCCTGAGCTCTGGGAGCCTACACTATTTATTGGTAATCCAACAGAGAAACAAGTGATGAGAATGTGGAGGTCAAAAGGGCAGGCACATGATCTACAGCTGTGATGGTTTAGCATTTATAAGGAACATGTTCTGCTACTTGAGATAATGGAGAGCAGGTTCTTTTAACCCAAGATACAATTGATCCTGGGAGAGCAAGGAACAAGGAGCTAGCAAGTCTAGACACATTCAGAGGACATGTCAGACATACAAGCCCTGCCTCAGTATTTTTCCCAACACTCAGCTTTTTCCCAACAGAAGGCCATGGATCAATGGAACAATGATCTATATATGGCACAGGCTTGACATTTCTCATGTTTTTAAGGGGCAGCAATTCTCATTGCTAAGTAACCTGTAATTGTGCTCATTGGCTTTTTCTACCATTTTCTGTTGAAAATAAGGCAAATACTTCCACCTTAGGAAAGTGGTGAAACAGCTAGGTTAAATAGATTTTCTAAGTTGAAACAGTGTCTTAATGGCTTCAATATTTGGGAAATGCTCTGTTAAATAGTTGTAATTAATATAAGACTTCCCAGAGTCTTTGAGATGTCAATGTGAACATCAAAGATGCTTTAAGAAGGGATTAGGGCATGCAACATTTCCTAAACTTATTTGATCAAGAATTTCTTTTCTTTTTATTTAATCCTCAGGATCTCCTGTGGACCTGACCTAGTGGAGAAATACAAAGCTTTTATTTCCATTAGCCAGTAGCAGGTGAGGAGTCAGGACTAATATTCCTGCCTGAGTCAGCTGAGATTACACATTTAATAAACACTTATGGTGCAATGACAATATAGTTTTCAATAAAACTCTGTTCTTAATAAAACCATAATTATTCACGAGTTTGTGATTACTAACATTTATATAGATTTTTTTAAATGTAATTTAACTTAAAGTTCTAGAATACAAGTGCAGGACGTGTAGGTTAGTTACATAGGTAAATGTGTGCCATGGTGGCTTCCTGCACCTATCAACCCATTACCTAGGCATTAAGCCCAACAAATATTAGCTATTTACCCTGAAGCTCTCCCTCCCTCCACCCTCACAACAAGCCCCAGTGTGTGTTGTTCCTCTCCCTGTGTTTATGCATTCTCACTGTACAGCTCCCACTTGTAAGTGAAAAAACACAGTGTTTGGTTTTCTGTTCCTGTGTTAGTTTGCTGAGGATAATGGCTTCCAGTTCCATCTGTGTCTCTGCAAAGGATGTGATCTAATTCTTTTTTATGGCTGCATAGTATTCCATGGTATATATGTGCCACATTTTCTTTATCCAGTCTATCATTGATGGGCATTTGAGTTGATTCTACATAGATTTTAAAATAGATCTCATTCAGAGAGGGTTACAATGAATTGAAGAAACTCAAGACACAAAATGACCATCTTTCTGATTCACATTGATTCTGGATTATAAGCTTTTGCAAAAATCTTAGACATTTGTTCCTGCTGTGATCAAGATGCCTTATAAGGGCTTGATGACAGGTATAAAGGTGTGTTTAAAAGAGAAGAAGGAGTACCAGGTGTGGTAGCATGTACCCAGCTCTTTAACTAGTTTCAGCTACTTGGGAGGCTGAGGTGGGAGGAATTCTTGAGCCCAGGAGTTCGAGGGCAACACAGCAAGACCCCATCTCTTAAAAAGAATAAAAGAGGGAGCTGAGTTATGAGTAAGAATGGAGGAACATGGCTGTGAGAATGGAAGGGAGGAGTTACACAAAGTGACAGATGAGAGATGATATCCCCTGCTGACGGTCAGGGCTGAGAATGAAGACTGAGTTAGACAGCTGTGTTGCTGTCCATTGACACAGAAGCCTTAACTGGTGGCAGTGTCTATTCTGCTCTGCTATTGAATCTCAAAATTGAACCTACCTCTTTACTTCCACTGCCATTGCTCAAGTTCAGTCCAGGTTTCTATCAAAACTGCCTCTTATTTTCCTAACTGGAATCCCTGCCTTACAGTTTATTTTTTATTGCAGCATTTTCTCTTCCCTGATGCCATAACTACCTTCCAAAATGTAAACATAATGATGCTCTGGACATCCACACAAGCCTTTTGGAAAGGAGCCATAGTTATTGCAAAATGAGAGGAGACAAGGAGGGGGAAAAAGGAGTTGGCCAAGGCTCTGGTCATCAGGGCACACACTGTGGGCCAAGTGATGGGTAAAAGCAGAGCCTTTGTAGTGCAGCTTGCACTGTAGAGCAGGCAAATGTCCTTAGTTCTGTTTCTCTAGTACTCAAGATTGAAGGCAAACTGCTATGAGGAGTTGAGCCAGTCCTTCCTGTGTTGACTTGAGCCTCATCGACTGCAGACACTCACAGTATGAGGCACAGTGCATGTTCACTTGTCTATGCTCAATCACACCACCAACTCACTTCCATTTCCTAATGTCATTTATTTCCATTAAGATTCTCTCCTTGTTTGGTGTCGCTGGGGCTTGGCGCAAGGCTTTTGAATTTCCTACTGAAAATCAAAGCTTACTGCTGTCAGATAAGATGAGAAGAGAGAACTGATGAAGAAAGAAAGAAAAAGGTACAAAAAAGTATTTATACTATACTTCCTGGTGAAAAATGGCAACAGGGGAGTTTCAAGCTAAAATTAAGAGTAAAGAGAGGAGGCGGGCAGATCACAAGCTCAGGAGATTGAGACCATCCTGGCCAACAAGGCGAAACCCCATCTATACTAAAAATTCAAATATTAGCTGGGTGTGGTGGTGTGTTCCTGTAATCCCAGCTACTCAGGAGGCTGAGGCAGGAGAATCACTTGAACCCGGGAGGTGGAGTTTGCAGTAAGTTGAGATTGCACCACTGCACTCCAGCCTGGCAACAGAGCTAGACTCCCTCTCAACAACAACAACAACAAAAAAAAAAAAAAAAAAAAAAAGAGGAATGAATAGAATCACAGGTTCAAGGAATAACATTAGGAAACCAACTTTAAAGTCATTAGTTTGTGGGTTCCAGTCTCGCTCTGCCAGTTTCTGGCTCTGCTTGTTAATATGTAAAATAGTAAAATGGGATTAATAACAGTAGGTGCCTCATAGAGAGGTTGCGAGAATTAAGTATTTCATATACTTAGTTAATTAGTCAGTGTTAATTGACATTTTTTTTTGTCATTGATGATAGCCTGATCAACAGAAGTTAGGCTTGAAGTTAGAAATGTTAGAAGTTAAAAGAAATGAAGATTATTCCTTCATCTTTTTCTACATTGATTGACTTATTGAAAAATTGTTACCATTTTTTGAGCACCTATTTGATTTTAGGGAGAATCCTTCAAAACAGAAGACACTGTTAAGAAGTGTAGAATCTGGAAGCTTAGAGAATACAGCTACTTTAAATCCTTTTTTGAAGTGAGACATAGACAATTTAAATATCAATTGGATAATCCATCAATAGATTAAAATTTCAGAGTGTTAGAGCTAAAAAAAGTACTTCACAGATCATTCACTCAAACCCTTTCATTTTCCAGATGCCCAAGCTGAGTTGCATCATTCATTCATTCATTCATTCATCCTTCATTCATTTACAATGTTTATTGAGTGCCACCTGTTTGTCAGATATGGTTACCTGACAGGTAGTTCCTGAGACACAGCAGTGAACAGAACGGAACTGATCCATGCTCTTTTGTAGCTTACGTTCTAGTGGAGAAGGCAGACAACAAACAAATAAAATAGCAGTGGTAACATGTCCTAAGACAAAAATGAAACAAGGTGAGAGTAAAGAGGGGAAGCAGGCATATGTGTTAGTGCTTTGTGGGTATGCGTGCTGTATTAGTCTGTTCTCACACTGCTAATAAAGACATACCTGAGACTGGGTAATTTATGAAGGAAAGAGGTTTAATTGACTCACAGTTCCACATGGCTGGGGAGGCCTCACAATCATGGTGGAAGGTGAAGGAGGAGCAAAGTCATGTCTTACATGGCAGCAGGCAAAGAGAGCATGTGCAGGGGAACTCCCCTTTATAAAACCATCAGATCTCATGAGACTTATTCACTGTCATGAAAACAGCATGGGAAAAATCCACCTCCATGATTCAATTATCTCCCACTAGGTCCCTCCCATGACACCTGAGAATTATGGGAGCTACAATTCAAGATGAGATTTGGGTGAGGACACAGAGCCAAAACATATTATGTGCATATGCTGTTTTTAAAGAATGTTCAGGGGAGGCCTCTTTGATCAGGGGATATTTAAGTAGGCACTTAAAGGATCTGAGTGCCAGATTTGCTTGTCCTGGAGCAAAGTAGCACTTTAAAGAAGATGCCTGTTCAGATGACTTGCCCAACCCTCTCCAGGATAAATTCACAAGAGATTTCGATATGAAGTGAGACAACAGAAGGACTATATCAGAGGAAAGGTGACACAAGTGCACTTTTGGCTATGGGTCATGATGGCTCTCAGAAGGTTACAGGAATCCTTTGTTGGAAACCCGGCAGGAAGTGAGGTAGAGTTAGGGCAGGGAGCAAAAAGATTAAAATGTGTGTCTTTATGTGGGCTTTTGATGCATATGAGCATGAGTTGATGTGAGGATATCTGAAACTGCTTTATCTACTGCAGAAATATTGTCATGAAACTTAAAGGAAAATTAAAGGAAAACAGGTGTAGGTTCTAGAGTATATTCTCACTGAGGCAGTAGCATAAAAATTTAAAAATCCCTGACAGCAGAACTGATAGATTGTTAGAAGGTTTAAGTTGGAATGTGAGAGAGGGCCCCCAGCCCTCATTCTTCATATTCTCTTTGTGGGGGTTAACTGTCAACAAGAGAGCAATTTCAAAGACAAGCTGAGAATGAGGGTGTGTTGGTGTCATGCCACCAACATGAAGGTCATGAATGTAAATAAGGTAATAAAAATATCAATGGAATGGTGCACTGTTGACAGGGAGTGTTCCAAAAACCAAACCAAACAAAAAACACATGGGATATTTGGAAGATCAACTCTTTAGACAGAAAATTCTATTAGCAATTCTATGGGGAACAACTCCCTGTAGGTGAAATGTCTTAGAAGCAACAAATTCTTTTTGTTCATGGTTGAATAAAATGAGATAATAATGCAATAATCTCCTAATTGAGAGAATATCCTGGAGATATCAACCATACCTAGAATGACCAGGAGAGGGTAGAAGACTTGATTGGGCTTGCCTAATTAAATATCTGGTTTGTTTCAAGAGGAAGAGTGAATTCACAAGACTAACTGTAACTTCAGGAAAAGTCTTAAAGAGTCCAGTGGAAACAGTTCTTAACCATAGAGTTTTAATGACAGAGCCTGCCTTTAAAATTTGTTTTTGCATATTCTTTATGAATGACAAAAGCATAATACCCTATCAAAGATGCCTAAGATTTTTTAAGTGTGTTCTTATCTATAAATAGATGAAAAATGGAACTTGAAAGTATTTGGGAAAAAATGGACACATGTTAATATTAGACTGTAGGTATAGGATATTTTCATATAGGTGTGCCCTTTTAGGATCTTCCTGAGAAGGAAGATACCAAGCTGAAAGTCCCTATCATTTAATTAATTAAGTGATGCTACAATGCTTGCGAGTTCACAGGAACTGGGCTGTGGATGCCTCTTGTCTAATTCAAAGTGGTAAAGCTTATATATATTAGAAATAATCTTCTACTGCAGCCATTTCATCATTCCCTCCCACTTTCATTCTCTTATTACTGATACGGTTTGGCTGTGTCCCCACCCACATCTCATCTTGAATTATAGTTCCCATAATACTCACGTGTAGTGGGAGGGACCCCGTGGGAGGTAATTGAATCATAGGAGCGGTTACCTCCATGCTGCTGTTCTCATTATAGTGAGTTACCGCGAGATCTGTTGGCTTTATAAGGGGCTTTTCCCTGTTTGCTCAGCAGTTCTCCTTCCTGCCATCCTGTGAAGAAGGATGTGTTTGCTTTCCCTTACACCATGATTGTAAGTTTTCTGAGGCCTCCGTAGCCATGTGGAGCTGTGAGTCAATTAAACTTCTTTACTTTATAAATTACCCAGACTTGGGCAGTTCTTTATAGCAACATGAGAATGGACTAATACAATCACAATGCCAGGGACTCTATCAGGGCCAGTGTGCCACTGTGATCTTTGCCCTTAAATGGAAAATGTTTATTGTCAGATGTCTCCTCTTCCCTCCCTTTCAACAATTAATGCCACTGACCTCAACGATGGCCTAGGGTACAGAACATTCTTCAGAATCGATGCTTCCCTTGATTTCCTCACCTCATATTTAGCACTTGAGTTCTCTAGCATAAATCAGAAGTATGACAAATTGTGGAAATCCTATATATCATCTAGAAGAAAGGAGAAATAGTTGAAGACAAAATGTAGTCGTTATCAGTAGGTATTCATCAATTACTATATATATTGAATCTACAATAGCCACTGATTTTTAAGTGGTGTCATCATTTTATGTAAAACTAAAGGCAATGCTTCCTCATTACACCAAGACGCAATGTTTCTTACATCTTATAATTTTTATTTCACATTATTAAGAGACTATTTTAGACTTAGATTTTTCTTTTATCATTTATCATCTTTGTGCATGTATGCATCTTTGTGCATCTTCACTGTGTGCAAGTGAAATAAATTGTCTGTTATTGCAGGAAGATGTGGAATTATAATCATTCCTCCCATGAAGAATATTTGCTTCACTGTTATTAGATTTATACTGTATTGCTCAGTATCCTTGCCTTTCTTCTTGTCTATCACATTTTATTTAATGCCGAGTAACAGTGCAAAATTTTAAGGAACACAATGAGACTCATCATTTGTAGCACAAGCAGTGCAAATAACTAAAGTGACAACCGTATGAAGATCTATGACCAAGTTTGCACACGTGCAGGCAATTACAACTTCCTCACAACTGCTACCTGGGTGGCAATGTTTTAAGACACCATCAGTTAGAGAATGTATTTCAATTTCAGAAATATTTAAGATGTGGAGAAAATGGACATCCAGTTTTTAACAAAATATGGTAATTACAGAAATATAAGGTAACAAAGACCTGTAATACTTTCTAATGCTGTGGGACAATAGGGAAGAAATGTCGGTCAGAGAATAGCTGACTTTGACTTTAATCTCCTGATGAATATATCCCTAATTTCAAATGAACCCTGGCACAAAAGAGATGCTCAGTACCAACCTCTTCAGGTAATGAATGAGAAGCTAAGGTTGACTTTCTTCTCTGACGGAGAAGTTAAGTTTTCTTAAAAAAATCATAGCTGATTCATAATAACATAAGTTAATTTTGACAAAAGAAAGATCACCAATGACCTCACAATCCTAATAGGATTACTTTTATTTTTTTATATTCATCTTAGTGTTCATCTATGTAAGTTTTTAGTGTTTCTAGTTGTAATCATAATGAATATAACATTTTTATACATTTACACTGAATATTATATCATAACAGTATAATTATAATTTTATGGCTGTGTAATATTCCATTGAATTATACACAGTAATTTATTTAAAGATTCATTGTTATTATACATGTAAATTACTTCTGATGCTTTGCTATTTTAGTTAAAGCTATAAATAACATTATCGTGCATTTAGTTTTCCCTTCTGTTAAATTATATTCCTAGGAAACATTCCCAGGAGTGGAATTTTTGGTGATGGGGAATGATACATTTTTATGGCTCTTGGTATAAATTGCCATAAAAACAGGTTCTAATAAAATTCAGTGGCAATTTCTCCTTAAAGATTCTGAAGGACAGGGGACTATTAGCCACTTTATAATACTGCTTCATTTTCTAGGATGTATATGTCATTGGAGGCATGGCTTAAGAAGAGAGGAAAAAACAAATTGCTGTCGCTTGGTTACTACAGCGCTCCCCAATTTTCGTACAGCCTGGGTGCTGCAGTTCAGCTCTTTGCTCTGCTTTCTAGCTTTCTCAGCAATTTTGCAACTGAACATAAGGCTCTAAGGGGCTCTGAGTTAAGGGATATCGGTCATTACTAGGTAGAACATGGAACAAAATTCTTTCTAAGTTTTTCAGAACTGGATAGTAAAAGGTAAGATTTGGTTAAGCAGGGTGGTTTGGTTACAATATAATTTGCAGAGTCGCTCTATGGAATTACTCCCATTTACAGGGTGAAAATGATGATGCCTATTTTGCTAGATTCAAGATAACTTATATAGTCACAGTCTTTGAAAAACAACATCTATGACCACCAAATATAGACTACGGCTAAAAGTTAAGGGCCTGAGAAGGCTATATATGAATTTAGGACAGAAGTATATGCCTCTTAGGAATGTATGCCATTTTAGAATAAAAAAAAAATCCTTTAGGTCATGTCCAGGTTTCTACCATATCCTCCTTATAGCACAAAGAATGTCAGTAACTGAGATAACAGAGATATTTATTTGTCTCCCATGATACTGAAGGAAAAATTTAAGCAGGCATTACAATTCACACAAGTCTTATACAGGCTGTGTTCTTCATATAGGAGGGTTACTTTGTTGACCTATCTGTTAACCTATCCTAAGTAAAGCCCTTCTTTGTTTTCCATTAAAAAGTTTAGTTTTATCCATGTTATCTCTGTCCTCACAGTTACAAAGGACTTAAGCATCTTTTTGAGAAAAGGCATGCGTAAGTAACTTTTTAAGAAAAGGGTCAGGGATGCCATCTGTGGCTATGGGAAAGCAAAACAAAACAGAATTATCTCCAGAGAATGTCACAATGGTTATCAGAACACACAAACTGCTGTTTGCAAACCTGTGTTAGGATCGCCATGATACTAAATCTCAAAGAAAGTCTCTATACACATGTGATATTATGATACCAAAGAGCTCAAATAGGAAGTTTGAGTTCAGATTTTCGATCATTTGGTTTTTGTAGCATTTATTATAGAAATTAGTAAATTATCTCTAGTATTTTCATTAAACATTTGGTGCTGTCAGTGCTGTTAACCATGGAAACACATTTGTGTTGTAGTAATCAGGACTTGTTCAGGTGCAAGTGACAGAAACACAACACAAACAAATGAGAAGGGCACTTTGTGGCTCATCTTACAGGGCAGTCTGGATAGTTTTGGCACAACTTGATCCAGGGGCTTGAAAAATGTGATCATATTTCTATTTTAATCTCCATTTCATGGTTCTGTACTTTTTGTCTTTTTCATGCAGGTTCTAGCCATTTGTTAGGAGAGATGGGCTCTGGTAGCCCAAAGTATGCACTTACTGTTTGTGAACCCACCAAAAGAGAGAGTTCCTGTCTCTGTCAGCACCAAAGCTCAAGATAGACTTTAATTGACCATGTTGGTGTTAGATGCCCATCCTTGAAAAAATTACTTAAGAAAATGATATCCTCTCATTGGTGAAACCTGAATTATCCTTCATCCCTTTGGCAGGTGGGGCCAGGCATCAAGACTGACTGTGGATTTTAAGAGGGGTGGTGCTGCAGGAGAGAAGGGTGCTCCTACTAGAAGAGGAGGAAGAGATTCTGAGCAAACCCAACAAGCAGTCATGACAGTGGCAGTTCTAAATGCCTACAAGATCCACTAAACATTGGTTACATTTGAGAAGGTCTTTCCCAGTATTTTTCCTTTTCTTTTGTATTTGCTTTCCATAATCTTCTATGTAATCTGACATTTAAGTGCATGTGTTTAGAAGACTGCATCAACTGTGTACTGTTTCTTGTGCATAAATAGATATGAGCTTTAAATCAAAGGAGGTAAAATCTATTATCTCTTTCTAGTATTTGGAATTATTTCCTAGTTTTTCTAATAGCCTTGATTATTGGGCTTTGATGTAATGGGATTCACATCTTTACAAAACTTCTTTCTATAACTTTGTGGTTGGTATTCAGTGGTCTCAACACCTGAAAGAATAATGGTTTTCTTTTCTTGAAATAATAATGTTTTTCTTTTCTCAACTCAACTTCTGCTCTGTATACCAACATAATTAACAGACAGATAAACCAAGTGCTCCGACTTCAAGGGTTTTCTCTTGAGGAAGATTTAGATGCTATATGAACCCTTTAATGTACTTATGCTTAAATGTGGATGCATTAGACCAAGTGACTCCTTTCTAAATTTCTCCTAAGGAGTCATGATCTTGTAGCCTTCCAAGTAGCAAGTTTTCCCATTAGAATGAACTTCTCTGTTCTTTCAGTAGTATATTTTATATTTCCTTACTAAATCTTGATTACAGGACTTATTAGCCTTGTGTAAGCAACTGTAAGTTTCTTTATTCTAGCAACTGGCTAATGATATGTAGAAAGAAGTCCACCCTCTGAAGTTAATGACTTCTAAATACTCAGCATACAGAGTCCCTCCAGACTTACTCTAGTTTTCCTGTGATCATGCTGAGGATTTGGACTAAAGCATCATTATTCTATAACCCAAGGAAAACATTTGATATGTCTTGGGAATAACTGTCTGATCTGTGGATATACAGGAAACACTCCAGTTTTTCTACATATGTTACCTAAATAATCTTCCTTCCTTCCTTCCCTCCTTCCTTCCTTCCTTCCTTCCTTCCTTCCTTCCTTTCTTTCACTTTCTTTCTTTTTCTTTCTCACTTTCTTTCCTTTCTCTCTTTCTTTCTTTTTCTTTCATTCTTGCTTGCATTCTTGCTTGCTTGCTTTCTCACTTTCTTTCTCTTTTTCTCTTATTTTCTATTTTTCTCTTCTTTCTCTTTTCTTCTTTCTATACTCTTTCTTCCTTTCTCTTTTTCTCTTCTCTTTCTTTCTTCTCTCTCTTTCTCTCTTCTTCTTTCTATACTCTTTATTTCCCTCCCTCCCTCCCTCGCTCCCTCTCTCCCTCCCTCCCTTCCTTCCCTCCTTCCTTCCCTCCTTCCTTCCTTCCTTCCTTCCTTCCTTCCTTCCTTCCTTCCTTCTTCTTTCCTTCCTTTCCCTTCCTCCTTTCTTTCACTGAATTAATGAACAACCCACAAACTGAACGGGTTTAAATGTAAATGGGTTCAAAATGAGAACTAATCAATGTCTGAAAAAAATAGCTTTACATTTCATTGCCTAAGATAAATAATGCTTCATGTCAAGGAGTAGGAGACTTTCCACAGTTCATAAAGCAGTGATATTTATGTAAAATTTATTTTTAAAATAAACTAATTTTAAAAATGTAGATTTTCAGAAACATCTTAAAGGGGCTGGCTGTAGAAAAAAATAATTGGCCAATGTTTTCCATTAAGATGAAAGTCTCAGGAGAGGGATGGACTAAAAAAAGATTTCTTTTTAATTTGGAGGATGTTTCTTTTTTCAAAAACATAATGAATCAGCCAATCCCAAATTCTGTCTGAACTGGAATGAAAAGGACTAAAGAGGATAAAGTGGAGGCTGACTAGTCTCTTGCTTAACTCTTTCACAACTGCTCCTTTCCAGGGAGCAACTTGTTTTTCCTGGGTCTTTAAGTCTACTTGGTGGGCTGGGCTGAGAGCTCGTTGATGAGACACTTCATGTCTGCCATCTACTTCTTATTCCTCAGAGGGGTTGTGCACATGTGGTTTTGTTTATCCTCTCAATTATCACTCACGGCTCAGTTATTTCCACTCTGGATCATGCCTTAGACACACACACACACACACACACGCACACACATACACACACACTGACTCTCTCACTTTAAACCTATTTCTTAGTTTTTTCAAAGGTATCTCTCATCTTTTTACTCTACCACCACCTTATTCTTATTGCATTTACGAGCTAGTGGATGAGAGTCATCATGGAAGAGAAAGGTGAGAATAGTTTTGGCTGTATACACACATCAAGAACAAAGTAAATCGTAAGTTCTGAAATGAAATAAGACATGAAAAAGTGCTATCATCTCCTAAGACTTTCTATTCTAGATATTCTCAATCTAATGTTATTTGCCCTTGTATTAAACCTAGTATTCATCAAGCAACATTTGAGATAAGTAAAAACAGTCTTGCATCAATTGCATTTTTAAAATCTCTGCATTATGAAAGTTTGTTTTATTTGTATGCATTTGGTTCATTCAAAATATAACAAGGGGGTAAAGCAGATTTGCAGAGGAAAATTAGCAAAAGCATTAACCGACAGCTGATTTATAAAAGCAGGCTTATTTTAATTAAAAAGTATGTAAGGTAAGTCACTTAAATTGTGTTTACTTAATAAATTGTTTTCAGTCTCTATTATGATGGTTTAATAATTACACATGTCATATATTTTTAATGAACAAACATGAAATGCTGATTATGTTTCTTATTATTTGGAGAAGTAGAATATTAAAAATTAAAGCCTTTCTTGCAACAACCACTTTAAGTAAAAAGCTCTGACTGATGCCTGTGAAATTACTCAGATTAAGATTCAGCTCACATAAGAAAACGCCACAGGTAGCACATTCTTTCTTCTGCTTTTCCTTTTTTGAGGTAAATAACAAGATGGAAAAAAAGTGAAAGCTGATGAAAAGCTCAACTTCTTCCTGAAATTATTGTTCATTCACCATATTCAGTTATGTATGGGAAATATGCCGGGTGCAGTGGCTCACAACTGTAATCCCAGCACTTTGGGAGGCTGAGGTGGGAGGATTACCTGAGGTCAGGAGTTCACGACCAGCCTGGCCAACATGGCAAAACCCCATCTGTACTAAAAATACAAAAATTAGCTGGGTATGGTGGCTTGTGCCTGTAATCCCAGCTACTGAGGAGGCTGAAGTAGGAGAATGGCTTGAACCTGGGAGGCGGAGATTGCACTGAGCCAAGATCACACCACTGCACTCCAGCCTGGGTGACAGAGTGAGATTCCATCTCAACTACAACAAATAACAAAAGAAATAAATTGTATTGGTGCTGGCGGTAGTGTTGAAGTAGACAGAGACAGTCCCAGCCCTCAGAAGCTCACAGCTTATAAAGGAAAGTAGGTCTGGAGTAAGTGATGGTGAGTGTTGTAAAGGTATTATCATGAGAGTCACTAATATGGGATATATAACTCAGCTGGGAGTGGGAAAGAGCTCAAGGGAAGTTGAATAAATGCTAGTTAGGTTCAGGGAGGGGTAGACAGAACATTCCTAGGGAAGGTTATAGGGGCCTCAGGCAGGCAGGAGAATTTGAGGATAGAATAGTTTATTATGACTGGAGTATGGAGACTTGGGGGTGAGGGGAGGGCTGGTGGCAAGCATTTAAGTCAGTAAGGTAAGCAAGCTGGCCCTCAAGGTCACATCAAGAATTTTCAGCTGTGACTTCTAACCCAAAGGGAAGCAATTGAAAGGTTCTTCAGCATCAGGGAACTTTGAATAAGAGACAAGAAAAACCATCTCTTTCAAATACCTCTCTAAAGCGGCATACAACAGGAATCCATTTTGAAAGGTGAGCTGTCACAGTCAAAATCTTTAATAAGTAGTAATGTAAATTATCTTCTGAGATAGGACTCCTTCCTTACTCATTAAATTTACACTACAGGTCACTTAACAATTGGTCTCTAAGAACATGAATAAAATAACTTTGCCATCTACACAAAGAAATGAGCTTCTGGAATTGGACAATTTTGGGTATTAGATCTGAGTTGAAACAGATAATTGCAGTGTTTTCCCCACTTCTGGGACCTTTCAATATTCTTGCATGAAAGAATTTTCTGAGAGCAGCCATATTTATATGTTTGCTTTCATCAATAACCCCAGCCATTTGGCCGCCCACATGTGTCAGCATACACGTATCCTTGGCATTAATATGCTTGTATAAACAGAAGCATAAAGAAGCTCATTGTTAATATCTGCTCAGGAACAGAAAACTAATGATTTATGATTATGTCTATGACATCAGCTATGCTAGAGGCTATTGCAGTATTGCTATGGGAACTTTTGATAACTTGTTTTGAGTTTCCTGCAGAATGCACAACTATTTTAAAAATGACCTGTGAATAGAGGACAAAACTTTATTTTAAACCTTCTCTGACATGATACTCAGCAAAAATTTTAAAGCAGTTTCTGATTAAAAAATAACCATGTCATTACTTTAGAAACCACTCATTCAAACAACAATTTATTGGGCACCTTATTTGTGACGCAGTTTACGTATATACATTTTAATCTCCCAACAAGCCTGAAAATTAGATATTTTGGGTATCTTCACTTTATTAGTCAAACTCAGGATCAGAGAGGTAAATTTGCCCTAGGATACAAAGCTAATAAGTACTGGAAATGTGATTTAAACTCAGACTGGCTCTTGCAAGAGAATGTGCTATTTCCCCTACCATGCATTGCCTCCAAAGGGCTTATTTAATATTTATTAAGTGACTTACGTGGGCTAGTTGTTTTGTGGATCATGAAGCTGTGCCATAGGTCATGAAAAAAATGAAGGGGAGTTGTAAATTATTAAGACATTTGCTTTGAGGAAGTATTTGCTATCCTGGAGCAGGATCTATTGTAGCTCAACTGGGTGAGCAAAAGACAGTCATGGGGTAGTGGACTTTTAATTCCATTTCATAGTCTCTGGCAGAAAAGAGGAATCTTCATTCTTGTTTATTTGCTTAACACTTGTCTGAAAACAATTATACCTAATGAGGAGGATTAATGAAAGTTCAATGTGCTTCTTCAGGTTTCATTTAAATATGATTGATGGTTAATATGGAACAGTGATAAATGTATACAATTTTTCCTGAACATTTAATTTTTTAAAAAGAAACACTAGCACTTCTCAAATTATATTTGGCTGAAGATTCGTAGTTTGTTAGATGTTAATAAGCGATCTGCGAAAGAAAACGAACTCATGGTGAAATACATTTTGGAAATTCTTGGCAATACACTGTCAAAGTTTATTTTTATCACTAGATTTCTTAGGACATTTAATAGGTAAATTATAATTACTGATTCCCAGGTACCACACTGAACCCACTAAATCAGAGTTTCTGGGGATAGTACCCAGACATCAGTACTTTTTTTTTTCTTTTTCCTTCTTTTTTTTTTTTTTTTTTTTTGAGACGGAGTTTTGCTCTTGTTGCCTAGGCTGGAGTGTAGTGATCTCGACTCACTACAACCTCTGCCTCCTGGGTTCAAGCGATTTTCCTGCCTCAGCCTCCCTAGTGGCTGGGATTACAGGCGCCCACCACCACACCTGGCTAATTTTGTATTTTTAGTAGACACGGGGTTTCACCATGTTGGCCAGGCTAGTCTTCAACTCCTGACCTCAGGTGATCCGCCCGCCAGGCATCAGTACTTTTTAAAAGTTCTCCAGGTGATTCAGGCATGCAGATACATTGTTGTTATGAAACATTTTTCTTAGTGCATAAGTGCATAGTATATATGCTCAGTCTAGAGGCCAGCTGTTTTTCATATCGTCCCCACCCCTATTTGTTGCAATAGAGAAAAAAAATGATGATAAATGACACAAGGTAGGGAGGCTTTTGTAGTTTGTCACATATTTATTTCCTTATTCAATAAAAGTCAATTTTGATCAGATATTCTGTGAATCACTTAACAGATGAAACTATAAGTGGAAAGGAATTGACCTGAAAATAAGCCGAATCCCACCCTGTATCTTCTGATTTCTGTCCACAATGCTTCCTGGCTTTTCTAGAAGGAGCAGCTGGGATCGCCTTCCTAACACGGTGCCCTCTGCTATTGGCCCCCTCTGTCACCTGGGGCACCCACTGCTGCAGCCCTGCTGAGAGCTAAAGGCTGAATTTCACCTTTCATCTTTTACTTTAGTTCCATAGTTGTGGCAGAGGCTTCAGGTCCTGTTAAGCAGATTCTTGTTCTTTTTTATTCTGTTCTATATGTCTGAAAATTTGTGAGATGAGTTTATTAAAGATTAAAGTTGACTGTATGACTGCTTTTCTTTTCTTTCTTTTTCTTTTTCTTGAGATGGAGTCTTGCTCTGTCGCCCAGGCTGAAGTGCAGTGGCGCGATCTCGGCTCACTGCAAGTTCCACCTCAGCCTCCCAATTAGCGGAGACTACAGGCGCCCGCCACAACGCCTGGCTAATTTTTTTTGTATTTTCAGTAGAGACGGGGTTTCATGGTGTTAGCCAGGATGGTCTCGATCTCCTGACCTCGTGATTCGCCCGCCTCCACCTCCCAAAGTGTTGGGATTACAGGCGTGAGCCACCATGCCCGGCATGACTGCTCTTCTTAATACCTTCTACGGAGCCCATTGGCTCCCACGTTCAGACAGATCCAGGAGGGAAGCTGTCCCATCCCTGTGCACGCTCATCTCTCCGGCATGTCTTACTGCTGGTGTTTCAGGCCTTTCAGCTTCAGATGGACTTCCCTGCCAGCTGTTCCACGAGCACCACGCTTTCCTTGTAAGCATTCCTTGCGTATCTTCTGGTTAATTCTTATTTGACATGACCTTCAAAACTTAGCTCATAAACTGCCTTTCGTATCAATGCCTCCTTTCTCACTCACCTACTCACCTGGGTTAGTATCCCAGTGGTATCACAATGGTACTTAACAACATATTCCCCTCCACCTGGGTTATAGACTCCCTGAGGGCAGCGTTTGTGTCTTGTTTCCCTGTTCCAACTGAATGTCTTGAATATAAAAATATGCTTAACTGATGTTTATGAGTAAATGAAAAAGCTCTCTTCACTTGCTCTTCCATGCAATGAACACACCTGCTCACACATTCACATCTTTACCTCCTTTTTGAACCATTTCCCTTCTTTTCTAAACCACCTTTTCTATTCATCAGTTGTGGCTCTTGTTGTACCTCCTCAATATTGACATTATATTAATTTTGACTTTATAATTTATTTTTACTTTACACTGTGGAGTTTATGAAAATATTACATGTGTTTTATATCCCCAAGTGGATGGTAAACTTTTCAAGCTTACCTGTATTCTCTCACTTCCAACTTCAAATACATATTGAATGCCTGTACACTTCTGATAATGTAACACAGGTGTATATGTTAGTTTTATTGAGTTCATCTTCTGTATGTTTTCTCTCTTTGTGCCCTCATTTATGGTTCCAGCAATTAACTTTCTGCTTGTAGATATCTTCATTCTTTATTTTAATAAATTAGTTTCTTATTTTCACATATATTTACTAAGCACCTCTTCTAGGTGCTGGGAATATAGCGATAAACAAAACAGACAAAAATTCCTGCTCTGATTAGTGTAAGCTGAAAATAAACAAGATAAACAGATTATACAGTGCTACATGATAATAAAGGTAATGATGAAAAAATATATATCATAGGGCCAAGTGTGGTGGCTCATGCCTATAATCCCAGCACTTTGGGAGGCCGAAGCGGGAGGATCAACTGAGTTCAGGGGTTTGAGACCAGCCTGGTCAACATGACAAAACCCTGTCTTTACTAAAAATACAAAATTTAGCTGGGTGTGGTGGCGCATGCCTGTAATCTCAGCTACTCAGGAGGCTGAAGTAGGAGAATCGCTTGAACCCAGGAGGTGGAGGTTGCAGTGAGCCAAGATTGCACCACTGCACTCCAGCCTGGGAGACAGAGTGAGACTCCATCTCAAAAAACAAAACAAAACAAACATATACATAAAATGGAAGGAGCATAGAGAATGATGGGAAGGTTGCAGTTTGAAATAGGAAGTCCTTGCTGATAATGTGACCTTGGTATGAGCCATATAGATATCAGCAGGAGTAAAGTTCACAGGAGAAAAGTGGTAGAAGTTGGAAAGGAAACGGGGGCAGGCAGACACTATGGGGTCTTAGAGGTCATGATAAAAAATTTGCCTTTTTATCAGAACATTTATTAGGCAGCCACTGTGGAACCAATGGCATTCTCAGTGCTTTGGGGCATACAGAGATGAATCAGGCTGACTCTGCTTTCAGGGAGATAGGACTCTATTAGCGTGGGTAAAACCCTACCACCCAGTTCCGGAAAGAAGCATCTCAGATCTCAAGTACTGAAGCTAAGTCTTGATTCACATGCACCATTGGGGGAGTGTAACCTGATACAACTTTTTTCTTCCTTAGAGTGCAACCTAGCCAAATATATAAAAACTTTAGATATATATGCTTTTTTGACTCAGAAGTTGCACATCTATGTTCCCCCCTCCCCGAGGAATAAGTATGCAAGGATGTATAAGCCAGTATGTTTATAATGCATTGTTTTTAATAGAGATACATTAAATATTCAGAAATGGACTTTCTGCAAATGAAAGTCATGCATCACAAATGAATTGTGATGCATCCGATTAATGAAATACTTTGTAGCTATTCAAAATGATGATGTAGCTATTCAAAATGATGATAATCACTTTACTGATACAGAAAAGTGATCATGATATGTAGCCAAGTGGAATAAAGTTATAAAACAGCAAGCAAAGGAGGAATCCATTTTTATAACATTTTTAAAGTGTGTGATTTATGTGTCATGGAAATCTACATGAGTATAAGTCAAGGTGTTAACAGTACTAATAAACACATAATATATGCATAATTGGGGTGATTTTTACTTCCTTCATTATACCTCCCTGTTAGGTCTGATTACATTCATGGGCATACATTTCTGTTGTCATCAGAAAATTATTATTTTCAGCTTTTTAAAAAGAAAGAGAAATGCTTAATTCATGGCAACACTTGTAGTCAGCATGGGGGCTTGATTTTCCCCTGATTGCCCTGATGGTACAAAGTAGACTTCTGGGTCTCTGCATAAACGGCCTTACTTCTCTTTTAATCAACCTACTTTTGCGTGTGTGTGTCTGCACAATTAGAAAAGACCTAAGGACACATGCCTCTGACCCTCACTGTCTTCCACCATCTTCTAAATTGCTTTTGACATCAGTTGCTTCAAAGTGAAAATGAAAAATGGAAATACCACAAAATGGAAGCTGTATCAGCAGAACCCGCATAACTGATTAATTGGCTTATATGTGGTGTACCTAGTTTGGGAGTTTTTGGTCTTTGATTGGAAAATGCTTCTGGATTTCCAAGGACACTTATTACTCATGGTTGTTACTTTTTGAATATTACTGGTGCCTATTCAGGATTTGATTGAAGAGTTTTAGAAATGGATTTGTCCTGCCCCTTGCCTGTCCCTTATATAGTCCTGACTCAGCCAGGCAGAAAAAAATTAATAGAGTTCTGAAAGCACTGAATGAAAGCTATAGTTTCCAGCCAATCCCCTCAGGGGTCTAGAGATGCCTGGGCTGTGGTTTGGAGACATTAATTCTGCTTGCTTTGACTTTGCCAATTGTGTTTTATTTCTTTTTTTCTCTGTCACTGGGCACTTTATTGTAGAATTTTGTATATAAAGAAAATGCTCAGCATGTATTGCAGTTTTCCGCACGTGCTTAGGTAGCAAATGCTGACAAAAAGCACTCAGTATATTTCCAAAACGGGTCTCATCAATGGCACTTTTTTTTTTTGGTTATGGATTTCCTAGCTCTCTGATAGGCTGAACCTTTGATTTAGGATTTCAAAAAGAATTTAATCATGAAAGAAAGTTCTGTGTGCCGGGTGAATCCTCTTGAAAGCAATTGCCTTTTATATCTCTGGCTTCTTAATTGCTGCTTCACTCTGCTCTGCTGTTTTATTCTCTTTTATGTTTGGATCAACATGTAAATAACTGAGGATGATGGCTGACTTTACTTAAGGCAGACATAATGAAAAGGTAGAAATGAAATCCAGGCTCAATGGAGGAGAGAGTATGCCATTGGGAGAACTAAAGAGATACCGTGCTGATTAATCTATCAGAGGATAGCTTTTAATGCCTAAGTTTTTGCATCAGAAATAAGGGACAATTTCGGCTGGGCGCAGTGGCTCACACCTGTAATCCCAGCTCTTCGGGAAGCTGAGGCAGGTGGATCCCGAGGTCAGGAGATCAAGACCATCCTGGCCAACATGGTGAAACCTTGTCTCCACTAAAAATACAAAAAAATTAGCTGGGCGTGGTGGTGCACACCTGTAGTCCCAGCTACTCAGGAGGTTGAGGCAGGAGAATCGTTTGAACCTGGGAGGCGGAGGTTGCAGTGAGTCGAGATCGCACCACTGCATTCCAGCCTGGGACAGTGCAAGACTCCGTCTCAAAAAAAAAAAAAAAAAAAAAACTAAGAAATTGGGGACAATTTCATATTAGTTTTCTGCCAAGTGAGTTTCAAGGAACAGTAGTCTTATGAGGTGTTCTAGGGCAAGTGTTCTAGGTTAGAGGTGCTTGGGAAGTGCTATCCACTATTGGCTACCCTTAGTGATTTATGGCATATATTAGTGCTGAGAAAACTTGCCATAAAGTTTTGTTGTGTTAAATATGTCATTTTCCTAACTTTTTAAAGAAGAATTACTTATTATAGTTTTTGTTCCTTTCTTCCTTTTGGGAAATTGAAAAGATTAATGAATTCTCTATAATTAAAATACAAAGATATATACACTGGAGCTCAAAGTTAGGGTGAAAAATTAAGAGATTAAGGGGTCTTTTACTTTATTTCTAATTTCATGACTCTTTAACTTAAAAAAGGTATGCAAAGCAAATAAGAAAAATTGTCAACACTTGTTACTTTTAATAAGAGATTATGGGTTATGATTCTATGTAGTGTAGTTTTTCTATGAAAAAGGTAGATGTTTTTTGTATATAAGACATTGCAATAATAACCATTCATCTGTTCATTTATTCAACAAATGTTTATTGAGAACTTAAAATATGCTATACATCATTTTTGGCACTTGTGATATACCAGTAAATAAAGAGATAAAGATCCCTGTCTTTGAGGTAAGAGAGTAAGAATAAATATTTATGAATTGTGAAGGTTTGCTTCTAATAATGTCTGAGTAACCTTTTTCTGACCCTTCTGTAGATAACAACTATAAATTCTAGACGAAACCAAAACAAAATGAAAAACTGGCCAAAGGTGCTAGAGAGCAACACAACGCAGGCAGATTTTGGAGGGGAGTCAACACTTAGGAGAAGGGAAAGACAGTAAATTAGTTCCATTTTCAAGGTTTATATATTGAATGAAGGCCCCAGTTTGTCCAATATAGATGTAGGATAATAAAACTGTGATAGAAAATCTGAATTATTTTTGGTCTGAAGAATCAAAGAACAAAGTTCTAGAAAATACAGCTTCTGGAAAGTGATGAAACCAGAGAGAAGGAGGCTAACTGTTGTCCATAAAGGCATCTCAACTCTCTGCCTAAACCCAGAAACATGAATATCTGGGCAGATTCCAAGGAGCCTACTTGAGGATTAGATTAAAGCAGGCAATTAAGACTGGATGCGGTGGCTCATGCCTCTAATCCCAGCACTTTGGGAGGCTGAGGCAGGTGGATCACTTGAGGTCAAGAGTTTAGACCAGCCTGGCCAACATGGTGAAACCCTGTCTCTACTAAAAATATAAAAAATAGCCAGGCGTGGTGGCACATGCCTGCAATCCCAGCTACCAGGGAGGCTGAGGCATGAGAATCGCTTGAACCTAGGAGGCGGAGGTTGCAGTGAGCTGAGATTCTGCCATTGCACTCCAGCCTGGGCCTGAATGAGAGAGTGAGACCCTGCTTCAAAAGCAAATAGACAAAAAGACAACAACAACAACAAAACAAAAAAAACTTGCCAACAAAGAAAGAGTTTAATGTTTTTGTGGCATATTATGCTAATTATCTACTAACATAAACAAACTCAACAACAAAAACACTCTTTGAGGAATAAGACAGAATCCAGCAAACTACAATGTAAAATTACTTAACATAGAAAAATTAGAAAAATTTGATTTATTCTCAAAAGAAAAGAAAGTAAATGAAGACCAACTTCAAGATTAACCAAATGTTGGAATTAGCAAGCAACAGTTTTAAAGTAGGTACTATGATGCTCCAGGACAAAGATAGGCTCATAACAAATTTTAAAAAGTAAATTGGAGCAGATAAGTAAAGAGAAAAGCAAAGAATGAAATGAAAATGCTAGAACTCAAAAGTTCAATATTTAAATTAAAACAATTTACCTGAATGGGCTTAACCTAAAAAAAAGGTGGTGACAGGATAAAGAGTCAATGAACTTGAGGACAGATTAATAGAAATTATTGAATCTAAAGAACAGAAAAAATATTTTAAAAAATTAACAGAGGCTTGGAGACATGTGGCAAAACATGAAAATATTAATCATAAGTGGAACTCAAGTCTTAGAAGAGAGAGTAAATGGAGCATAAATAATGACCAAAATTTTTGCTTTGGTAAAAGTAATAAATTTACAAATTTAAAAAACTTATAAAAACCTAACCAGGAAATATATAAAGAAAAGCTTTCCTAGGAAAAACAAAGGCAAATTGTAGAAAACCTAAGATTAAGAGAAAATCTTGGATGTGGCTCCCCAAACTGACACTTTATATAATGGAGAATGACTATTCAAATCATTGCTGACCTCTTCTTAGAAAAAAATGGAGGCCAGAATACATTAGAACAAAATGCTCAAAGTGCTGAATGAGAAAACTATTAACCTGAAATTCCATATCCAGAAATAAAAAAATCCTTTAAGAATAAATGCAAAATGAAGACATTTTTAGATAAAAGAAAACTAAGAGGATTTTCCACTGTAGAACTGGATTAGAATAAGTGTTGACAGAAGTTCTTTAGTCTGAGAGAAAATGGTAACAGACAGAAATGGCCAATTTCAAGAGTTACTATGAAGGTATAGTAATCAAGATGATATTGGTGAAAGAACAGACAGATCAATGTAATGAAATAGCTCAGAAATAGATCTACACAATTATAGTCAACTGTTGTTTGACAAAGATGCAAACACAAATCAAGAATGAATAGTTTACCTATACATCTATATTTGTCAAGACCCAGGAAATGTACACTTAAGATTTATGCATTTCATTGTATGCAAATCTTGTATCAAAAGAAAAAAATGAGCAACTAATGAACTTTAGTTAATATGCATGCTGAAAGATTTAGAGGGAAATGTTTCAATGTCTTCAATTTACTTTGAAATGTATTAAAAACAAGATGGGTTGATGAATGATTAGAGGAATGAATAAATATGTGATAAAGCAGTTTTGGAAAACGACAGTGATAGAATCCAAGTGGCAGCTGTGTAGGGGCTTGAGGTATTATTTTTCTCTGTATATTTAAAATGTTTTGTGATAAATATTGTAAAAAATATTTATGGATCACCCACTATAAACTGGCATTGGGTTGGGGCCATGATCTCCCAAATCAAGAATAAGTGGTTGTTTATTCTCAAAAATCTCCTAGTTTGGGGAGAGAAACAAACATGTAAACCGTAGAAATACTGTACTCTAAATTCAAGAGAGATGAATCCAAGTTGTTATGGTGACATAGAGGAAGGTCCTGCCAACCAAACCAGGGGGGTGGTCATGGGTGGTAAGGGAAGCTGTCTGGTTTGAGCTGATGTTTGCGCTGAGTCCTAAAGGATAAACAGCAGTTAACCAGATATGTGGGGAAAGATGGCAATGGGAGGAAAGGGCATTTCAGGTAAAGGAGACAGCCTAGGCAAAGATCAAAAGCATACAGTGTGTAAACACTTGCATTTTGGTGTAACAAATGTTTGACTTATAAAAAGAAATTGATAGAATATTAAATGTAATAAAAAACTACATATTTCAGGTAGGGCTCTTCTACGGGGAGCTGTAGAAGGGTTTTAAATAAGGCAATGACATGAATGCATTTGAGTTTTAGACTGACTACTCTGGCAGCTGTGGAAAACAGAATTGAAGTCTTGCCTCTAAAAGAGTAATTAGAAGGTTGTTACAGTAATGAGACTGATGAAAGTCTGAACTAGGACTTATATTTTAAGAATGGGGGTAAAGGGGGCCTCAATTTAAGACATAGGAAGAAGGCAAGGTTGGATATGGGTTTAGGGTGAACATATAATTTACCTTTTAAAAAGGGTACTTTTGAGAGTAAAAGTTGGCATTTAATACTTATGCCAGGACAATGGGCATTGCATTGACTGGAATAGGTTGGGACAAATGTCTTCCAACTTATTGTCATCCAAAATATGGAGGAACAGGGATGGGAGGCAGGAGGCTAGAATGACTCTGAGGCTTCTAGCTTGGCTGACAGAGATAGAAAGGAAAAGGTTTGAAAGTAAAGATGATGAAGTACAAAGAAATTTATGATTCATTTATTCCTGCTCTAAGGAATTTAAAATTTGGAGAAAACTCAACTTATGTTTGACTATATTTGTCAAAGATGTACGTGGCATCTAAGCTGGATTATAAAGGATATAGGATTTAGATCTTCCAAAAAGATAGGCAACTTAAGACAAAGGTGAGCTGTGTGCCTAGAGCTCTGAAAAAATCTTTTTAAATAGAGTTGTTTTTGGATTATCAAAGCAATCTAAAATAGAAATAACTCAAGTACCCATTATTAGGATTATAGGGGTCCAAGAGAGAAATAGACACAAATGACAGACATATGAGGTTAATAGATTCACTTTATTATTACTAGATCTGGCCTGGAGCAGGTGGCTTGGACTTGCAACCACTATTGTGCTTTCTGAGATCCATTCCATAAATTTGGATTGTGGGCCATCTCATGGGAAGAAGAGTCTCTAAGGCAGATAATTTGCAGTCACCACGATATTCTTGTTGTTAGAGCTATAACATCTAGATGGAATTCCTATTCAGATAGAAAATTATCCATCCAAAAGAGAAAACACTGTCTCATCTATATCAAGCCCTGAGAAAGGGGTCAAAGAGATAAAGCCAATATGTGTCAACCTGACATTTATATCATTATCTTGCTCCAATCAGAAAAGTAAATTAATTGTCAGATTCTTTTAAATGTATACCAGTTGGATAGCTCATTCCTCTTCCTATGTAAGAAAGTGAATAAGGGGTTGGAAGAAGAGATAAAAGTTTTACTGACCTGCTGTCCTTTCCTGGAGTAGAAGTTATTTTACGGCATCATGAAGGTAGGAGAATATGGTCGCCCTCAACACTCTTTATATCTCTGACAAAGCTCAAGTCCAATTTTGCTACCCACTTCAGAAATACATTAAATATGTACACATGCAGCAACACACCCTTACAGAACACTCCCACTGTGATAGCTTGCCTGCAGTTCTCCCTTGTTTTCTTCACCCAAATGGTTTCTAGGCATTGACATCCTCATATTTGTATACATTCCATTACAAATTCTTTAAACTGTAATTTTATTTTGCCTCCATTTGTACTTGATTGATTTCTTTCAAACAAGATACACGTTTTGATTGCTGTTTTCATAATGAATTCTATACCACCAGGTCTCAGGGATATTTACAAGGTAAAATTGATCTTCTCTGCTAAGTCTCAAGTTCACCTTGACTTTTTCCCCTAACCGATATGGTATGTACTGGTATCACTGGTATATCTGCTAAAATAGGTGTAGACTTTTTGTACATTCAACTATGTTTTTTTTTTTCAATACTAGGAAACTCATCTGCTGTTAATCTTTTTTTTTTAACATCAGAAGTAAGGGTCTGATATTTCCCCTATTGTAATAGAAAATCTTGTCTTCCTTTTGGATGTCTACTTAAATTCTTCTCAATCAGAATAAAAAATGTTTTCTTCTTGGTCATCGTGATAGACTTTCTGTCTGAGGCATTTTATAACCTCTAGGTAGAAGTCAAGGGTACATGCCCTAATCTCTCTTTCCAAAGGCAACAAAGAAGTGCCCCAATATATGTCTTCATCATGAAATTAGTGGGTCTTGGTGGGTGGAGGAAAATCTCTCTCTCAGGACTGGATGACATCATTGGAGCCTCTTTTCTCCTTATTTTTTCTTCCCTGGCTGATGGGTTGGGGTGCACTTCTATTTGGAAAGAGTTCCTGGTCATGGAAGACCTAGAAGATCTGGGTAATAAGAGAGGAGTGGGCCTGGTAAGGACTGCTTATGTGAACCTGGTTCTAGAGAGGTGAGAAATAAGCCATTCAGCCCCATTTTAGTTAAAGCCTAAAGCTAACCATTACAAGTATGGCCCATAGCTCATCCAGCCCAGTGTTAGGGAACATATCACAGGCCTATCCTTATATTTACGTATGGAGGCTGCTGTTACATTCTCCAGGAGGAAACAGTATCAGAGAAACTTGTATCCAATTTCCTCCTCCAATGGAGAGAGTGAGGCAAATCCAATTAGTGAAAATGGGGAGTACTTGGATGCTGCTTGGCCTTATTAACAGGGAGCATAGCTACTGCACTGTGGCTCTGATGACACAGGGAGTGACATAAAAGGCCTTGCAATAGTCTTTCATCCAGATTTATTGCCAGTAAAGCTGGTAGTTGGATCTCACCTTTAGCTAGCTATTTATGTTTGTCTCCTGGAGGGGACACATGAGAAATGGTAATTTGAATACCACACCCCCCTGAACTTTCAGCATCCAGTTTACCAAGGCAGTAGCTTACAATGATATTTAGATTCCAAATAATTAACTAATAATAGAGCATTTTATTTCCTTGGAGAATGTTCTGTGCCTAGTGCTCCCTCCCTACGCAGTATTACCAGCTACAGTGTCAGCTAGTCAAGATTCAGAGCCTTAAGACCTCAGTCAAATATCTTTTTCTATCAGCTGTAATCAACATCCGCTAGGCAAAGCCCTGTTGTTTGTGGAAATTTAAGTTTTGGTCTAGAAAACCTACCTATATCTGTATCTATCTATATCTATATCTATAGCTACATCTATATCTAATCTATATATCATCTATATCTATATCTGTGTCTGCATCTAATCTATATCATCTATATCTACATCTAAAATATATTCTCCAATAATTTATTTCTCGTATTATTTCCTTTTAAAGCCCAAATACAATGTGAAAGAAATGGTTCAGTCGTTTCCTTTCATGTGGCAAAGGGATCCTAGACATGGTCATTATAGTTAGCATGATACAGATATAAAATAGGACTTAGGAGGGGAAAATGCAAAAGCAGAGAAGTGAGAAGCAGCAGAGCACATGCAATTCCTCAAGCACTTTTTTTTTTTTTTTTTTTTTTTTTTGCCAGAAAGTTGTTGATCCAACCTGGGCATAGCTGAACTGAATGAATGCACCATGGCCAATGATTCAGTGGAGGACCTTGCCCCTGCAATGTTCTCCATACTTATAGGGGCTGTATCTAAAGATATCTATAGGGATTGTATATTTATAAAGACTGCCTGTTTTTAAAGACTAGTTGTCTAGTTCAGAGTTGGCAAAATTTTTCTGTAAAGGGCTAAAGAGTAAATAATTTTAGCTCTGTGAACCACAGGTTCTGTTGCAGGTACTCACCTCTGCCAGCATAGTATGAAAGCAACCATAGCTAATATGCACATTAATAAGCATAACTGTATATCAACAAAACTTTATTTACAAAACAGGTAATGAGTCATATTTGACCCACAGGGCCATAGTTTGTCAACCCCTTATGTAAATAACAACGTAAGCATGAGTGCTTTTTGTTCAAAAAGTGGTCTTCATGGAAGGAGAAAACTTTTGGATCTCAGTAACTGGTGTTCTTCTGTTGAGCTAACTTGGACTTCCTGAGGCAGCTCTCTGCTAAGCTACCCAGAGACATAGAAATGAATCTCCAGGACCAGATTCTATGAGCACTATTACTCATCTCACGTGATTCTATAGGAGTGGATAGGAGTCACAGCAAAACTTTAGAAATATGTGTCTGAAGTCACAGTCTCTAATTCTTTACCTTTCAACCCACTATAGTAGAGTACCTGTCCCCACCATGCTATTGAAACTTACCTTGTCAATATCATTATTAATCCCTGTATTGCAAAATTCAAAGATTGCATCTACTTGTTCTTCTTAATCACTCTGCAGCATGCATATGTAGCTGATGGCCCTGTCTTTCTAAATGCTTTGTCTTTTCTTGGCCTCTATGACACCACATTTTCTGTTTTCTTTCTACCTCATTGGCTACTCTTTCTAGTTGCCTATGTTGACTCCTTCAATACAGGCTCTAAATTTTAAAACGAGTCCCACGCAATTAGCTTCTCTTTATTTTCTCTTTCCCCATACCTAATCTCACTTAGTACTTTGGTTTAAATGACATTTACATTCAATGATTCAAAAAATTTATAACTCCAGTTCTGGCCTTTCTCTTGAGATTCAGAGCCATTTATACAACCACTGTTTTGACCTCTGCATTTGGCAGTTTAATGGCCATCTCAAGTTTAATATTTGCAAGGCAGAAGTAAACCTGCTTTTTTCCCCAATTTCCACTCTCTGTTTGTTGCACCATCCTCCCACTTGGCTGGGTAAATGCTACCTTTCTTTGTGTCTCTTTCTCACAAGCTCCAGATCCCAGTCATAAAAAACATAGCCCAAGCCAAATACCTTCTCTCCATCTGTACTAATCCAAATCATCTCTCTGCCTGACTATTGCAGCAGCCTACTAACTGTTCTTCAAATTCTTCTCTTTTCTGGTTACAACATGTTCTCCAGGGAGCAATTGCAGTACTTATAAGGTAAATCGAATCATGTCTCTCTTCTGCAAAGAATTTCTAATTATTTTTTGGTATACTCAAATAAAATCCCCTAATTTTGTATATTATTTGCACCCACCCCACAACTCTCTAATCTCATCTTCTATCACTCTCCCTCCTTTCCTTTATTCCAGCCACATTGCTTGTTCTTGCTGTAGAACTTATTGTACCAGCTGTTTCTTCTGTCTGAAATGTTTCTTCCCCCATTGTCTTTGCATCACCAGTTCTACTTTTGAGTCTCAGCTCAAAAGTCATTTTCTTAGTCCTTTACTTATCAACTATCCATCATTTTACTCACCACCCATAGATATGGTCTATTATGTCCTTGTTTTTGTTTTCCTCCTAGCTCTTACCACAACGATAAGTGTGTGTTTAGATGAAACCCTGTCTCTACTAAAAATACAAAAATTAGCCGGGCATAGTGGTGGGTCCCTGTAATCCCAGCTTCTTGGGGAGCTGAGGCAGGAGAATTGCTTGAATCTGGGAGACGGAGGTTGCAGTGAGCCGAGATAGTGCCACTGCACTCCAGCCTGGGCAACGGAGTGAAACGCTATCTCAAAAGAAAAAAAAAAAAGGAAGTGAGTAGTGAGTTCCTGATAGCAGAGGTGTCCATTCTTCACTGTTTATTCAGCCTGGTTTGTTTCATAAGCAGTTGAATCTCAGCGGTGAGCCACCAGCATCTATGATGCATCTCTTCTTCCTGCGGCAGTTGATTGGTTTTCTGGATCTTTTGAAGCTACAAATCTTCCTTGATATAGAGAGTATGGGCTGCCTCTTCCCCAAGGAGTGACTCTAGACATTTTTCCCCAAAGTTACAGTCTTCTACCTACTTCGTCTTTATCTCCTCGTATGTTTTTAGAATATTTCCCTTTCAGATTCTCTTTGATTATGATACATATTTATGTATGATAATGATTTCATGAACTCTTGACTTCAAAATTGGGACAGTTCCAGTTCATACCTGTGGTATCAGCATAATTATTAATGGCACCCATTTTTGTTCCCAGAGTTGTCTTGGTTTGGACAATATATTATATCAATATATAGTCATCCTCACTGTATGCATTCACTTCTGCTCTTTTGTCACTGAACTTCTGTTCTGCCAGTTTTTATCTCTCATGGTGAGGAGTCTCAGGTGGCATTGCATTCTTAGTGCATCCCCAGGGACCCTCATCATGAACTGCCACATCTGGCCATTGAATTCAAATTTGGGCTTTGCAGCCACTGTCTTTTCCTACCTGAGCAGACAGACTAATTTATCTAGGTGACACAAATTAGCAATGAACCATTATCCACTCCTTAGAGTTGCTGAGCTAGGCTTTGCATAGGGAATTGCCTGCCTCAGAAAGCTGAGTCATCAGCAAAAATCTCACAGCCTTCAATGTTTGAAAACTCATCTTTCTCCTCTTCTGCCAGGTGAATTGCATGCTGTTTGTTACCAGGGTCTGCTGATCAAGACTGAAATGAGTTATTTCTTTCATTCTTTTTTGTTTTATTTTGTATTCTTTTTTCTTTTTGTATTCTTTAGCACTCTTGTGCCTCATTGACATACTCTTCATGAATCAATGGCAAACCATTTTATGTATTGATTCAGTTTGGTTTAGCAAAAATCCTTTCATGGCCACGCTTTGTTAGCCATTGATTTGTATAACTTAAGATGCTATGGTATACTCCTCTTAAATAGTCTATATTTCAGATTTCTACCACTGAATTATATTAGTCTTCACTCAAGTTAGTTATAATTTACCCCATTTCACAAGGGAATCCTATAACATGGGGTGAGGTTTCACTGCAGCAACTGTGATTTTGGCCAGATCTGTCTTAACACAGTTGGCCCTCCATATCCGCATATTCCACATCTACAAATTCAGGCAAGCCTGGATTGAAAATACTTGGGGAAAAAACCAATAAAAATAACATTACAACAATAAAAATAATATTGATAAAACAATACTGTATAACAACTATTTATATAACATTTACTTTATATTAGGTATTATAACAAATCTAGAGAAGTTTTAAGATATACTGGAGGATGTGCATGGGGTTATATGCAAATACTACCCCATTTTATATCAGAGAAATAAACATCCTCAGATTTTGGTATATGAGGTGGGTGGGGTTGGGGGGTTGAGGAGTGGAGTCCTGGAACAAATTCCTTGCAGATACCAAGGGACAACAATATTTTTTATGTTTTATTTTAGAGATGGGAGTCCCGCTATTTTACCCAGGCTGGAGTGTAGTGCTATCCACAGGCCTGATCAAGCAACAATCCTCCTGCCTCAGCCTCCAGAGTAGCTGGGACTACAGGCATGCACCTGTAGGTGGCAGGCAGGTGCCACTGCACCTGGCACTTTTTTTGAGTTATTCTGACATCATTTTGCCAACATTTTGTCTGTGGCATACACTAATCCATCTTGGCTATTCTTAGCCTATTTAATATGTATCAGTTCACTTTTGGTGGCTTTTCTTTAATCTCTGAAGATTTTAACCAACTCTATTGTTGATGCTTTAACATGCAAATGTTAATTCTATTCATTTGTGTTTAAATAAGTAAGCCATGAGATTCTTAGGTCTGAGGTTTTCTTTCTTTCTTTTTTTTTGAGACGGAGTCTCTCTCTGTCGCCCAGGCTGTAGTGCAGTGGCACCATCTCTCCTCACTGCAAGCTCCGCCTCCCGGGTTCACACCATTCTCCTGCCTCAGCCTCCTGAGTAGCTGGGACTACAGGCGCCCGCCACCACACCCAGCTGATTTTTTGTCTATTTAGTAGAGACGGGGTTTCTCCGTGTTAGCCAGGATGGTCTTGATCTCCTGACCTCGTGATTCGCCCGCCTCGGCCTCCCAAAGTGCTGGGATTACAGGCATGAGCCACCGCGCCTGGCAGGTCTGAGGTTTTCATTGTATTGTTTCGGTTTTGCTGTGTAACAAACTGCCTCAAAACTTTGTTGCTTTAAAACAACAACCATTAATTTAGCTCATGATTCCATGAGTTGGCAGTTTGGGCTGAGTTCAGCTGGGTGGTGGTGTGCTGATCTTGGCTGGACTCACCTGGCATAAATGCGGTCACATCAGTTGGCTCCGATTCTGGGGCTAGGTTGACAATTGGCTGTGGTTAGGGAGATGAGCCATGTGTCTCTCATCATCCTGCATCCTGGGCTTATTCACATCATTGAAAAGGTTCCCAAATATCAAAAGGACAAGCTCCAATTCACAAGTGATTTTAAAGCCTCTGCTTATGTTTTCATTATTGTCTAACTGGTCAAAGTAAGTCATATGGCTAAGACCAGCCTCAATTTGGAAGAGCACTGCAGAATAACATGGATGCAGGCAGCAGAATTATTAGGACTTTCTTCTTTTCTTTTTTTTTTTGCAAATAATTTTCCCAAAAGTTTGTACACTGAAACACTGCCTAATTGTGCTTTATGTGTAGAAGTCAATGAAATTATATGCATAAAATCCAGAAATCTTAATTATGAAAGTATGAAAAGAACCCCATTGTAAAATTTCACCTAGTTATATCCCATGACATAATCCTAGAGGACAATATTGTAGTCAGACTTTAATATATTTTAGTCAACTTTATAGACTGAATTATTTCTTCCCCCTAACTTCATGTGTTGACATTCTCAACCTAGGACCTCAAAATGTGACCATATTTGGAAATAGGACCTTTAAATTGGTAGTTAAGATAAAATGAGGTCGTATGTGTGGACCCTGATGCAATTTGACTGTTGCCCTCATAAGAAGAGGGGAATAAGACACAGACAAGTGTACACACAGAAGAAAGGCCATATGAGGACACAGCAAGAAGGCGGCTATATGCAAGCCTGAAAGAGAGACCTCTGTAGGAACAAAATTTGCCTACACCTTGATCTAGACTCTAGAACTGTGAGAAAATAAATTTGCATTGTTTTAAGCTGCCCCATCTGTTGTACTTTGTTATAGCAACCCAAACTGACACAGATGGTACCTAGAAATTTAAAAAAAAAAAAATCCCAGACAGGATAGATTTATTTGATGGCTTATGGGAAAGGTGATCCCTAATTATTTCAGTTGTAAACATAAAAACATGCAGGGAACTCAGCTCAATTTTGCACATAGTACTCATTCAAAATGTATGTAAGGAAAGAATATTGCCTTTATATTGCCTTTACATCTTACACAGGAGAACCAGGCTTCAAGATTGTCACATTTGCTATCCCACTCCTTAGGGCGTCTTCTCTTAATAACCAGGCAGTGGTGGTAACATGTCAACTTCTGAATCATATTCAGTTGGAATTAAAGCTGGGGGGCAGAATTTTGGGGGCAGCAGTAGCTAGGGCAAGTGACTTCTCCTGAAGCTGAGAGAGGCTCAGGTGTGCAGCAAATATGAAATAAAAGTGTGAATACAAAATATAAGAATTAAGCAAAAAGGCTTAAAATTCAAAATATAGGAAATATTCCTTCTTATAAGTTGCAGTATCACTGAATTTGTTTCTGTCTTTGGTAGATTGAGTTTTTAGCCATCTTACAGGGTTATACACACCTACCAAATAACTTCACATAGACACGGATTACTGCGTTACTTTCATGGGCATTAAATAATTAGCATGGAGCCATGGACATATGTAGACTTAAGAAATACTACACAAAAGTCTTTAAAATAATTTCAAAAACATTTAAAATATTTAGACGGGAACGATGTCAATGTCAATGACAAAAAGTCAATGCCCCTGAGAACTATATATATATTTCACTCAAGAGTACTCCTGGATAGGCACACGGTACTGATTTTAAGTGGAAAGAGTATGGGTGGGAATCAAAGGAAAAAGAGAAAATAGACATTATGAACATAGAGGCTTATCCAATCTGGAAGTGAGGTTATGGGAGAAAATGGTGGCTGGGCTAACCTCATGGCCTGTGAGGCCTTCCTACATTGACTGGGGAGTCTGGAAGGGATAGAAAACTTGGCTTTCAGTTGGAGTGGGTTGAAGAGGGGTAGGAAGGGAGAGCCCATGGCCAAGAGGAACTTTATGTGTCTTCAAAGGGAATAAAAAATGAGCTGCGAAGTGTAGCTGCTCCCCTGACCACTTTTACATTTATATGTTTGACTAAATAATAGATTCTTGTAGAAATCAAAAAAGCTCTGAAAAGTCCAAAATGTAAAATTTATGGCATTCCCATTCCTGACCTTCAGTTACCCACTTCCCATCCTTTTCTTGTTTTGATTTATACATGATCTAGGAACTGACATGCATTTTCACCTGAAAAAGAAAGAAAAACTAAACATAAATTGTGGCATACCATGTTAGTAATTCTGTATTTTGGTCTCTTCGTGTAATGCTTTTTGGACATATGCCATTTCAGTACATGTAGTGCTGAATAGGACCTAATGGGTACCTAATCAAACAGAATGTCCAGAGTGTTCTATTTTATGGACATGCCTTAGATGTTACACAGGTTTAGTGACTATATTTTAATGTTTTGGAGTTGGTTTTTCTTAGTTTTTTGAGGTAAATGCTTATCACATTACTTTTTATCGCGATGAAGAGAAGTTGGTTAATGGGTAAAAAATACAGTTAGAGAGAAGAAATAAGTTCTAGTATTTGATAGTAGAGTAGGGAAATTATACTTAATAGTAATTTGATATATATTTTAAAATAGCTAGAAGAGAATTGCCATGTTCTCAACACAAAGAAAAGATAAATGTTTGAGGTGATGGATTCCCAGTTACCCTAATTTGATCATTACACATGGTATATAGTATCAAAATATCACATGTATCTCCAAAATAAGTACAACTATTATATAGTAAAAAAAAGTTTAAACTGGCATTATCTAGTATAAAAAAGTGAAAGTATTTATGGCTATGATTTTGCCTCTGATCTTTTTCACAAAAAATATTGTAGCCACCTCTTCAGTAATTTCTAAATTGTCTGAAATTTCAGTTTTGATTATTTTTTCTTTGACTCAAAAACACTTAAATTTTTTTTTTCCTTCAAGGAGATAGTCTTTTTATTATGTTTTGGCAATTAAAATATAATTTGGCTTTCTATTTATAGCCTAATTCACGTTATTATTTTAAAAATTTTAAGAAAAAAACCCAATATGTTTTTTGTGGAAGGCATGCTCTATGCTGTCTTACCTGATGGTGCTTGAGGAAATGTTTTACTTCCATACACTAAATGTGGCCCTAACTACCAGAATGAGACAGACTTGCAACGAAATTATTGAGATTTAAAAGATGTGTACCACATTCCATCCCATCACAGTGAGGACCCCACACATTTAAGTTACACATTCCATGCCATTAAATGAAATGTGACTCTATTACTTATTGCAGGCTGGTAATTGATCTTTCCTGCCATATTTGACAGATAGATAAATCCAATTTTCATCTTATACAACTTAAAAAAATTTTCTTCTTTTTGATGAAAAACATCAACTTTGAGGGACAAACTTTTTCTTAGCTTCTCTTAATGTGGTATATACTTTATTCACAACTTAAGGTGACTTTTCTCACTCTGTAATGTAACGATTTCACTCCCCACCTCCCTAGACTGCCAAGTGCAGTTGTTTTGTTTGAACCAAGTCTTAAAAATGGCCAGCAATGATTTGGCTAAGAGGTTAAGCCTGAATTCTCAGAGGGACAAGTTTCATTATGGTTGCAGAGCCACCCTCATCCCACACCACAAAACATTCATTTACCACAGTAATGTCAGAAGGTGTGGGTATAGTCAGCCTTACTTATCTGTGGGTTCCGCATCCCTGGATTCAACCAACTGTGGATCAAAAATATTTGGAAAAAAAACAATAAAAATACAACAATAAAAATATTATAAATAAAAAACAATATAGTAAAACAACTATTTATACAGCATTTACATTATATTAAGTATTATAAGCGATTTAAAGATGATTTAAAGTATATGCGAGGGCTGGGCACAGTGGTTTATGCCTGTAATCCCAGCACTTTGGGAGGCTGAGGCAGTCAGATTACTTGAGGTCAGGAGTTCAAGACCAGCCTGGCCAACATGGCGAAACCCCGTCTCTACTAAAAATACAAAAATTGGCCGGGTCTGGTGGCACACGCCTGTAATCTCAGCTACTAGGGAGGGAGAGGCAGGGAAATTGCTTGAACCCAGGAGGCAGAAGTTGCAGTGAGCTGAGATAGTGACACTGCACTCCAGCCTGGTTTGTTTTTGTTGTTGTTGTTTTTGTTTTTCTTTTTCAGATGGAGTGAGACTCTAAAAAAAAAAGTAGGAGGATATGTGTAGGTTTCATGCAAATACTATCCCATTTTATATCAGGGACTTGAGCATCTATGGATTTTGATATCCATGGGGGTCCTGGAACCCCCAAGGATAGCAAGGAATACCTGTACTAGCCAAATGAATGCAAAACATCTAATTATGAGAAAAATATTTGGCTCATATTCAGGCACTGGGTTGACCCTGCTCAAAGAAATATCATTCTGCATTGGCTATATCCAAATGTCCTTTGCCCACTTTTTAATGGGGTTGTGTTTTTCATGTAAATTTTGAAGTTTTTCAACCATCCAATGAGAAGGGAGGGAAAAATATGAGCTTGTGCAGAAAACATAGGAGTAGTTGTGAAAAATAGAGAGGTTAAAAAAATTTTTTTAAAGTTATTGTCAGTGGTGTCCAATGTTACAAAGAGATTAAGGAGAATGATTACATATTGTCATGTAATTATCACCACCATCCATTTCCAGAACTTTTTCATCCTGCAAAACTAAAACTTTATGCCCATTAAACAACAACTCCTTATTGCTCTCACCTCTGGACCCTGGCAACCACTGGCCATAACTTTTCAATTCTTAAGCTTAGTTTTCTTCCTTCTATCCTCATTCCCCATGACCTCTGTAACATTGGACACCACTGACAAACAATAACTTTTTAAAGATTTTTTTAACCTCTCTATTTTTCACAACTGTTCCTCTGCCGTCTGCACAAGCTCATCTTTTTCCTTCCCTCCTCATTGGATGGTTGGAAAACATTGAAATTTACATGAAAAACAAAACCCCATTAAAAAGTGGGCAAAGGACATGAACAGACACTTCTCAATAGAAGACATCCATGCAACCAACAAACATGAAAAAAAGCTCCACATCACTGATCCTTGGAGAAGTGCAAATCAAAACCACAATGAGATACCACTTACACCAGTCAGAATGGCTATTACTAAAAAGTCAAAAAACAACAGACGCTGGTGAGGTTGCGGGGAGAAAGGAACACTTTCACACTGTTGGTGGGAGTGTATATTAGTTCAACCATTTTGGAGGACAGTGTGGCAATTCCTCAAAGACCTAGGGGCAGAAATACCATTTGACCCAGCAATCCCATCACTAGGTATATACCCAAAGGAATAGAAATGATTGTATTATAAAGATACATCCACATGTATGTTCACTGCAGTACTATTCACAATAGCAAAGACATGGAATCAACCTAAATGCCCATTAATGATAGACTGGATAAAGAAAATGTGGTACATGACCAGCCTGGCCAACGTGGTGAAACCCCATCTCTACTAAAAATACAAAAGAGTAGCTGGGCATGGTGGCAGGTGCCTGTAATCTCATCTACTTTGGAGGCTGAAGCAGGAGAATCACTTGAACCTGGGAGCCAGAGGTAGCAGTGGGCCGAGAGACCATGCCACTGCACTCCAGCCTGGGCAACAGAGAGAGACTCTGTCTCAAAAAAAAAAAAAAAAAAGAAAAGAAAAGAAAATATGGTACATATACACTATGGAATATTATGCAGCCATAAAAAGGAATGAGATAATGTCCTCTGCAGGGACATGGATGGAGTTGGAAGCCGTTATCCTCAGCAAAGTAATGCAGGAACAAAAAACCAAACACTGCATGTTCTCACTTATAATTGGGAGCTGAATGATGAGAACACATGGACACAGGGAGGGGAACAACACACATTGGGGCCTATTGTGGGGTGAGGGAGAGCATCAGGAAGAATAGTTAATATGTGCTGGGCTTCATACCTAGGTGATGGGATGATCTGTGCAGCAAACCACCATACACATGTTTACCTACGGAACAAACCTGCATATCCTGCACATGTATCCTTGAACTTAAACGTTGAAGACAAAAAAAGAGGAAAAAATATAAATTGTTTTATTAATTGCAAAACTAAATAAGAGTTTTATTTTTAATGGTTTTTAATCCTTTTCTCTTGCTAATGGTTTTCCCCATGGCATCAATTTTTTTGTGACTTTATCATTTCTATGTAGATAATTATGCTCCCGTTCTGGTACTCTAATCTCTGCTGAGAAAGAACATTGCCACTCAAGAATGTTGTCATCACTTAGAATTAATGCTCAGCCCCTTATCATCTCTCCCACAACTAGTTCCTTTATTTTGTCTCTTTGTTTTGCTGTTTTTAAAATTTACCTAGTCATATTCTCCCAGAAACTCAATTGCTTCTTTATCTCCTGCTCCTGCTCACTAAGTACATTCAGTGCCATCTTTGAAAACCTTTTGCATCTGTCTTTTATTTTCTCTTTCCATTTCTGTCATCTAGGGATAACTTCTGGTGGCCTGCCTGGTGTCAAACTTTCTCCAAGCACAATGTACTCTCTGCTCCATTCACCTTCCCCCAAAATCACTTTCCTCGTCTATCACTTCTCTGCACCTGTTTCCCACTGGCTTTTTTTTTTTTTTTTTTTTTTTTTTTGGCTTTTTCCTTTTTCTTTTTTTTTTTTTTTTTTTTGAGACAGAGTCTTGCTTTGTCACCTAGGATGGAGTGCAGTGGTGCGATCTCGGCTCACTGCAACCTTTGCCTCCCAGGTTCAAGCGATTCTTCTGCCTCCGCCTCCTGAGTAGCTGGGATTACAGGCACCCACCACCACGCCCAGCTAAATTTTGTATTTTTGTAGAGATGGAATTTCACTATGTTGGCCAGGCTGGTCTTGAACTCCTGACCTCAAGTGATCTGACCGCCTTGGCCTCCCAAAGTGCTGGGATTATAGGCTTGAGCCACTGCACCTGGCCTGAACTCATCTTCTTGATTTTTCAAGTCTCTCAAACTGTATTTCACCTCGAATATGCAATCTGTGCTCTAGTCATGCTAGCCTCTTCCCTGCTCCTTGGGTATTATTATTGCTGTGCTTTCATTCCTGTGGTTCCCATTTTCTGAGCACCTTGTGTTTTCCTCTAGGTACAACCTGACATATGAAGACCATTACAATTCTCTCTCATCTCACTTTTTCTAAAATTCTATAGTATTCATAACTGGTACCACAGGAATCTAAGCATTTCTCATAGGCCTAGATTGTCTGCTATACTTTGTATTTATTTGGTGTTCCTCCTCCCTCTCAGGCAACTTAGTTGCAAATTCCTTGAGGTCATAGATCTACAGAGCTCTGGAACAACTGAAGATTTTTCATGAGTCAGAAATGTCCTGGTTTTGAAATAGTTGTAAAAATAGCAAGCTTAAGAATATATCAGGGGAAGTTGGAAAGCTTCTGCTAAAGTAAAGGAGTTGTGGCCAAATAACCTTTATGGGTGGCACGCGGTGGGGTGGGGGAGTTGACTTTATTACAGGGCAGTTGTTGAGATCATGTTTTGGGAAGCAAAGATGTAGATTCTGGAAGGAGGCCATAGAGAGGCAGAAGCTGGAGAAAGCTCCTGTGTAGACACCAACCAGAATTAAGATGTGGCTTATCAATGGATTACACCTCATATGCTTGTGATTCACTTGTGATTCAGCTCTGTCTTAAAGAAATGTTACCAAATACTTTGTTGTGTATGTGTCATAAGCACTCATAAAGCTATATTGAAATTTTAGTATTTAGGGGCCGGGCGTGGTGGCTCGCACCTGTAATCCCAGCACTTTGGGAGGCCGAGGCGGCAGATCATGAGGTCAGGAGTTTGAGACCACCTGACCAACATGGTGAAACCCTGTCTCTACTAAAAATACAAAAATCAGACAGGCATGGTGGCATGTGCATGTAGTCCCAGCTACTTGGGAGGCTGAGGCAGGAGAATCACTTGAACCTGGGAGGCAGAGGTTGCAGTGAGCCGAGATCGCCCCACTACACTCTAGCCTGGGTGATAGAGTGAGACTCTATCTCAAAAAAAAAAAAAAAAAGAAAGAAAGAAATTTGAGCATTTAGAAGGTGTATTTCCCTTTTTAGAAGAAACTTTCTGCATTGTCTGTACTCTGACATTAGATGGAAGTGGAGAGTTGTAGACATAAAGTCTGAAGACCTAAGGTCAATAGTCTAAAGACCTAAACGAAGATCCCTCCCATAAGTCAGAATATGAGATAAATTTACATTTGCAAGATCAGTTTGACACGAAGTTTATCAGTCTTTCCAAATAACCTGCTTTTGGTTTCATTGTTTTCATCTATTGTTTTTCTCTTTTCAATTTCATTGATTTCTTCTTTTATCTATAACTTTCCTTTTTTTTTTCTGGTTGCTTTGGTTTTATTCTGTTCTTTTCACCCCTAGTTTCTTAGATAGAAGCTCTTTTCATTAATGAGAGTGGGCCTCTCATGCTGGGATTAGTATCTTTACAAGAACAGGAAGACAGACCAGAGTTTTCTCTTTCTTCACCATTAAGAACACAGTGAGAAGGTGGCTGTCTGCAAGTTAGGGAGAGAGCCCTCAGCAGGATCTGAATCTGCCAGCACCTTGATCTTCGGCTTCCTGAACTGTGAGATATAAATGTGTTGTTTAAGCCACCAGTTGAGGTTTTTTTTGTTATAGCAACCTGGGCATACTAATACACTTCATTCAAGAATTCCTTTGAAACTAATACACTTCCTTCAAGAATTCTTCCTGGAGTGTAATGTTTCATTTCCAAGCGTTTGAAGACTTTCCTATATTTCTGTGACTAATTTCTAGTTTAATTCCATTGTAATAAGAAAACATACTTTGCATAATTTCAATTCTTTTAAATTTGTTAAAATTTGTTTTATGATTAAGACATGGTGTGTTTTGGTGAATATTCCATGTGCTCTTGAAAAGAATGTGTATTCTGCTTTTTGCAGGAAAAGAATATTCTGTACTTTTCAATTAAGTTGTTTTTTGGTATTGTTTGTGTTTTCTTAATGCATCCCGATTTTCTCTTTACTTGCTTATTGATCACTGAGAAAGTAGTGTTGAAGTCTCTAGCTATAAGCTTGGATTTGTCATTTTCTCCTTTCAGTTCTATCAGTTTTTGCTTCATGTATTTGAATTGTTTTCTAGGAATTACAATATATATACTTTACTCTTTGAGATATTATGTTGGTGTTTCTTTGAGTTGTTATTTCCCTGTCTAACTCACCTGATATTATTTACTTTTCAGAATCCTTAAGTAGTTGCTTTACATATTTTGACTAAGAATTTTGTCATTATCAGTGGGAGAGAGAGTGTGGAGTTTACTTAGAATAGAATTTTATATAAGTAGAATCCTTCTATATGTAGTCCTTTGAGTCTTTCTGCCTTTTCTAAGCATAATGCTTTTGGAATTTATCCATATCATTGTATGTGTATGTTGTCAGTAGCTTTTTCCTTTTAATTGCAGACTAATATTCTATCATATGGCTATACTGCATTTCATTTATTCATTTACAAGGTGATGGGTATTTGGCTTATTTTCATGTTTTGTTTTTGTTTTGCTATTAAGAATGAAGCTGCTATATTTATTTGCATAGAAATCTTTGTGTGGATGTATGTTTTTATTTCACTTGGGTAATATTGTGTTTGGGGTTCTTGGGGATCCTAGTTAACCAGCTTCCCCAGGGAAAATTTTTCCCCTTTGGTCCAATTAATCTCAAAGAGGAGTCTTAGACTCTGTCTGATGTTCAATTTATTCTTGCAGCACTCTTGTAGGACAGATAGTGGGAGCAGGCTGGTGGTATAGGCCAGATACAGCCAGGGGGTTGGATGACTGTCTGATGGGAAAGTCTCCATCAGGAGACTCCTCTCAGGGTTTGGGGCATTCGGCTCCCTTTCTTGTACCTGTGTCCAGTCTGAATCAGTTACCAGGTGTTTCTTTAAAGGGAGTTTAAGCTATTTTTGTAAGGGTAAGCTTTGTCTTAAGGTTTATGAGAGTTGCATCTGTGCTCAGGGGGTCTTATCTCCTAGAAATCCCCAGGCCAGGTTGCAGACTGCTAAGCAACATGTAGTGCAGGCCCTGTGAGAGGTTTGAGTGGGCCTTATAGCTATCACTAGTCTTACAGCCACCATATATCTCTTGTAGTACACCATAGGTAAATACCTAGGAGTGATATGACATGGTCTCATGATAAATCTATCTTTAAGTTTATAACTGCCAAATTATTTTAAAATTTTTATTCTCAGTAACAATCTATGATATATTTAGTTGTTCCGTATCTTCACCAATATGTTGTATTATCAGTGTTTAAGTATTTTCAGTTGAGAATTTTTTTTTATTTTTATTCTTTTGGTTTTATTGATAAACATCTTTAAGGCTCTGTATTTTCCCTGATTGCTGCTTTAAATATGTCCCACACATCCCATGTATTTTGAGATATAATGTTTCCATTATTATTATCTTTTAAAATTCTATAACTTTGGTTTATATTTATCCTTCCACTCAGTATTTTTTAATAGAAAGTTCTAAGATTTCTAAGTGGAAATATCTATTTATAAGTTTTTTTAAATTTTCTTTTCATTTTGTTTTGTGATCAGACGTTTTTGTAGTTTTTCTACTTTTGGAAGTTACTGATTTTTTGTGTGTTGACCTAATACATGACCATTTTTGTGAATGTGTCAGGTGTGCTTGAGAAAAAAGTATGTTCTCTGTTGTTAAGATGTAAAAATTGATATTTATCCATAAGAACTAGCTTATTGATTATGTTCTTTAGGTATTCAGTGTGCTTACTTTTTTCCATTTAAATTGTTTTGTAGTGAGAGTAGTGTTAAAAATTCATCATCATCTTATTATTATTTTATCTCCTTGGATCTCTTGTCATTTTTGCTTTATGTAGGTGGTTGCTGAGATTTTTGGTCCTTTATTCTTAATTGATATATGTTCATGTGAACTGTGGCTTTTCACAATAACAAATACTCTCATTTTTTCATGTTTAATTCTTTTTGGTTTTAATTTTATTTCATCTGATATAATTATCATTACCTTTGTTTTCTCATTAGTTGTAGTTGACTGGCATACATTTGCCCATTCCTTTATTTTTAGCCTTTCTGAATTATTCTGTTTTGATATATTTCTTGATTATAGCAATAGTTAGGTCTTACTTTGTGAGTTAAATTTAATGTCTTTTACTGGATGAGTTAAGCTCACACTTCTTGTAGACTACTTTATTACAGTCGTGTGTATTGTATTTTTTATGTTTCTTTATATGGTGTATTTTTTTAACCTTATAATTAAAAATTTTCTTTTAGTTTTAAAGAACATTTGTATTTCTTCTATATTGTTAACTTGGTTCTTTTTTTTTTTTTTTTTTTTTTTTTTTGAGACGGTATCTTGCACCGTTGCCCGGGCTGGAGTGCAATGGTGTGATCTTGGCTCATTGCAACCACTGCCTCCCTGGTTCAAGTGATTCTCCTGACTCAGCCTCCAAAGTAGCTGGGATTACAGGCATCTACCACCATGCCTGGCAAATTTTTTGTATTTTTAGTAGAGATGGGGTTTCACTATATTGGCCAGGCTAGTCTCAAACTCCTGACCTCGTGATCCACGTGCCTCGGCCTCCCAAAGTGCTGGGATTACAGGTGTGAGCCACCATGCCCAGCCTGTTAACTTGGTTCTTAAACCTTTTTAAATGTTCTATTCCACCTACATTTTTTTTTTAGTGTTTATCTGATTTATCAGTTTTTAACAGTATATTTTAGCCTCCATCTATTGCTCAAAAAACAGCCAATGAACTTATTTTGTTTTCTTCTAGTTTCGTCTCCTTTCATTTTTAGTTACATCATTATATAGTTATTACATCATTTATATTTTATCAGTGCTTGTAACATGTAGCATGCATCATATATATTATTATTCTTTTGCACTTGCCCTCACATTTGTTTTAGTTTTAGAACTACAACTTACACCTTAAGCATACTTTAACATAGTAAAGAAATAACATTATTTAACGTGTTAAAAATTAAACTCAACACACTTTGACATATTATATGCTTAATTATCTCTTGGTTGAATGAAGTTTATCATCTAGTATAGAAGTCTGTAAACTACATGGATGTTATTAAAATTTTATTAATTTTTTGTTTACTTTTTTGGTTTGTTTTTGTTTTGGCAGGGGAGCAGTAAGAAGAGTATTTCCACGCCCTTTAATTTTTTATTTTAATTTTTAATTTTTTATTTTCAGCTTTCTGTGGGGCAAATCTGGCCATACCTATTTGTTTGCATAGAATCTATGGCCACTTTCACACTTGGAATTAGAGTTGAATAACAGCAATAGAGGCCAAATAGACTGCAAAGTAGAAAACATGTAACCTCTGTCTCTTTATAGAAAATTATTTGCCAATCCCTTTTCTAGTTGATTCCCCAAGGTTACATAATTCTCTAATCAAATGTTTAAAAGAGTTTTTCTATGGCCTTTATACTTGATGGATAGTTTGGCTGGATATAAAAACCTGATTCACACTTCTTTCTTAGAAGATTTTTAAAAATGCTATTTTATTGTTGCTTTACTTTGTTGGTTGTTTGTGGGTATTCTGATGCTAATCTAATTCTCTTGTTCCTGTAATATATTTTATATTTTACCTGGAAGAACTGACTTTTGAAATTTTGTGAAGTCTAATATTTTACCAGCATATATCTTGATAAAGGGTCAATTTCCTATGTACATTGTGGGTCCTTGTAACATGTAAGTTATGTCCTGTAATTACATGTAAATTGTATCTGTCGTGCTTCCACTTTTTGCCTTTTTAATCTGCTCTTTTCCAACAATTTTCTAATTTTTAAAACTGGTATCATCTCATTTGAAATCCTGTTATTGTCTTTCTAATTTTTTTTTATATTCTCTTACTATATTTTCATTTAATTGTATTCCTCCTTGGATGTTATATGATTTAGTCTTTGTTTCTGGTAAAATTTTGTATTTTTATTGTACTTTTTCCTTCCGTTTATCAATTATCATTTTACTTCTTTCTTTTCTGCCCATTTCTGTTTTTAGTTTTTAAATTTCTGGCTTTTTCACATCCCAATACTGATTGACAATATTTAGTTTAGCTTGTAGTGTTGTGTTTCAGTTTTATTCTGCTTCATTATATGCTTTGGGCAAAGAGATACTTTGTTATCTGAATTGCTTGCATTCGCATTTTCCACTTTATGTTAATAGTAATTTTATATAGGTGAAATGATTTGTGCTTTTATGTTTCTGTGCACTGAGTTGGAGATTTGCATTGTTGTGTCTGTATTTCAAGAGCGTCCTCCTTGTCAATGTAGTGAGGTATGGATTTTCTACATTGGATGTTTTTAAAATTTTATTAATTTTTTTGTTTGCTTTTTTGTTTGTTTTTGTTTCGGCAGGGGAGCAGTAAGAAAAGTGTTTGCATGCCCTTTAATTTTTTATTTTAACTTATTTTACTTTATACTTACAGATTTTAACTTTCCCTTTTTTGCTTGTTCTACTTTACTGCAGGCTTTTCAAAGGGGACCACTTTCTTCCTTTTTGCCTTATTCTTTCCTAGGAATGTTACTTTTCTAAGATTGCCTCCTCACATCCTGAGCAGATGTTTAGGTCCTTTCATGAAATCAGTGCCTGGCTTTACCAGGACACATTTTTGGTGTTTTCACTCTTATTGCTGACTTTTTCTTTTTGGCGGTGGTTTCACTTCCTGTCTTCTGCACAATTTTTTCCAAACTGCCCTTGCTCTCTGCAAAAGTTTATATCATTATTTTAGAGATAGCTTGCTGGGATTTGTTGTGTCTATTTCTACTTATATATATTTTGAAGTTTTGATGTTATTTTCTTGTTAAGCCAAGGATATGGGTTTTATATAGTTTCATTTGTTCTTTTTTTCTTGAGACTATGTTAGGAGTTTTAGATTTACCCCACTGCAATAGATGAAGTTTTTAAAAACGCAATTCCAGGTCCTAGAGGTTCTGGATCAAATCATAAAGTCTGAGGTTGGAGCAGAACAATAATTTACAATTTTTTAAAAAAGTTCCAGAGCTGTTTCTGAGAATAACCCAGGTTCTAACATCACTAGTCTATGTGTCATGTCTTTATGCCCAGTTAAACTATCAACTTTGTAGAGTTAAGAAAAAAGCCAGGATTTTAATTTTTTGTGTTTTTTTGTTTGTTTGTTTTGTTTTGTTTTGTTTTTGAGGCAGAGTCTCACTCTGTCACCCAGGCTGGAGTGGAGTGGTGTGGTCTCGGCTCACTGCAACCTCCACCTCCTGGGTTCAAGTGATTCTCTTGCTTTAGCCTCCTGAGTAGCTGGGACTACAGGCATGCACCACCACACCTGGCTAATTCTTTGTATTTTTAGTAGAGACGGTGTTTCGCCGTGTTAGCCATGATGGTCTCAATCTCCTGACCTCGGGATCCGCCCGCCTTGGCCTCCAAAGTGCTGGGATTACAGGCGTGAGCTGCCACGCTTGGCCTACAGCTGCCTTATTTAAATATAAAGTTCCCCATCAGGGAAGAATATGGGATGATACTACAACAGGTCTGGAACTGAGGCAATGGTGGGCATTTGGGGGTAATGTGGCTACAAGTGTCCCATGAAATTATATTGCCGGTATGTGTGGCAACCTTTGCTTATAAAGAAGAATAGCCTTCAACCTTCTGTTGAATACAGATTGTTGAGATCATGTTCTTTCTGGGATCATGAGAAAACCCTTATTGAAAACCCTGCCACTGACCTTCCACGGGCAGCACCTATGCTACACATGCTGTTGCTTATGTGTCAAGTGCACTGAGATAATCGATGAGATAAATTACATGTACATAAGAGCCCATTCTGTTGATTACATTTCTTAATGTAATTTTTGGAAGGCTTAGATGTAATTTATTTTCACAGTAGCCTACTTCTGGTATGTAGCTATGTATATTTTCTTAAATACCTGTTTGTCTGGTTGCCTCTTGTTTTTATCACATTAAATTTTGTCCATACAATGATATGTTGTCCCACACAGCAATATATTGTTAAGTAGACTTCAGTTGAAGTGGGGTTTGTTCTATTTACTTAGCAGTATTGCCAAATATATGAGAGGACTACAGGTCTTTCAATGATGCATGAAGTCAACCATCTGCTCCAGTTTCTTCAGGTTTCCAAGCTATAATTTGAAGCTGAAAGAGATCGTCTGGATATAACCAAGCTCTCCTGCTGTCAGAACCCTGGAGAGGAAGGCAAGAGGGTTGGGCACTATTTTAATGCCATGACTCAGGATTTCAATCTGTTCTAGAATGTTCACGTTTCCTCTCTGGTTCAGAGCATGCCAGTCCTTTAGATCCAGAGGAATTCTGGGTTAGGGTCACAGAACTAATTTCCTTTCCCCTGCTTGTTGGAATCATTTCTACCCAGGGTCTTTGAACTTGTGTAGTCTCTACATAATCACCCAAGTGCAGTTGATACTCCAGAAGTGGATGATAAGTAGCCTTCATTGCCCTGGTCACTAAGATTATATTCCAGAGAAAGAAAGTGATAGGCAAAATCAAAAGTAATTGTCATCTTGTTATTCCTCTGGTAGTTCAAACAAGGCAGAGATTAAATAAATTTGAAGGTACTCAAGTAGGAGAAATAGGCTTCAATGGGATACTTAGAGATGACAGAGGTCAGTCAAGAGAAACAAGCAGACATTACTCTACTTAGTTCTAGCTCAGATTTTCTCTTCGCTTCCAAATAGGAAATTTAAAGATAACCAGCAAAATTGAGGTTAAACGTTGCTCAGGAGATTGTGGCTAGTGGAGTGCGAAGACTCCTGGCTATTTTATAAACATGATGCAGTCGGGAGTAGTAATGATGTTTTGGTCACCAGGAAAAATCTAAGCTCCGCTAAGAGACTTTTAGCCTGTCTCTTATTTAACAGATAGTGCATTCTTTGAAGTCATGAACCATATCTTCCTATCATGTCAATTTAACTTATTTATTGTTACAATTTGTTATGGTTATTTAAAGTTTTTATTAATGTATTTGATACGTTTTAAAAATTGGTGCAAAGGGTATAAAATGAAAAGTAAAAGTCCCTCTCCCAATTCTTACCCTGTAGCATTATTCCTTTTCTCACTTCTGTTTTTTTTTTTTTGTTGTTGTTTTTTGTTTTTTTTGTCTTTCAGTCTGGCCTGGTTATCATATTTTTTACTGATACATAATATGAGATCATTTTTATGTGTTGAAAATATCTCACGTTCTCTCTTCTAGATATTTTGAAATATTCAATACATTGTTGTTAACTATAGTCACCCTCCTCTGCTGAAGAACATTAGAACTTATTCTGTCTAACTGTATGTTTGTAACCATTAGCTAACCTCTCTTCCTTCTCCCCTTCCCACCCACACCCATTCCCGGCCTCTAGTATCTATAATTCTACTCTCTACCTCCACAAGATCAACATTTTTAACTCCCACATGTGAGTGCAAACATGCAGTATTTGTCTTTTTGTGCCAGGCTTACTTCACTTAACATAATGACTCTCAGTTACATCAATGTTGCTGCAAATGACAGGTTTTCTTTTTTAAGGCTGAATAATATTTTGTTGTGTAGATAGAACACATTTTAAAAATTCATTCATCTATTGATGGACACTTCCATATCTTTGGTATTGTGATTAGTGCTGCAATAAACATGGTAGTGCAGGTATCCTTTTGATATACTGATTTCCTTTCCTTTGGATAAATATCTGGTGGTGAAATTGCTGTATCACATGGTAGGTCTAATTTTAGTTTTTTGAGAAATCTTTCACTGTTTCCCATTGTGGTTGTACTAATTTACATTCGAACCAACACTGTATGAGGGCTCTCTTTTTTCTGCATCCTCACCAGCATCTGTTATTGTATTTTTCTTTCTAATAATAGCTATTTTAACTGGGGTAAGGTAATGTCTCATTGTGGTTTTAATTTGCATCTCCTTGATGATTAGTGATGTTCAATCTTTTTTCATATACCTCTTAACCATTTGTATGTCTTGTTTTGAGAAATTTCTATTTATGTCTTTTGCCTACTTTTTTAAATGGGATTGTTTTCTCACTGTTGAGTTCCTTATTTATTATGGCTATTAGTCCTTGTCAGATGAATAGTTTGTAAATATTTTCTTCCATTCAACAGGTTGCCTCTTCACCTTATTGATTTTTCATTTCCTGTGCAGAAGCTTATTAGTTGGATATAGTCCCATTTGTCTATTTTTGGTTTTGTTGCCTGTGCTTTTCAGGTGTTAGCCATAAAGTCTTTGCCTAGACCAATGTCTTGAAGTGTTTCCCCTATGTTTTCTTTTAGTGGTTTTATAGTGTCAAGTCTTATATTTAAGTCTTTAATTCATCTTGAGTTGATTTTTGAATACAATGAGTGATAGCAGTCTAGTCTCAATCTGCTATGTATTGATATCAGTTTTCCTAGCACCGTTTATTGAAGGAGATGTCCTTTCCCCAATGCATGTTCTTGGTGGCTTTGTCAAAAATCAGTTGTTCATAAATAAATAGATTTATTTCTGACGTCTCTCTTCTGTTCCATTTGTCTATGTGTCTGTTTTTATATCAATACCATGCTGTTTTGGTTGCTATATCCTTATAATATATTTTGAAGTCAGGTATTCTGATATCTCCAGCTTTGTTCTTTTTCCTCAGGATTGCTTTAACTGTCCAGGCTTGTTTGGCTCCATACAAATTTTAGGATTGTTTTTCCTATTTCTGTGAAAAATGTCATTGCATTTTCATAGGGATTGCATTGAATCTGTGAATTGCATTGGGTAATTGTGTCATTTTAACAATATTATTTCTTCTGATCCATGAACAGGGATGTCTTTCCATTTGTTTTTGTCATCTTCAATTTCTTTCATCAGTGTTTTGTAGTTTTCCTTGTAGAGGTCTTTCACCTCTGTGGTTAAATTTACTCCCAGATATTTTCTTATTTTTGTAGTTAGTGTAAATGACATCAATTTCTTGATATCTCTCTCAGCTATTTCATTATTGATGAATTGTAAATGCATTCGATTTTCATATGTTGATTTTGTAACCTGCAATTTTACTGAATTTGTTTATCAGTTCTAAGAGTTTTTTGGTGGAATCTTTTGGCTTTTCTAAATATAAGATTTTATCATTTGCATAGGACAATTTGACTTCCTCTTTCCCAGTCTGGATGTGTTTTATTTCCTTCTCTTGACTCATTTCTCTGGCTTTGACTTCTAGTACGATTGAATAGGAGTGGTAAAAGTGGGCATCCTAGTTGTATATAGTTCTTAGAGGAAATGCTTTTAGCTTTTCCTTGTCAGTATGACATTAGGTGTGGATTTGTCATATATGATTTTATTAGGTTGAGGTATGTTCCTTCGATTCCTAGTATGTTGAGAATTTTTCTTTTTCTTTTTCTTTTCCTTTTTTTTTTTTTTTTTTTTTTGAGACGGAGTCTCGCTCTGTTGCCCAGGCTGGAGTGCAGTGGCACAATCTCGGCTCACTGCAAGCTCTGCCTCCTAGGTTCACTCCATTCTCCTGCCTCAGCCTCCCAAGTAGCTGAGACTACATCTTGAAAAGACACTGAATTTTATTAAATGCCTTTTCTGTGTCTTTTGAGATGACCATATGGTTTTTGTCCTTCATTCTTTTGGTGTGGTGTATCACATGTATTGTGTTAAAACATCCTTGCATCCCTGAGATAAATCCTACTTGATCATGTCGTATTATCTTTTTGATGTTCTTTTGGATTCAATTTGCTGGTATTTTGTTGAGAATTTTTAATCTATGCTTATCAGGAATATTGGCTGTAGTTTTGTTGTTGTTGTTGTTGTGTCCTAGCCTGGTTTTGGTATCAGTGTAAACCTGGCCTCATAGAATAAGTTAGGGAGAATTCCCTCTTTTTGTTTTTTTAAACATGACTTGGAGAGAATTGCTGTAAATTTTTCTTTACATGTTTGGTAGAATTTGGCAATAAAACCAACAGATCCTGGGCTTTTCATGGTTGGGAGACTACTTATTATGGATTCAATCTTGTTACTTGTTTTGGGTCTGTTTGGATTTTCTATTTCTTCCTAATTCAATCTTGATAGGTTGTATGTGTCTAGAAATATATCAATTTTTTATAAGTTTTCTATGCTGTTAACATACAGGTGTTTACAGTAGTTCCTCATAATTTTTTTTTTTTTTTTTTTTTTTGAGGCAGAATCTTGCTCTGTCACCCAGGTTGGAGTACAGTAGCGTGATCTCAGCTCACTGCAACATCTGCCTCCTGGGTTCATGCCATTCTCCTGCCTCAGCTTCCCGAGTAGCTGGAGCTACAGGCACATGCCTCCATGCCCAGCTAATTTTTTGTGTTTTAGTAGAGACAGGGTTTCACCATGTTGCCCAGGCTGGTTGTGAACTCCTGAGCTCAGGCAATCCACCCACCTCGGCCTCCCAAAGTGCTGGGATTACAGGTGTATGCCACCGCGCCCGGCCCCTCATAATCATTTTTATTTCTGTGATATTAGTTATAATGTCTTCTTTTTCATTTTGAATTTTGTTTATTTTTATATTCTCCCTGTTTTTCTTGATTAGATTAGTGTTTTATCAGTTTTGTTTATCTTTTTAAAAAAATTTTACTTTAAGTTCTGGGATACATGTGCAGAATGTGCAGGTTTGTTACATAGGTATACATGTGCCATGGTGTTTTGCTGCACCTATCAACCCTTCATCTAGGTTTTAGGCCCTGCATGCATTAAGTATTTGTCCTAATGCTCTCCCTCCTCTTGCCCATGACCCCCCTACAGGCCCCTGTGTGTGATGTTCCCCTCCCTGTGTCCATGTGTTCTCATTGTTCAACTCCCACTTATGAGTGAGAACATGCAGTGTTTGGTTTTCTGTTACTGTGTTAGTTTGCTGAGAATGATGGTTTCCAGCTTAATCCATGTCCCTGAAAAGGACATTAACTCATTCTTCTTTATGGCTGCATAGTATTCCATGGTGTATATGCGCCACCTTTTCTTTATCCAGTCTATCACTGATGGGCATTTGGGTTGGTTCCAAGTCTTTGCTATTGTAAATAGTGCTGCAATAAACATATGTGTGCATGTGTCTTTATAGTAGAATGATTTATAGTCCTTTGGGTATATACCCAATAATGGGATTGCTGGGTCAAATGGTATTTCTGGTTCTAGATCCTTGAGGAATCGCCATACTGCCTTCCACAAAGGTTGAACTAATTTGCAGTCCCACCAACAGTGTAAAAGTGTTCCTATTTCTCCACATCCTTGCCAGCATCTGTTGTTTCCTGAATTTTTAATGATCACCATTCTAACTGGCATGAGATGGTATCTCATTGTGGTTTTGATTTGTATTTTTCTAATGACCAGTGATGATGAACTTTTTTCCATGTTTGTTGGCCACATAAATGTCTTCTTTTGAGAAGTGTCTGTTCATATCCTTCGCCCACTTTTTGATGGGATTGTTTTTTTTTCTTGTAAATTTGTTCAAGTTCCTGGTAGATTCTGTATATTAGCCCTTTGTCAGATGGATAGATTGCAAAATTTTTCTCCCATTCTGTAGGTTGCCTGTTCACTCTGATGATAGTTTCTTTTGCTGTACAGAACTCTTTAGATTAATTAGATCCCATTTGTCAATTTTAGTTTTTGTTTCAATTGCTTTTGGTGTTTTAGTAATGAAGACTTTGCCCACGCCTATGTCCTGCATGGTATTGCCTAGGTTTTCTTCTAGGGTTTTTATGGTTTTGGATTTTACATTTAAGTCTTCAATCCATCTTGAGTTCTTTTTGTGTAAAGTGTAAGGAAGGGGTCCAGTTTCTGTTTTCTGCATATGGCTAGCTGGTTTTCCCAGCACTGTTTATAAAATAGGGAACCCTTTCCCTGTTGCTTGTTTTTGTCAGGTTTGTTGAAGATCAGATGGTTGTAGATGTGTGGTTTTATTTCTGAGTTCTCTATTCTGTTCCATTCGTTCATATATCTGTTTTGGTACAAGTACCATGCTGTTTTGTTTACTGTAGCCTTGTAGTATAGTTCGAAGTCAGGTAGCGTTATGCCTCCATCTTTGTTCTTTTTGCTTAGGATTGTCTTGGCTATATGGGCTCTTTTTTGATTCCACATGAAATTTAAAGTACTTTTTTTCTAATTCTATGAAGAAAGTCAGTGATAGCTTGATGGGAATAGCATTGAATCTATAAATTACTTTGTGCAATATGGGCATTTTCACGATATTGATTCTTCCTATCCATGAGGATGGAATGTTTTTCCATTTTTTTGTGTCCTCTCTTATTTCCTTGAGCAGTGGTTTGTAGTTCTCCTTCAAGAGTTCCTTCACTTCCCTTGTAAGTTGTATTTCTAGGTATTTTATTCTCTTTGTAGCAATTAGGAATGGGAGTTCACTCATGATTTGGCTCTCTGCTTGTCTATTGTTGGTGTATAGGAATGCTAGTGATTTCTGCACATTGATTTTGTATTCTGAGATTTTGCTGAAGTTGCTTATCAGCTTAAGGAGTTTTGGGACTGAGATGATGGGGTTTTCTAAATATACAATCATGTCATCTGCAAACAGAGACAATTTGACTTCCTCTCTCTTCCTATGTGAATACCCTTTATTTCTTTCTCTTGCCTGATTGCCCTGGCTAGAACTTCCACTACTATATTGAATAGGAGTGGTGAGAGAAGGCATCCTTGTCTTGTGCCAATTTTCAAAGGGAATGCTTCCAGCTTTTGCTTATTCAGTGTGATATTGGCTATTGATTTGTCATTATAGCTCTTATTATTTTGAGATATGTTCCATCAGCATGTAGTTTATTGAGATTTTTTAGCATGAGTTTTTTGTCTTTTTAAAAAACAAACTTTTTGTTTTGTTGATTGTTTTTATTGCTTTTTTAAGTCTTTGTTTCATTTAGTTCTGCTCTGATTTTTATTTGTTTTCTACTAATTTTAAGTTTGGTTTGTTCTTGCTATTCAAGTTCCTTGAGGTACAATCTTTAGATCTTTAGATTGTTTATGTGAAATCTATTCACTCTTGATGTAGCCATATATTGCTTTAAACAGCTCTCTTAGCACTGCTTTTGCTATATCCAATAGGTTTTGGCATGTTGTGTTTCAGTTTCATTTTTTTCAAGAAACAAAACAAATTTTTGATTTCTGTCTTAATTTTTTTTTTGACCCAATGGTCATTCAGGAGCATGTTGTTTAATTTCCCTGTATTTGTACAATTTCCAAATTTCCTGTTGGCACTTATTTCTAGTTTGATTCCACTTTGGTCTGGGAAGATACTTTGTATAATTTTGATCTTTTAAAAATTTGTTGAGACTTGTTTTGTGTTCTAGCATATTGCCTGTCCTGCAGTGTGTTCCATGTGCCATGAGAAGAATGTGTATTTGGTAGCTGTTTGACAAAATGTTCTGTAAATGCCCGTTAGGTCCATTTGGTCTAAAGTCCAGTTTAAATCCAATATTTCTTTGTTCATTTGCTATCTAGATGATCTGTCTGATGTTGAGAGTGGGGAATTGAAATCTACCATTGTTATTTTATAGGAGTCTATTTCTCTCTTTAGATCTAGTAATATTTCCTTTATATATCTTGTGCTCCAGTGTTATATGAATATATATTTAGAATTATTATATCCTCTTACTGAATTGATCCCTTTATTATTATATGACCTATTTTGTTTCTTTTTTACTCTTTATTACTTAAAGTCTGTTTTATCTGATATAAATATAGCTATTCCTGCTCACTCTAGGTTTTCATGCAATATCTTTTTCCATCCCTTTACTTTCAGTCTATATGTATCTTTACAGATGGGATTAGTTTATTGTAGGTATCATATAGTTGGATCATATTTTTAAATCCATCCAACCAGTCTGTATCTTTTAAGTGAAAAATTTAGTCTGTTTACATTTAAGGTTACTATAAGTATGTGAGATTTTGTTCCTGTCAGTTTGTTAATTATTTGCCAAATATTGTGTGTATTCTTTGGTCCTTTCTTTTCTATGTTATTGTTTATCATTGTGGTTTGGTGGTTTTCTGTAATGGTAGCATTTAAGTTCCTTCTCTTTCTCGTTCGTGTATTTGCTTTATCAGTGAGTTTTATACTTTAATGTGTTTTCTTGATAGTAGATATCATCCTTTTGAATTTGAATCCTTTGAATTCAGGTATAGGACTCCCTTAAGCATTTCTTGTAGGACTAATCTAGTGGTGATTAATTCTGTCAGTTTTTGCTTGTCGGGGAAAGACTTTATTTCTCTTTCATTTATGGCAGGGAACTTTGCTAGTTGTAGTATTCTCGGCTGTCATTTTTTTTTTTTCTTTCAGCAGTTTAAATACATCCTCTCATCCTCTTAGGCTGTAAGGTTTCTGCAGAGAAATACACTGCTAGTTTCCCTTAAAAATGACTAGATGCTTTTTTCTTGCTAGTTTTAGAATTCTTTCTTTGTTTTGACCTTCAACAGTTTAACTATTATGCACTACAGGGACCTTTTTAAAAATGGTATCTTTTTAAGGATCTCTGAGCTTCTGTATCTGGATATCTAAATTTCTTTCTAGTTGGGAAGTTTTCAGCTATTATTTTATTAACTAGGTTTTCCCTCCTTTTTGTTTTTTCTTAGTCTTCTGGGACACTGAAAATTTGTATATTTGGTCACTTTATAGTGTCCCAATATGTCATGTGGGCTTTGTTCATTCTTTTTTCTTTTTACTTTTATCTGACTGAGTTATTTTAGTCAGAAATAACCTGTCTTCGAAGTTGTGAAATTCTTTTTTTGCTTGATTTAGTCTATTGTTGAAGTTGTCAAATATTTATTTTTTATTTTATTTAATGAATTCTTCCATTCTAGGAATTATGTTTGGTTCTTTTTTTTATGATATTTGTACCTTTTGTAAATTTCTCATTCATATCCTATATGGTTTTCCTGATTTGTTTGTACTGGTTTATCTTCTGTTATATCTCACTGAACTTCTTGAATATCATTATTTTGAATTCTTTTGCTGGGGTTTCATAAATTCCTATTTCTTTGGAATCTGTTGCTGGAGAATCATTGTGTTCCATTGGAGGCATCATATTTCTTTAGTTTTTCACGTTTCTTGTGTCCTTACATTGATATCTGCATATCTGGTGTAACAGTCACTTGTTCTAATTTTTTGGATTTGCTTTCATAGAAGAAGATTTTTTCTTGAAGTTAAATCTATGGTATTTGTTGTGTAAGGTACTTTGGCTTTGATTCTGGGTGTGTGCAGTAGTGTATTCTCTGTATAATTTATTTGACTGTAATTAGTGTCAATAAAGTCTGTGATTTACTCAGTGGCTTAGGGTGCAGTTATTAGTGGAAACCATACTAAAGTTTTGTTGGAGATAAAGATGCCAGTTGGGCTAGTCCTCAGGCCCTAGTGAGTGCATTGGTCGGGTGAGTATGCCTATCCTTAGGCACCAGGTGGACAATGCTGGCACCAGTGTTAGCAGATCCAGGCAGGCCAATCCTTGGGCCTATGGGCAGTTTTCTTGGATGCCAGTAGTACCAGCAGATGACCAGGCTGGTGGGTGGGTCCACAGGCCCCTGGGCAGCAGGCCAGCTGTGGGATACAGCAGTAGTGGTGGGATAACCTTCTGGCTTCCAAGCAGTCCACACTGGTGTTGCCAGTCGTTGTGATACGCTGGATGGACCAGAACCCAGGCCTATAGGTTATGCATGCAGGTAGTTGTGGTGGCAGACAGGGTGAGCCCATCCTCAGGTCCCTGGGATGAGTGCATGGGTGCTAACGGTGGGTGACAGGACTTGGTGGTCCTCAAGCCCTCAGACACCATGCTCAGACACTGAGGAGGGCTGCAGAGCCATGCTGGGTGACCTTGACCTTAAGCTCCCTAGTAGCGTCTATGGACATTGGCTCTGGTGGCCAGGGGTTGGGTAATCCCCAGGCCCACAGCAAAGTGCTTGAGTCGAATCAGTAGTGGCTGTTTTGCACCTTGCTGATAGGGAGGGTGGGGGTGCTTTCATTGGCAGTGAATGTAGGTAGGTGGCTGGGGAGCATGCACGTTGATCCCAAGCTGTGGCTGCAGGCAGGGAAGCCTGACCTCAGGATGTGTGAAAGTGCATGGCAGCCTGTTACTGGGATGGGCAGGGTTACTGCCAGTGGCCTGTGCTTTGGCCCCAGTGGCAGCAGCCAGCAGTGGTGGCAGCTGGAGGTGGGGGAGTCTGTCCTTCAGGCACATGAAAATGCTCAGCAGCTTTGCTGCTGGGGGCATCAGTGTTACTGCCAATGGCTTGTGTTTCAGCCCTGGCAGTAACAGCCATCTGTGGTGGTGGTTATGTGCAGGATACGTCAATGGGGCTTTAGGAATGTGCAGATGAAGGGGCTTTGGGGCCCCAGGGAAGGATGCAGCCTGGTGGAAGCTGGGCCCTCAAAATGACACCATGTCGTAGCTGCTTGGGACTCGGTGTGTGCGGAACCCAGCATGAGCTCACTGTCTGGAGTAATGCCATTGCACCTGTCTGCAGGTAGATCTCTATGTTAGTCTCAGGGCCTGCAAGGATGGAAGGGCTCTCCCATGACTAGTACTGGAGGAGCCCATGTGGGAATATGGGCCACTGGGGGTCTTTCATTTACTGTTTCCCTGATTGGGAGAGCTCTCCCCAGCTGATCCTAGCCAAGCAGGCTGCCTTGCTTGTCTCTTCTTCATTGCCTTAGTTGTTCCTATCACTTCTCTATTGAGCTCCAGTATTCCCTCCTAGTTGATCCATTTAAAGTGTAATTATCCACTTAATATCTTGGTTCTTTTCTGTGGAGGAGGACTGCCAGGTGCATCTCATCAGCCATCCTGAAGCCCCTCTCTCATTTCTGTTTTTGATTCTTCTGTTTGTTTCTGCTCTTAATCAATTCATAAATTACTTTAATTTTTTATTTACATAATTATTCAATTTTAGAGATCAAATATAGACTTCTTCAACAAAATAACAGCAGAAAATCATCCAGCATATCCTTAAACAACTCCCTTGATGATGGATTGATCATTCCTAAAGTTAGGTAATTCCTTCTTCAGAATTTTTTTTTTTTCTAGATGGAGTCTCACTTTTTCACCCAGGCTGGAGTGCAGTGGAGTGATCTTGGCTCACTGCAACTTCTGCCTCCTGTGTTCAAGCAATTCTCCTGCCTCAGCCTCCTGAGTAGCTGGGATTACAGGTGTGTGCCCCCACATCCAGCTAATTTTTTGTATTTTTAGTAGAGATGGGGTTTCACCATGTTGGCCAGGCTGGTCTTGAACTCCAGACCTCAAGTGATCTTCCCACCTCGGCCTCCCAAAGTGTTGGTATTACAGGTGTGAGCCACTGTGCCCGGCCATTTCTAAGCCTAACTCCAAAGGCAAAACCCATAAATGAGAGAGAGAGAGAGAGAGAGAGAGAGAAAGAGATATAGAGTGAGAGAGAAGAGATTTTGTTGGTAAAGAAACAAAAAAGCAAATACAACTATTTGGCAAAAGCATTGCATGAAAAATTACAAGGAAGAAACACAATTTGGGGAAATTATGTATATGCCTATACTTTTGCTGATAATCAGAGTCACACTTAATAAGATGCTATATTTTAATCTACCAAATTGGCAAAGAATAAGAGGACTTTTAATGCCTAGTATTAGTAATGATGTAGAAAAATAAGCATTGTTGTAGAGGCAAGCATAGGTGATCTAATATTTCTGGTTGGCAATTTAGCAACGTGACAAAGTTTAATAATATGCATATTTCTTGATTAAGAAGAAATGAGATTCTTAAAAATTTGTCTTAATCACAGAAATGGATAGAAGCAGAAAAATGCATGTGTAAGTTATTTTCTATTTGTATACTTGTTTTCAATAGTATAACATTAGAAAAAGCTGAGAAGTCCAAAAACATTTATTAAATAAACCATAGTAGGTTTATACAAAGGAATACTCTGTAGGCATTATGGTAGATTATATATATGTATATACACACACATACACACACAAATATGTATACTTATTTACAAGCAATGATGTTCACTGTAGTTTTAAGAAAAAATCCTTATTCTAAGACAATATGTTCAGTATGACTCTTGAAAGGAAATGAATCTATGTTAACACTGTTTGCTTTCTATTAAGGCAGTCCTTAAAGAAATTAGCAAAAAATGTAAAATGATGCCATTCTTCTCATTATTGTTTTGTTTTGGAAAATATAGATGTGTTTCATAAAATATATTATTTCTATGAATATATAACATTAATTAATAGGTATATTTCAATATTATTCTGTTTTAAATTTTAATATACTCAGTATTAAAAGTTATACTAAAACCACATAATCCAAGGCTCTTTGGAGTCCTTAGTAAACTTTTAGAGTGTACGTAATCTGGAGACCAAACAGTTTTGAGAATGGTTAAGCTGGAGAGATGGTTAGAGGCTAAAACATGACTGGCTGGCTGTACGAAGCTAAGGAGTTTTGGTTTCATCTTGAAAATTATGGGGAGATACTTAAATATTTTAGATAGAGAAGTGACACATTAAATTTATTTATTGATTGATTGTGAAATATTAGTTTGCCTGTCTTTTGGAGGATAAATGAAGGGAGGCTTTGCGAGGAGGCTTAGTGATAAGGTAGCAAGTTTTTCCAGAAGTTCAAGTTAGAAGCAATGAGGGGTTCAAAGTGTAGCAAAGGACTGGTCAGAGTCAAGTTGAGAGAGATCCTGCATCTATATAGGACTTAGCAACAGACGCTATAGGGCTTCATGACCAGTATGGTACAATGCATGGGATGAATGAGAGCTATGACTCCAAGATGCCTTATAGGTATCTGGGTTGGATATTCAGGGGCTACTATACTCAGATCTCCCCAGATCTGTGTGTGTGTGTGGTGGGGTGGTGGGGGGCCGGGGGGACTCCCTAGCTTGTTCTGTGTTCTTTTGCCTCATTGGAAGATGCTTGACAGCTCCTGGAACCACTTTCCTCATGTGGTCAGAGGAAAGTGACCTGGAAAGTACCTGGAAGTTTACATTCCTGTATTATTCTGTTCTCATGCTGCTGATAAAGACATACCTAAGACTAGGTAATTTATTTTTTTAAAAAGAGGTTTAATGGACTCACAGTTCCACATGGCTGGGGAGACCTCACAATCATGGCAGAAAGTGAAAGTCACGTCTTACATGGCAGCAGACAAGAAAGAATGGGAGCCAAGCAAAAGGTGAAACCCCTTATAAAACCATTAGATCTCGTGAGACTTATTCACTACCATGAGAACTATGGGGGAAACTGCCCCCCATGATTCAGTTATCTCCCACCAGGTCCCTCCCACAACATGTGGGGATTATGGGAGCTACAATTCAAGATGAGATTTGGGTGGGAACACAGACAAACCATATCAGTTCCCCCTACCCTCCACCCTGAGGTGGTTTTTGCCAGGAATGGTATGCACAGGAATATGAAAGCCCAGGGTTCTCTTTCTGGGGTGGCACGAGCCAAGGGAGGTAATGTACATTCCAGACTTCCTCTGTGTGATAAAGCTGAGGCTAGAATTTCGCTGAGGTCACACTGTTGCTTGGCTTCTTCCTTTTCCCGTTCCTCTTTCCCTTCCTCCATCAGAGATTTCTCCTGGGGGCACTTTCTTGCTCTGTCACTGCACATGAATATTCATCTCAGGCTCTGCTGCTGTGGGACTTGACACAGGACTGGAGTCATGCTGACCTTGCATTTCACTTAGATAGATTATACCAGGTATGGAGTAGTTTACAGGAGAGAGGAGAGTAAGTTCATTTTTGGACATGTTGATTGTAAGTACATTTGGATCATTTTATGGAAATATCTAGTAAGTAGTTAAATCTGAGTTAGAAATATTGATCTGGAAGCCATCAGGATTTAGGTGCTGGTTGAAGCCATGAGTTTGAATGAGGCTAAATCAGGAGAGTATATGGAGCATCTAAAACTGAGGACTGGGTCATGTGGACATTTTGACAGTTGCAATTAACATGTTCCTCATATAAATCCTTTCCATACAAGTATCAGTTTACATTTTCATATTCAGAAACATCATATTGTTTGACCTTTACAATAACAAAGGAAGGTGGGAGGCTATGTGTAATTATTGTCGTTTTTCAGATGAGGAAATTAAGACAGAATTTATGTGAAACACTCAAAGTCACAACAGTGACAGGACTAGCACAAAATCCAGGTCATTTAATTTCTAGCACAGAGCTTTTCCTGCCCCTTACAACTGCTTTTGAAAAAATTCATTTTTTTTGGTATATACTTTTGCAATGTATAGGAAATAGTCTTTCTTGCAGCCTCAGCATTCTTACGGACTCATATTACATCTGCTCCAGCTTTTCTGGTATCCTCATCAATTTATCATGACCTGTTGCAGGACATCTTTGTTTTCCATAGCCCAGAAAATCACTTCCTTCAGGAAGCCACTGTGAACAAACTGCAGCCCTTGGTTATTTCTTACTTAATAGTGTTGCATGGATTTTATATTATATTCATTCTCACGTGTTGATATGCTACTTTTGTGTTTCTTTCTTTTCTTGTTTTGTATATTTTTGTTTTTATTCTTCCAACTATATTGTAAGACAATCTTTAAAGTATTCTCTTTTATACAAAATGAATGTTTCCATTTTTTTTGGGAAATAAAGAAAATATAATTCTACATTATAACAACATTTTGTATATTTTATTTTAGTCATTATTTTTTCCACATGCTTATGCTGGCATTCCTGAAGTTTTCAATTGTTCAGCCAGATTGTTATTTGGTGCATAAATCCGTCTTGCAACTATTTTTTTTTCTTCCTTAGTATATATTACAATGCACTATATACAATAGGGACGTTGTTGCTGCTTGGGAATTCATTTGGTGAGAGAGGGACTTGCAAAAGATGACTCAGATATTTCAGTCAGGTCAAAGATGGTCAGAGAGTAAATGTGCTATGAGGAGATGACTTTTTGCTAATGGGGAGATTTTGACTTTAGTAGAAGAAAATGTTTGAAAGATTTAATTGGGCCAATTGTCATCACTATGTTAGGATGACCCTATTGGGTGAGCTTGTGTTTTTACTTTCCCATCCCTACTGGGACTATTTGGACAGCTGGGTGTGTATCAGATAAAGTTAGTACACAATTTGGTTTTATCTGCCTTTTATTCAGCTGTCAAAGCATGATTATGACCCCCTTTCAGAGTATAACATAAAATACTTTTCTGGACTTTGATTAATTTTTTTAACTAAAGACAGTCCTAACAGGTCACATGTTTCATCTTTAGCCAAGAAACTTTGCAGTCAAGGTTTCCAAGTTATTCTGCAAGTCTGTCTGGCTAGCGTCGTCTCTTGGCATGATAACATCATTGCATATAAGTACAGCGCACCATTAATCTGAGTGTATTAGACTTTCAAACATTCATTCCTCCAGACTATAAGCTGGATTTGCACTTTGCTGGATGACATTTAAGCAGTTTACTTGGATGTAACGTGTTCCCAGCACAGCATGAAAATGCATTTACTAAGGGCTTTGTGTCTGTGGTTTAGATGAAAATAGAGTAAAGCTTCCTCCCTCTTGAGATGTTTAGATAAGGTTTAATTGATTTTGAAAATACATTAGCATGACCACAATGCTTTAAAACAAATGAACTTTTTTTTTTTAAATAAAGCAGGTTGCATTGGGGGTTTGACTTAAAAGCTTTGAAATGGTGAAATAGCAAAGAGCTTTTTTTCCTTTTTTAAACTTAGAGAAAGTACAGCACGCCCCCAAAATATTTCTAATTTATGTTTATGCTTCTAAAGTTTGAATAGAAATAAACTTACTTCTGGAGAAAAGGCTTTTTATCATGGGGGACTTGAAGTTACGAGCTTTTTCACAAGACAGTGTTGGAAACATATGTCCTTGTTGTCAGACTAATGCACCTTTATTGACTTAAAGCTTAGAAGGAAATCAATAGATTTTTGGAGACACATAGGAGATTGCAGGCCTTCCATTTATGAATACGATGAATTGAAATGGTCTTTAGACTGTCTGCATTAGCATCGCCACTTACCAATGTGGTATTGAACATATGGCTCTGCTGAAACAAGTAATGATGCACCCCTAGACTCTTGCTGAAGCACTTGACTTCAAACAGTGTGCTAACCAACTTCTGCTTAAAACCCTACTGAGAGCAGTGCCCCGTAGGTAAAACAGTCTGTGAAACATGGTATCCACTCAGCTCTCTGGGTAATCACCTCTATCTTGAGTTGGAAAGAGCACTAGAAAGTTATATAGTTGTTTTACACTAAGTTATCTTCTGAACAATCACCTTCACAGAATTAAATTTAAGTGTTATATCTTTGGTTTTGTTTGTATCTGGTAGATAATTTTGGTCAAAGACAAACTGTCCATCATTCTGTGTATACAGTGTCATTTGATAAATCTATTTTGAATTTATAACCAAGGGAGAAGTGTATGTGCCCATTTTTCTCTCTAGCTCTCTTTCTGACTTTCTGTATCTATTTCTTTTTCTCTCTTAAAATTGGTTTGCTTTCTTCAAACAAATAACTTGAAATATTCAACATACTCATTTTCTTGCCTCTGAGGAAATGTAGAGCAAAATTGAATAGGCAATCACAATAATTATATCAAACCTCATTCTTAGCATTTTGCTTTCTTTTGCTCTTCTTATATCTTTGATATGTTATTTTTTCCAGAACTTTGTTATATACATGAATTTTATTTTAAGGTGCCTTAGATCCCTTTTGAGAAGCAGAAACTAATAAGCAAACTGTTAAGGGAAGGCTAGAAAGAGATGATCAGAGGCCAGAGGATAATGAGTCTATAAACTATAGAAACTTAAAAGGAAAATGGTATTTTTGATTGTCATTTTACTGCCAAGGTGACTGCTTGTGTTTCCAGCCAACAAATGGTCATATATTCTCTAGCAATACTTAACAAGTCTTGGGCACACCATATAATATGCTTTCCTGTAGACACTATTGATTGAGAGAAATAGTGGACGTGAATAATTATATGTGGATTTAAAAAGTCCATGTATGGAATTCCATTATAAAAGATTGTGAAAGAAATATATAGAACTAAATATTTGGGCCAAAACAAAAACACAGTGAATTACCATATTATTTGCTTCTCTGGTAAATTTTCAGTAATGGCTTTTATATGAACCAACATTTGCTCAAAGGATATAGAAACTTGAAATCCTTGGTCATCTGAAAAATATCAGAAATGAAGCTAAAGTAAATTTAATGAAACTAGAGGAAGACATTATTATTTACTTAAAATATATTTACATACAACCTTTTAAAATTACATTTATTTCTCATATAGGGTCCTACATATACACTTGAAATAATGCAGATACTAAGATATGATAAATTTCAAAATGAGAAACACAGAGTTCTCAGGCTCGAATTGGCTGAAATTGGCTGAAATGTTATTTTCTTGAATTGGCTGAAATTGGCTTGAGATGGCCTTTACTCTCCCATTCCTGTCTTTAACCTTATACAGACATTGTTTTCAACAAGCACAGCTGATAGCAAGTGATCATGAAGCAATCTTTTCCCCTCTTTCTCTTTCCATTGAAATTACTCTTTAGAGTTATTTCCCTTCCTGGATGAAAAGTGTGGCAGTTTGTGGTCACTTTTATGGAATAGAGTTTTTCTGTCATTGTAACTCATAAGACATGGACTCAGTATTTCAAGGTCTAATCTCATATAATATTCAAAATTTCAATTTTGCTTTAATGTTAAAGCTTCTCTTTTTTCTCTTCTCCCTTATCTTGATGGCTGGTTTCTACTTCTCAAAGATCAGAACAGTGGGAGAGAGAAGAGGGAAGGGGCAGGAAATTTCCCTCTGGTGTGGTTGTGATGTAGCTCCTGTGCTTTCTAGACTTGCAGGTGATGAAAGCTCACTTTTTTTTTTCTGGTGGGAAGCTTTTACACGGGTTCTTCAGAGGCTCCCATCACTGGGGATCCCTCAGTTGAAACTCTCTGGAGATGACAAATGCATCTCTATTTCTGTTAGTTGCTTGATTTTTTCTTAACCCCTTTTCATTAAACAATACCTGATTCATTCTCTATCTTTTTCTCTTCTTTTCTGCAGGATGTACTCACATCCCAACAAATTGAAAATGCTGACCAATCCCAGCACAGCCAACTCGAATTTGCTCCTTCATCAAAGTGACCAGCACCTCATTTCTTCCTCTTTAGAATTTATAGGTAAGAGTCAGCAGTCCACTAGGACTCTGTAAATACAGGGTACACAGAAGAAGCTCTTGTAGGGGGCCACGTTGTCTAGTGAGAGAGGACACACTACATTATCTTAAAGCTTTAAGGTAAAACATTCCATTTGTCTTTTTATTGGGTGAACGGGAAGAACTACTGGAACGGTTGTAGTTACTGAGTCTTCTGGAATCATAGTGTAAGTTAGTGAAGGTTTATACAACTGTGATTGCAGAACAAGAACATAAATGGTGTCAAACTATGCAATATAACATAAATGTTCAGATGAAAAAAATCAAGTGGTAGAGAGAGGGAAGACAGGTGATGAAATAGATAGGAACTCTAAACCATGTGCTGTATAAAGCTAGAAATCCAGAGAAAATCTCTAGTTGTTCAATCAAAAAATAAATATTAAAATATGTGATTTAAAGTTACAAAGGTAACAGAGATATATATTGTAATAGTGATTTAACTCTAGTAGAAGGAATAGAAGAAGGATTTTTAGTGTTGTGCAGTTGAATCCTGTCTTGTTTAGTTGAAGCAGATAATGTTTGAAATGGATACATTTTAAAATATATTTGCATAAACATATTATTTAGAGTCTTGAACGGAGAATAGGAGTGAGAAAGGTGAATTGAGAGAGGATTGCATTTCATTAGGGTTCTCCCGTTTTCCTTGTTCTCATCTTTCTTTTTTTTAATAATGTGTGTACAAATTCCTCTAATCAAATTTAAAATATTTATTTTTAAAATATATTTTTAAAATTATATATAAAATATATAGATGAGAATATAAATGGAATTATGTGGAAAAATATATAGACAAAAATATATCATTATTCAGTATGAAAAAGGTAAGGAGGTAAATTATTGCTGCAAGATATTAAAATAGTATAAAGTTATATTATTCAATATGATACAAACATAAGCATCTTCAGAAAGCTCAAAGAAACAGAAAAATACCAAAAGGGTGTTTTAGTACATATATAAACTAAATATGTGAAAACGATTTACTAAAAAATCTTTGGGGAAGAGAAAGATTATTTAACAAGTGGGTTTAGGTCATTTTTAAATAAACATGTTGCCTATAACTGTATCCCATATTAAAATAAATTCCAGATCATTATGCACTTATAAATATTAAGCCATGAAATGCCTAAAAGGAAGCTCTGAGTGTTTGTTTATCTGAGTTATACGTTAGGTAAGACCTCCTATACTTCAATCAAATGGAAGAATTTGCTAAAGAAAGGACAGAGATTCAACAGATTTCAAGGGTTTAAACTGTATGCGTTAAACTAAAAGACGGCAAAGAAAAATAATTACAACAAACATTAAAATGCGTAATATTAATTTATAAAGAAGTAATTAAATGAATTTTTATTTTGTCACATTCAGTGCCAGAGTTCCAGCACCAAACATGACAGACATGGTCTTAAAAATCAATGAGAAAAACCCTGAGACTCCAATAGATAAATGGGCAAAGATCATGCATGCTTACTTCACCAAAGAGATAATGCAAATAAGTCATAACCATTGGGAAAATATTTGGCTTATTACATGACCAAAGCTTACAAACAAAAATAAGATTTTAATTATATTAATTAAATATAAAAAGCTGTTTTAAAAGGGAATACCCAGTGTTGGCAAGTGTCATGAAGTGGGTGCTCCAGAGACAGTGGAAAAGTGCAATTTTTTTTTTTTTTTTTTTTTGAGATGGAGTGTTGCTCTGTCACCCAGGCTGGAGTGAACTGGCGCAATCTCGGCTCACTGCAACCTCCACCTCCTGGGTTCACGCCATTCTCCTGCCTCAGCCTCCCGAGTAGCTGGGACTACAGGCGCCCACCAGCACACCCAGCTTAATTTTTACATTTTTAGTACAGACGGGGTTTCACCATATTAGCCAGGATGGTCTCGATCTCCTGACCTTGTGATCTGCCCACGTCGGCCCCCCGAAGTGCTGGGACTACAGGTTTGAGCCACCACGCCTGGTCAAAAGTGCAGTGTTTTAACCTTTTGAGAAAGTAATTCAGGAAGATGAGTAAAGAGTTTTAAAGATGCTCGTATATGTAGGGCCAGAAATTCGATTTCTAGTGTTTTTGTAAGGTAATTCAGACTAGTGAAAAAAATCGAGACTTTCTAAGTACTCAGCCATAAGGAACTGCCTAGGTAAAGTAAGAAATTGTATATTTGATATAATTGCGGACATTCTATATGATATTCACATGGAGTTGTGAAATATATGGAAAGTGTTTATGATAAAATGTTAAAGAAGAACACAAAATGATATCAAGTATGGAAAGCAATATGTAGAAAATGCAAGAAATTATGCAAACATTTTAACAATTTCTCTAGGAGTTGGAGTATGATTTTTAAGTAGTTTGAATATTTTTTCTACCTCGTACTTTCTCCAAAATGAATTTGTGCTATTTTCATATTGAGAACGAAACACAGATAGATACTAAACAGCTAGTTTAAATTCTCAGTTTGTTAGTTGTGGGAACTTGGGCAAGTGACCCCTTTTGTGAGGGGGAACATTACAGCTCACCCAGTTTTGTTGGAACTCCACCTAAGTTACAAAAATGATTTTTGTTTTGCCGACTTCTGGTTACACAGTCCAGTACATCCCTCATTTACTTGTCTTCATTTCAGCCACTGAATTACATTAATAGCCCTTAAAAATATTTCTCCCATTTAGGGAAAAATTATACCCAAGACAAGGGAGCAAGTTGATGTTGTCCATCTGGGTTTGTGCCCATTATCTCCAGACCTGGAGTTATTAGCTGAGTTTACAATGTGAACACTTATTTTCTTGTAGCCTTTAACCTCTCATTGGTCCATATTTCTCACTTTTTTAAAGAGTGTGGCCTTTTGACTTCCACTGTGCACCAATAAACTTAAATTAGACAGAAATGGGACAATCCCCTTTGTAAGAACCCCCCAGTATTTCTGTACTTGAAAAATAAATTAATTGTTTTCTCCCCTTGATTCCTTCTTTGGATGGCCTTTGACTTGCCTCTCTCGAAGCAGCCAATGTTTATACAAGGCAAGCTCTGTATCAACAGTCATTCTTTGATTCACCCCTTCATAAACCTGGGGCCAAGAGGAAAAAAAAGTACAGGAATAATAAGAAAAAATAGAGGAATAAGTCAGCTTGGGACTGGATAGCCTGCTAGCAAAAATGACATTGGCTTTTGAGTTTGAAGAGGTTTGTTCTTGAGAAAATGTATTTCAATCAGCTCTCTAATACTCAGGTACCCAATAAGCTATTGATTCTTTCCAGTTGGGAACATAATGTAATAATGTGCTAGTCCATTAAGTCAGAGCTTCATCTTTGCACAATTCGTATTTTAAACTTTAAAGAGGCTCACAACCGAGCTTTCACAAACAGTAGCTGTTTACTTTCTTTCCACTAAAATAATCATTGCAAATACCCCTCTGAGAATGTATATTTTCAGATGCCAGGTAATCAAAGCTTAGTTGTACTCAGACGCTTTTTTAGAAACAAATGGAAAATAATTGCTTTAAAGTGCCCACTTGTGAGGATTTCTGCTCATCAGTATAATTGCCAGCATCCACTGTCTTTCTACCACAATAAATTCACAATGATTCATTAGCTTCTATTAGGCGGGATGAAATAGATCATCTTGTTAACATTAACTTTGATTTTTAAATGGCTTTACTTGATTTCATATTGGGATTACAGTTTGCACATAAACTGAAATAATAAATACCCCCTGCCCCACTTTAAAGGTAGTAGAAGACAATAAAATTAGAACTCAGCCAGCCTTGCAGGATTTAGATATGTACTCTCAGTGTGGGTATTTACTCTAGGAGTGTTTTTATATCTTCTCTTTTGTCAAAGGAATTTAATTTCTTGACCATAAGCCTTTGCACACAGAACCCAGCAGTTGGCAAATAATCCGTAGGATGTGGTACCAAGTACCTTTGTCCAGCCATTTCTTTGGCATCAAATGAATAGGATGATTACTGCAAAAACTGCTGGGTGAGAATGCTTGTCAAAAACTTTGTAATCTTATATTTAACATATTCCCTAGATTGATGAGATCATAATTAATGTACCTCAAAACTACTTTGTATATGTGGATATTGGTCAAAGGTTAACACACCTTTGTTGATTTCAGTTTTTAAACAGCCTGGGAAATATATCCTGTCTTTATCTTTGCCATAAAAATGGCTGTGGTAATTGACTACTTGCATCAACTACCTTGATGGGATCCTGTCAACTCACTGAGGGGTCAACCTTAACTTTCTAAGGTCAATAGAAGTGGGCATCTCAGTCTCCCCCAAGTTGGTGAGCATCCTGAATGTGTGGATCACCAACAGTCCACCTAGTGACAGCCTCTGGGCAGTACTGCCCACATTCCTACTCTGTCTCAGCCTCCTCCACCAACTCGGGATCCCGTCTTCCAGTTTCTAGGTCTAGTATAGTTGAAAACAAAAATTAAGTTAAAAAAAATGACTGTCCATAGGATATTTTAAAAGTTCCAATTGAAAGTGCAGATAGAACTTTTAATGATTGCTTCAAACACAAATAAACTGAGTACTCATTTAACTATTTTAGACTGTTTCAATATAACAAAATGAAACAGAGAGGACTTCAAGGCAAAAATGATTCAGAGAGGCTACATGGAGAGGACTTCAAAGAGATGACTGGGGGTCAGAGAAGGGCCTGATTGTCAACCATGCAACCATGCATGGTGAGCCAAGCAGGCACCAAGCAAGCATGTCTGGCCAGGGCCTAAAACAATAAAATGACATGAATGCTGGCCTTAGCAAGTTAACAAGTGGCCAGAGTGCAGGAGAGCAAAACAGACAAATCACAGTTTCTTCGCTTGCACAGTGAGCAGGGGCTCACTTCACAGCAAACCCCACACACCCTATGCTGCTTCTAACCGTTTGTTCAGCAGGCTATAGAGGTGGCCTATATCCAGCACAGCACCAATGATTTATACAACTACACTGAAGGGAAGCAAGAAGCATTTCTTTAAAAAAAAAAAAAATCAGTGGGTATTTCTCATTTGGTGCTTGGGAAGCAGTAACCTAGTTTCTGGGCTGGCTGAAGAAAAATAACAAAGTGCCTGATTTTTCAGTGCTGGGTCATTTCTAGAAGAAATAACTAGATGAAAGGATACCCATCAAAGTCTTTTAGAGATAAACCAGGGCAACTTTCAGTTGTTTGGATGAATAACCTTAATTCCTATTAATATAAGCTGTGTTTGTCCTGTAGTGGAAGATCTACATGTATTGTGATGCAAATTTAATTTGGTTGAAAGCTTGCAATGCCACTAAAATTCTGAGAACTGCAAGTTTAAGACCTTTAAAGCTAGAGCTGAATAAACATGGGTATACTGTGCATTCTGGTATGTATAATAATTTGTTCTAATAAACGTTTTGTTGATGTAGGTGAGGGATGGGGGACAATATTTGATCATAGGCTATTTTAGTCTTTCTATCCTTAAAACATCAAAACATAAGATTTGTAAGAAAGAATAGCTACCATGGAGTATTGGGGCAGCAGTCTGTGTCTTTGATCCAAGACAAATATGGGTCAAAATTGGAGGAAGCACACAAAGTTTACACATCTGACATTTATTAGAGGTTTTATAAATGTTTGCTGTCTGATTGATTGACTGGTTGAAGGAATACATGAAGTAGTCTGTTTTATGTACTACCCAACTTCTCCCATGTCTCCTTCTGTGCCTAGTGTTGCATTTGCTCTTTGCCTCACCTCCACATAGCAGTACCTCATGTGGATGCCTGATCTCCTGGGGGTGGGGAGGCTGAGAGATTGCGATCTAGACTTGTTCTGACCATGCACTCACACTGTGAAACTTCGTTTCCCTTGTACACTTTATCAACCTCTGGAAAGGTATATTATGAGACTACTTCCAAGCTCTAAATTATCCACAGGTAGCTTAAGACTTAACCAAATGAGTATCTTCTTCAAATTTTAGATGACAAATTTAGGGGTGGAAGCTTCCTGAAAAAATCTCCCAAACAACTCAAGACAGCTGCCAAGAAGCCAGGATAGAAAAACTCTGGGTTTCAATTCTCAGTTGAGGTGAGAATCCAGAAGAGTGAGCCTTCTCAATTCAGGAAACAGATTTCCAACTCAGATAGTTCAATGACCACATACTATATTTGATGGATTCCAAGGTGCAAATTTTAACATCTCTGTGTTAGGCTATATTTTACAATAAATACCATCGAGCAATTGCTGATGGCTAGGCCAGTGTGGTACAGTTGACATTGCCTGAGTTGTGAAAACAGCAAAAGCATCATCATAAAAAGTTGCAGAATGACTGACAGCTGCCCAGAAGACAATCCTGGAGAAAACAGTGGGACACTCTTTTAGCTCCTAGGAACCAAATGATTGCAGAGAAAGGGAGTTATTCTAGCTCTTGATGATTGCTCAAGGCTTAGCCCCAAAGGATTTTAGTTCTTTTTGTAAAGTTTTTAAAGGAATATTGTATCAACAATATAGACATTAATGATACTGAGTTCGAAAGTAATCACAAAAGTGTCAAACTATGATCATGAAGTTTTAGGAATATATATTAACCTGAGGTGCCCAACCCGTGGGCCATCGACTGGTACTGATCCGTGGCCTGTTAGGAACCAGGCTGCACAGCAGGAGGTGAACGGTGGGCCAGTGAGCGAAGCTTCATCTGTATTTACAGCTGCTCTCCATTGCTCATATTATCACCTAAGCTCTGCCCCCTGTTAGATCAGTGACAACATTAAATTCCCATAGGAATGCAAACCCTATTGTGAAGTGTGCATGTGAGGGATCTAGGTTGTGTGCTCCTGTGAGAATCAATTGCCTGATGATCTGTGACTGTCTCCCATCACCCCCAGGTGGGGTAGTTTATTAACAGTTGTGGGAAAACAAGCTCAGGGCTCCCACTGATTCTACATTATGGCGAGTTGTATAATTATTTCATTCTATGTTACAAAGTAACAATAATAGAAATAAAGTGCTCAGTAAAGGTAATGCCCTCGAATCATCCCAAAAATATCATCGCCAACTTCCCAGGGTCTGGAAAAATTGTCTTCCGTGAAACTGGTCCCTGATGCCAAAAAGGTTGGTGACTACTGCATTAACCAATATATTTCATCTATGGTTTTGTTTCATGTGTGTACAATGATAATAAATTATAAAAATAAGTGTCTAAATACATATAAGAGAGCTTTCCAATTTGCGCAGAATTCTAAGTGGTGAGACTATACTGTATCATAGTTTAATAAAGCAATGTTTTTCCTTCTGGTTAGTACATAAAATAATGGGGCTGCTTCTCAAGTGAGAAGAGAATAATAATAATAATAACGGGCCTCCTAGGATCTATGGTGTCACATCTAAGCACATCTGATATATTTTCAAAAAGTTCCGAGAGAAATGCTCTTTATTTCAGGGTTTACAAATTACTCAAAGTAGAGAAATGAAGGATGTCAACATGCCAAATCTAGGATTAATTAACTGGTAATTTTAGAAAATCACATTAAAACAGAGGAATGCAATATTAGTAGCTGTGGGAAGAAGGGCCGATGAGTGTGCTGGTAAATGTGTTGTATGGGAATTTTGGTTAACAGGCACGCATTCTGCACACAGCATCTGCACTGGGTTGTTACATTTTCCCTGAAACTAATTTGAGATTTCCTCAGGTTGTGACAACTTGATGAGGAAAATAGGCCATTCCTCTGGTTGTTAGCTAACCTCACCATCTCTCTCTCTCTCTTTTTTTTTTAAAGGAAGAACAGAGTTATTTATAGATCCTATTAATTTAGCTTAAATGATTCTAGTTACTGGATATGCATAATCAGCTTTTTCCTCTTTTCTACTTAGAGTTGCCTGGAAATGCATTGGATGAAAGATTAGAAAAATGTATCATTTAAGGGCATCCATAACTGCCTCTAATGTCATAATACAAGTTCAGTTATCAGGCCATGTGTAAAATAGGCAGATTCAGTCCTCTGTGGTAGGAGGTCAGATTGTTTGCTTGTGCTTACAAACACGTGGGCAGAGAGAGGCTCTTAACTTGAGAAGTGTCCCTTAATGTCACGTTGAATGGAATTGGAGTACACTCTTCTGTATTTTCAAGCACACATAGCTAATTCACAGTAGGAAATTTTAAAAAAGGTTTGAGGAAGATTTCCTACTGGGAGATTAGCAAAGGGATTATTTGGTGGGGACCATGGGAGAATTTTGTTTTTCCCTGGGTAACCATCAGTCTTCTGGTTAATGAAAGTGTCCATTATTCAGTTTAATGGACCTAACCTGTGTTATTATAATAGCAGTGGGGGTCTGTTGCCTGTGTGGTCCTAGGGAGATGACAGACAGGGAGAGAATTTGGGAAGCTGTGTGGAATAATGGCCAAATTTCTTTTCTGATGGTGGGATCAATTTGAGCTACCATGCCATCAACCTGGTCAAGCCACTGGAAGGCGGTAATAGAAAAATTACTTTGTTTTTGGAAATGATTTCAAATTTTGAAAAAAGTTGCCCCAATAGCACAAAAAAGTTTCCATTACATTTGAGGAAATGTTATTATTTTGCCATATTTATTGATTTCCCAATTATAGATATATATAATATTATAGACAGAAAAAATAACCATACAGCTGAAGATGGAAAAGTTATTAAATTGGTGCAAAAGTAATTGCAGTTTTCGCAATTTAAAAGTAATGGCAAAGACCACAGTTACTTTTGCACCTACCTTATAACTTTTCCCTCTCCGGCTGTTAAATTATTTTTTCTGTTTATAATATAATCTGTGTCTATCTGTAAGTTGTTTTTTTCTTCTGAAACATTTGAGGACTTTGACTTTGAGCCCAAGACTGATACCACCACTTCTAGTTTAAAGGCAAGATGGTCATCAGCCCAGACCTGGCTCCAGGCTTTACCCTTTCTTTCTTGTATAGTTGAGTCTCCTGTGGGCTCAGTTCTGCTCTCGGTTCCCATTGCCTGGCCTCACCTGAATTCAGTCTGCTCCAGCACCCTGTGCTTCAGCTTAATAACCAAGTTATTTCTGGTTATGCTCCCTCCCTAATATAACACTCAAAATTGGTCCCAGGCTTCAATCCTTGCTCATCCCTCTGGTCACCATCTCTGGGCATACACAGTTAGCTACTTCTTCCTCCTCCTGATCCAGGGTCCTGAACTACTTTTGCCAGACCCTCTCCTGTTTCTAAATCACAGGCTGTCAACAGATTTCTTCAGTCTGGATATTCTAGCTCCCTATTCTTCAGACTGAGCCTCAGCCCTCAGATGGCCTGTTGCAGGGCTTTCATGCTAAAACACTTGACCACAAGCATGCGTTTAATCATTCTTTCATTTCATCCATGTGTTGAATGGCCACATCATTTAAACTTCCCTCTTCCTGTGTGCTGGGATTTTGACCAAATATTTCTATACCATTTGCACACTCTGTTTGATTGACCTTCCTGGGGTATCTGCTGTCAACCCCAACATATAGGCCCATTTCTGATTCCCCTGCTCATCTTAGTGGGTGGGTCCACATGATGGCCATGACTCTTTTCACCTTCTCTGTTTCAAAAGTGTGAAAACGGTTATTTCCAATCAAATAGTTCTTTCTTCTGTACTTGGCAGACACACGTTACAGCTGGTTTGACCTCTGGCCTGGATCTTAGTTCCGCTACTTTCTAGTGGTGGAAACTATTACCTTGCGTCTGTTTCTTAACCCTTCTAAACTTCATTTTCCTCATTTGTAAAATGGAGATGATAACAGCTACCTTATGTTTTCTTGTGCATGCATTAAAAGAGATTAAAGCATTTAGCAAAATGTCTTGCAAGTAGTAAATGCTTAATTCGTGGTAGCTAATTTTTATTATTTCAGTTCAGCTGAAGTGATGCCTAACTACAATGACAAAGAACAATGATATGTGATAAATACAATAATAGAAATAGGTAAAGTCTGCTTTGGGAACGTAAGTTCCAGGTAAAGACATGCATAATTCTCTCTTGAGATATGGAGGAGGAAGGCTAAGCTTTAGAGGAGAGATAACAGCTGAGCTGGGCTTTGAAGGATACATAGGAGTTTGTCAGAAAAACAAGGGTAGAAAGAAATCACATGAGCAGAGAAACCCATTCAGTTAGGCCAGAATTTCCCAAGTTGGGCACTATTGACATTTTGGATTTGGTAATGGCTGTTGTAGGCACCTGTTCACTGTGGAATGTTTAGCAACATCTCCAGCCTCTACTTACTCTACCCAGTAGCATCCTCTCCCCATCACAGTGGTGACATTGCCAAATGTCCCCTAAACCCTTATCCTTTATTCTCACTTGAGAATTCTGAGTTGGGCCAATAGGAGATTGGAAAACTTTAGGAAAGCTTCTCCATTTTTACTGCTGGTCTTGTCAGCTTCCACTTTCCAGAAAATAGGACCTCAGTTGGGTTTCCAAGCTCTGTTAAGTGACTGTATTTCTCATTAGCTATCCAAATGGTCATGTACTCATCCTGCTGGCATATATTTGAGCCAATGATTACTGAGTATCTAGTGTGTTTCAGATGCTATGTTAAGCACCAATTACACAGAATCCTCCCTCAGTCATGGTTTGTGGTTGGGGCACAGATCCAGAAATGTACTCACTTTTAAAATTCTTATATACCCCAGTCATTCTTACAGAATTTTGTTTCAATCTGTGTGTAATTTATCACCATAAATCATTCTTTAACTTGTTATTGCTAATCATTAACTCATTATAAGATTATAATTGTGGGTATAATTATCAAACATAAAATATTAATTGCACATACCTCCATGGATTTAATAATGACTATAACTTTATGCCTCCTCACACTGGCTGCTGTAGGCTCTGTGCCTTCATCTTCAGACTCTTCAGGACCCTTCTGATCGGTGAGTCTAGGAGTGCATAAACTGCAGTCCCAACAGCATGCATCAAATCTTTTTTTTTTTTTTTTTTTTTTGAGATGGAGTCTCCTCTGTCACCCAGGCTGGAGTGCAGTGGCAGGATCTTGGCTTACTACAATCTCCAACTCCCGGGTTCAAGTGATTCTCCTGCCTCAGCTTCCTGAGTAACTGGGACTACACGCACTTGCGACCAAGTCCAGCTGATTCTTTTGTATTTTTAGTAGAGACAGGATTTCACCATGTTGGTCAGGCTGGTCTTGAACTCCTGACCTCAAGTGATCCACCCGCTTAGGCTTCCCAAAGTGTTGGGATTATAGGCATAAGTCACTGCACCAGGCCTCATGCATCAAATTTTGATTAACCTGCATCCCTTCTATTTCTTTTGCTTAACTCCCACATCTTAATTGCACTCTATGGATTGATCTATTTTCTTTAGTTAATACCTGGCTCTTACTATTCACAATTCCCCCCTTCAATTCCTTCTCCGTAGGATTATTGTTATTTGTAGCAACAACAACAGCAAAATATAAAAGTGCACATGCTTAGACATTGGGGTGGCATGAGTCATGACAAGGTGACGTCTGAAACATGGGCCTGGGTACAATTTGTAGAAGTGCATTCAACCATAATTATTGTAAATGGCTTGAGGACAATTCCATTCTCTAATATCCATGGAGAATTACTGAATTGCCACCCACTCTGAACATTAGCTACTTTACGGAAGGGAACACTTAATCTTCTACAATTGCAAAGCAGAGAAGCCTAGATCAATAAGGTTGTATGCATGTGTGTGTGCGAGTAAGTATATTTTGATCAGTTGTGATCTGTTTGATTTCTGTAGAGGGACAAGTATGTAAATGTTTATCTCACATCAGGTTAGTGATGGGACCTGTGGTTCTGAGGATAATGATGTCATATGAGAGGACATCCCAGATGCAGTCACTTTAGGGAACCTCTGTTGTCTATGAAGCCATACTCTCTGAATTCACAAAACTCGTGCTTGTGTAAAATAATAGCTACTACATTACCATGTCTTGCTTTCAGTTCTTTTCTGCAATTTAGTAATTTGCTGCATGTATAGTTGGCAAAATTTAATTTGTTTATGATGATTCCTTTTACTTTCTTTGCAGTTGAGTTTTGCCATTTTTCCATCTTGGAAACTGATATGAAACATAAAAATGTTTAGAGTTGTCTGACAACTCCCTAGGAAACTTTTAACAACCATTAATTTAGAAACAATTTTGCTTCTGTAATTCATTTCTCAATTGGTTGTGATGGAAGTAATTGTCATATCCAGAGGGAGAATCTTGACTTCAGGCAATACATAAATATCTACACTCTTCAGAAACAGCATTGTTTTAGTGGTAAATGCCCTCAGTTATAAAGAAAAATGGAATTAAATCAGGGAAGCATAATACCATGGCAGAACCCTTTCTCAATAACAATCAAAATTACCAGCCCTGTGCATCATACACTTCAGTAAGAGAGAAAGACTGATTTTATTCTTGAAATCTTTATTTCTCAAATGTTTGATTAGGTGAGTCCATACCTATGTATAATCCACACATTCATTATACATGCAACAAAAGTATTTTTATTACCAAACATCTGGTATTTCAGTGTCAAAAAATAAGTTACCTAATTTCTCTGAATTTTACTTTGTTATTTTCAGAATAAGGATAAATTTACCCCCCTTGTAGAATTGTTGAGAGGTCTAGAAAATAACACACAAATCAGAACATGCTTTAAGGCTGCTAAATAAATGAGAACTGTTTCTGCCTATTTGTAGCTATTGTTGGCATATATTTATCATGCAAATCATCAGAAGAATAATTCTGTCTCTTCTGTTTTTGAATAGCTTTGAAACCTGTTGGATTACAAAAGGTAGCTTTATGGTTAATGATACTACAGCATCTTTTTTCACCTTGTAATATATCATAAAATATATCCATACATGTTCACAATGATACTAAAATCTGACTGTGTTACACAAATTTAACTAAATTAAAATGTTTTATCTATGTAATGCTCAAGTAATAAAATGATATTTGGCATATTCAAGTAATTAGTAAATTATTTCAAAAGTGTGAACCTCTTCTGGTCTATGCACCTGGCTTCCAGTTGTTTGTACTGCTATTACTTTTCTATTTAGAAAAAATTCACCAAGCGTATATACAACATCTACAATGAACAAGGCAATGTGAGAGCTGAACAGATGAATGTCATATATTTGCATATGTGATATAGAAATTAATTGCAATTCAATTTCTCTTTAAAAAGTGAGTCTTCTCCAAATTACTTTGTAGGAAAAATTCATTTAAAAGCCTGGAATTTAGCTGAGCACATGACCCACATCTGGAAACTGTATATTTTCCAGCCTTCTTTGCTGAGAGCTTTCCTGAATTCAGGCCAATGGCATGTGAAAACTGATATGTGCAACTTCTTAAATATGAACTGCTTCCTCTGGAATTCCTTGTTCACTTTCTTAAGCACAAGTCAGAGACCCTGGCTTTTGAGCTAGAAGCAGAAATAGGATGAGTCTATAGTGCTTAAATTTAGAAAAAGAGGGTTGAGAGTGTTCTGTGTTTGGGGATATACATAGAAAGATGGGTGGCTGGAAAGTATCCCCCATGGCAGATACTTCCAGGAATGACTATATGGAGACTTCCCAGCTTCCCCTGCAGCTATACGTGGTTGTGTTTCAAAGTGTAGCCCAACGATGTCCAAGGTGATGAGTTTAACTTCGGGATCATCTCCCTTGTGATGATTTTCCTCTTCCCTTCCCAGTGGCCCTGGAATACGGTCATGGTCCTGAATAGTTTTTACCATGTAGATGAGGACAGCATCCCAGGAGATGGCAGAGCAACAGGTTAGAAGACACTTGGATTCTTTTTTTTTTTTTTTTTGAGACAGAGTCTCGCTCTGTTGCCCAGGCTAGAGTGCAGTGGCATGATCTCAGCTCACCACAACCTCTGCCTCCCAGGTTCAAGTGATTCTCCTGCCTCAGTCTCCCAAGCAGCTGGGATTATGGGTGTGCACCACCATGCCTGGCTATTTTTTGTATATTTAGTAAAGATGGTGTTTCACTGTGTTGGCCAGGCTGGTCTTGAACTTCTGACCTTGTGATCCGCCCACCTCAGCCACCCAAAGTGCTGGGATTACAGGTGTAAGCCACCGTGCCTGGCCAACACTTGGATTCTTGAATGACTTTATGAGCACAGTTGTCCTCATCCTAGGTGGCTCACTCTATTTTTGGGTATCTTTGTTACATAACTTAGTCTATTCCATAACTAATATAAGTCCCTCATGTGTGTATAATGCTTTACTGTTTCAAAATACTTTTAACCATATTTCTTCATTTCACTGTTTTTTTTATTATTACTGAGTGCCTAACAGAGGGGTCAGCCCTTATTGTAGGCTCAGAGGATACAGAGATGCATCAGATACTTATCAATGATAGTGAGTAACTGAGGAGGGGACAAGGATATTTTTAGGATGAATGAAATTTGGGAAGACAGGGCAAGGTGGGACTTGAAGCACATGTGCTGGAGTTTGCCTGATACAGAATGAAATCCACCTCATTTCCTTTGATTCAGCAGTTCTCAGCCTGTGATCTCCCGACCAACAGCATCAGCATCATCTGGGAACTTGTTAGAAATGCATATTCTCAGCTTACCTAACCCAGATCTAGTAAATCAGAGGCTCTGGGGCCAACAATCTGTGTTTTAACAAGCCCTCCAGGTAATTATGATGCATGCTTCATGCTAAAGCTTGAAAATCACTGCTTTAACCGTCATAGCAGCTCTGGAAGCCAGTCGAGGAAGTCCATCAGGTAGCCGTTTTATGTAGGAAAGAACTGAAGCTTAGAGGGGCTGGGCAGTTTGCTTGTAGTGACAGAGGTAGTTAGTGGCCACCTGTGTCTTGGTGAAAGTTCATGTTCTGATCTAAATCCAAGGGACTGGACCACCTTTCTCAACTCACTATCTAGAAGATTGGGATTGGTTTCATATACGGTATCTCTACACAGTGGTAGCAGGGAAGTGAATTTTAGACTATAGGTGGAAGGTACAATTGCTGTTGGCTTCTGCAGGTAGAGTAAAGATAGGAGTTTGCTGCAGTTATCTCCCCTTGGGAATCAAGTGCCCTTTTCTCAATTGATTAGGTGTGCTTCACCTTGACCCCACACTGAGCAAAAGTGGACTCGGGGGCCTGTCTACAAAAATCTATTTTCCAGTGGTAAAATGATCTTGTCAGTATAAAATGCCCAAAAGGCTCTTTCTGTGCAGGTTTATTTGGCCGCAGTGATTTAGCTATTGCCCTTTATGTACTCCTAATTGGTAGCTGTCCAGGGGGCATCAGTTCAGAAGCATCGTACTGGAACACTACTATGACTGTTCAGAAGGTATGCTAAGCAGAGTTTGAAAACAAATTTCCTCATTGTTTTCTTGCTGAGATAGGCATGACAGGTAAGTCTTACAAGCTAAACTTTTATCATGGACAAGGTTAACCTGCATAAATAAATAAAGAGATGTATATGTATTATACACAGACATATACTATATATGTATATGTATGACAAGCAACATTTCTCATATTTTAAAACTGGATGAAAATGTCAAGGTTTTCCTATCCTTTGTAGTGCAACTTATGTTGAATTAACATTAATCATCTTTTTTTATTTCTAATATTCTTTTTTTTTAAAAGCAGATAGGATCGACTATCATCACTCAAAATGATGAGTCAGAGTTTCAGCTGTTGTGCTTCTTTATATCATCACTTCTGTTGGTTTGTGTAGATATAAAGCAATGCTGCTATGCTGCTACCTGTGTTGTCAGAGGTAAAACAGATCTATAACTTAGATCTGTTAACTTGTTAAGAGGACTGTTGTGGAAATAGACTTTTCTAGATACAGAGAGAGACAGGGGAATATACAAACCCTATTATGCAGAAGCTACTGCTTCTGCAAGGCTTCTGAGGAAAACAAACGAATGAACAAAAACATGCATGAAGGACAAGGCCAGGAAAAAGAACACCAAGGTATTAGCTGGGATTTTGAATCCAAACTGCAATGTGAATAGTGATTATTGCTGGATTGCAAGGTGGATGCTTTAATCCAGGCTAGAAACGTACTCATGTTCTCCAAACATGTAAGCATTGCCCCTTTCATCCTAAGTGCACCCAGGAATCTTATCTCTCCGTGGGAGAGCAAGCTAGTTGATAAGAGGTAAAAATAAGAATCACTGACATCAAAATCTAGAGTTCTGCTAATCTGGGTAGAACGCCTTCAAGAGGAATTTTATTCCAAGTGCAGCTTCAAAGAAAACTTGCTAAGAAGAGAGAGCACACTCAGTCAGGCTCATTGTAGAGGGAGCTCTATACTCAGGCACAGCCAGACAACAAATCATTCTTTCCCTTGGCCCTTTCCTTCTTCCCTCGACCACTTCTTAGTAGAGGATTGAGAACTGGGTATATGGTGAAAACTCCACCTATGCTTTCTCAGTGTCAAAGTAGCTTTTCTGTTTGGAAAACTTTGTGGGAGAGGCATCAAATCAATTATTGGTGTCTTGCGAATGAGTGATCTGATCAATAGAATTTTTTACTTTTATACTTATCTTAGGACCCAGAAGATACTCATTTATTCATTCAACAAATCTTTGTATTCAAGCCCTACATACCAGAATAGGATTTGTGGCTGCAAAGATCACCAAGAAACAGTTCTTGACAATGAAAAGCTCCTTTCCCCTTCAAGAGACACAGTATTAGAGGAAGAAATCAACCAAGTTACTTGATCAAAATGAGAGGAGAAAGAGAGAATACCTCATTTGCCATAGTTCTAGGATAGCTGTTCTCATTTCCCTGGAAAGCAGACACTTTAGGACTTCAAGCTTCCTGCTCTGAAAGAGTGTGTTGAATAAGCTTTGTTGACTCCTGTGTTTCCAAGATGCCTGATGCTTTTTGCCTTTGTTCTTTGTTTTCCAGAGCTGACCTTTTCTTAATGATATTTTACTGTAACTGAGGTTCATGTTGCATCAAATAGTATGATTTAGAGAAAAGAATCCCACAGGACCTTCTTGGTAATTTTTCAGTGGTTTATTAGAATTTTAAATACTTCAGAAAATGGACTTTAGAAAACCCACTTGAAAGAATTTGAAAGAGAAAAAAATATTGACCTTTATAATAAATTGATACTGTTATAAAAATATACCCTAGAGAACACTGGAAATGGTCCATTTAGAGTTGGACACTAGCAAAATAAGCTCTTTAATGTATCTCATAAATATATTTTAGATGCCTTTCAAATGGTGAGAGAGGAGTACAGGAGAGTTTTTCATCCATAATCATTATTTTTTCTCACCACAGCTATCCATCCAATATAATTTATACATGACATTTAGATAGAAGTGGGTAAGTTTCTACTTCCTGTTTCTAAACACAGGGGCATGGACAGTATCAATTAGATTCTATTTATTGTAATAACGTTGATTCTAGTAGAGGTTACACATACGTAAGAATTGTGTGATGTTCTGTCTCTGGAAAAGTAGTCAAACGTATCTTGGAAAATAGTGGTCATTGTGATTACAGTTTTAACACAAAATATATAATGAATTATATATAATGAATATATAATGAAGATTGTGGTTTGAGATTAAACAGAGATCACTGTGAGAGTATCTAGGTATGGAAGAAGAACCAGGATCCCTAACAATGTTATCTGCCTCTGCACAAAAGGTCTGGGAGAATTGCTTCTGTGACTCCTCCTTATTTTAACCCTTTGAGTCCCTTGGTTTTGGCTTCAAGAGTGCATAGTAGCTAAGCGGAGTCAAGTTCATATTCTGAGTATGGATATCCTCCAAAATAGGGAAGGTCCAAAGGATCAACAAGCAAGTAGGAATGGGATATTAAGCAAAGAACAAAAGAGCCAGGGAAATAAATGTGTTTATTACAAGGCGGGCAAGATCTCTTGAGTGAAATGTAAGTGTGTTAGAAAGGATAGTGTATTAGTCTGTTCTCACGCTGCTAATTAAGGCATACCCAAGACTGGGTAATTTATAAAGGAAAGAGATTTAATTGACTCACAGTTCCACATGGCTGGAAAGGCCTCACCATCATGGTGGAAGGTGAATGAGGAGCAAAGTCATGTCTTACATGGGGGCAGGCAAGAGAGCTTGTGCAGAGGAACTCCCATTTATAAAACCATCAGATCTCATGAGACTTATTCACTATCATGAGAACAGTATGGGGAAAACTGCCCCTGTGATTCAGTTATCTCCACCTGGCCCCACCCTTGACATGTGGGGATTATTACAATTCAAGGTGAGATTTGAGTGGGGACACAGCCAAACCATATCAGGTAGGAAGCTGTAAAAAATAAATCCCCAAATCATAACAACTCAACACAACAAAGGATTATGTTTTACTCACTTCACCAGTTGTGGTTGGTGGGGGTTGGGCATCACACAGCCACTCTTCACCCAGACACAAGGAAGCAAGAGTGTCTCATTTTCTACCCCTTGCAGTCACCATGGCAGAGGTGAAGAGAGCTGGAGAGCCGGTCATCTCTTCTTAAATAAGTGGCTCAGGTGGAACACAAGTCTTTTCTATCATTGTCCACTGGGCAGAATTAGTTAAATGGCCCCATTTGCAAGGGTGGGGAAATGTGCATGGATGTTTATGTGCATGGATTCATTCTCTTCAAAAACAAGTGAGCAGCATTTCTGCCAGGCTGTTTGAAGGACAGTCTCCCATCTGAGAGGTTCTGTGGCTGAGCCACCAAGCTCAGAGGGGCTGTGGAGGGCTTATCACACTGGCAAGCTACAAAGCTGTTGCTTTAGACTTGGGTTAGCCTGTGCTTATATTCTTGGAACTGATGCTTTTGACTGTCCTCTTGGTTCCCAATTCTGCCTTTACTTGGGAAGCTGCTGTCTCCTCTTAGCGTAGCTACTGTGGATCAGATTGGAAGGAAGAGGTCACACACCAGCATGCTGTCTGTTCCTGATTTATTTTGCTGATGATACTGACAGCAGCAGGAGGAGAGGCAGTAGATTTGTGTGTGGCATTTCTTTGTCCATGGTCTTCTAAAAGGAATACTGCTGCCTATGGCATGTTCAGTACAGGATGAATACAACAGAGTCCAAAAAGAAGCCACTTTCTTCTACACCTTCCCTTCAGTAGTCAGGCCTATATTTCTATTCCAGAAAAATGTACACTAACAATCTGCCCACATTCTTTTAAAGGAGAGTTTACCATAATCTGGCCTCACTGGTTCAGCATCTGCACAGTCACGTCCTCGCTGCAGGGAGAAAACAGATTCCATGCCAGGGGACCTTGAATGGTATCTCTGCCTTCAGCTCTGGCACTCCAGTCCCCATTCTTAGGCTGGAGCAGGATTTGAGCTCCTGTTTACATTAGTTGGGCAAACGTCCACCTATGGGTAAATGAAAGGGCACAGCCAGGTTCAATGATGATAGGGAGTGACTCTGGAATACATGGTATCCACTACTTCAGCATCTTCTGGCCAGACCTGTGGTGGACTCATGTCACAATTAGCAGGAACAGAGGAACAATGGATGACCAAGGAAATACTAAAAGGGTTGGGCCACTGAGAATGTCATCAGCAGCATTTATGCCAGAACATCGCACAACAACACAAGACAGTGCCAGCAGCTTTTGTTAGGGCAAGAGGCAAGGAAATTAGCATAGATAACAGGGCTCAGAACATCGGGCACAGTTGCCCTCTGCGTAAATGTCAGTCTTCTTGACATGGGCCACTGGCAGCCTGATGCGGACCTTGGCAGGTACTGGCATTCTCAGCAGTGCTTGGCAGGTATGGAGGGTCGTGCTTTTGGAGGGCGCCAGCAGTAGATTTCCTGCTTTTGGTCTTGGCAGAGACAGGAAACTGGATCCGTAGACAGCAGAGATAGGGGAGGAATAAAATGGCCTATACCATGTGTCAAGCAAGAGGGCTGAGTCAGAGAGCACACCAGAGACTGCTCTTATGATTTCCAGAAACATCTTGGAGAAATCTGAGGAGGATTGGAGTTTCTGCAAGAGGCTGAATATGCAAAAAGACTTGCTGGCCTATGAATGAGACCTAGGACTCCATTAAGATACAGGCATCCAGGTGGTTCTTTTTCAAGCTTTTGTTCTTTAAATATTTGTTCAGTACATAGTTGAACTAAATTCAACTGAATTTACTGTAGAAAGTCAAAACTAAATTTCCACTAATAAAAGTTATGAACCTTTTGAAACTTCAAAACAAGGAATTATATATATTTTATGTAATGATAACTTTTAGCTATCATTTTGTTTATGTTAGGCATTTATTATGTGCAATTGTTTTGCTCCTAATAACTTCTTGGGAGTCACCTGGTGCCATACACATTTGTAAAATTAAAGCAGTGCTTTATGTCTGTAGGCAGCCCTGTGCTGTCTCCTACCTGGCCTCTGAATTCTAGCTAATTCTGAGAGTGACTCTGTTGGGATTATAGCATGGCACATCATTGTTGAAATACTCACCAGGAAGGAGTGGCCTCAGTGGCAAGTGTGATGGGTGTTTTCTTTACACATTTATTTAAAGCTCTTGACTTTGAAAGAAGTAGAAGCAATTTACATTTTGCCAGTTATTAAAAGATATATGTGGAGCCCTGAAGATTTGGCACTGTGTTTCTGATGCCGTCCAGTGACATGTTAGCTCTCCTTATGATTTGGTGGCCCCAGCAGCCATCATCTGGTTGGCCCACTTCTTTTCTTTTGAGACGGAGTCTCACTCTGTCACCTAGGCTGAAGTGCAAAGTGCAATGGTGTGATCTCGGCTCACTGCAACCTCCGCCTCCCAGGTTCAAGCAATACTACTGCCTCAGCCTCCAGAGTAGCTGGGATTACAGGCACATGTCACCATGCCTGGACAATTTTTGTATTTTTAATGGAGATGGGGTTTCACCATGTTGGCCAGGTTGGTCTCGAACTCCTGACCTCAAGTAATTCTCCCATCTCGGCCTCCCAAAATGCTGGGATTACAGGCATGAGCCACCGTGCCTAGCCAAGGTTGGCCCACTTCTTAACTGAGCTCTGGTGTGATTCTGTTCTTCTCTCCAGCCTTCTATAGACTGAGAAGTACTGTCACTTATATGAAGGTAATGCCATTGAACCAGTATGAAAAGATCGATTCTTTTGGATAGATTTTTAGCATTGAGGTCTGGCGCTGTTCCTTCTGGCTTCTACTGCAGCTTCTCTTAATTGGCTTTCTCGCTCAATCCCCAATTGATAATGTTGCTGCAGCTTTATTTTCAAGTCCTGAATGAGGAGCTCTAAGGGATCCTAAATTTTTATGAACGAACTTGTATCTCAGTGGGCTGAAGAGCAGGCCTTGAGTCCAAGTCCCAAGCACAGCTCCTGTGTAAAACCCATTGCCTAGCTCCTGTATTCTGGAACATCCCTACACAGTCTAATGAAAAATAAGTATTGGGTTTGTAAACAAAGTCTATGTCTTAATTCAGATTTGTTTGAAATTTCATTGCTAGGGGAAACCCAGGAGAGCCTTTCACTGAGCTTTTGCTTTGTTTCTAGAGCCTCCTCCATTATCTGAAGGGGGATATAGTCCTAACAAGGGTGATTAGGTAATCAATGGGCTTGGCCAAAGAGGTAGACCATATTTTTGTTTGCAAATCATTTACCCCCCTTCTCTGTTAAGAGAATCGCACATCTCAACCCATTGTTTGTGACTTTTGATGCCTTCTGTAGGAATAGTCAAATGTAGTTTGTGTGATTCATTTTGATTAACAGCATATGAGTAGATGTGGCATTGGCCCTGTCCAGGAAGAAGCTTTAGGCACATGGAGGCTGCTTCAGCCCGGATGATGTGAAGAGACAGTAGAGTAGAGATACAAGCTATCTGTAATTGAAACAAAACCACACTGGACCTGCAGCTGACAGGAAACACACCTGACACAAGAACTTTTTTTTGTAAGGTGCTGAGATTTGTGGGGGACACTGTTACGCAGTGTGACCCAGCAAATACTGGCTAATGTGCATACGATGTCGCTAGAGTGGACCCTAGCTCATTTAATAAAAATGGTGATTCAGCAGCTAGAGTCAGGGAAATACTGAGTGGCATATAATACAGATGAGGTTGTTGTCTTATTTCACGCATGGCCTGAAATAAAAGTAGGCAGTCATGACAGGGTTGTGAAGCTTGAATAAATGGAGCAACTAATTTTGGAATTTCATTTTATCTTCACCCTCACCTATCATTTATTTGTGGAGGGCTTACTGTGTGCAAGGTACTGTGCTATGTTGCAGATGCTGACTGTACAAAGAGGCATAGAATATAGTCTATGAACTCTAAACTTAAGGATGCAGTTGGGATAAATATGATGATACTCATATGAGGGTAGCACGTGAACTACAGAGAGGATACATGCCATAGGAAATTCGAGAAAGGAATTCTTATTTTAGATTAAGCCATTTAATTACAAGGCAGAGGCTATATTTTATTTTGATTTGTGCCCTCCAAACAGTGGTATATTGGAGCTGGTTCATACTGACTCAAGTGAGCCTATGACGCATGTCTGTTCCTGACTCTGGGTTCAGGATATCAGATGGTAGTTTGAAATTAGCCATGGTAGAAGTATTTATACCACAGACCAGCAAATACTAAAAATTAGGGCTTTTAAAAAATGTTTGAGAGGCAGTGTATCAATATGCTTCTGCCTCCAACTAATATGAGGTACAAAGAGTTGAAGTGAATTGAATTTTTCTCATAGTGTACTGAGAGGTTTTGAAATGAAGAATAATTTCAAAGGTGGTTTTTAGGGATATATTAATCTGGCATTGATACACAGGAAATGCAAGAGGAGAGAAACTCTATGTAGCCAGAAAACGGTAATGAGCCTCTTAAAATAATCTAGGAACAAGGAACTAAGGAAGTAACTCTTACTTAGGAAGAGATGAATCAAATAACCTTTTAGTGAACACTTTAATTTTGGCAAAAAAGTTCAAGGTAAATGACCCTTAGTAGATACTCTTTAAATACTTGTTGAATTAAATTGAATTCAAGAACTTTGTTCCAGAATTTAAAATTCTCTGTTCTTTTTCTTTTCTCCTGTACTCCTCTAGACTTTTGTTCATTCTCTTTGACCTTTATTTGCTTGTACATATTTCTGTTTTTTATGTAGCTCTCTTTTTCTATCATTTTTTCTTTCTCTACTTCAGTCCTAGAGCAGTTAGTAACCAATCACCTTATTAGCTGCCTAGAAACTTGGATAACAAAATCTCTTGGCAGGTGGGTTTTATATGTGGAGTGGTAGATCCATTTCTCCAAAAGAACAGGTAATTTGTATTCTCCAACACAGGTATTGCAACATTGAGGCTATTTCTGGATTGAAACATACTTCATGCTTTCCACATGCTTATTTAGCTCATTTCAGTAACATTTTATAGATGAAAACAACAAAATGAATGATAATATGAGTTACCTTTAAAACTTCAATGTGTCTGTCAAATTAATTGCACCACCTAAACACCAAATTCATTCCTTTAATTGAAAGTCTTATAGGTGCTCCCCCCTCAGCATATGCTATAGTTAATGATCAATTGTTGCCACAAACGATTTAACATTTGTATACACATGAGATGACATGGTCATAATTCATGGAAATGCCAATGCTGTGAAATAAGCACAAACAGTGATAAATGTGCTGTCAATTTCTATATAATTACCACAGATCTATCATGCTATTTTGGTATGTTGAAATGCATTAGAGCATACCAAATGTGCATCATCCCAGTGATCAATATCCTATTTCAAATACAAACGTTACTGTATAATTATCATGTTATTCTTTCTGATGGTTTTCTATTGAGCTATGTTGCATTTCAATTTAAAAAGTAAAATCACAGAGTGTCCACCTGGATTAGAATTACTACACTGTTCACGATTAGCACATGGTTGATACCTGCAATTTTAATTTAGACATTAATTATGGTTTGTGACTTCACTAACATGTTAGATAATTTAATTTGTCCACTTGAAATAGTCTCTTCTGGCTGACTATATTTCACCCTAAATAAATCTTACACTCTGAGACTTGGCTCTGAAAATGCGTTCTTTTAGTGTGTTTCTTTGATCTTTTCTTCCTTCCTTGCTGTTTTGCTGTGCTTTCTGTTTCTTGGTTCTGTTTATTTAATTTTGCTGAGGTGGTGGTGTTTTCTAGGTCAAAGATTGAGTTCAACTAGGAAGGACTAGTAATTGTACAATATAAAACTACCTCTCTGCCAGGTAAAACAGACTATTTTTGTACAGTCAGATACTTTAAAACATTTTCTGATAGTTTCTAGAAACAAAAGAGGGAACATAAACCCTGCGGTTTTGCAGGCTTCCCAGCTTAATCACATGCTTTTAAAAGTGCAGCAAGGTACACCCCTGGCCTTGCTCAGTGTCCCTGAAGACCCACAACAGGTAGTAACTGGTAATGTGTCTGAAGCCTGCATCTGGCTTGCCTGAAGCTCCAGGTCTGATGTCACCCAGTCATCAAGTGCACTGGCAGAGACCTCAGCAGCCACCTCTCCAGGCTGCTCTGTTGTTGTCTCGTTGCTGCATAAGCAGTCTCATATTTTAGAAGTCAAATAACCTTAGTTTCTTTTTGGAAAAAAATGAGCATTCACTGGGAGATAGTAATCTAGTAAAGATTTTAAAAAACAGGTTAACTTGTGGTCTGAACATCTAAGCAGAAAAATTGTGACCTTTGAAGAAAGCATAATGCAGGAGGAAGTGAGAAACCTGGGAAACTTCTAGGATGTTTTCTAAACCTGCGGATGGTCTGTGGATATAGCGTGCGTGCTCATCCCGAGGTCTATGGAGAAGCAGCTGTACCAGGGGTGGCAGCAGGGTTTCTCTGCTGTTCTCTTACCTCTCTTCGACTAATATATTCTTTTGGGCCAAGGAAATCCTATATCCAATTGATAACACAAACTAGACAAGAAAACATGCAGGCACGCCCCTGGGATAATTCTCTGGAAGCATTTTTCAGGACTCCCTGGCCTCCAGCCTGCCTTTCCACATGGCTGCTTACCTTTGCCTTGTGATTTCTGTGGACTTTCAAACCTTCATGGTAAACCAAATTCATTATCGGAGTTTTCCCTTCCCCTTCCTGTCACTTTCAAATACGAATTTTAACACCGGTCCCTTGTGACCTCCTCACTCAATTTCACCCTCATCCTAACTTGTTTACTTCCAAACCTACTGACTTTCTGTCCTGTGTGTTGGCCATGCTCCATCCTGCCGCAGAGCTGTTGTCCAAGACTAAATAATTCTTTCCAGTTTTTCCCTTGTTAATTTCTATCATCTTTCAGATAAATCTTGGTTCAAGTGTCAATTTCAATGAGAATCCCTTCCTGATCTCCCTGGCCAGGGGAAATCCTCTTGCAACATCATCAGGTTTATATGTTTGATTAGTTGATTAAGAGCTTCCTTCTCCACTAGATTGTAAGGACCACAAAGGCAGGAATCATGTCTGATTTGTTCATAGTATCTGTTAATACATCCTCTCCCCTCACCGTATGTAAGTGTGTGTGTGCATTTATTTAAATATATGTAGATACATTTATAAATGAATGAATGGGTAGCAAAAACTCATTACAGCTATTTGTAATTCCATTATGAAATTATCTAATCTGTATATACAAGGAGGACAACAAATGGCAAATACAGATATTAGTAACACAAATAACTTTTCAATATAATTTCATAACTTCTCTAAAATAAGATATGATACTTAAAGCTTTGTAACAGCATATTTTAAAAAATGGATTGTAAAAAGCACTTTTCTACATGTTCTCTCATTGAATTCTCAGAACTGCTCTATCTCCATTTTAGAGTTAAGGAAGGTGAGATCAGTTAAGGCAAGAAACTCTCTGAGGGTAGAATTTGAACCTAGAATATCAGTTCTAGGACAGAGCTCTTTCTATAACACAAAACTGCTGCCATTTCTAGTATAATATTATCAGCTAATATTTGATTTAATTAATACTACCCAAAATATTTTATTTTAAATGCATTTATAATTTTCTGTGATATGTGTGAATTTTGATTTTAATTATGCTGCTTTTGTATCAAGATACTGATAGAAATCAGAAAAACATGGGTTTGTTTACCTGTATTTTTAACTTATGCAAAATTTTTTAATGACACTGCTACAAACTAACATGCTACAACTGTTTCTCCATTATATAAGATGGGGAGATTTTGCTTTTCATCTAGAGGTTTTCAAACATCCATATGTTGAGTATTTTAGCCCTAGCAGGCATATTATGCTGTTTATGAAGGCAGAAGGTCTGAAACAGGGCCAGGCATTTTTAAAGATGAATTTTATCAGAGAAACAAAAAGCTGTTGGTAATACTGGTCTTTGTTCCCCCTTTGTGGGCAAAGGAAACTCGCAAATCAAGAAGAAAGTTAATCATTCCTTCATAAACACTGAAACCACCTATGAAACCCTTTCAAAATTATCTAATTGAACTCAAACCAGCCATGTTCTTCCTCTGTTCCTCCTGGAAATTAAAGGGATAAAATATTGCACAGGAAGACAAGTTCCTAGTTTGTATGTTTTGCTGAAGGCAGCCACCCTCCTTGCTACTGCAGACCTATCATCTACCTTTTGGGTGTTTGCTGCATTCTATCCCAACAGTTTGCTGAGGCTGGCAATAACTATTAATTTCTAAGCAAATAACCCTTCCTTTGTGTGGCAAGTTTCTTACAGTAATTAAAAGCAAGGACCACATATTTGAACATTAAGGAAAAAAAAAACAGCAGATTTTTATGTGTTTCAAAGAACTTATATTAATATCAACTGGCTTCTCACCATCTATTGCAAGTTAAAATAATTAGACGTAACTCTTTGTAATACACATTTTCAGGGAGAATACAGGGCTAGGGGATCTCTTCTACGCTATTTTGTGTGGGTATACAACTGGCATAGACTCTTTGAAGGGTAGTTCAATAATTTATTTCAAAATGTTAAAAGCACCTATCCTTTCATTCAACAAATTCATATTTAAAATTTATGTCATGGATGCTATTATCCTTAGCAAACTATTAATACCACAGAAACAGAAAACCAAATCCTGCATGTTCTCACTTATAAGTGGGAGCTAAATGATGAGAACACAGGGACACAGAGAAGGGAACAACACACATTGAAGCCTATTGGAGGGTGGAGGGTGAGAGGAGCAAGAGGATCAGAAAAATAATTAATGAGTACTAGGCTTAATACCTGGGCGATGAAACAATCTGTACAGCAAAACCCCATGACACAAGTTTACCTATATAACAAACTTCCACTTGTACCCCAGATCTTAATATAAAAATTAAAAATGATTTTTTAAAAATGAATAAAATTTATGGATTTCTCACCTATGTACATAAAAATAAAAAAGAAGCAATCCAAATATCAATCAATAAAAATAGGTATATAAATTACGGAAAAATTGGGAAGACATATCGCTAAATGAGAAAAATCTAAATGAGAATATTATATATAGAATATTTCCAAAGTGCATGATATTTATGTGTATGTACGTGTATGTGTAGATATATGTGCATGTTGTACCAGTGAAAAGGCACCCTGGCATGACTAACTCCATTTTGCTCCTAACCCCTCATGGAGGTATCTTTCAGGTTAACTGCCTTTGCTTATCTCTGCATGTAGGCCAAGCTAACTACGAGAGGAACTTAGCTTGTTGTTTAAATGATAATAATCCCTTCCTAAAATGAGTCCCAAGGAGTTAAGGATGGTGTACACACAAGTAACAATGTTGTACTGAGGATCTGTGGGAGTGTTGTGACTCTCCAAAGATGGAGAGGTTTCCTGGCCTCCTCATACATTCACTGGCACCTAGATGTCTCCGGTCATCAGGTGCCTCCTGATCCCAAACCCCTCCTCTTCCCCCTGCCATTAACATAAAAAGGGCCTGAAATTTGTACTGATTTAAGATGGTTCTTTAGGACATTAGTCTGCCTTCTTCTCAGATGGCTCTGCAAAAAGTTACCTTCCTTGCTGCAACTCCTTGTCTCTTGACTTACTGGTTGCCATGCAGTAAGCAGAATAAGTTTGGATTCAGCTACAATATGTGTAGGAAATTTGTGATAAGATACTTAAAAATGTTTAACAGTAGTCACATCTGTAAGGTGAGAATGAGAAAAAAAATGCTGGTCTTTTTTTACTCTTTGCATTTTTCAAATAAATTCATGTACGACTTTTATGGTAAAAGATTATTTAAACTTTAAAGTACATTGAGAATCTTGAAGTAAGATGGCAGTAAGTGAATTATGTTTGATTTACTCTCTTCCATCTTTCTGTAAATCTATAGTCTGTACTTAAATATAAGAACTGAAACTATAAAAATCCTAGAAAAAAATCTAGGAAATATGATTCTGGACATAGGCCTTGACAAAGAATTTATGATTAACTTTTCAAAAGCAATTACAACAAAACCAAAAACTGACAAGTGGGGCCTAATTAAACTAAAGAGCTTCTGTACAGCAAAGGAAACTATCAACAGAGTAAGCAGAGAACCTGCAGAATGGAAGGAAATATTTGCAAACTACACATCTGACAAAGATCTAGTATCCAAAACAATACTAGATATTCTTAGTGTATCATTATACTTAGTTCATTCTTAATATAATGATCTTAATTCAACAAGCAAAGAACAAATAATCCCATTAAAAAGTAGGCAAAGGACATAAACAGACACTTCTCGAAAGAAGACCTACAAGTGGCCAAGAAACATGAAAAAATTCTCAACATCACTAATCATCAGAGGAATGCAAATCAAAACCACAATGAGAAACCATCTCACACCAATCAGAATGGCTATTATTAAAAAATCAAAAAATAGTAGATGTTGATGAGGCTGTGGAGAAAAGGGAATGTTTATACACTGTTGGTAGAACTGTAAATTAGTTCAGCCACTGTGGAAAGCAGTTTGGAGATTTCTCAAAAAACTTACAACAGAACTACCATTTGATCCAGCAATCCCATTACTGGGTATATACCCAGAGGAAAATAGATCATTCTACCAAAAAGTCACATGCGCTCATATGTTAACTGCAGCACTATTCACGATAACAAAGACACAGAATCAACTTAGGTGCCCAACGGTAGATTGGATAAAGAAAATGTGGTACATATACACCATTGAATACTACACACCCATAGAAAACAATGACATCATGTCCATTGCAGCAACATAGATGTAGCTGGAGGCCATTATTCTAAATGAATTAACACAGGAACAGAAAACCAACTACTGCATAGTCTCACTTAAAAGTGGGAGCTAAACGCTGAGTACTCGCAGACGTAAAGATGGGAACAATAGCCACTGGGGACTCCTGGAGGAGGGAAGGTGGCAAAGGTTGAAAAACTACCTATTGGGTACTAGGGACATGACCTGGGTGACAGATTCAGTCATATCCCAAACCTCAGAATCACACAATTTACCCATGTGTACATGTAACACTGAATCTAAAATAAAAATTGAAGTTAAAAAAAAGTAAATGGAAGCTTGCTTTAAAAAAATATTCTGCCAGAAGGGTTTCTTGGTAAAATAATTGAGAAATGTTCTATATTTTCTCTCCTACTAAATAGAAGATAATATAATACAATTTGGTAATTAAAGCCTCTGAGAAGTCCTTCTTCTATGGTAAAGAAATCCGATCCCTGCCACCCCCACACCTGAAAATCTATAGTCTATAGTAAAAGCTTATTTATTTATCTTCTTATTTTTAGAGACAGGGATGTTGCTGTGTTGCCCAGGCTGGCCTCATACTCCTGGGCTCAAGCAATCTTCCTGCCTCAGCCTCCTTAGTAGCTGGGACTGCGGGTGCACACCACTGCCCCCCTACTATTTATTTACCTTTAAACTTTAACTGCCTACTCTTTCCCCATCCTCCACTATACCACTTCCTTCACCCCCAAGACAGACTGGGTGACTCGTATTACGTGGTGAGATCCTCTTGTCACAGCTGTATAGATCAAGAATCACTTGACCAATAAGAAATTCTCCCTCTGGAATTTTGAACTAGAACTAGGGCATTTGTCAGTTTGGTCTCTCTTGAGCCCAGACACGTAGTTCCAAGATTGAAGTAATTGTTTTAAACATGCGCAAGGGAAGTAGAAAAAGGTGGTTTGCCTAGAGGGAAAAAAATGCCACAGATGACCCCAGAAACAGACATTGGCCATGGGGCTGAACAGAGGCTGAGGCAATTGCTTCCTTGAACTCGTTTGACCCATCTGTTTAGTCTCTTATGATGCCCACCTGTACTTCTTACCTTTGGATTAGTGAGTCTCCCACTAAAGCCTCATTGTGTTTTGTTTAAGCCAGGTAGAGTAGAATTTTTATTACTTGCTTCTGAAAGTACTCAGACTGATGGTGCCCATGGAGACACAGGAAGACCAAATCCCACAACAGTACTGGAAACCAGGTTACCCATATGCCGCATGTGGGAGACATTTCTACTTATTGCTATGAGAATGAGGAACTGAGAAACAGGTGCCTCAAACTGCTCCATCCTTGGGCAAGTTCAGAAGCAGGAAGGAAGAGATATGACATGCCAAAGTTAACTATCTGAATTTAAAGACACGAAAGCAACACCAAACAGAAATTTGGGCAGGCCCTCTGGACTGCTACTTTCCCAGCTTCCCCCACCTGATAGCAGTCCGTTCAGAAAATGCAGTTCGAGTATATAATTAACTGACCCAGGTGAGGGAGCAGGTGGTTGGGGCAGGGTAGGACATAAAATTATAAAACGAGTGATAATTGCCCAGGAGCAGAGAAAGGAAGTGGTATATGTAAGAAAATGTTGTTTTTCATTTATAGTCAAAGAAAAATAGTTGTGAACTGGTTTAAAAATTACAGGATACAAACTCGATTCCAGAAGATCAAAGAACTACCGCTATTCAACAAAGTTGCCCAAGATTAATTTCTAGTAGGTCCTGGTATTGAACTCAGTTATTCATAGCAACCTACCCTCCAGGTTCATATTTGGAAATGGAATCCAATTAACCTGTTAATACACTTGAGGAAAGAGAAGTTCTTCTACATACTTATATCAGGTATTGGCAAAAATGTATCTCCATAGATCTCTGTCTTCATTTAAAGATGAATAAACAAGGAAAAATCAGGTACTACCACCACCCCACAAAAAAAGGCAGTAAAACATAAAAAGAGAAAAAAGGGGAAAGTCTGAAAGTAAAACTCGTCCATTACCACAAAGAGAAAAAACAATAGAAAATAGGTACTTTATATTCTTGCAGAGCTAAAAGAACATTTTTTAAAATAACATAAGGATGGGTCACTATGAGGGGGAAGATGGAAGCAGTGAGTAGCAGAACACATAAAAAGGTAAGGAGAGGCCGGGTGTGGTGGCTCACACCTGTAATCCTAGCACTTTGGGAGGCCAAGGCAGGCGGATCACGAGGTCAGGAATTCGAGACCATCCTGGCCAACATGGTGAAACCCTGTCTCTACTAAAAATACAAAAATTAGCTGGACGTGGTGGTGGGCACCTGTAATCCCAGCTATTTGGGAGGCTGAGGCAGGAGAATCCCTTGAACCCAGGAGGCGGAGGCTGCAGTGAGCCGAGATCATGCTATTGCACTCCAGCTTGGGCGATAGGGTGAGACTCTGTCTCAAAAAACCAAACAAACAAAAACAAACAAAAAAACAAAGGTAAGGAGAGACTGCAAGGATGCAAAATGCCACAGTATGATTGAAATCCTGGGAGAGAGAGGAAAGAGCAGAAGTGACATCATAGGAAATTAGGCTAGTGATAAAATTTGCTTCTGATCTGGTGTAGACACCAGCCTGTGTGACCTGCTTTATTCATTACCTACTGATTGGCAATGACTGAATCTTCCTCCACAGCCTTTATTACTATGTTTTTCCTAATAAGACATCCTTTAAATCCTGAGTCTTCACTGATTTCTTCATAAGGCATTTTGTTGACTACAGACTCCTTACAATACTAGAAGAGAAGAATTAGGATGTTTCAACACAAACAAAAGGTAAATGTTTGAGGTGATGGATATCCCAGTTACCCTGATTTGATCATTACACGTTGTATATATGTATGAAATATCACATGTACCACCCAAATACGTACAGCTATTTTATATCAATAAAAAAGACATTTTGAACTTGACTACTGGGTGAAAGTTGCTACCACACTCTCTTCTCTCTGAACCCTAGGTATTTTCTCTTCTGTTTTCTCTGTGCACAATCAGCATTATTTTCTACGTGCTGTAGCAAAGAAAGAAGTATTTCCAAACTTCTTTGTTGAGAACATCTATGTTTTCTTTTTCTTTCTTTCTTTTTTTTTTGAGACAGTATTTCACTCTTGTCACCCAGGCTGGAGTGCAGTGGCACAATCTCGGCTCACTGAAACCTTTGCCCCTCCCCGGGTTCAAGCGATTCTCCTGCCTCAGCCTCCCGAGTAGCTAGAATTACAGGCACATGCCACACACCTGGCTAATTTTTTGTGGTTTTATTAGAGACGGGGTTTTGCAGTGTTGGCCAGGCTCGTCTGGAACTCCTGACCTCAAAAAATCACCTTTGTTTTAAATGCAAAGTGAAAATGCCTTGTTAACTTGAGCATCAACACAGGTGTTGTGGCTTATCCTCTGAAACATCAAGTGCATCCTATTCCTCCAGACAGTAATAGCAGCTGCCGTTCCTCACTTCATGTCTAATGTCAATTGGGTTACATAATTTTCAACAAAAAGGATATAAAATAATCATTGTTTGGTAAAAAATGTAAATAATTACATTAAAAACCATAGAAAATCAACTGAGAAAACTTTTCATGCTAATAAGAAATTTTAGTAAAGTGATCCAATACAAATAGAAAAGAAATATAAATATAAAACCCAGTAATTGTGTAGGAATATATATATATATTTCCATATATAATGGAAAATATAACAGTATATATATATATAGTCTATTGTATTAGTAAGTCATAATTATAAGGTTATAGGAAGAAACCTTGTTAACTTTATTTAGCTATAACTGATATGGGATAAACTGCATATGTTTAAAGTGACCATTTGCTCAGTTTTGAGTTACGTATTTACCTGTGGAACCATGACCATCACCTGTGAAATCACATCAGAACCATCAGCCCCCAAATGTTCTCATGATGGCTTATCTTTCACTTCTCCAGAAAACTACTGAATTATTTTCTGTCACTATTGTTTCCATGTTTTTGAAATTTATATAAATGGCAATCTACATGATGTGTTCCTTTTTTGCCTGGCATCTTTCATTCAGCATAATTATTTTGAAATCCATCCATGTTTGTGCGTGTATCAATAGCTCATATTTTTTTTTATTGCTGAGTGGTATTTCCAGGTATGGATATGCCACAGTTTGTTTATATATCAATAGCTCATATTTTTTATTGCTGAGTGCTATTTCCCAGTATGGAATTGCCACAGTTTGTTCATATAATTATGGACAGTTGGGTTATTTCTAGGTTTTGGCTATTACAATTAAAGCTTCTACAAACGTGTATAAACCTTTGTCTGGAGATATGTTTTCATTTCTCTTGGGCAAATGCTGTGGGGTAGAATGGCAAAGTATGGCAGGTATATGTTAAAGTTTTAAGAAGTCATCAAGCTGTTTTCTATAATTTGGAAATTCCAGTTTCCAATGTGTTTTCCAAAAAGTATACAACTTTATATTTTCATTAGCAGTATATGAGAGTTCCAGTTGCTTCACATCCCCATCAACACTTGGTCTGGTCAGGCATTTTAATTTTAGCCATTCTGATGGGTATGTAGTAATACCTCACTGTGGTTTTAATTTGTATTTTCCTGGCGATTAATGATGTTGAGCGCCTTTTAATATGTTTACTGTCCATTTACATATCTTTTTGAGGTATCATTTCAAGTCTTGTGACGTCTGTGGATTGCCTTGCTATATTGAATTTTAGAGGTTCTTTTGTGATATTTTTTTCAGAGATGTTCTTTGCAAATATTTTTTTCCCAGTGTGGTTTCCCTTTTTTCAAAAAATGATATTTTCAAAAGAACAATAGCCTTTGTGTTGAGAACACCTTTGTTTCAAATCCAAAGTCCATTTTATCATTTTGTTCTTTTCTGTTTCATCCTCTTTGTGTTCTGTCTTGACGTAATCAAGATTTTCTCTTGTTTTTTCTTCCAAAAATTTTGATTTTTAGGCTTCCCATTTAGGCTCTTTTCCCATTTCAGTTTAAGTAAGTTTTGTGTATGATGTGTGTGGTAAAGATCAATGTTAATTTTTTCCCCATATGATATCCATTTAATCCAATTACATTTTAGACAATTGCTTTTCTCTTTTGGATTATCTTAACATCTTCATGAAAAATTAATTGACCATATATATGTGGCTCTATTTTAAAACTCTCTTTTCTCTTCCATTGATTTATAAGTCTACCCTTTTAGTAACTGCAGTCTTGCTTACTATAGCCTTATAGTAAGTCTTAAAATCAGTGTTACTCCTTCAACTTTATTTCAAAATTATTTTGGCTATTTTAAGTCTTTTGCCTTTTCATATAACTTCTAGAATCAGCTTGTCAATTCTACAAAAGAGAGACATTAAACTTTTGATTATGATTGCATTCACTCTATGAGTGGAATTTTCATTAAAACAATTTCAAATTTTGAAATTCATGAGAATGATATATCCATTCACTTATAGATATAGTTACTATTTGTATTTGGATTGTATACCTCAGTGTAATGAGTTTATTTAGTAATGGTCTTTCTTTGAGGAAGACAGACACTAGACATGATAAATCCATCATTGTATTAAGGGCCGTTTTATAACATCTCTTGTGATCTAGCATTAAACCCCTTTTCCACATGAGCATTTTATCCCTGTCTATACAAGCAAGTGTGTCTTTTTTTCTACATTTTAAGAAAAAGTTAATAGATATTAGCAATATTAAATAAAGAATGCTACAAAACACAAATAATGAAAGGTAAACATTAGAATGGGCTCCCAAACAGAGAAAATATATTATCCTATTTATATATTCTATTGTTATAATTTATATTTCTGGATTTTCTTGAAACTTAGAAATGTAAAAATTTGTGGAATAAACATTTTTTATAAGGTGTGAATAGACAAGAACGTTTGGAAGTAAAAGTATTGAACTGGGAATAGATTCTTCAGGTATTAAATGCTTTGTAATGGTGTAATAATTTAAACTATAAAACTAAACAAAACTGACAAAATGGGCCAGAAACAGATTCTTTTATATAAAGGATTATTATATGACTAATGAAACATCACAAATTAGCGAGAAGTGAATCATTCAATAAATCACGCTGAGACTGTTGACTAATCACTATCAATTATTAGGTGATTATTCAGTGCAAGTTTTTTTCCCATACATAACACACTCTTCAATGACACTTTGAAAGTAATAAATTGAAGTCTTAAACTATAAAAAAGAAAAATATAAACAAATATGTATTAAATCTCTGCATGGGTGTCTTCTATGTTGGAAAGCGATGAAAGAATTTACTGTGACAATGATGGCAGATTTCACTACAATTAAATGTTAACAAGTATGTTGCTCAATATTAAAAGGCTAATTTGTTAGGCACACTAATATTTAAAAATTATTTGCAAACATAGGGGAAGGGTTAAAATGTTTAATATACAGAACTTATACAGACACTCTTGTATGTAACTTATGTTACATACTTTTATAAGACAGACACTTAGGTTATTACACAAAGATTCCAAGTAAGTGGTCAACAAACAATTTATAGAAATGGAAATACAAATGGCTAAAATGACTAAAAACCTATCGGAAAATATTGTCTCATGAGTAAATATTATCAATTAACACATCATGAAAATATATTTAACTATGAACTTATCTAAATTTTTAAAAATGTGAATAACAATACTAGCAAGAAAAAATACTGCTTATTTCAGAAATAAGCAGTATAATAAGCTTATTATGGAAATGTGAATTATGCAATTCTTTGAAAAGCAATTTTCCAGTGTTTATCAAGAAACCGAAAAAAATTACTACTTTTCCATCTGCTGATAGAAATTTACCTTAGAAAATAAGATAAAATGCTGGAGAGCCTCATGTATAAACATGTTTCTAGAAACATACAAATATATATGGAAATAGCTTAAATGGGTCAGTAAGGAGATTGTTAAATGAATTGAGATGAATGATTATGGAGACCTTTAAAATGATGTTTGCAAAGAGCACATGTTAGAATTTAAATGAAAAGGAAATGTGTAACAATATAAGTGTATAATTCGACCTCAACTCTGCAAACAAAACACATATACAAGATAGATTAGATGAATTATTATAAAAATATTAATGGCAGACCAGTAAGCATCCTGGCTTCAATATGGATTCAATAGCAAAATTGTATTACTAAAATTGTTATTAATATTGATAAAACTTTGATTGGACAATACTTTTTTTTTGCTATTTGTTAACTAACTTTGGAAAACAGCTAGTCAACCTCTTTCAACCTTGGGTGCTTTAACTCTCGTGTATTATTAGGAACAAGAATACCTCACTTGTAAGGTCATATGAAAGATAGAATGAGGTATGAATGTGAAGGTATGTTATAGATGGCATGTAAATTAGCCAGTTTCATTACATAGTTGATACTTATCAAGTATCCTAAGTGCTTCCTTGGTCTAAGGCTGCACTTTATTGGCAAAAAGTCAATCACATCAGTAACTTTATGGCTATCTTTGAGTGATGTTCCTGTATAGTGTACTTGGAAATCCACCAATGGTAGGTTTGTCCATCAAGATCAAACTAAACTTACGTTCATGACAACAAGATATTATACACAGAAAGAGCTGTCAGGCTGTTAATATAAAAAGCACTGACTAATTTACAAAAGTATTCAGTTGAAAGATAATGGAATACCAAACTGCCAATATTAAGAACAATGTGAAAATGAAGTTTGGATCATGGGACCCAGAAGTTTTTATAAAGGAAAAAATCTTTGAAGATTCCGGTATAAAAGACACCATTGAACAGGCTATTCTGACTGAGTAATTGGGTTTAGTCACCTTTAAAGGAATGATTTTCATTGTGTAGGTGCAACTTGCTATAAAGTGAATAAAACCCAGAAAGGACAAAGGAAAAAGGAATGGTATAGTTGCAATTAAAAAATGAAAATGAAATAAATAAAGATCCTAACTTAGTAATGGTCAAATGACAACTACCACTGGGTGATTAGATGTGCAGATTGTAGCCGAAGGAAGTGTGTACACATAGGTGCACACAGTAAGGAGAGAGAGAGGGAAAGAAGTGTAAGTGAAGGCACTAGAGCATGATGACATTTGACTTCATTCTAGGGTGAGTTCCCATGCTTTATGTTGAGTTAATCATTGGGAACCAATATTTCCTTTTGGTAAGCATTCAACTCTTTTTATTGCTCTAATCTTTCTTTACCACAAATATATCTCATTACAAATGTGTGCATGTTTCTGTGCATGTGGGCACATGAGTGAATTATTTTTATAATTTAAATAGAAATGTACAAGATACAGTTCCATTTGCATATCCACACAGCAATGTTTCATTGCTGGAGAAAGAAAATATAGAAATCAGTGTGGAAAATCCAATTCAGTATGGACAATATTATTGCGTATGGCACTTTTAGGTCGACATGTTTAAATATGCCTGGGGATTCAAACAGCAGTCAACGCACTGGCACATTTCATAGCATGCTGCAATGCAAAGACTAAAAGGATAAATAATTTTTATTAGCAAAGAACTTTTATACTCAGACATTAAACTATGACAGTACAGATGGAGTGATTGCTATTCAGCAAGAGTAAGACAATAGAAAGAATTTAAATGATCTGGAAAAATTATAATTGATTGAATGCTTACAGAGTAGAGCAATTCTGGAGTTGCAAGCTGTAGTGTTATAACAGATATCAAATTCTTTAATCAGACATAATAGAAGCAACAAATGACATACACCTGTGTGGGCGTACGTGTTGTGTGTGTTTGAGAGAGAGAGGGGAGAGAGAAAGAGAGAGAGAGATGTGTGGGGAGTGAGAGAGAGACAGTAAGAGAAAAGGACAGATACGGATAAAACACTCACTGGGAAAGCAATGAAGACAATGAAATCAGAGAGAGACAGAGAGAGTCAGTGAGAAGAATGAAGGAGAGACTAGTGGGGATTAAGAGACACAGGAAAGAGGAAGAATGAGATAAAGAGAGTGGTGTAATGCCTAAAATAGAATTTAAGTAAAAACAATGGTGGAGTTAGTTCCTCCAGGAAGAAATCAGATTACAGACTGATACTGATTTCTTCACACTCCTGGGCCTGATACTGATTTTGTCAAGTTGCAAAGCTATTGCTTTCTAAATTTGTGTTCAAAATTCTAAACTTGAGGGGTCTATGGACCTCAGGGAGGTTCATAAACACCTTGAAATTAGGCATCACATGTGTGTGTATGTGTAATTGCAGATATCTTATTGGAATAGGATCCAGAGCTTTCATTAGACTCTCAAGGGATCTATGATCATGAGTAGGTCAAACTATGAGCAAGAGGTTTAACCTAGCACCACCATGTATCCATTTTGATGAATAAAAGTTTTGGGAATACACCCAGATTTAATCCTTATGTACCCATTAATAACTCCAGCCATGTCATGCTGTGTGATAAAGTCAATGCAAGTGTGTGTGTGTGTGTGTGTGTGTGTGTGTGTGCATGAGTCCACACATTTGTGTGTATAAACCTTCTGGGTGGAAGGACTTTGAATTGGTTTGGAGAACTGTATATGGGACAGGCTGCCTTGAGGAGTGGGAGCAGTGCTTTTGCCTCCAAGGGACTAGCATGTGGAAGCGACCTGCATTATAGAGGTTTGGGCTGTTTAAAGAGATCAAATAAATATGGTGTAAATATGGGGTCCTCTAGAGACCTCAGAATGACATTTCACACATGTTTACTCACATGAGATTCCTCATTTTAGGAAGGGTAGCAAAGGCCTAGTTCTGCTGTTTTTAGAGGATGAATAAAATCAGTGAATTTTTGAGTTTGGATACTGATTTGCCTAATGTTTTTAGGCCTGAGAAGAGACTGAGAGAAAGAGCTTTCAGTGGTTCAATAATTAGTTGCTCAGCTTGAAGACTGTGTGGCATTAAGTACCACATAGTGTAAATTCTCCATCATTCAGAGGACGGTACATATTTTTAGATGATTTATCCTTTTGTTTTATTCTTTGCTTCTGTTACATGATATTGGTAAATAGCCATGCTGCCTTAGGTGAAGGGAAAGGAAAAAAGATCACTAAACTTTTTCAGTCTTGCTTCTTTTGAGCAATCTTGAGAAAATGAGAGAGAGAGGTTGAAGCCGCTACTTAAAATGAGGTTTCTGGATTGTTCATGCATAGATAAAATCCTATTCATGATATTATGAGACAAGCTAAAATCTTGTTCAATGTCCTATTTTGTGTTGGATTTTGTAACTATAAAAATCGATCTTTATAATAAAGTGCTTTACCAAGCAAGTGCATTACATGATTAAAGGAAACAATGTAATATTCAGAATTTCAGAAGCTACTTTCCTCTCTTTCAAGAAGCAAAGTTCCTTTAAAACTTTGGCAAGGGAGGAGACCTTTAAATGAGGTATTGGAAATTTGGTAAGAGAAAAGACAGAGGCAGCACCAGTGCCCTAAAGTTGATAGAAAGTCAATGGACTTGTATTTTATTTATGCTTAGGAAATACATGCAGAATCTTAAAAAATACAGATAATGAAAAATAGCATCACATTATACATTTTTCCATCACTCAAATACATTTTTAACATTTTGGTAATTAATATACATCAAATATTTATCTTATGAATATTTTAAGTACAAATTGGTTTTTACTGTAACTGACTTTTTCAGATTAGATTTTGAAATAAGTTTGAGAAAAGTCCAGCAGAGATGTAAGATGAAGAATGAACCTAGAGCATGGCGTGGACAGCTTCTTAGCTAATCAGAGAAACATGGCACATGAAGGAGGAAAATTTGAGGTCTAGGTATAGCTATGAAGGTATTTTGGGCAACGCTAGATGTGGCATGATTCAGATGACACAGAAAGCTCCTGGGTAAAAATACAAGAATTAGTATGAAGATAAGGATTTATATTATTTTCCATTTTATTTCATTGTTTGAATTGCTACAGACCATGTGAAAATCATTTGTAATGATGTACTTATTCTGTTTAAAGGTTTAAAGGTTGCTGGCAAGAGCACGTGGAGATGTTGTAGTTAATAAATGGGTGCCCTAGCAGAGACACTGAGTTGCACAACAATGATCTGGGCTCCCGCTCCCATAGAGTAGTTTTCACTGACAAGGGTTGGCCCAGGCAACAACTACACTCCCCAGTATTCCTTGCATTTAGGTGTAGTGTGTCACTGAGTTCTAGCCAATAAAAATGGCCAGAGATGACATGTGCCACCTCCAAGTTCAGTTCCTAATATATCCATCTGCCTAGTTTTGTTAGGTGAGCAAGAAATACACTTTTACTGTGTCAGAACCATTCATTAGAGCTTTTGGGGATTATTTGTTACAGCATGTTGACTATACTAATATTAACACATAATTTCATTTTAAGGCAAAATAAGGGCTTTTCAACATATAAAATATTGAAGAGTAATTTATTCAACAGATATTTATTGAGTGTCTATTGAATGCCAAGCACTGTTCTGGAGGCTGGGGATAGGACCCTTAAAAAACTCACAATGTAATGGATTAACAGGCTATAAATGTGCAAGAAAACAAGGAAGTAACGTTATTCCAAATGATGATAAGCTTAGGGAGAAATATGAAAGGGCAATAGCTCAAAATGATGAGGGAAAGGGATGGTTGTCAGTGAAGGCTTCTTTGAGAAGGTGACATCTGAAATGACACTTAGATGTTGAGTGAGAAGCAGTCACATGATGGTCTGTAAATCAGGCATTCGAGGCAGAGGATATGTAAAGCCAGGCTCCCTGAGATAGGAGTGAGCTTTGTGTGTTCAAGACACAGGAAGAATGTTTAGAGCACTGAGAGTGAGAAGGGGAGTGACTGGGGAGGACCTTAGAGGTCATGGTGAGGAATCTCAGAACCATTGAGGGTTGAAGAAGGACATTGACATGACCTGTTCTTGTTGAGAGGATCTCTGTAACAGGGTGGAAACCAGAGGCATTTTGCAAGAATCCAGGCAAGAGATGTTGGGAGGAAGCAGTGGAAATGATGAAAAGAGACTGGATTTAGGATATTATAATAGATAGCATTAGATCTCATGATGAGTCACTGTCATCATTAGGCTACAGGAATATGCACATGGAGAAAATGTGAAGCAGAAGAATATGACTTAATATATCTCTGTTGTTATCTGATTATATTAAGACCCTTATGTTAATATCTGATCATGTTAAAGAACTAGGATCAGCGAACTATAGCCTGTGGGCGGCCAAATGCTGCCTGTTGCCTATTTTATAAAGTTTTGTAAAACACAGATACTCCCACTTATTATATATTCCATATAGCTGCTTTTATATACCAATGGCAGAGTAGAGAAGTTGAAACAGAGATATTATGACCAAGAAAGCCTAAAATATTTGCTATCTAGTCCTTTACAGAAAAAGTTTGCAGACTCCTGCTAAAAAGAATTACTTTCTATGTTTTATTATTTAGCTTATTAAAGGAGAAATCTGGAATTGAAATAATAGAAAAACCTAATTCTCAGGCAGCTTATTGGATCTCTTAGGATTCTGGCTTGGTACCATTTTTTTTCATCCTTTAGTAGCATATGTTTGCTTTAGGGCAGTCACTAAAATAAAAATTAATGCAAATCATTCATTACAAAGATTATGTCTTAGGTTTAAAAGAAATCTTAGTGATCATCCAGTCTGACTCCTTTATATTTTAGGAAACTGAACTCCACCATCCTTCTGTCACTAGCTCAGGGCCACAAAGTAAGTTAGTGGAAAAGAGAAGCCTAATATGCCTCCTCCTGGGCTCACAGTTCAATGCTCTTTTCACTATGCCGTGCTGAACTGCTTAAAAATAGGTGTAGAAAGCCTTGATTATGAAAGATACGAATAGATGGGGATTTTCTTTAAAAGATTTTTTTTTACATAAAATTGAAAGTGCTCAGTGTTTCTTTTAAACTATGTGTTTTTTTCTCTGTATAAAATGATCCAGTTTATTTATTTTATTTAACTTTTATTTTAAGTTCAGGGGTATATGTGCAGGTTTTGTTATAGAGGTAAACTTGTGTCATCGGGGTTTGTTGTAAAGATTATTTCATCACCCAGGCATTAAACCCAGTACCAATTAGTTATTTCTCCTGATCCTCTCCCTCCTCCCAACCTCCTTCCTCTAATAGGCCCCAGTGTGTGTTGTTCCCCTCTATGTGTCCATGTGTTCTCATCATTTAGCTCCCACTTATAAGTAAGAACATGTGGTATTTGGTGTTCTGTTCCTGTGTTAGTTTGCTAAGTATAATGGCCTCCAGCTCCATCCATGTTCCTGCAAAGGACATGATCTCATTCTTTTTTATGGCTGCATAGTATTCCATGGTGTATTTTATTTACTCAGTCTACCATTGATGGGCAATTAGGTTGATTCCATGTCTTTTCTATTATGAATAGTGCTGCAATGAAAATACATGTGCATGTGCCTTTCTGATAGAATGGTTTCTATTCATTGGGTTATATACCCAGTAATAGGATTGCTGGGTCAAATTGTAGTTCTATTTTTATGTCTTTGAGGAATTGTCACACTGTCTTCCACAACAAATGAATGAATTTTATTATATTTAAAAAATTTATGTTATGAACATTTTCAAATATGCATAAAAATAAAGATAATAGCAAAATGGGCCTCTGTACCTGCCACCCAGCTTCAGCAATTAATACCTGACCTATCGTGTTTCATCTATATTCCCTAACTCAGTCACTCATTCCCACTCCTAGATTATTTTGAATCAAATTCCAGCTGTTCTATTATTTAATCTTTAAAAATTTCAGAATTTATCTCTAGAAAAATAAGGACCTTTAAAGAATTCTTATTATACTAAAAAAATAATTGTTACTACCACAAATATCCAGTCAGTGTCCAAATATCCCCAATTGTTTTATGAATTTTCAAAGTTAATATGTAGATTCCCCATTTGTTGTTAACAAACAAACCTGGGCCTTTGTCCTTAGAGTTTCCCATATTCTGGATTTTACAATTATATATTTGTAGTAAAAAATATTTAATTTAATAGTGGTCATCTAATTAATGTAAATAATGTTTGATTCAAAAAATGTAGCAGGGTTTTTTGATAAACTATGTATTGTTTAAAACGTGTTCCGTAGCATGTGTACTCACAACATATACACACTCTTCAAAACTGAAGTCAGATCATGCCACTCCTCTGCTGAAAACCCTTCAGTGGTTCCCATCTCATTCAGAGTAAAAGCTATGCCCCACCTCTGGTCTCTAAAACCCTACATGATTTTTCCTTAAACTAGCTTTCTAGCATTTTAACATTATTTCATTCATTACTCACTGGACTCCAATAAACTGATTCACATGCTGTTTCTCTAAAACCCTAGTCACTCTGCTTTCTTAGGAGCTTGACATTGGGGGTCACCTTTCCTGAAAAGTTCATGTCTCAAACACCCCCATGACTCATTCCCTGTTTTCCCAGATAGTCCCATGACTTATTCCCTCCTCTTCTTCTGGTCTCAGTCAAATGTCACCTTCTCAGTGGGGCTTTCCATAACCAACCTATTTTAAATGCCCATTACTCCCCAGCACTTTCCATTCCCTTTCTCCACATTATTTTTCTCCATAGCATTTATCTTATCTGGCACATGACAAATTTCATTTACTTAGTTGATTGACAGACTCCTTGCATTACAACGTAAGCTCGATGAAGATGGCTTTTGTGTATTTTGTTCATTTCTGTATTCTCAGTGGCTAAAACAATACCTGCTTCACAGTCAGCAATCAGTAAATATCTGCTAAGGCATGAATTAATATGTGTAGAACTATTTCTTTAGTAGAATTTTAAAAAATAATATTTACTCTAGGTCTAGACCCTGAATTGCTGGCTATTTTCCTATTCAAGTGATTAAGCAGGCCAACCTACAAGAAAATTTACAATACCTTAATTTTATCCTTTGAGCCTGGGGCCCAGGAGAATGTTGGGTAAGTCTTAATAGACTGTTACTTGCCTCTTTGCCTTTTTTCTGGACTTCAATCTGTTCCTTTTAGTTCTTTTTTTAAAGTTTTATTTTTATTTTAAGTTTTGGGATACATGTGCAGGGCTTGCAGGTTTGTTACATAGGTAAATCACAGAGTATATGAACCTGCTTGGTAAGGATGTCTCTCATTGACTGGTTCTTCATAGCAGGGGAACCCCCCAAAACCCAAGTACATGTACCATGCGGCACTAATATTGATTAGACTGATGAAAATAAATATTTAATAAACATGAAATGCCTAAAAAGAATCAAACTAGTAGCTGCATTTCAGACAGAGAACAGAGTGTTCAACTTATTTTTAGATTATAAAGGAAGCTTAAGGCAGGAAAACTAGAGGGAAAGAGACTCCCAAATTAATTCTATTGAGGCATTTTGAACTTCCACTAAATCATTTACTCATTTATTCAGAAACACTCGTTGAAAGCCTGTTGTGTCTTAAGTATTATTTTTGGTGCTAAGTGTACAAAATGGGTGCAGTACATTCATTTTTCTTAAAGACTTCCACCTACTTGGGGAAGCAGACAATGAAATGAACAATTACAACATAGAATGGTAGATACTTAATGGAAATATATATAGGATGTTATGGTAGCTAGACAAGGAGTACCAGCTCAGTTTAAAACAGGATGATCAGGGAGGTGATTCTTAAGCTCACCTTAGGGCTTCAATAGAATAGTGGGTGGGAAACTGGAGAAAACATGAAGTTGCTATTCAGACATTCGAAGCAGGAGATGCAAAGCATGGCCATGCCTTCTGGGAAAAAGTCATTTTGGCTGGAGCATAGATTAGTTGTTGAGCCACGTGTTGAAATGAGGCTAGAAAAGGAGAGAAGACATCATGGAAGGCTTTGCACATCACTATAAGGACATTATTTTCATTATTAAGCTAGGAGCCATCTTTAAGAATTTTAACAGTGGTGGCGGTGGGTGAAGTCAGAGAGATGACCTGGTCATAGGGATTGGAGAATATGAGAGTACAGGCTGAGAGTAAGGCCTGAATGAAGGCGGCAGTGAACGTAGGAGAGAGATTTTAGAGGTGGACAAAATAGTATTGATGATTGATTAAATGTTGGGCTGAGGAAGCAAAGAGAGAAGAATGAGAAGGGGCAAGTGATGTCTAAAGAGATTCAGAGAAGAATGGAAATGAAAATGAAGGGGCAGTTTGAAGAATGAGAAGGTTAACTGTGACAAAAGCGACAGTTTCAAGTAGACTAAGAATTACCTACGGATTTATCATTTGGAAATTAAATTGTGATCTTTGTCAGAGTAGCTTCAGAGGAATAGTTAGAATGGAAGCCAGTTTCAGTGTGCAGAGCCAGGAATGGATCCAAATTATGGGGGCCTGCAGCTGTACAATCTGTGAAGGTCCTTTATAAGGCAAAGAATACACAGTTATGAATTGAGAACCACGTGTAAGGTCTTGGAAAGGGTTCATGCAATGAGGGGCCCTGATGTACAGCTTCATTTGATTTTTAACACATCCATCTTTGGGCTGAAGAATGAATGGGTGGTGATGAAATAGGTGTTGGTTCCTCCTTCAAGAAGGTCGTCTTTGAAAAAAGAAGAAACATTGAAAAATCACTGTAGGGGGTGGGTAGAGACCAGAGGGCACAAAAGGAGTGTGTGTGTGTGTGTGTGTGTGTGTGTGTGTGTGTGTGTGTTTGTGGAGTGATGTGAGCATGCTGGTGACATAATTTGAGGTGATGGAGAGGGTTACACTAAAGAGAGAGCATGAAAGGTAAAATGAAGTTTCCGAGGGCATGGGAGAGGATAGAGTCAAGAGGAAAAGAGGTCAGAGAGAACGCTCAGGGGTGATATGAATAAGAGGGTTCACAGGAGTCTCTGAATGTGCAACCACAGATATAGAGATGACGTCAAACGAATGGTGTCACAGAATCTCAGGGAGGACATTTATAAAAGTCTTGGGAATACAGTTACCAGAAGGCAGTGTTTAGTGTGGCTGAGAGGACCAAGAGGAAGACTCACATCATCCACACTATTTCACAATTAGAAGGCAATTGCTGACTTTCATCAAGGAAGCTTCAGTAGAGTTAGGGATGGAAACCTGATGACATTGGGTTGAAATTTGAGCAGGAGGTGAAAAGCACATCAGTGAGCATGGCCTAAAAATCAGATGTGCTCATGAGGGCGACAGACCAGAACCCAGGGGAACACACAGACTCAAGTGAGGATTTTTTGCTTTGCTTAGTTAAATAAAGTGTGTGCTAAGATGGGGCACGCTTATGTAGTAAGAGACACAAATCAGGAGAGAGGGAGTGAGGGGACATGGGAAATGTATCAAGGAAAAAAGTTTTGGTTAAAAGAAAATTTTGTCCCTTTTCAAATTTGAAAAGCAATATGAAGTATTGAAATAATGTAGAAAGAACATGGTATGTAGAAATCTCCTATAACTATACTTCCTATAAGTAAGTATTAAAATTTTTATTTGGATTTTTACTTTCAGACTTTTTTCTATTATAAATACAAATAGATATGCATATACTTTTTGAAACAATAATTCAACTTGATATCCAATATATTAACTTAGTATTTCACTTGAAATTGGAGACTGATGTTCCTATTAGTATTAGAGATCTAGCTCATTTATTTTTTGGATGCCTGGTAACTCATTTTTGATGAATCATGACTTGTTTAATCAATCCCCTATTGATGAGTATATATATTTTTTCGGTTTACTGTTATAACAAGCAAGGCTACAGTCAACATCTTTGCATAGCTGTGTTGGTATTTCTGTAAAACTTATTACTTAAAGCATATTGCTAAGTCAGAATGTATGCAAATTTATTTTATTAACAAATATTTCTAAATTTCTTCCTCAAAATGTTATTATCCTAATTTATACTTCTTCCCATGATACACTAAGTGCTTAGAAAATGATGATTTGATATTAAACTTAACTCATTAAAGAATTGGAGTGATCGCATTTTAAAGTGCTCTGAAATTAGTAAAAAGTTCTTTGCAGAAGTGCCTGAAATACCTTAATTACTGATTTAATCTTCCTCCAATGGAAACTTTTATTGAAGAAGCTGAATTCAAGAGTAAACAAATTATTTCGTATTGAATTTTATCATTTGCTTTGCTTTTCTGATTATTGTTTTTGTTACATATGTGAGTATTTTGGCTGCCTTACAGGTTAAATATACAAGCTGCTATATACAAGAACTTTAGTGGTGGAAGAAATTCAGAGAACATTTAGATCAACCTTATTGTGTATCTGAACAAAGAAAATCAATGGTCAGAGAGACTGGCTTTCCCCCATATACTCCCAGTGGTCTTCTGCACAGCTGCTTTTTGTGCAGCTGACTTTACCCGGGATGCCTCCCTTTGCTGCTTAACCTGTCTCCTCTGTTCTGTAAGACTTAGTCTCAAACTATGCATTTACCTGGTATCGACCAGAGTCTGCCTTGCATTATAAAAATGTCTTTCTGTGCCTGTTTGTTTCCCACACTTCAAGCTATAGGATTTTTCTGAGCAAGAACATGCCTTACTAATCTTTGAATCTCCAGTTCCTATTTCCAGGATATATACATTGTGACTTACCTAAATCTTTTAAAATTCCGCCCAGTGAATTAAAGAATATAGGCAATTACAATAAAGGATTCTAACATCAGAAAATAGAGACATTCAGCCATTAAAATGCCTTCTGATGAAGGTACACACTTCACTTCTAAGGTATTCTTGCATAAAAGAAAAAAGAAACTTGAGTCTAATGAAACCTCTAGGTAGAACTATCAGTATACATGTGGACAGAAGAACATGCTAAGTGACCCCTGGGAGGAAACCAGCAAAATACAGACTGGGCCAAATACAGAGGGCAAATAGTCTGATTTATTCAACAAATGAATTATAAAAAATATGGAGAGGAGAACTTACATAGATTCAAGACTTAAGAGACACACATATCAACCAATTGTAATATATTTTGATTCCAATGTGAGCAAATACATTACAAAAATTGTTAGAAAATTAGATAAATTTGAAGACTAACTGTGGGTATTTCCTAGTGCTAAGGAGTTATTGCTAATTTTTATACAGTTATTGTGGTTATGTTTTCAAAAAAGTCTTGATGATTTTAGATTGACCTATGAAATATTTATGAATAAAATGATTTAACAACTGGGATTTGCTTCAAAATAACTTGAGCTTGACAATTGTTGGAGCTGGGTGATTGTTGATCGGATTATTATACTCTTTAACTTTTATATATGTTTAAAATTATGATAAAATTTTTGGATGTGGATAAATGAATATTATAATTACCTTTAAACTTACACTTGGATGATTTTCCTCATTCTCACCTCCACCTCTTTTCCCTTCCAGAAGCCAGCTATAATACAAGTGTTTTTACGATGAGCTTTAAGCTAGCCAGGATAAAGACACTCTTTTAGTATTATGAAATATAGGTGATGTGTTGGTAGTAGATTCACCTTTGCTGTACGTATATTCTGATTGCTTTTCAGATATTCAATTTGACACCCAGACAACTTTCAAGAGCTCAGTTGCTATTCCATCCTCTTCCTGCTGTGATTTCAGCATCTAAAATTCCTCCTTATCCTGTGAAGTGAAGCTGGGACTTTGTCATAAGAGGAAGAAAGGGCAAGGGAAGGGTCTGTGAGGGTGAAGAGTGCTGGAGAATAACTCTTTCCCTGGCCCCATCTTCCTCAGCACTACTGATCTTTCAGGAGAATTCTAAGACTTTTGGCATATAAGCATCATCTGACTCTTGGATAATCTCAGGCATTTCTGAATAGCATGTTACCTGCTAGGATGAGCCGTTGCTACACTAATATACTGTCTTTGAACCAAATTTCCCCATGTTGTCAGCATTGTACATTCCTCAGCTGCAAGGATCTTCTACTAATTCAGAGAATCATTGGTGGGAGTTTGCTTTATTACTTAGTCATGCACTAGCAAAGAGACCTAGTTAAAAACAAATGGAGGAGTATACCATGGTATTACAGGGAATACCTCTCGAATACCCAGTATATTTATGTGACATGCAGTTTCCTTGGTAACTCAAAGAATCCGGAGCAGGAGGCACCGTGAACCTGTTCCCACAGAGATAGAGGACAGTGGTTGTAGGAGTTTATAGTTTCTTCTCCACATTGCTGAAATACATAGAAAGATTGCTCCCAGCCTACTTTTATACCTATGCAATAGAGAGAAAATCACTAGAAGATAACTCTTCTGACAGCATGATTCTACATTCAAATATTCAGAAGGATGAGTTGTATGATTTACATTAATATTCACTAGTCAGAGACTTGCTAGATTCTTCTTTTGGGTTCTGCCAGATTAGATACATGTGGACATTTTGAAGATTCTCTAAGAGAGCAACCAAAATGTTTCATTTAGAAAATCACGTTCTCTATGGAGAAGCTATTGGAATAGGGATTCTTTAACCTACAGAAAAAAATTGGAAAGTTTCTCAATGTCTGAAAACAGATTTTGTTGTTTCTAGTTATGTGATTGGATTGAAATGTCATACACATTGAAGTGTTCATGGTACTTAGGATCACACACACACACACACACACATATATATATGTTTCCCCTTTGGTGGGGAAGGGGTATTGATAATAAAGACAAAAAAAAAAAAAGATGAGAACTCCTGGAACTTGAAGAACAATAAAAACCTCATACTGATTAATTAAGAATGATAGCTTGAAGATTTTCTTTTAAGCCTCTAGTTTCCTTTATGACCTAAGGGGAGGATTTTAGCCTCATCCTTTACCTGATGGAGTAAACATTGCAATTCTAGCTTACAGTGACCCTGCAGATTTTGTATTATATAAGACTGCCTCACTTAAGTCTGCTTCATATGGGAAGATAGACTGAATATTTTGTTCAGGAAATTGATTGGAAGTAGCTTGGGGCCAGTTCTTGCTTGTCAATCATGTTTTTGTGTTTTTAAGATAATACATCTGTTTTTTCCTTCTTAGTCTCTAATAGATGATCATAAAATTGAAAAACAACTGAAATTATGTGTAGCAGCAAGCTTAGTTATATTAAGCATGTATGAGAAACGTGCCAACTTACAAGGACTCAATGTGAGGTGTTTGTGTGGCAATTCAACAATATCGATTTATTCTGAAGGAATTGAGGTCAGCTATGGAAAAACAATTCAATGGCCAGAAAACTATTTCCAGTATTTTCTTAGTAAAGAGTGCATCTCTTCTTTGTAAAGAGAGGAACATGTTATTTTTAGTAATTTGAGAACTAGTGCAACAAGAAAATACAAAACTGGAGAATCCCATGAGGTGGTGGATACATGAAGCTCTGTTACACCCAATCTTACCTTATGGAGCACTGTTCATCCATATCAGGCCTGCCTCAGCTGACAGGGTTGCTACAACATTCTCAAGACATGAGTGGTATTTCCCATAAAACACCCATTTACAAGCACAATTCTGTTTCCTACTTTCCTCCTGTACTGACACTCCCTAGGTTGTGTGGCACCTGACTATGTTTGTGCCCTTCTGAGTTTTTGTCCATCCTCTTTCCTTCCAGCCTCCCTCCTCCCTCCTTCTGAATTAAATTCCTTCCTTGTCTAGCTAAATAGCTATGTTAAAAGCCAGAAAGAATAAACTTCAACCATAGAGAAAAAAATATTTTATGAGAAGAGTGACAGGTTTAACACATCCATAAATGAAAATGATTTTCACAACTGAGGGTTATAACTAAACATGTGATGGGTCTGAAGACTCCTGAAGCAATGCATTTGGAAGTATTGAAGCAGGGACCCTTGTAAGAGCTACACAAATGCTGCTTAACTCACCATGCTACTTAATGGAGTACAATAGAAACTCTCTTTAAGTGCCGCTAAATTCCCTTATTACAAAATGGTTTTACATATGAATTGAATGAGAACTTCTCCCGGAGACTGAAAATCAGGGGGAAATGAGACTGGGATCTATTATTCCATAGATGGAATGAATACTAAATATTTCTTTTTAAAATGAAGATGTACTAAGATAATGACATCTGCCATCTTGATTTTGAGAGAAACAACATGAAATCATTACAAGACATGGAATTTTGGAAGAAAATTCTTACTACCGTGCTATGGTCCAAATGTTTGTGTCTGCTCAAAATTAATATGTTGAAATTCTATTCTCAAGTCAATGGTATTAGGAGTTGGGGCTTTGGGGAGGTGATTAGGTTATAAGGATAGAGTTCTCATGAGTGGGATTAGGGCTTTTAGATACGAGACCCCAGAGAGCTTGTTCAACCCTTCAGCCGTGTGGGGTTACCCTGAGAAGACAGTCTTCTATGAGGAAGTGTGTCATCCCCAGATGGTGAATCTGACAGTGCCTTTGTGTTAGAATTTCCCACCTCCAGAACTGTGAGAGATAAATTTCTGTTGTTTGTAAGCCACTCAGTCTATAGTCGTTTGCTATAGCAGATCAAATGAACTAAGACATAACCGTCATTGTTTGACTGGCATCTTTTCAGTGCAAAAACAGAAACTTCACTGGGATTGTTTTCAATGTAGGAGTTTAAAATTACTGCCCATATACGCTAATGGTAGCAAGTAAATGGGAGGCTGTAACATTTTGACTCAAAACCTCTAGAATAGAAAATAATAGATATTTGGGTGCTTGGCTTGAAAATTGAAAACTGTGAATAAAGCATGATTTTTTTTTTGCTGGGCACAGTGGCTCGCGTCTGTAATCTCAGCACTTTGGGAGGCCCAGGTAGGCAGATTGCTTGAGTCCAGGAGTTCAAGACAAGCCTGGGCAACATAGCAAGACACCATGTTAAAAAAAATACAAAAATTAGCCGGGCATGGTAGCACGTGCCTGTGGTCCCAGCTACTTGGGAGGCTGAGGTGGGAGAATAGCTTGAGCTTGGGAGACAGAGGCTGCAGTGAACCAAGATCGCAGCACTGTACTCTACCATTGCTATCTAGCCTGAGTGACAGAGCAGGACCCTGTCTCAAAAAAAAAAAAAAAAAAAAAAAAGATTTTTTTCCCCGCAGAATTCTGTAAAAGTTGAAGATTACTGGATTAACTCTTCCTTTGTTTAGAACAGCTAGGCAAAGGGCTGGTGGCCATTTGGGGCTAGATAGGAAATTGAAGGAAAGGAGAAAAAGGCTAAAAAGACAAAACAAAACAATACAAAAAACAAACCTTTGGCTAAGAACAAGGTGAGATTTCAGTAGAACTAGCATGAGAATGTCACTTTCATAAGGAGAGAAATACCTGTTCAGAAATGGAATGAACTTAGAGAAATAGAAGAAGATAACTAGAGTTGAGAGATTGTGAAATAAGTGCTGTGGGAACTCTGTGTGTACACTAAATCCTTCTAGCACCCTCTTTTTATTGTATAATATAGTAGAAAATGTTGTTATCTCAACAGCTGGCATTAGAATTGCTCTTACAGAGAGAACTGTCTTTGGTTAAAATTTTACCTAAGTAAAATTATTTGCGTAGGTTGGATTTTCAAGTAGAAATTGATATAGGGACTAAGTTCCATGTTCAGCTTGACGCTATATTAAAAAAAAGTAACTTATTGAGTCCTAACTCTAGCCATGCTCTTTTTTCTTGAAGTGTCACTGAAATATCTTTAAAGAACAATTCCAGAAATATCATCTATTGCTGGTTATCTAACACGCTTCCTCAGTGGGATATAGCCTGATTATTTTTGAATAGTTTAAAACTGTAAAAAAAAAAAAAACCCCACATTCCATGTGGGTTTAAATACTCCTCCTATCCCAATGGATTGATATCCTTAGTCAGAGAAAATTTGGTAGCCTCTAGAGTCTCCATACAAAGGTCTATCTGAATATATAAAGTGTGTTATTTGTCATAAATCCTTTTCCAAAAATGGAAACATTTGTAGAGTCGCAAAATGGGTATAAATCAGTAGAAAAGGTGTCAGGCCACCTGGGTTCTAATCCTAGATTTACCACTTTCTGTGTGATATTGATAACTCAGCCTTCCTTTCTGGATCCTAATTCTCAGATTTACAAAATAAGAGGGCTGGATTTGACTCTAACGACCTTTCTTCTAAAATCTATAAATGTTTGAAGCTGTGACTGAATCAAATGGCTTTTTGAAATCTTATAAAAATATCCTCAGGCTGTATTTATACCCAAAAAAGAGTTGATGCCATTATTTAGGTACCTCAAATCATTCAGTTTCGTTATATAATTTAATCCCTGGATAACTGAGGTAAATGAATTAGAAATGATGTATTAATTGGAGCAGTAAGGCAACGAGGATTGGATCTAACTGCCTTTGAAAATAATTACTTCCTAAAGTTCATCTAAAAAGATTATATGAAAACAAACAGTTAATTATTGCAGTAAGCACAATCTGGACTAAGTTTGGAAGATTGAGTCCATTTTGAAAGGACAATGAGTTCACTTTAGAATAACTCAGTCAGCTTTTGTAAAAGCACATATAAAAATTTAACATCACTAGTCATAAGTTAAGTCATAGTCATAAGTTTTGCCTATTGGATTGGAAAAACCTAAATTGAACAATAATAACTAATGCTGATAAAGGTGTTTGAGATAATCTTGCTCATGTACAGCTAGAGAAACATAAATAAGAGCAACCGAGTACGGAATTATTTGAAAGAAAAGTAGAAGAAAATTATGGTTCTAATATTGCCCCTCTCATTAGCCTTGATAGAATTCAGGTTATAGCCTTGATATTATTTAGGAAATAGCTTTAATATAAATCAGCAAAATAGGTGGCACCTTTCACACACACACATATATATTATATATATTATAAATATTACATATTCATAATATGAATATTATAGCAATCAGAATTCTTTTGATTGCTGGTCATCGTGTGACATTCTAAAAGAAAATTTGAAGGTAAGGCACTGACTAGGTGATGATAATGTCAGTTTAGGAGTCATATTAAAGCCTGGGCTGTAAGGGCTGAGGGAGCAGAGAAAGAATGAGGGTGACAAGGCCCAGAGGGAGGATCAAGGCACTGTGCTTCATGAATGGCCTGTGATAGTCATTTAAATCCTATTTCATGAGAGAGAATGTTGTATATGTCCCTATCAAAATAGGTGACAGCAATAGATGCTTAAAACATCAGCATGGTACATGTATACATATGTAACTAACCGGCACATTGTGCACATGTACCCTAAAACTTAAAGTATAATAATAATAAAAAAAAAAGAAAGAGAAAAAAAAAAACTTGAGGACTAGTTTTCCAGATTTAAATTTTTGAATTTTGCCACTAGGAAAGAATGGTTTGGAGCTAGATATGTAAGATACATAAACTCACACTGGGGACGATTGCTCTTCAAGGAACAGAACCTTTTTTGAATATAAATCTGAAAGTCAGAATTATAAATAAATTATGGTAGATCTTTTTCCCAACCTAGCTTAAGCAAAAGTTGGAAAATCCTAGACAAGAATTCTATTTCCAGCAGGTTAACTGTCTACATAGTCTGAGATATCCTGTTGCTGAAATACAATGAGATCTTTGAAAATTACCACAAATATAATATTTAATGCCTTATTGGATTTGCTAGAAAGTAAGAAAAATACCAAAGGGCAAAAATAAACAAACAAAATAAAACCCAGTGAGTTGAATACAGTAGAGAGAAGTAAGTTGTAAAAAAGAAAGCAAACCAGGGCATGGTAAAGTATGATTACATGGAAGAAGATGAGACAGACACTAGTGTCTAGAGATTTTGGCAAAGTGAGGAAGCTAAATCTGAGAATCCTGCATTAAGCTTTACTAAGTGTTTTTTAACTTCTTTTTCTTTTATGGAAATCTGACAAATCATATCGGTTCCTTCACATACTAGTGATCCTTGATGCATAAAATTAAAAAAATGAAAGTACGAATAAAACCAATTACATAGGAATATAGGTATTAAATCATTTTTAAAAATTGTAATATATGTGCTTCTTTATTAATACGTTAAATAACATCTAATCACTATAATTTTAAAGTAGATATAAATGTAAATGATATTTTAGGACTTCTGCAACTATAGAAACATGATATGGAAATATATGTAATTCTTATTAGTCAGAAATTCTAGTTTGGCTTCTTTTACTACTGTGAAAGAAGATGTTAAAATTAAATGAGCTAAGTATTCATCTTAAGAGAGTTAAAGAACACAGAATATACTCAAGAGAATGTAAAAGAAAGATTATAATTATATTAGAAACAGAAATTAATAAAGGAAATCAAAGATAAAGTAGTGGGAATAACAAAACCAAAAGTTGTTCTTTGAAAATATTAATAAAATAGGCAACTGGTGAGACTGATCAAAAACAAAGCAGAAGGCATATATATCCAATATTAGGGATAGAAAAAAAATTATAATTACAGATACAGAAGAGATTCAAAAGGAAGTTAGAAAATACCATGGATAACTTTGTGTCAACAGATTTGAAAACAATGAAATATACAAATGTTTAGAAAAAAGTAATTTATTCAAACTGACTACAGAGAAAATAGAAAGTATGACTACTTCTGTAACCATTAAAGAAATTGAGTAATTTAAATTATTTTCACAAAGAGGAAAAACTAGTGAGTGATTCCCAAAAAATTTTACTAAACTTTTGAGGGATAATTTTACTATTATATCTCTTCTAAAAATAGAAAATAAAATTATGTTTCTTCAATTTACTTTAGGAAGCTAGTATTACCTTAATGACAAAACCACACAAGGGCACCTAGAAAAGAAAGTCATAGGCCATCTTACTCGAAATCATGGATGTGCAAATCCTGAGTAAAACATTAGCAAACCAAATAGCTATGAATAGAAAGATCACATCTTTTATAAATTGTGTTTTTGCCCCAGAAGTTCAAGAGTAGTTTATGTCTTAAGCTGTCTATAAATTAGATGTACTATATTTAGATGTACTAAATTAGATGTACTATATTTTTTCAAAACATGGAAAAGAAATTCGATAAAATTCAACACTCTACCATTTATTATAAATATTTTTGAAGTAGGAATAGAAGAAAACCTTCTTAACCTGAAAAATGTATCTTTGGAAATGTTTTAAAAATATATTACTGTTCTTGAAAAATTATCTGTAAAATTGGGAACAAGATAAGTATGGACCAACATAACGGCCTCTATTTAACATTATTTTCTGTGTTTTAGTGTATTAAGTGCAGCCAGCATACTAAAAAAGCAAAATAATAAAATACACAAAGAAAAGAAGCAGCAAATCATCATTATCTGCAGATAATGATTGCCTAAATTAAAAAACTAAAATGTCTTCACCCCATTGTTATAATTAATAAGAGATTTTATCAATGTGACTGGCTATAAGATATAAAAGAATTTAATTGAATTTTTATATATCATCAATAAACATAAATATAATTTTAAAGTGATAATATTCATGATAGCACAAAGCATAAGGGTACCTAGAAATAAAACTAACAAAACTGCGTAAGACCTTTATAGAAAAAAATTACAAAACTGTTTGAAAGCCATGAGGAAAAAATTAAATAAATGAAGAGATGTAATATGCTAGTGGACTGGAAAACTCAGTGTCATAAAGACACCTGTTATCTACAAATTAAGCTAGGAGGTTTTTGAGAATCTTGACAAGTTGATTCTAAAAATCTAGGGGGAAAATATGGCCAAAACATTGCTGAATAAGAATCTAATGTAGAAACTTGCTTTACAAAGATATCAGGACTTACTTTACAGTTACAGATTTAATGCAGTGATATTTATGCTTGGTAGACAAATTGACTCATGAAGATGGGTCAAGAGCCCTGAAACAGAATCTACATTTGTGAACTCTTGATTTGCAAAAGACTTAGTATTACAGATAAGTGAAAAGATCAATGCCAGCCATCTGTTTTCATGCTAGAAAAAAAGAGATAATAGATTCTTACCTCACACCACATATATATACAATAATTTTGGGTATGTTAAAGCCTTATTTCTGAAAGGCAAAGCTGTAAGCCTTTTAGAAGAAAACAGCTAATACATGCAGGGCTTAATATCTAGGTGATAGATTGATAGGTGCAGCAAACCACCATGGCACACGTTTACCTATGTAACGAACCTGCACATCCCGCACCTGTGTCCTAGAACTTAAAATAAAATTAAATTTAAAAAAATCTCATGATGGGAAATAGTTTTTAAAATACACAAGAAACAAAATGTGTAAGAAAAAATTAATAAAACCAAATGCATTAAATGAAGTACTTCTTTTTCATGTAAATTTACTGAAAAAAAAAGTGGAAAGACATTAACTGGAAGATATTTTCAAAATATGTAACTGACCAAAGTAGTAACTGAGCCGTGAGCACAAATAGGAGAAATGAAGACAGCTTTGAGAACATTGTTTTATGAGCTCTAGAAGCCCTAGTCATTTACCTGTACTATTAGAGATCCTGTACCACATTACATCAAATTTCAAAATGCACCCATATCCCACAACAAAATATATTTTCCTTTAAATAATTGAAATATTTTTTTGTTTTTATTTTGAAATTATCCATAGTTAACTCATCTGATTTCTAATGGTGATGCATTTTATCACAAACTCAAGCAATTCAGACCAATTCCACAAAGTCAGTAATTTGTACTCTCCTTTGAGGACAGATAGGCCAGCAATCTAGGAAGGTTATTTGCCTTGACTTTCATACAGGTTTCTGTCTCCTTGTTTTGGCCAAGTTAGCCCCACAAATTCTGGAATTTCAGTGAAATGTGTGGTTTTGACTGTTGACGTGGGCACTATTTTTGACTTGGCCTGCCAGTGGGCAGGACCCACCAACTGCTCACACACCAGCTAAGCACAGCAGCTGCCTCTCAGGAGAGGTGCCAAATGTGATATTTCACTGCTTTAAATAATCAGATACTTGTGAGTCACGACTGGTGCTTGGGACACCAGTCTGTTGGGTGTTTGTTGGTGCTGAGGATTACTAACAAGAGAGCAGAATATGATAGGTGAGAGTTAATAGCAGGTATGTTTCACTTTATTATGTATGTACTTGAGATGGGGTAGGGGGTGAGAGAATTCCAAGACACAGTTTTCCAGTTCTCCGTACTAGCCAGAATTCTTAGGCCCTAGATGAAATTCACCAGCTATTTAAGCATAGACTAAATGGTCATTTGTTGGGGGTTCCATAGCATTAATTCTTCACTGAATGATAGATTTGACCAGGATAATCTACAATGTTTTCTAACTTTGAATTCCCTCATACTAATAAAATCATGTTGGTGGAATGGGAGTGGTGAGAGGCAGAGTGATGGAAGAAGGGGCATGGATGTTTTATGTGGAAGAAAAAGTTCTCTAGGATTAAAATTAGTAGTAAAAGGCATTAGTTACTGCCTTTGAAAAAGGAATGGAAATAAATTTAATACTATGCCACATGATATTTTATCAACTCCAGCCTGTGATCTTGCAAGTAATATTTTATGTACAGCACCAAAATATCTGGTCATCTCAGTGAGAAGATTAATCAACTAATTATTTGGGGGATGAGTCTTTTATTTCCAGGGGCTACATCAGCATCTTTGCATAAAATGCTGAAGACGTGAAATGCTCAGTGTGCCATTTTCATTAACAAGATGAGAAAAGCTTGAATTCCATCACTGTGAACTAGTTTGAAACTTGGCAAGCTATAGTCCTATTTTAGCTTTACAGTTTTTATAAAATAAACGATATTTGAAGGGTATTTTGAACTGACATTGTTAACTTAGGAGGTAACAGAACTTGTGCAATTCAAAGTCAGTAAGAACTATATATTGCCCTAAAAGAAATAGATGGACTTCTCTGGTAAAGTTCATTGTACTTGAACAGTGACTCCTCTTGGGTAAGGGGATGGTAAGGCCCAATAGTAATAACCAGATTCCTAAGGCCCAGTAACCTGAGGACAATTACAGAAATAACAAATTAGGGGCCTGCAGACCTGTTTTGATTGGCCTACATAGATTTTTTTAATTAAAAAATTTGTTGTAAACATAACTGTCTGATTTTTTTTCTTACAAAATTTTCTGACTTTTCTTAATATCATCAGACAGTATGGTGATACTGTGCCCAAATTCTTCAGTGGCAACTATTAGGTGCCCCTGTGTAGCCACTAGCATTTTTAGATGGGAGAGCACTCATTAGTGTGTCATCTTACCCATCACTCCCTATAGTCTGATGGGTGTCAGTCATTGATATTCCTAAGGCCCCGTAACCTGAGGACAATTACAGAGATAACAAATTAGGGGCCTGCAGACCTGTTTTGATTGGCCTATATAGATTTTTTTTAAATTAAAAAATTTGTTGTACATGTAACTGTCTGATTTTTTCATACAAATTCTGACTTTTCTTAATAAAATCAGACAATATGGTGATACTGGGCCCAAATTCCTTAGTGGCAACTGTTAGCTGCCCCTGAGTAGCCACTAGTATCTTTAGATGGGAGAGCACTCAGTAATGTGTCATCTTACCCATCACTCCCTATAGTCTGATTGGTGTCAGTCATTGATATTGTGTAATGTCAGTCACTGAATTTATATCTGGTACTATAAGATATTTTACTTTCCTGACTATGGCATAGAACTTTTATCTCCAGATTCTTCATCTTATCAGAATTATTTTTCTCTCTGTCCATCCAGATAGTTTTCTGGAATGTTGGGCATTAATGGTTTCTGTTAGTCGAGGATTTCTGTTCTGTTGAATTTGTATTTGGTAATTAGCAGGAATTTTAGCTTTATACAAGCAGTCCTCACATGAACATAATCTGTTATGTGGTAAGTACATCCCTAGGTATGCACTTGGTTCATTATTTGCTTCCTTGGTCAGAATCAAAACATAAACTGGTCAAATATATTTTCCCTAGGGATTCTTGTAGAAGTGGCTTTCCGTGGAATCTTCTAGAGTTAATTCCTCAATGTTGTATGTTTCTCAGGAAGTATTTCTTCAAGAAAAATTATTCAAGGTCTATATGCTTATCTAGAGGAAGGACGACGATCCCAACTCCTTTCCTTCTTGAGTTTCTTCTTTTGACTCAGAGTCGGTAACCTTGTGCCTATTGGCAGCTTCTCAATGAGAACACTGTAGAGCACATTATCTTTTCAGCAATGTCAAATTTGTAGGTTTCTAAGGAACTTGGCAATGGCTTCAAAATTTTCTACATTTGCATACTATGTGCAAAAGGACATATTTAAAAATAAAGCAATAGAAAAAAAACTTGTCCTTAAAACTCAAAGCAAATACTCAACTTACACTCCACTAACAACTTAAATTAGAGCAATCTATGTGGATAAAATTCATTGTATGCCACCTTCAATGAAAGCCTTGTTCAGTAGGTTTGACAGATCAAACTTACCTTCATGTCGCAGGTATTCCCGTAGTGGAGAATATATTCATATATTAAAATAGTTTCTATTACTATTTTAAATTCAACTTTTTGATGTCTATAAGTTTTAGATTAGAAAAAACTCTATATTTAGGATGACAGAATTATGTTACTGAATGATCAAATTGGGAATTAGTATCAGGATTACTATATGTCAGAGCTGTCTAAATAGGCTTCAAACCAATGGGCATAAAACATTAAATAAGTTCAAAGATTTTGACCCAGAAATTCCACTTCCAGAAGTTTGTTCTAAGAAAATAATTCAGGATTTATTTATGGATTTTTGTGAAAAGATTCCCTCTAGAGTATTTTTTATTGTAATGATAAAATATGGGAAATAAATATTTGCAAGTATGAGGTTAGCTAAATCACTTGTATTACATTCGTATAACTTACACATTAAAAATGATGTTTTAAGCAAAAAGCTTAGAAACATTCCAGATGCCCATTAATAAGTTCTTGTTGAATACAAAGTAATCCATTCACACAATGGAATGCCGTGTCACTGTAAAAAGGAATGAGGAAGCTCTCTATTATAAGCTGATATGGAGTAACTTCCAGGATGTATTAGCAAGTAAAAAAAGTAAGATTCAGAAGGGTATATATAATATATAGCCGCTTGTGTATATGTATGTATATTTATATAATAAAACATTCAGCAAAGAAAACAGGTATAAAAGCAAGATTTCTGTGAAAATACCTTGTGAAATAACATTGACATTTGAAACTAATGAAAGCTTTACATTTTAAAAATTAAATAAAAAAGATACAGTAGAGTAATTCCTACAAATTCAAAACTAAAATAAATGAACTTAACTACATATTAAGTTGATGACATTACTGCAGAGAGAAAAAATTATATCTGGTTGATTTAGAAACAATATTTTGACTATATATATTTAGTGTGATGTATTCTAAGGATGAATATAGTTGCAAACACATTTTGCAACTAAATTATTCCGTTTTTTCGTTGTTAGTAACAACATTGGTATTATTTCAAAACTCTTATATCTATTGTAGGATATAAATATGTAATTATTTTAACATCAGTAATCACAATTTTCAATGTAATAGAAGAGAGATAGAAGTAGAAAATCAAATAAGTAGAAATCTCATAGTATACAATTTTAATTGAGATTATCAGGTGGACTCTTTTTTTTTTCATTTCACAACTCGTATATTTCCTAGCTCTGTCCACTTAAAAGGATGAAAATATTAATAACCATTAATTAACAAGAGCATACTTAGTGCTCAGATTGCAGCTTAAATATTGTTTTCAGTATTATTTACTTGCAGGAATGGCTTATTTCAGATCTGGGATAGAATGTTTTCAAGATTAGCCTGGGCCATATTGTGCCTGAAAGTAAGATAACTATGACTGTGTTGCATCAAGAGAAAAAACATGAAAGAGCTACTATTTGCCAAAGTTGAGACAATTTTGCTTCAAAAAAGAATAATGAAAAAAACTTATTGAAACATGTTTATTATATTAAAGCCTATTAATTATAACAATACTAAGAGGAAAAAATGACAAAAAAGCCACAAATCCAAACAAGTTCACTGTGTGAGGACTCCCCAAGACCATTCCCATGTTCAATGATTCACTAGGAGTACTTACAAGATTCAGCATGTAGTGTAATCATGACTAAAATTGATTACAGTCAAAGAATACAAAGCAAAATAAGCAGGAAAAGGCACATGCAGTAAAGTCCAGGGGAAACCAAGCTCAAGTTTCCAGGAGCTCTTTCTCTGTGGAGTCACACACAGTGCGTTTAGTGCTCCCCACAATGAGGTATAACAAAACGTGAAGAGTTGTCTGTCAGGGAACCTTGTTAGAGACTCAGTGCCCAAGGTTTTAATTGGAGGCTGGTCACATAGGAACGATCTGCCTAGCATGCACCAAAATTCCAGGCACAGGAAGGCAGGTATTCAGCACAAACCACATTGTTTCGACAAACAAATTTACGTACAATGAGCCACCCTTATCAGTTCTGGCATTGTTAGGAGTCCTTCTGACTTCTAAGTTCCCAGATGCCAGCCAAAAGCCGATCTTTTAAGCAGCACTTTGTAAAGATATGCAGTCTCAGATCTGCTTTGTTAATACTGTTTTTGCATACTCATTTCATTAGACATCACTGAAAGTGAAGAAGGGAGTAAATCCTTACTCTGAAAATTAGCAATTAAAGAGAAAAACTTAAAAATGTATTGAGATCTTCCTCTATGAACTATATGTCAGAGACACCAAATCTAGCTAACAAAAGAAAGTTACCTGCAGAATTACAGCTAATAAATGTGAAAGAAATAATAGAACTAGAAAATTGTCACTGTGTAACTCATAATGGAAGAATTAATTCATGCAGTGGTTATCAATGGATGAATCCACAAAATAGATGGTAGATGGGAAAATATATCATGGTAGAATTATACTGTCACAATCTAAAGCAATTGATTAATGTTAGTATAATAAAAATAAGACAATCAGATATTATGTGCCTTGTGATGTGATACAATGTAAAGTACATATACTTCAGAAAATAAAATAATACATATGAAACATTTATAAATATACCTTATCTAATCAAACCTCTAGAGCTAACTTTCATTTAGATAAATAAGCTAAATACTGTCACAGGAAAGAAAATAGATGCACCCAGGATATGGAAATTTTTTTTTCAAACAAGTCAATGACTAGTGGAAAAAGAAGAAAGAAAAGATGACAAAGTAAATTGTGTAAATCTCGTTTGGATCCTGATTCAAACAACTCAATTATAAACAGACATTTTGAACAAAACTGGAGTAATTTGCTTATGGCTAAGTGGTAGATAAACCGAAGAATTATTGTTAATTTTTGTAGCATAAAAATGAAATTGTGATTATGTAAGAAAATGTAGACATTTTTAAAGAAGATGCACATGAAACATGTTAAAATAAAATACAAGGAGGTCTGGCATTTAAAAATCTATCAGCAAAGAAAAATTAAAGAGATGAAACAGAGGATTTCAGTTTCTAGCTAGGGACCAGATTTAATCTACATCTTTAAACAAGAAAACCAGACAAAATACGCCAAAATCCAAAGATTAGACATTGGACAGCAGTCAGCATAGGACTGGAATCCTTGAGAGAAGAAAAACAAACCAGGCGATTCCAATAACTATTATCTTGGAAGCAATTTCTAGGCCAGAGTGCATGGAGAGGGAATTCAAACAACTTTGTATTCTTCCTAAGTCAGTGAACTAGAGAACAAAGTTTGAGGAAGCCACAATGGCTAAAATTTGGGGCAGAATACCAGAGATAAAAGAGGTGGAGAGAGACAGAGAGAGAGAGTGGGCCCTCTGGATATCTCTAGAAGGGTTTCCTTCTGGCTGAATACAGAGCTGCACATGCGTATGAGGAAACCATCCAAGCCCAGGGACATCGTCACAAGAAATCTGTAAGCTGGATAATTCCTGGAGCTATTATAAGTCTGGGAACAATTCAGGTCTCCAGTAATCAGAGTGGAAAGATCTTCTAATACATAGGACTTCTAGCAGAATTTTCAGAAGGGTTTTAGTAGTTGGGCTATATTACATAGGCAGCTCTAGATTTGCCCTAGTAAAATGTAAAAGCATGACATAAAGGATCAAATTGACTCACAAGTAAGTTAACTGCATGGCCAGAATAAAGTCAAACCATATTTTTTAAAATGCAGAAAAACCCAGCAGCATACAAGAAACATAATTTTCACAATGTTTGGTAAACAATAAAAAATTACCAGGCATGCAAAGATGAATGATGATATGACAAATGACCAGGAAAAAGAATCAATAAAAACACACCCCAAATGCCAGAGTTGATGGTGTTATTCAACAAGGATAAAAAAAAACACAGTGATTTAAAATATGCTATGTAATAGAGAAAAATTGAACATCTTGAAAATAGAATGGATATTTTACAAAAGACAAAATAGGACTTTCAGAAATAAAAGTATAGTATATGAAATGAAAAAAAAAACACTATCAGATGGGATTAATAGCGGATTAGATTCTACAAAAAATATCATTGAACTTGATGGCATAGCAAATGATACAGCCCAGAGTGAAGCACAAATAAAGAATGGTTAAAAAAAAAAGAAAATAGTCTCAATGAGCTGTGGGAAAATAATAAGCATTGAGTATAATATAAGTACAATTAATATCCCAGAAGGACATAAGAAAGTGGAGGGAGGAAGCAGAAAAAAAAAATCATCATTTAGAAATATTTCAAATTTGCTGAAAACAATAAACCCACAAATCCAAGAAAGTCAGTGAACCTCAAGTAGAGGAAATATAGAAAGCCGTATCAAGGTACATTGTAAGCAAATTGTTAATAATTAAGTATAAAGAGAACATTTTAAAAGTTAACAAAAATAGTAACAATAGAATTATTAAAAATGATGTAAGCTATAAGACAAAAGAGTGACATTCTTAAAGTACTAAAATTTAAAAATATTTGTCAACCTAGAATTCTATCTCAATTCAGTATTTTATTTCTTGTATAGTTCATTTATTTTCCTGTTCTTCATTGCAACACTAATGATTTTTTTCTAATTAAAAAGCAAAAGACTTTTTCAGGTACACAAAGCTGAGAGAATTTATCATTAGTAGGCCAGCATATCAAGAAATGTTAAAGGAAGCTCTTCCTTTTGTTTTCAGGTAGAAAACAAAATGATACTGAATGGAAATATGAATGTACATAAAGGGATAGCAGTCACTAGAAATAATAAATATGTAGGCAAACATAGAAGAGATTTTATTTCATTTTTAATTTATTTAAAAGGTAGTTGACTGCTTACAGAAAAATAAAAATAGCTATATATTGGGTGTTTATAGATGCAAAATGTGTGACAACAATAGCACAAAGGCTGGGAGGGGAAAATGGAACTAGACTGGTGTAGCGTTCTTGTACTATATATGAAGTGATCTAATATTATTTAAAGTTAAAATGTAATCAGATAGGATTTAAACTCTGGAACAATCACATAAAAATAAAACAGAGTTATAGATAGTATACCACTGGTGGAGATAGGATAGAATTTAAGAGAACGCGGCCAGGCGCAGTGGCTCATGCCTGTAATCCCAGCACTTTGGGAAGCTGAGGCAGGCGAATCACCCGAGGTCAGGACTTTGAGACCAGCGTGGCCAAAATACTGGCCACAGCGTGGCCCCTTCTCTACTAAAAATACAAAAATTAGCTGGGCGTGGTGGCGGCCACCTGTAATCCAAGCTACTCAAGAGGCAGGAGAATTGCTTGAACCCAGGAGGTGGAGGTTGCAGTGAGCCCAGATAGCGCCATTGTACTCCAGCCTGGGTGACAGAGCGAGACTCCGTCTCAATAAAAAAGAAAAGAAAATGCAGTGCAATGAAAGGCAGAATAGAAAAAAAGTAAGGAAGAACAAAAGAGGCAAACAAAAGAAACATCCCAAGAAAGTAGATTCAGACTCAATTACATTAATAATGATATTAAAAGTAAATGGAAATTCCTACAATGCAATTATAAGAAGACAACCCAACTGACAAAATGGACAAAGATTTAAATAGAGACTTTACCAATGAAGATATGGCTAATAAGCATACGAGAAGATTACTGACAACATTAGTCATTAGGGAAATGCAAATTAAAATCACAAGGAGGCTGCTGAGGTGGCTCATACCTGTAATTCTAAAACTTTGAGAGGCTGAGGCTGGAGGATCGCTTGAGTCCAGGAGTTCCAGAACAAACTGGACAAGATGGCAAGACCCTGTCTCTACCAATATTTTTTTTTTAATTAGCTAGGTGTGGTGTCACGTTCCAAAGAAGATATTCCCAAGTAGTCCCAGCTACTTGGGAGGCTGAGGTGGGAGGATCACTTGAGCCCAGGAGTTTAAGGCTGCTGTGAGATATGATCACACCACTGCACTCCAGTCTGGATGACACAGCAAGACCCTGTCTCTAGAAAAAATAAATAAATCACAATGATATACCATTTCATACTCACCAGAATGAGTTTCATTACAAAGACTAACAATACCAAATATTGATGAGAATTTAGAGAAATGTGACTCTAAATTGCTGGTGTGAATGTAAAAACAGCCACTTTGGAAGACGATTTAGCAGTTTTTTTTTTTAAAAAAGTTTAATACACTTTAGAAGAAGACAAAGCAATACCACTCCTAAGTACATCCAAGATAAATGAAAATCTATGTCTACACAGAGACTTGAAATTGAGTGTTTATATTACAATAGTTACATCTAAATGGCCCAACACATCCATTAACTGGTACATGGTTAAGCAAATGTGGCATATCAATGAAGTGGGATACTAGTAAAAAAGAGAAAGAATGAATATTGATACGTGCTTTATCATGGATGAACTTCAAAACCATTAAGCTAAGTGAAGAAGGAGGAGGAGGAGGAGGAGGAAAGGAAGGCAAGCGGACAGGAAGGAAGAAGGGAGGAGGAGGAGGAGGAGGAGGAAAGGAAGGCAGGCAGGCAGGAAGGAAGGAAGAAGGGAGGAGGAGGAGAGGGAAGGAAGGAAGGAAGGAAGGAAGGAAGGAAGGAAGGAAGGAAGGGAGACCACCACACAAAATACACATAGGTTTCAATTTATTTGAAATCCTTAGAAAAGAAGAATCTATAAGGACAGAAGTATATTGGTGGTTGTCTTGGTCTGGGCATAGAAATAAGAATTAATTGTAAATGGGCATAAAGGATTTTATGTGATGTAAACATTTGAAAACTGGATTATGGAACCTCGTGAGTTTATGAAAACTCATTGAATTGTACATTTCAAATTGGTTAATGTATTGTATCTAAATTATATTTAATAAAGTTGTTAAATAAGAAGTAAATGAAGTAAACACTCAGAATAAAAGGCAGAGATTTTCAGATTGCATAAAAAAGCAGGACATAATTTTGTTTAAAAGAAACACTTTATTAAAGGCTCAAATAAGTTAAAAGTAAAAGAATGGAAAATATATACTATTAAAACAATCATGAGCGGAAGCTGAAGTAACTATATTAATATCAGACTAAGTACATTCCAAACCAAGCAATATGAATGACTCAAAGAGGATTATTTCATGATGATAAAAGGGTAAAATCATCAGGAGAACATAAACAGACTTAAGATGCATGCATCTAATAAACTACCTTCAAAAATCTGTAAGCCAGAAGTAGAACTGAAAAAAGAAATATAAAAATCCATAATTAGAGTTACAGATTTCAACCGTTATCATTTTAGTATTTGATAGAACCAGTAAACAAAAGCCAACCTGATCTAATGGATATTTACAGAAAACTTCACTAAACAGCAGACAAACACACATTATTTGAAAGTACACTTGGAAAGTTTATCAAGATCATAAACTGTGGCAAAAATTGAGACTCAGTACATTTAAAATAATTGAAATCAGACAAAGTTTTCTGAACACAATGGAATAAGACTAAAAATCAACAGACAGATAAATAGAAAATTCCTAGGCAATTGCAGTATAACCATATACTTTTAAATAACCCATGGATCAAATAAGGTATCAGAAAGAAAATAAAAAGATGTTTTGATCAGATGAAAATGAAAACCAAATATATCAAAAAAAATATTTATAGGATAAAGCTGAAGTGCTTGGAGAGAAATTTACAGTACTAAATGCTTATATTAGAAAAGAATAAAAGTCTAAAATAACTAAGATTCACTGTGCAGGAGCTTGAAAAAGCAGAACAAATTAAACTGAGACAAAGAGAAAGATGGAAATGATAAGAAAATAATTACAAAGAATGCAGGCTTTTATGAACATGTAAGAATCATGTTATGTAATTCATCATAATATCATACTTAAAAAAGAAAAAAGTATATGATTATCTAAATAGGTACAGAAATAGCATGAGACAAAATTCAACATTCACTCATAATAAAACCCTCCAAAAAAACAGAAATAGGAGGCTGGGCATGGTGGCTCATGCCTGTAATCCCCGCACGTTGGGAGGCCGCGGCAGGCAGATCATGAGGTCAGGAGTTCAAGACCAGCCTGGCCAACATAGTGAAACCCCGTCTCTACTAAAAATACAAAAACAATTAGCCTGGCATGGTGGCACCTGCCTGTAGTCCCAGCTATTCAGGAGGCTGAGGCAGGAGAATCGCTTGAACCCAGGAGGCAAAGGTTGCAGTGAGCTGAGATCGCACCACTGCACTCCAGCCTGAGTGACAGAGCAAGACTTAGTCTCAAAACGAAAAACAAACAAACAAACAAAAAACAAATAGGAGAGAATTTCCTAAAACTGATAAAGGGCATCTATGAAAAAATCTACAGCTAATATTACTTAATAAAGAATTGAATGTTTTATTCCTAAGATCAGGAAAAGGGGAAGGATGTTTGCTCTTACCACTTCCATTCAACATTTTTATAGAGATTCTACCAGTATAATAAAGTAAGATAAAAAAGAATTATACATATTGGAAAGGAAATGAAACTGTCTTTATTCATAGGAAACATAATTATTTATGTACAAAATCCTAAAGATTGTACAATATCTACTAGAACCAACAAGTTAGCTTAGCAAAATAGCAAAACAAAGTCAAAATCCAACTGTATTTTATATACTACTGATGAATAATTGGAAAATAGTATTACACAATTCAGTGCCACTTACAATAACATAGAAATATGAAAACCTGGGAGATAAAATATCAAAAATATGTATACAACCTCTACATTATAAACTAAAAAGTGTTATTGAGAGAAATTAAAGAAGATGTACATAAATGGAGATATAAAATGATGTTAATGAGTCAGGAAACTCAATATTATTTTTATTTTAATTTCCCCAAATTTATAGATTTTTTGCAATCTCAGTAAAAATCCCTGGAGGATTTTACATAGAAATTAACAAGATGATTCTAAAATGTTTATGAAAATGAAAAGTCTTCGAATAGCCAAAACCATATTAGTAAACAACGACAAAATGGAAAACTCACATTAACTGAATTCAAGACTTCCTATATAAGCCTACAGTAACTGACAGTGTGATTGGTGAAATATCGAATAGACCTGTATATCAAATGCCTTTCTTTCAAGTAAAGCCAGTAAAACACAGTAGAATTATAAAATAGAGAAATTGCAGAGTAATCCTTTTTAAAAGGAGCCCAATATTTCAGAAATAAGTAAGTTGATTCAGATGTTTAAATTACAGTTTGATTAATGTAGTAGGAGTTGAGAGAAAAAGTCATACACAGAGTTAAATACCCAAACCAGAATGGGTTCACGGGAATAGGATATGAAGGTCTGATGAGTTAACAAATACATTGCCAGGCACTGATATTCAAGAATCTATGTTATTTACTATTTTGAGGATAACACCAAAAGTGTAGAAGTTATATTTGTTTGTTTTGGAAGATTAAGTTTACTTGGAAAATATAGAAAGACAGATGCATATAACTTAAGGGTATACTACAGAAGCTCAGCCACATGCACATAAATGTATCCTGGAGGGATACAGAAGAAATAATTACAAATGACTAAAACTCTTAGAAGCATTGGAGCTGGAAATGAGGGTGAACTGAATCAATATAATATCCTCTAATATTATTTAGAATTTTAATATTTATATATTTTATTCTTATAATAATGAGAAAATGACTCATTAAAACTTGTATCTGGTTCTACCCAGTGCCTCATATAGAGCCAAGCTTAGAAGAGGTACTTAATGAACAGTTGATGTCTTGTTACACATGTAAAATAACTTTTAAGGGGTTAAATAGAATAATAATTTCAAATTAAAACTGTACAAAATAAGAATAGAGTGGAAAATGAGTAGGAACAGCAGATTTAATGGAAGGAGTTGCTTTAGTTGCACGATCATGGTGATTTTTGTTGTTTTGGTGAAGAGGGTATTACACATAAACAAATTTGTAAGCCCGTTTTGTAAATGCTTCCCTAGGGGCTTTGGTATGCCCATCAGCAAGAGGTGAATCATGCAGAGAACTCCAGGGAAGAAAGCTAAACAGCAATTCACTTTCTTTCTGTGCTTTGCATTCAGATAGATATGCAAATAGGTTCAGTGAAGTGAACCTGGTTACAATATCACTTTGAAACTCATGTAAATTATTTTAAATGGGCAGAATACAGACCAGCTCATGAGTTTAATTTATCTCTTTTTTGAATCACGTGGTTTTGGTATCATTTTGAAGTGATGCTGATTAGTTCATTTGAAGGACATGCATAAAGCATAAAAGTATTTGCTTCTTTATGCTTATTTTGTATGATACATGCATATGTCTGTTGTACACATTATATATAAATTTAAATAAAAATATATGATACTGAACAGTAAAAAACACTCATATATGTATATATACATTTGTATGTGTATATGTCATCTATCTATCTATCTATCTATCTATCTATCTATCTATCTATGTATCTATCTGATTAATCATCTCCTGGTTTTTCTAGAGAAGAATAACCCATTGAACCTTTGGGCCTAACACAAGAATCTCATTTACTTATCAATACATTTATTCAATCTTTTATTCATTCTTCTATGTCCTAGGTGTCATGGGTTTAAGAAAAATCAAAATAAAGGAAAATAAAATTTTCCAACGTTACCCAACTGGTGGCTTCTTAACTGTTTCTGAAGTCAGTTCTAGCTGCCACCCACTAACTTATAGCTAATTAGGTCCAAGAAAGACAGTTAATTGATTGGTGAGTTGTGGCTCATATCGAAATGCAGAATCTTTCTCCATGTTTTCCCAGAGCTAATAGGTTGGTGCAAAAGTAAATAGCTTGGATAATCATAAAGTGAGTTATAATTCTTCAAAATAATATCACTGAAACTGTAAAGGGAGAGAAAGAAGAAAGAGGTACATTGTCTCTTTTCCAAAAGACATAACTGAAACTTTTGTATCTGTCTCTTATTCTATGATTCCATCGTCTCTTTTGGCATTAATTTTTCTAATACACAAAATGATGGCTAGGATTAGAAACAAGAATCCTCAGAAGATGGCTGTCAGGATCAAAGGAGTGATAGGAAGATAGAGAAGGCAAGTACATCACCATATCTCAAAGTATGTTATTCAAAACATACTTATTACTCAAAGCATGGCCCGTGTTTCAGCAGCAGTGGCATCGCCTAGAGCTTTTAAAAGTTGCAGAAGCTTAGGCACCCTGCAAACAGATTGAATTAGAATCTGCATTTTACAGAAATCCTCCAGAAATACCTTCCAGGTATTTTATATGTCCATAAACATTTGAGAAGCATAGGATTTAAAAATAGACTTGCTTGGGAAAGAGGATTTTTTGAGGAAATGGACCACCCAAAGTTCATCCAGAAGTGGCACACTGTCCTATATCATGGGGACACCTGCACAGATTTGGAAAAAGTTGCAGGATATAGGCAGGTTTGCGTTCCCAGAGAGGGATCCTGCCTCCTCATCTACCTTCTTCAAATGCAAATACGAGCTAGAGCTCAGGCAATTACCAGGGTTTAGACACCAACTGCAAAGAGTTGTCTGAGCCCTAGCTGATGGTACCTGGTGACTTTCTGAGAAATTAATTTCAGGTTATTGGAGGACATGGGACGCTGGTAACATGGCAGGTTAATTTGGATACAATCAGCTCTTACCGGAAATGGAAAACTCCCCTTCTCGTGACCTTGCAGAGGTTTTTTTTGGACAATCCTATGAGTCTCTCCCCATACATTAAATAAGTATATATATATATACACACATATATATATGTATATATACATATATGTGTATATATATGTATATATACATATATATAAAAGTCCATGTATTATGTATTATACTGTGTTACAGTGCCTGCCCCATGGTAGACCTCCATAAATAATCACTATCATTTTTATTTGTATCCACATAAAAACAAATGTTGGCAGTCATCATTGACTTATAGTTTGCCCAGTCTCAACCAAATCACCTTGTTATGGGATGAATTTTGTTCCTCTCCCCACTAAATTCATATGTTGAAACCTTAACCCTTAATGTGATGGTATAGGGAGACAGGGCCTGTGAGGAGGTGATAAAAATTAAATAAGGTCATAAGAGTGGGTCCCTAATTAGAGAAGGCAGGTGCCTTTATAAGAACAGGAAGAGACACCAAAACTCCTTCTCTTTAAGGACACTGAGAAAGACTGTGTGAGCACATAGCAAAAACGTAGCCATCTACAAACCAGGAAGACAGCCCTCATCAAAAATTGACCATGAGGGCCCCCTGATCTTAGACTTTTGGCTCCCAGAACTGTGCAAAATACTTCTGTTAATTAAATCACCCATTCTATAGTACTATAGTACTCATTCTATAGCCTGAGCTAATACACTCCTTTATTTTCACCATGTTGGTTCATTTAGTCAGCTCTCCCTCATCCTATATGTGTAAGATGATTTTTTTCACCAAATTACAGAACTATGCTTTTTTCCTGTTAAATTTTGTCTATTATGATCAATAGAATTCAAATCAAAGCAGTCTGTTCTTCTATTTTATAATAAATTATTGTGCACAAGATTTTTGCTCATACTACTACAATCCGTTGTGTTTGCTGCCCATCAGCCCAACTGTTTTCTCTCTCGCCATTCTCTTGCTTCTACTCTGTTTTTTCTTGGGCTCTGTGCTCATTAGTTTATCAGGAGATCCCTCCTGTCAAAAGGAAAAAAAGGAATGGTGTGAAGGTCACTGGAAAAGTTGGAGATAGAGCAATGGTTCTCAACCTTCACTACGTATTTGCTGATATCTGGTTCATACCCAAAGACATTCTCACTTAACTTCACATAGGTGCTCTCTTAGGATTGGGAGTTTTAAAAGATTCCCAGGAGATTCTAAGCAGTCAATTGAGACAATTCATTGTAATTTTCAGCCAGAGTGATTATAACTCAAACTGGTGAGATTATGTGCATACCTGCCTGGTGGGGACTGCCTTTTGGAAAGGTTTGGAAATGCTAACCAGGCTAACAGTTTTGGGCATCTGTCCATAGAGTCTTTCTGAGTTTTGTGTAATCATGTGTAAATTGGGACCATCCTACGCCTATATCAGCTTAATTATGGTCCTGCACTGCATAACGCTGTTGAAGTAAGTGACGGGCCACATTTGTGACAAGGTGCCCTAAGATTATAAGGGAACTGAAAAATTCCTATCACATAGTGATGTTATAGCTGTCCTAACATCATAGTGCAACGTGTTACTCTTGTGTTTGTGGCGTTGCTGGTGTAAACAAAGCTACTGGGCTGCCAGTCATATAAAAGTCTAGCAATACAATCATGTACAGCAATACATAATCCTTGATAAACAACTTTTACTGCTTTATGTATTTACTATACTGCATTTTAAAATGTCATTTTACAGTGTATTTTTCTATTTATATTTAAAAAGTGTTAACTGTAAAACAGCCTCAGATGGGTCCTTCAGGAGGGATTCCAGAAGAAGGCATTGTTTTCATAGGAGTTGACAGCTCCATGTATGCTCTTGCCCCTGAAGACCTTCCAGTGGGACAAGACGTGGAGGTGGAAGATGGTGATATTGATGATCCTGACCCCGTGTAGACCTAGGCTAATGTGTGTGTTTGTGTCTTATTTTTAAGAAAAGTTTTAAAAGTAAAATAATGAAAAGAAAAAAATTTTAAAAATAGAAAAAAGCTTATAGAACACAGATATAAAGAAAAAAATATATTTGTGTACCTGTACAATGTATTTGTGTTTTAAACTGTTACCAAAAAAGAGTCAAAATGCTAAATAAAAAAAAGTTTGTAAAGTAAAAACATTACAGTAACCTATGGTTAATTTATTATAGAAAAAAAATATTTTTATATAAATTTAGTGTAGCCTACTTGTACAGTGTTTATAAGATCTACTTTAGCATACAGTAATGTCCTAGGCCTTTACATTCACTCACCACTCACTCACCACTCACCCAGAGCAGCTTCCAGTCCTGTAAGCTGTATTCATGGTAATTGCCCTATACAAGTGTACCATTTTTTTCTTTTATACTGTGTTTTTACTTTACCTTTTCTATGTTTAGATACACAAATGCTTTTCATGTGTTACAACTGCCTACAGTACTCAGTATACATACACAGTACTCAGTACGCTATAATGCTGTACAGGTGCTAGGAGAAATGGGCTATACCAAATAGCCTAGGGGTGAGCAGGCTGTACCATCTCGGTTTGTGTAAATATACTCTGTGAGGTCCACACAACGATGCATTTCTCAGAACGCATCCCCATTTTTAAGTGATACATGACTGTACTAGGTTTACTATTCACATAAGAGGCCAGCAGGCAGGAAAGAAAGAGCCAAGTCTTTCTGAAGAGTTATCTTGGAGAAGTGCAGAGTGGCCTTCTCATCCACATAATTCATTTTTTCATTCGGCAAACACTAACTGAGCATTTAGTGCCAGGCACTTGTTGTACAGTAGCAAAAACTTTACCTGCAACAAAGCTTATCATCTGTTAGAAAATACAAATATTAAAGAAATAATCAAAGAAATAAATGTATACCTAAAATATCATAAGGGCCATGAAGGAAAGTTCATGGTGTTATGCAAGAGTAGAAGGGGTCTTGATTTGGCTGATAGGCATTTCAGGAAGGCAATCCAATGTCTCTGGGAAGCTAGAACTTTTGTGTGGCTCACAGCAGAGAAGTTCTCTAGTCTCTAGTGTCTCCTTGAGGTTTAGGGTATCATCAGAACATATAAGCCAGGATATGGGGCTCCTGGAGGGGGTGGGCTGACCACTTCTTCTTCCCACTCCCACCGAAATGCACTTTCTTCTGCCCTCTGTTTCAGACTCTCAAATCAGCCCATTATTACACCCCACCTTCCCATTCCAGCATCACTGCCTGCTCCTTGCCCTCCCTCCTCATCCTTTTTCCTTGCTAAAGTTTAAGCATGGCTTTTCTTTCTGACTGTTACCATAGATCCTAACCCAGAAGGCTCACCTACTTTGTTTGGTTATACTGGAATATTAATTGCATAGTTTCAAAGAGAAAAAATAACACTCTATTTCATAAATACTGAAGATACTTTTTAATTTAAAAGGTGTTCTCAAAAACGTGTGATAAGAGAGGAAAGGGGAGGGTGTATTGTGTAGACTAAGATGATACACAAACACATCTGGGGAAACAAGAGGAATGCTTTGCAATAATAGTCAGCTGCTCTCTGTGTGCAGCAAGGTTTGTGTGCTTCTTGGAGAAAGTATTGGGAAGAAAGAAGGCGAGTACGTTTATATTTAGAGTGAGGTAGTTAATCTTGTCTGTTTCACACATATTACTCATTGCTTTTGAATTAGTTTGAGATAATGTTTTTATCTCAGTAAGGATAATTTTGGTGATTTACTGTTAACATATAGGACAATGAAAATAAAAAGATAAAAGGCTAGATAATCCCATTACTCTTAAATAGTCAATTATAAATGTTAGGTTCTTTTACCATAGAGATATTAAGCAACTTGTAGAGAAGCTCTTTGGGAAATAATTTCATCTTAAATAAGACTACTATCAAAATAGCTATCTTTTCCATTTGTTAACATCTAACCTACTTTTATCTTTATATTTAATGAGGATTTCTTATAGGTAGGTGGCATTATCTTCTTATTAAGTTATTTAACTATTAACTATTAACTTTTGTTTTTATTTAAGTTCAGGAACTTTGCAGATCTCTTATTAACTCTTCAGTTAATAATGAGGTAAGTCTTAAGTAAATATTCAAATTTTATCTAAGTTTTTTTTCACTTAATAGTGCCATCGTGAGTTCAGAGAAGACATTGAATAAGGATGAGAGGTGATTGATAAAGGGAGAAATGTGGAAGAATAATTTTTTATTCAAATACATAAAATTTTACCTATTTAGAGATTTTTTTAAGTTTATCTTCTGCATTTTTAAAAACTTTTAATTGATTATTTTAATGGACACATTGTATTTGTATATATTTATGGGGTACAACTTGGTATCTTGATATATGTCGTATGATGATCAAATAAGGATAGTTATTGTATTCATCACCTCATGTACTTCTGATGAAGACACCGAAAGCAATTGGGACAAAAGCAAAATTGGCAAATGGGATCTAATTAAACTAAAGAGCTTCTACACAGCAAAAGAAACTATCAACAGAGTAAGCGGACAACCTACAGAATGGGAGAAAATTTTTGCAAACTGCATCCAACAAAGGTCTACTATCCAGCGGGAGGGATCACAGAAAATAACTTGTGGGTACTAGGTGTAATACCTGGGTGATGAAATAATTTGTACTGCAAATCCCCGTGACACGAGTTTACCTATATAACAAACCTGCACATGCACTCCTGAACTTAAAAGTTAAAAAAAAAAAAAGAGAGAGAGAGAAAATGGTTTAGGCATTCAAAAAACTAATAGGTATTTTAAGAATGTAACTAATAATAGAAATTGGTAGGTAGCAAGCACTTACATTTCACAAAGCATATGTGGATGCATTACTCCATTTAAAGAACAAAGCCCGGCGTGGGGAGACACTCATATAATGGAAACACTGGAACTCTGAGATTGATCCGGACCCACAAAGCTCCCTAATGGCCAACCTAGGATACACTCAGACTTGGGACTGTTTAGCTCCACGTCTCGTGGTCTTTATATGTGTCACAGTTAAGAATCAGACCGTGACAGACACAAATCATGTGAAACGGCGTCCCTCTCTCTCTCACCCATTGATCCCCCGCAGTTGTAGATGTGATTCTGCTTCCTAGTAAAAGAAACTTGCAATAAGAGTATGTGTCCACTAGAGGGCCGAACTCAGAATTCGCCGTTCTGCTGTAGAGCCCAAGTAGACAATGCCATCAAATGCTCCAGGCTCTCTTTCATCAGCTTTGTACCACCTGATTCAAACGCTAAAGCCCTGGGCATAGAGTGCAATGAAAAACACTCTTAATTCCAAGTAGAAAAAATAAAAGTTGTATTTTTCCCTGCTTGTCGATGCCTTCCGTGTGAAGTATGTTGTAAACTGTGACACCCCATGGAGCGTGGTGTCTCACTATTAAGCGAAGCCTTTTCCTGTTTCTGATGTTTGCTGGGTTGGCAGGAAGAAAAATATCAGTTCTATTTTTTAACCATACTATTTCTGTTGCCCTAACAGACTCCAGGTAAATTAATTTACTTTGAATGAGTCATTAGTTCCCATTTGCTAGAGTTCATGAAAATGAAAGCATGAAACAACATTTTATAGAAATTCCCTGAGGCACAGAACACCAAACCTGGGAAAGACGTTAGAGTCCAAATTCCTTATTTTATAGACAATAGAACCAAGTTTGAGAGCAGGGTTGCCCTTAATTACCCAGCTCACCTAAATCAGAGGCTGACCCAGAACCCAGGTCTCCTGTTTGCATGGTTCCATCCTACCCAGATTTTTTTTTTTTTAACACTGGTCCATAGAATCCTTTGGTGGCCTGACTCTCATGTTAATAAAGCCTGATCAGAGATTCTTGATTAAGTATATTGTTCACATATATTTTAATTTCCATTAGGAAATACTATTGTACCACATCAGTCAGTCCACTGCTAGAGAAGACTGGGGGGATCTTGCATCCTTATGCCAGTTAGGTCTCCTTGCACACAATTCCTGTGAGCATCCTAGAGATCCATGCCTCCTCATTCCTGGATTTGCAGAGATGGAGAGCTCACAGTTTTGAGGTTACCTAATTCTGTTGATTGAGTAATGTTGATTAAGGATTCCCACCTTACTTTTGTTGGAGGAGAGAGAAAAGTTTGGGAAATGGGATTGGGGGTAGGAAGTAGGGAGAATAATTTAAGATTGCTGTCCTTTCTTGTCTGATGATGAAGAAGTACAGAAGGACTGGGTGATTCATCTGAGATTCTGAAATTAGATGTCAGAATAGGCATTATATAATGCGATAGAAGGCTCGTTAGACTAGTAGTCAAATACGGTAAGTACTGACTCCATGATATAAGGGGCTGCTCAAATCTGAGAGTCACCTAAACACCTTCTTTCTTCAAATCTCTAATTCCTCCCTAAGTATTGTCTAAATAGCCCCTCAATATATTCCTCTCAACTCTGTCCTATCACTTTTGCTTTTTTCATCCAGATATGCCCAGCACCCTCCAGTTTGTCCCCAGTATTGCAGTTTTCTGGACCTTCCCCAGAAGCAAATACAATCTTGCATCTTTTCTGATTAAAATCCTTTACTGGCTCCCCCACTGTCCATACTGATAGCTATTCAATTGCACTTTGGAGATGAACAACTCCATTTTTGGAGCCAGAATATGTCCTTTTCCTTTCCCACTAATTTGCTTCCTCACCTAGGAGACTCCCTGTCTAGCTTGTCCTTTCTTCCTTGCTGAAATTAAATTTCTATATGATAAAAGAGGCTGGAAGCTGAGGAAGGTTTTGCAGGAATTGCCCCAGCCATAGCTACATGCGGCAACAAGATGCATGATATTTTAAGTTATGAGTAGCAGAAGCCTGTACATAATCAGAAAGATTCTAACATATTATACCTCTAAGAAAAAAATAATATGCACACATGAATGTACATATATCTCTGGACAGAGCAGCCACTAGGCTCCTGATGTGACTTGCTCTACATTCCTCTCCCCCTGGGGAACCACACAAGTGTTTTGCAACCTCCTTTCTCACCTCTGCCTACCATGCTGTGTTGCCTCTGAACATTTATATTCCACCTCCTTCTTTTATTTGTGGTAATTTTATACATGACAGCTACTAACTAACTAAGGGAAAATGATAGAGGGTCCTATTTAAAAAACAAATGCAAGCCTGTTAGTAGAAGCATAATCCCTGTAAATAGTATAGCTTTCTCAGCTAAAAATTTAAAGCAGGAGGGTTTTTTTAAAGTATAGGAAACTGGGGCTTCATTTCATCTCAGATTCCTCATGAATACATCTTGGAGATTCATGTAGCTATATTTTTAAACTCATATCCAGAGGCACACCCCCTTCACCAACATATATAAAAGATGATGAGGGGATTTTTCTTATCTTTACGTAAGAGCAGGAGTCTGTACCAAGTTTGCGAGGTCATTCAGTAACAAATTTACTCAGCATGTATTCCTTCCATAGCTCCCAGAGATCAGGTACCTTGCTAGCTCTTATGGTTGGAGATACACAGATGATGGAGTCTTGTCCTCCATCCCCTCACACTGAGAGGAGGCAGGGAATCTGACATGTAAACAAATGTGCACATGACTTGCTATATGCTATAATAGAAATGCTTGCCAAGTACTACATGAATAGAGCAAAGGAAATCCTAATGATTCAGGTGGCCACTGAAGTCGACTTCCTGGAGAAGATGATACTACACTGACAGAGACTCAAATATGAAAGAGGCAGAAATGTCACTCAGAAAGGGGCAGCATGAGCAGAAGTACTGGTTTACTTTATCCTGGTATATGTAGTATTGTGGATCATATTAGTGTGGTCTGATCGATTATAGTTTCTTAAGGGGAGATTTTTAGCCAAGAACCACTTATGCACTTCAGAAAGTTGAGCAGTTATACAAACAATTTCTTTAACATTACCTTCTTCATATGCCCTTTGAAAAAATATTTATTAGCCTCTTTTAATTACAATATTAGTGTTTTATGTTAACTCCAAGTAAGTATAGGGTGTCAGGAGATATTGCTCTATCTAATTAGGTAATATATCATTGTAATCATATCCATGGTATGACATCCAGATCATTTCCAGTTGAGAGAAGTGAGAGGAATCCTACCTTAAAATTATGAGGGGAAGTCTACCTTAATGGTATGGATGCTGGACAGCTGCCTTGTATAACCTCTGGTCTAAGTTAGAAATATGAAAGGAAACAAGCCTAGTGAAACTTAAATATCCCATGGATTTATTTTCATCCTCATTGGTGATAAAACACCCAAACTAATGTTTCTCTGTGATAAGGATCTTGAGCATATCCTTATGCTCAAGTGTGAAGCCAAGAAAACAAGAAAACTCCGTAAGTCAGTCAATTCAAAAAGCATTTCAGTGTTGAAACTCCCTAAAACGTGTTTATTCATGTCCAAGCAGAGGAAGACATATGCTTTTGGAGAATTATTGGTGAAATACTGTGACCTAAACCTTGGTTTGTGACTTGCAACCCAGGAAGAAGAAAAGGTGTATTTGGATGCTTGTCAAGTAGAAGTCTTCCTATGTGTTTTGTTTGTTTATTTTTGGTTGTTTGTTTACTAAAGGGAGTTTACCACATGCTAGAGAATTTTTGAGGACCCAATAGCACTATGATGATACTTGATTTTTAACTTAATCATATTGATTGAAGAGGAAGTAACTGTTGCTATGTAAATCGATGCTATTTATTTATTCTCCATATGCTGTTTGAAAGCATTTAGAGAAGCTTGAGGCACATGCATCCTGCTCTGGGAAACATGGGCCTGTATCTATTGCCATGTTTGCATTTTCTGCCAGTCCAACCTTGAATTCCTACAGAATCCTAATATCTATGCTAAACCCTTGCCTTAGGACCATGGTAATTTTATAAGGAAGATTTTTATTTTTCAAATGTCAGTATCAGATTAATTATTTCATTGGTTCTGAAATGCCTTGTGCTGATTCTTGTTTCTATCTATAATCTATCTATCTATCTATCTACCTACCTACCTACCTACCTATCTATCTATCTATATCTATCATACAGTTTTGTGAGTTAGTAGGTGAACTGGCTTGCAAGATTTCCATTGTCTTTCCAGATGTTGGTAGCCACTCACACTTCTTTCCATCTGTTTCTACTTATTATATTTATTGGCCATTGACAATTAAGGCTAGGTCTGCATGAATTTTAATTATTTTTAGCTAGTTTTTTATCTTTTGCTTAACATATGACATTGTATTGATGTTTCTTTCTAGACAGATTTAAAATCTCAGAAATTTAAGAGTATTTAAAGCAGTTTAAAAGCTCTAGTCTTAAACAAATAATCTGTACAACAAACCCCCATGACAGAAGTTTACCTATGTAACAAACCTGCACCTGGACTACTGAATTTAAAAGTAAATAATAATAATAATAATAATAAAGTAAATAAAATAAAAAATAAAGTTACAAAAAGGCAATAGAAGAAATAAAAATAATTATATAAACATTAAAGTTTGGAGGGTATTGTAAAATAACAAGAAAAGGTATAAACATGACTATCTAATTGGATCTTTAAATGTCTCTAAATTCCCTTTATATTATTTTATTATTTGTACCCTCATAATCTTTTGCATAATTGACAATCTTTTAGTAATAATACTATAACATATGTGTTTGGCATTTGAAGAATTAACATTTAAGTAATGAAGGTAATAGAATGCATAAAGTAGACTTAATGAGACTTTTAAATCATCATAAATGTTTATATTTGATAATTCTTATTTCGTGTTTTGTTGGGGGCCGATAATTGGTCATTGCCCCATAGGTAGGCATGACGACACATATTTTTCAGGGTTGAAACATGGGAGTGAAGACTGCAGGTTACAACTTGCCAATTAGTTCATTTGTTGGGTGGACATCCTATTGTCTTTTGACTATTGCTATCCTGGTCACACTGCACAAAATGCCAGATAGAGGTAAAGTGCATTGCAAAAAGAGTAAAAAAAAAATTAAATGTCTGGACACTTCTCAATATTTTCTATAAAAAAACATAATGCACACTTCATATTTTTAAATGGGCCTTGCTAAATGAAACCTACCTTTCTTTCTCTTTCTTTCTTTCTTTCTTTGTACATATGTGAGGCAACACTGCTTGGGTAAAGTCTCTCTGTTCTATCTGTCTCTGTCTCCTCCTGTATCTCTTATGGTAAAATGGTTTATAAGCTGGTGAAATGGTAGTTCTGTAGAGACTTTTGCCAGTTAATTGAAAAAATACACACGTCTGTAGCAGATACATTCAGGCTTTGTCTATGTGGCACACCTAAATAACTTTTCTGTTGTTACATTTTAATTCCGATATAAGAATAGGACAATGGCCAAATAATCAAGCAGATCACTGCCCAGTTTATTGGAATCTATTTTTACACTGACAGGAATAATTTTCTCAGATATGTCATGACTTGGCTATTTCAATAACTCCCAAGAACAAATTAAATCCTCCCATATTTCAATCAAATTGATATTGTAGGAGTCAGTGATTGTTTCAGTTAAACAATGAATTGACTATGACTAAGGACTGTCACTCTCTACCCATTATTCTATCATAACTGTGTTTCTACAGATTATCACAAAATCAAAGAGTAGACAAGTGTAAGATTACGATTAAATGCAGAAGATTTGCAAAAAGAGTTCACTGCTGGTTCAATTACTTTGGATCATGTTGATGCTACTTGGCTTCCTGCTGGACACAAGGGGTAGTGAGTTTGACTTGTTTCGCTGAGGATTCTGGGAATGTTAGGGACGGTAAGACATCTGTCCATATTAAGGGATAGAATCCAAGTGAATGAAAAGGAGGTGCAGAGTGAGAATTCTTTGCAAGACTGTCTCATTCATGTCCCTGACTCATGGCTTCAAGCAGTTCAGTGCTCTGCAGCCAAACTTATCCTTGTGAGCAATTTGGTTGGATAGACAACTGATCTAAAATTATTGAGTTGCCTTTGCCCTTTTGAATATGTAAAGAGAAACTGATAATCTAAATATATTTTTTCTTTCTACCTTTTAAATTTCTAATTGTGCTGACCTGAGCTAGATATTGATTGAAGAAAGAAGTGATATCAAATGAGGATGACAAGTGGTATCTTCAATAGACTAATTGAAAGTAATATGTCCACATATATAGACTGTGTCTCTCTGGGAGAGGGTGCACAAAAAAAGAGGTAAATACTATCGGAAAAAACAATACCTCTAATTGGGGTGGTACTCCTACCTGACTCCCGGTTAAACTACCACCCTAGGCTAAGTTCTTTTTCACATCTATCTGCAAGGAAAGAATGCTCACACTATTTTTTTTTTTTTTTTTTTTTTTTTTTTTTTTTTTTGAGACAGAGTCTTGCTCTGTCGCCCAGGCTGGAGTGCAGTGGTGTGATCTCGGCTCACTGCAAGCTCCGCCTTCCAGGTTCACGCCATTCTCCTGCCTCAGCCTCCCGAGTAGCTGGGACTACAGGCACCCGCAACCACACCCAGCTAATTTTTTGTATTTTTAGTAGAGATGGGGTTTCACCGTGTTAGCCAGGATGGTCTCAATGCTCACACTAATTTTACGTCTAAACTAGCCGGAAGTAAGGACTGGAAGGGGGAGGTGTGGTGAAGGAGGAGGTGTGGGTCAAGTTCACTGATGACGGTCTACACGGTGTCCTCAAGGGGTTATCTAAAAGGGGTAAAGGTGTTATGTGTTTTCTCTCAGTTCAGCATGACTACTGATCTCAGAAGGTAGGTTGTCTCACACATTTCTATGTGTGGCAAGTGTTAATGGGAGGTGAGAAGAAGGGGAGCTTGCTTTCAAGTGGTTGCAGCCCCATTTCTCCCCTGTACGCTTATCTGCCAATCCTCCCTACACATGGGGGTGCAGCTTAGTCATATGCTGGCTCCTCCCAGGGCAGGCTTCTCTGTTTCCACCTGCACACGCTGAGTTTGGGGTGGTTTCTTGTGGGCTGAGTTTGAATCTCTGACAGACTCTCGTGGGCCTCCTGGAAACTGAGGTGTGTTGGAGCCCCACACTCTCCCTGCTGACCACCCATCTCACTGACCTCATTGCCAAGGCTGATAGCCTACTTAGTACTACACTTACAAATTGTGTCTTGTAAGTCCACCCAGGGAGTCTGGAATGGACTTTGATTGCTAGAGACATAATGTCCATCACAGGGCCAGCAATCTTTCTTTCCTAGTGCCCTCTCAGGAATGGCAGGCCCCCTGCTCCCATGGCTTCAGGTCTCCTGTTCTCTAAAGGTTCTGGCTGTGGCAGATCCTGCCCAATTAAACTCATGTACATAGTCTAAGTATCCATTAATGATTCTCTGTGAATCAAAATCCTCTCTTAAAATGGGATATAAGTCCTCAGGGTTGTCTCAAGAAACTCTGACCCCTCCTAGGCACAAATATCCCCTGTGGCAGGCAAATAGTCACAGTTTCGCAGATCAGTTTTTCTAGAATCTTATTTTCAACCACTTTTTTTCCCTAAAGATAGAGGAAATTAGTTTCCCCAGCCTTACGCACTCCCACCAGTGTGTGTTTTCCCCAGCGTATAAGGCTGGGGACACAGGAATTATGCATACACAGGAATTATGAGGCAATAGACTGCTTCATAGATACAATAGGATACAGGTTTATGCATAGTTCCTGGCATCCTAGTTGTAACTCAACCTCTAATTCAGTTGAATATGGTTTAGTAGTTTGGAATATATGTTTTAGAGAAATTCTTAAACTTTAACAAGATTATGAATCAGCTGGACTTGTTAAAATGCAGATCCTGATTCAGTAGGTCAGAAATCGGGTTTAACAGATTTTACACTTTCAGCAAGCTCAGGTAGTGCCAACGCTGATGGTCCATGAACCACACCCTGAGTGCAAGGCTCTCAATGGTGATGTGTCTAGCCAGATGCATGATCTGGCCTCTCTAGCTCTTTTTATTTATTTATTTTTATTATACTTTAAGTTTTAGGGTACATGTGCACATTGTGCAGGTTAGTTACATATGTATACATGTGCCATGCTGGTGCGCTGCACCCACTAACTCGTCATCTAGCATTAGGTATATCTCCCAATGCTATCCCTCCCCCCTACCCCCACCCCACCACAGTCCCCAGAGTGTGATATTCCCCTTCCTGTGTCCATGTGATCTCATTGTTCAATTCCTACCTATGAGTGAGAATATGTGGTGTTTGGTTTTTTGTTCTTGCAATAGTTTACTGAGAATGATGGTTTCCAATTTCATCCATGTCCCTACAAAGGACATGAACTCATCATTTTTTATGGCTGCATAGTATTCCATGGTGTATATGTGCCACATTTTCTTAATCCAGTCTATCATTCTTGGACATTTGGGTTGGTTCCAAGTCTTTGCTATTGTGAATAATGCCGCAATAAACATACGTGTGCATGTGTCTTTATAGCAGCATGATTTCTAGTCCTTTGGGTATATACCTGGTAATGGGATGGCTGGGTCAAATGGTATTTCTAGTTCTAGATCCCTGAGGAATCGCCACACTGACTTCCACAATGGTTGAACTAGTTTACAGTCCCACCAACAGTGTAAAAGTATTCCTATTTCTCCACATCCTCTCCAGCACCTGTTGTTTCCTGACTTTTTAATGATTGCCATTCTAACTGGTGTGAGATGATATCTCATAGTGGTTTTGATTTGCATTTCTCTGATGGCCAGTGATGATGAGCATTTTTTCATGTGTTTTTTGGCTGCATAAATGTCTTCTTTTGAGAAGTGTCTGTTCATGTCCTTCGCCCACTTTTTGATTGGGGTTGTTTGTTTTTTTCTTGTAAATTTGTTTGAGTTCATTGTAGATTCTGGATATTAGCCCTTTGTCAGATGAGTAGGTTGTGAAAATTTTCTCCCATGTTGTAGGTTGCCTGTTCACTCTGATGGTAGTTTCTTTTGCTGTGCAGAAGCTCTTTAGTTTAATTAGATCCCATTTGTCAATTTTGGCTTTTGTTGCCATTGCTTTTGGTGTTTTGGACATGAAGTCCTTGCCCACGCCTATGTCCTCAATGGTAATGCCTAGGTTTTCTTCTAGGGTTTTTATGGTTTTAGGTCTAACGTTTAAATCTTTAATCCATCTTGAATTGATTTTTGTATAAGGTGTAAGGAAGGGATCCAGTTTCAGCTTTCTACATATGGCTAGCCAGTTTTCCCAGCACCATTTATTAAATAGGGAATCCTTTCCCCATTGCTTGTTTTTCTCAGGTTTGTCAAAGATCAGATAGTTGTAGGTATGCGGTGTTATTTCTGAGGGCTCTGTTCTGTTCCATTGATCTATATCTCTGTTTTGGTACCAGTACCATGCTGTTTTGGTTACTGTAGCCTTGTAGTATAGTTTGAAGTCAGGCAGTGTGATGCCTCCAGCTTTGTTCTTTTGGCTTAGGATTGACTTGGCTATGTGGGCTCTTTTTTGGTTCCATATGAACTTTAAAGTAGTTTTTTCCAATTCTGTGAAGAAAGTCATTGGTAGCTTGATGGGGATGGCATTGAATCTATAAATTACCTTGGGCAGTATGGCCATTTTCACGATATTGATTCTTCCTACCCATGAGCATGGAATGTTCTTCCATTTGTTTGTATCCTCTTTTATTTCCTTGAGCAGTGGTTTGTAGTTCTCCTTGAAGAGGTCCTTCACATCCCTTGTAAGTTGGATTCCTAGGTATTTTATTCTCTTTGAAGCAATTGTGAATGCGAGTTCACTCATGATTTGGCTCTCTGTTTGTCTGTTGTTGGTGTATAAGAATGCTTGTGATTTTTGTACATTGATTTTGTATCCTGAGACTTTGCTGAAGTTGCTTATCAGCTTAAGGAGATTTTGGGCTGAGACGATGGGGTTTTCTAGATAAACAATCATGTTGTCTGCAAACAGGGACAATTTGACTTCCTCTTTTCCTAATTGAATACCCTTTATTTCCTTCTCCTGCCTGATTGCCCTGGCCAGAACTTCCAACACTATGTTGAATAGGAGTGGTGAGAGAGGGCATCCCTGTCTTGTGCCAGTTTTCAAAGGGAATGCTTCCAGTTTTTGCCCATTCAGTATGATATTGGCTGTGGGTTTGCCATAGATAGCTCTTATTATTTTGAAATACGTCCCATCAATACCTAATTTATTGAGAGTTTTTAGCATGAAGGGTTGTTGAATTTTGTCAAAGGCTTTTTCTGCATCTATTGAGATAATCATGTGGTTTTTGTCTTTGGCTCTGTTTATATGCTGGATTACATTTATTGATTTGCATATATTGAACCAGCCTTGCATCCCAGGGATGAAGCCCACTTGATCATGGTGGATAAGCTTTTTGATGTGCTGCTGGATTCGGTTTGCCAGTATTTTATTGAGGATTTTTGCATCAATGTTCATCAAGGATATTGGTCTAAAATTCTCTTTTTTGGTTGTGTCTCTGCCCAGCTTTGGTATCAGAATGATGCTGGCCTCATAAAATGAGTTAGGGAGGATTCCCTCTTTTTCTATTGATTGGAATAGTTTCAGAAGGAATGGTACCAGTTCCTCCTTGTACCTCTGGTAAAATTCGGCTGTGAATCCATCTGGTCCTGGACTCTTTTTGGTTGGTAAACTATTGATTATTGCCACAATTTCAGCTCCTGTTATTGGTCTATTCAGAGATTCAACTTCTTCCTGGTTTAGTCTTGGGAGAGTGTATGTGTCGAGGAATGTATCCATTTCTTCTAGATTTTCTAGTTTATTTGTGTAGAGGTGTTTGTAGTATTCTCTGATGGTAGTTTGTATTTCTGTGGGATCGTTGGTGATATCCCCTTTATCATTTTTTATTGTGTCTATTTGATTCTTCTCTCTTTTTTTCTTTATTAGTCTTGCTAGCGGTCTATCAATTTTGTTGATCCTTTCAAAAAACCAGCTCCTGGATTCATTGATTTTTTGAAGGGTTTTTTGTGTCTCTATTTCCTTCAGTTCTGCTCTGATTTTAGGTATTTCTTGCCTTCTGCTAGCTTTTGAATGTGTTTGCTCTTGCTTTTCTTGTTCTTTTAATTGTGATGTTAGGGTGTCAATTTTGGATCTTTCCTGCTTTCTCTTGTGGGCATTTAGTGTTATAAATTTCCCTCTACACACTGCTTTGAATGCGTCCCAGAGATTCTGGTATGTTGTGTCTTTGTTCTCGTTGGTTTCAAAGAACATCTTTATTTCTGCCTTCATTTCGTTATGTACCCAGTAGTCATTCAGGAGCAGGTTGTTCAGTTTCCATGTAGTTGAGCGGCTTTGAGTGAGATTCTTAATCCTGAGTTCTAGTTTGATTGCACTGTGGTCTGAGAGATAGTTTGTTATAATTTCTGTTCTTTTACATTTGCTGAGGAGAGCTTTACTTCCAACAATGTGGTCAATTTTGGAATAGGTGTGGTGTGGTGCTGAAAAAAATGTATATTCTGTTGATTTGGGGTGGAGAGTTCTGTAGATGTCTATTAGGTCCGCTTGGTGCAGAGCTGAGTTTAATTCCTGGGTATCCTTGTTGACTTTCTGTCTCGTTGATCTGTCTAATGTTGACAGTGGGGTGTTAAAGTCTCCCATTATTAATGTGTGGGAGTCTAAGTCTCTTTGTAGGTCACTCAGGACTTGCTTTATGAATCTGGGTGCTCCTGTATTGGGTGCATATATATTTAGGATAGTTAGCTCCTCTTGTTGAATTGATCCCTTTACCATTATGTAATGGCCTTCTTTGTCTCTTTTGATCTTTGTTGGTTTAAAGTCTGTTTTATCAGAGACTAGGATTGCAACCCTTGCCTTTTTTTGTTTTCCATTTGCTTGGTAGATCTTCCTCCATCCTTTTATTTTGAGCCTATGTATGTCTCTGCACGTGAGATGGGTTTCCTGAATACAGCACACTGATGGGTCTTGTCTCTTTATCCAACTTGCCAGTCTGTGTCTTTTAATTGGAGAATTTAGTCCATTTACATTTAAAGTTAATATTGTTATGTGTGAATTTGATCCTGTCATTATGATGTTAGCTGGTGATTTTGCTCGTTAGTTGATGCAGTGTCTTCCTAGTCTCGATGGTCTTTACATTTTGGCGTGATTTTGCAGCGGCTGGTACCGGTTGTTCCTTTCCATGTTTAGCGTTTCCTTCAGGAGCTCTTTTAGGGCAGGCCTGGTGGTGACAAAATCTCTCAGCATTTGCTTGTCTGTAAAGTATTTTATTTCTCCTTCACTTATGAAGCTTAGTTTGGCTGGATATGAAATTCTGGGTTGAAAATTCTTTTCTTTAAGAATGTTGAATATTGGCCCCCACTCTCTTCTGGCTTGTAGGGTTTCTGCCGAGAGATCCGCTATTAGTCTGATGGGCTTCCCTTTGAGGGTAACCTGACCTTTCTCTCTGGCTGCCCTTAACATTTTTTCCTTCATTTCAACTTTGGTGAATCTGACAATTATGTGTCTTGGAGTTGCTCTTCTCGAGGAGTATCTTTGTGGCGTTCTCTGTATTTCCTGAATCTGAACGTTGGCCTGCCTTGCTAGGTTGGGGAAGTTCTCCTGGATAATATCCTGCAGAGTGTTTTCCAACTTGCTTCCATTCTCCGCATCACTTTCAGGTACACCAATCAGACGTAGATTTGGTCTTTTCACATAGTCCCATATTTCTTGGAGGCTTTGCGCATTTCTTTTTATTCTTTTTTCTCTAAACTTCCCTTCTCGCTTCATTTCATTCATTTCATCTTCCATTGCTGATACCCTTTCTTCCAGTTGATCGCATCGGCTCCTGAGGCTTCTGCATTCTTCACGTAGTTCTCGAGCCTTGGTTTTCAGCTCCATCAGCTCCTTTAAGCACTTCTCTGTATTGGTTATTCTAGTTATACATTCTTCTAAATTTTTTTCCAAGTTTTCAACTTCTTTGCCTTTGGTTTGAATGTCCTCCCGTAGCTCAGAGTAATTTGATCGTCTGGAGCCTTCTTCTCTCAGCTCGTCAAAATCATTCTCCATCCAGCTTTGTTCCGTTGCTGGTGAGGAACTGCGTTCCTTTGGAGGAGGAGAGGCGCTCTGCGTTTTAGAGTTTCCAGTTTTTCTGTTCTGTTTTTTCCCCATCTTTGTGGTTTTATCTACTTTTGGTCTTTGATGATGGTGATGTACAGATGGGTTTTCAGTGTGGATGTCCTTTCTGTTTGTTATTTTTCCTTCTAGCAGACAGGACCCTCAGCTGCAGGTCTGTTGGAATACCCTGCCGTGTGAGGTGTCAGTGTGCCCCTGCTGGGGGGTGCCTCCCAGTTAGGCTGCTCGGGGGTCAGGGGTCAGGGACCCACTTGAGGAGGCAGTCTGCCCGTTCTCAGATCTCCAGCTGCATGCTGGGAGAACCACTGCTCTCTTCAAAGCTGTCAGACAGGGACATTTAAGTCTGCAGAGGTTACTGCTGTCTTTTTGTTTGTCTGTGCCCTGCCCCCAGAGGTGGAGCCTACAGAGGCAGGCAGGCCTCCTTGAGCTGTGGTGGGCTCCACCCAGTTGGAGCTTCCAGGCTGCTTTGTTTACCTAAGCAAGCCTGGGCAATGGCGGGCGCCCCTCCCCCAGCCTCGCTGCCGCCTTGCAGTTTGATCTCAGACTGCTGTGCTAGCAATCAGCGAGACTCCGTGGGCGTAGGACCCTCTGAGCCAGGTGTGGGATATAGTCTCGTGGTGTGCCGTTTTTTAAGCTGGTCTGAAAAGCGCAATATTCGGGTGGGAGTGACCCGATTTTCCAGGTGCGTCAGTCACCCCTTTCTTTGACTCGGAAAGGGAACTCCCTGACCCCTTGCGCTTCCCAGGTGAGGCAATGCCTCACCCTGCTTCGGCTCGTGCACGGTGTGCGCACCCACTGGCCTGCGCCCACTGTCTGGCACTCCCTAGTGAGATGAACCCGGTACCTCAGATGGAAATGCAGAAATCACCCGTCTTCTGCATCGCTCTCGCTGGGAGCTGTAGACCGGAGCTGTTCCTATTCGGCCATCTTGGCTCCTCCGACCCTCTCTAGCTCTTAAGATATATTTATACCTTGACCTTTCCATCTCTCTATATTCAATATTGTATATTTTCAAAACTGTCATTTATTATTGCACTTGTGCCTGTAACCTGCTAGGCTGCACTTCTGATAGAAACCTTGTTATCACCATCCTTAGTCACCTTCCAGAAGAAAGGATGGACAAGCTGTCTTGTCATGAACTTTTATCCTCATTTTACTCTCTTCTTCTCTCCTTTTTTTTCATCCAGTCCATACCTTTTCCCTTGTGATTTCTGTAAGCATTAAATTGTTACTCAAGAATCGGTGCAGCAACTGGCATGTGGTAGATTCACAATAAAAAGTTATATAAATTGAAGCATCTTCCCTGCATGGCCCTTCCACCACCTTTTGCTGAACACTGGGTCTCCCCTGAGAGCAAGACCTCTCTAGTAACCCTAACTTCGGAGGCTACTGGTTCCCTAAACCACAGGGTTTACAATTGTGTGGATAGTCTCCCAGCTCCCTGTTTCTCCTTCCTGACTGTCACTTTTCCAAAGTCATGTCAAAAGCCTTTGTCATTTGAGATCCATGCCACTCAATACTGCTTATGTCTTTTCTTGTTGTCTATCACTTTATAAATTGTTAAAGTTACAATAGGATTTGATCTTTTTTTACATTCAATCTCTTCTCATCATTATGTATGAGGATGACACATCCAATTATCCAGCCTCAAAGGTAATTAAACTCTTCGACTCCAACAACCTTCTCTATATTCTACTTCAGCCACCTGTGTGTACAGCTACAACTTCACTTAGGGCATATTGAAGTCTATTAGATCGAATTGTTCAATTGATTCTGCTGATCACAAAATAATACAAGCTTGTAATTCCAAAGTTAAAGCCTACCTTTATGGAATAGAAGGTAAAAACATCTACATAATCCTAGCCAGATATAACAATTAAAAACATACCATTTCAGACTTTTTCATAAAGAGATTAATTATCTACCTAAATTGAAACATACTAAATATATAGGGTAGCATAGCATTTTGTATATATATTTCAATCTCATTTTTATCTAATATATAATGACATAATCATACATAATGATGAATTCTTCCTTTGAAGCAGCTCTCTACTATTTTACATTATCAATATGTTATAATTTATTCAATCCAATTCCCTCTTAGGAGGCATTTAAATTGTCTGCAGCATTGTAATATGCAATGCTTCCTTTGAAAATTTGTATTTTCTTCTGTAGACAGATTCCTCATTTAGCTTAGAATATTTTCCTAGAAGTAAAATTACTGAATCAAAAAATATGCACAGTATATTAGATTGTACTTTGGTAAGTTGAAAAGTTTATTCTACGATATGTTCAGTTTGTCACTCTCCATTACCAATAAATATTATTCATCTTCTTAATTTTTACCAATTTGTTAGATAGACAATGTCATTACTTTAGATTTATTTGACTAGTACTGAAATTTCACATATGTTCAAGTGTGCATTGGCCATTTAAATATATAGATGTTTAACTAAAACTCTTATGTTTTTCTTTATATAAAAGGCAAAAGAAAGAGATTGGACTTTTTGGCCTTCTGTGTTAGGCTTTCAGTATTTAATTTCGTTTGGAGGTAATTTCATCTTCTAGAGTTTTAAATGCATAGGAGATAATCTGTAGGTTAAAGTAAAACTGTTGTATCTATTGTCTTTATGACTTCCAATCCATTGTGAGGATATTTAGAAGCCAAATTTCTCTCTATATATAAATGCGTAATGAATCTCTCTTCTCACTTTCTGATTGTGTCTCTTAAAGCTGCATTTAGATTTATACTTTAATCAGACCAAGTCAACATTTAATTTTCACTTGCTTTAACTACTGTGTTCAATGAAGCAGAGAATTCATCCATCTTAACAAATATAGAGAAACACAAATACAGCAAATAAAAGAACCTCAGGCATGTTTGTATACTGACTTTCTGAGAACAAATATCAGCTTGGAGTTTCTCATGTGCCTAGGTCATTTTATGAGCCAGTTGGGCACATAGGATCAACACAAAAGATTGGCCTTTACTGAGATCATTTCCCTTTGTTATTCCCTTCCAGTTATTGTTCAGTGTTGATTTTCTACTGTCCTTTTCTTTAGTAGGCTGTCACTGACCTCCACCTCTTAATTTTCTCTTACACATACAAAACCCATTCGATTCTTTCTTTTCTCCCGCAACACTCTCCCCACTTTACCTTTCTTTCTTCTTCAAAGAACTGTCTTATTCTCTTAATCTCATGGGCAAGCTCTAATAATGTCTTCCCTTAATTACCTCCCTTTATTAACAGTGTGAACTAAGAAGGAAGGCATTCTGCTCTAAAATGTATTTGAAAGTATCAGTTTCTAGCTTTCGGCTCAGTATAGTCAGGTATTAAACCTCCTGTCCTAATATCAAAGCTTTTATTTTTCCTTTTTTTTTCTGAGACAGTCTTGCTCTGTCTCCCAGGCTGGAGTGCAGTGGCATGATTTCAGCTCACTGTAAACTCCACCTCCCAGGTTCAAGCAATTCTCCCACCTCAGCCTCCTGAGTAGCTGAAATTACAGGTGCATACCACCATGCCCGGCCAATTTTTGTATTTTTTAGTAGGGACGGGGTTTCACTATGTTGGCCAGGCTGGTCTGGAAACTCCTTACCTCAAGTGATCTGCCTGCCTTGGCCTCCCAAAGTGTTGGGATTACAGGCGTCAGCCACTGTGCCCAGCCACAAGGCTATTCTTATGTTCCCAGGCTAATTTGGGTGCTCTTCCTTAACAGCACTGCATTTTAGCCAGATTGGGTTCTTACGTGCTAGGCACATTTGACATTTTTTGCCCTAATTTTCACATCATTGTGTTATTATATATGCTGTTTCTTTCCCCAACCTACCAACCCCATCCCTGTCCTGTTTCTTTGCCTTTCCAAATATTTCCCACTATTAAGACTGAGTCAAATTCCACCTTTACAATTCTATAGTTAGTGACATCTATTCCCACTTCTCATCTAACAGTAGGATTCCCATATGACATCTCTGTAATTCGATCATGCATACTTTGCTCAGTTTCAGTGAAAGGCTACCTTGTACATCAAGAGATCATTCATACCTTTATGAACTGATTGATGTATTCAATTTTTTCATTTCTACCTCTTTGTGATTTATATACATTAACCCCAATCTTTAACACAGAGCACTGTTTCTCTTGTATGTTGCAGTGCTTTCAAAATTTGGAAACTACTATGACTTTCTTCACTTTGGTATTCTAATCTCTGACATGTTTTTGAGAATCTTTCAACAGATCTGTCTCCTTTTCAGGTATTCTCCTTATAATCTGCCATTAATAATTGAACAAAATATTTCACATGTGGTCTGACTAGTGCAGAACAAGGTGAGGCTATTCTTTACAATGTTCTGGATGTCTACTTCTCTTCATGTAGTCTCATGTTGAATGGGATTTTTAGTAATCATTTGACAATTGGCTCATTTACCTTGCAATAAGTTGTGTATATATATATCACTGCAAAAGTTCTCTGATACCGCGTTTCAGTCAATAGATCCTCTACCCCTGACCCCAGCAAACCACTGATCTTTATGTCACTGTAGATTAGTTTGCATCTTCTAGAATTTTATATAGATGGAATCATATATACACATATAGTCTATTAAAAAGAATTTTTCTCCTTCTGGAAATAGGTGTTTTTTTAAAAAAGAAAACCAGATTTTTCCACAACAATATCTGCCCAATTGAATTTTTAAACCTAAATTCAAGAGATTTGTCCTTTAAAATTTTATCTGGTTGGCTTCAGTTCAGTGTTCTTATATGTCAAAATGATTTTGAATCCTGAATCTGTCATCCAAAGTATTAGCTAGCTATCATTTTTAGCTATATGCTTTCTGTAGGTTTGATGAACACATGTTAAAACATTATCACTGAACACAGAATCATAAAATATTAGACCAGAAAGAACCAAAGTCATGGATAAAATTGTTGATCAGAACAACCACAGATAAAAACCTGCATGGTCAATGACCTGTCAGGTTGATTCACAGCTAAGGGCCTGGCTTCCTCTTTTCCTTCCAACCTTCCAAAATGCTATGACAATTTTTGTTTTTTATATTTTGTAGCTTTTGAAAAATTTTGTTTATTTAAAAATTACTGTGATGCCATTTTCACACATAACAAAATCTAAACAAGTCCAAAAATGCATTTGGTTAGGATTTCTCTTAACTTTTTGAACTTGTAATAGTTTCCCTGATTTTGTTTTGTTCACTCTTTTTGAACTTTTATTTTAAAATCCGGGGGTACACAGGTCAGTTACAAAGGTATGTTGTGTGATGCTGAGGTTCAGGTGGTAAGCATAGGACCCAACGGGTCGTTTTTCAGAATGACTTTTTTTTTTTTTTTTTTTTTTTGAGACAAAGTCTCGGTCTGTCACCCAGGCTGGAGTGCAGTGGTGCGATCTTGGCTCACTGCAAACTCCGCCTCCCCGGCTCAAGCAATTCTCCTACCTCAGCCTCCCGAGAAGCTGGGATTACAGGCACACACCACTATGCCTGGGTAATTTTTTTTTTGTATTTTTAATAAAGACGGGGTTTCACCATGTTGGCCAGGATGGTTTTGAACTCCTGACCTCGGAAGATCTGCCCACCTCAGCCTCCGAAAGTGCTGGGATTACAGGCGTGAGCCACCACGCCTGGCCCAGTATGACAATTTTTATATCTAGTACTAACTCTGACATATTTTCTAAGACTAAAAAAGCTTGTTGTCTTCTAATTCCTTCACCATGTTTTTCATTCTTCTCAAGGTACCCTGTCTGTGTATGTGTTTAAATTTTTTTTTTTTCCTGAGGTAAAATTCACATTCACTGTAATTCAAATTATTTAAAATATAATCCATTTAAAATATAACATTGGATGATTTTGAACAAATGTAAACATTTATGTAACTGCTTCTCCAATCAAGATTCATAATATTTTCATCACTCCAAAAGTTTTCAGTCAATACCCCTTTCCCCAGTCCTAGGCAACCACTGATCTACTTTATGTCTGTACAGATTAGTTTGCACTTTCTAGAGTTTCATATAAATGGAATCATGCAGTATCTACTGTTTTGTATCTGGCTTCCAGAATGTTTTGAGATATATCCATGATTTTGCTTGTACCAGTAGTTCATTCCATTTCATTAATTAGTCATGTTCCATTGTTTGAATCAGTTTATTCATTGACTTTCTCATGGCCATTTGGGTTGTTCCCCATTCTAAATAATGTTGCTATGAACATTTCTGAAGTTGTACAATTCGAGGTGTACAATTCTTTCTATGGATGTATGTTTTCATTTCTCTTAAGTGCATACCTATGAGTGGAATTACTGAGTCCATGTGTCTAATTCCACAATAAACTTGAGAGTATTTTTCAAAGTCTAAAGCTAACGACTACATCATTTTATATTCCTATCAGCAGCGTATAAGAAATCTAGTTGCTCCACATCCTTACCAACATTCAATTTTTTCTTTTAAGCATCCTGTGGATACATTGTAGTAACTTATTTTGGTTTATATTGGCATTTCCCCGATGACTAATAATGGTGAGCATCTCTTGATGTTATTTTGTCATCCATATATCTTCCTTGGTAAAGTGTCTGTTCAAATCTCTTTTCAGGCCTTCATTCACTCTCTTTCTCCTTTTCTGTCTTTCACCAAATTTCTATTCTCCTCATCCTTCTCTCAAGCCCTATTTTATTTGATTGGAATGATTTCTCCTTGTAGTTCACCCAAGGTGTCCACCTTCTAATTTGCAAGCATCTCGGCATGTATCTGCTCAAAAACATCTTCTCAGAGTATGAAAACAGTCCCATTTGTTTTCCCCAACAATAACTCCAAGCCAGGGATGCTACTGGGTGAATATAATAGCTATTGAGTAAACAGAAATGCTGCATGAAAATGTGTGAAGAATGGTTCTTTACTAAACTATCTTCATGGCATAATCTCTCTTATATAACAAAAAACCCAATTTTTAAGAGACAATTGGAAATTTCTGCCCCATAAATATTGATGCTTTGAATCAAACAAAGTTAACAAAGTTGAATTAAGAAAAAGATCTCTCCTGTGGTTTGCTAGGCTTATGTTTTAAACTTGTTAATAAAATGCAATGTTCTGTGTAGAAAATTTTCAGCGTTTCTTCATGAATTCTTCTTTTAGTTTCTAAAGGCTGTAACTCATCTTGACAGTAAGCCGTATTCAACATTTTATTTGATCAGATTAGGAAGTTTCAATTTCTTAGGGATTTGTTTTGCCAACTATTTCAACAACTTGGAACAACTTGCCAAATATTTTTCTTGGGATCTGCGATATTAGAGCATAGAAGAAAGAGAGGGAGAGTAAATAGTGAGGAAAATCGTTGACCAGATAAAAGTTACAGCATCACGCCCTACATCTAAAAGTGTTAAAACACAGAATAGAAATCTGCCCACTATGTGCAACATGGCCATGACTGCACAATATGGGGGTTTGCAGAAGGTCTGCCTTTCACCCGTTCCCTTCAGTGGCTTTTATCCCCTCATTTGGAGCCCTACTGCTTACCTGTGAATCTTTTTTCTTAATATTTCCCCTTGGATACCTAGGGTTCCTACGAAAGTGAGATTTACATCCAGAGGTATCTTATCTATGATTCTGTCCTAAATGACCACATTTCCAGATGTAAGAGTAAGGAGACGAATATCAGGCCCTCTTAGTAGGCTTCAAATTCATTAAAATATATAATAAGCTCAGCTTCTCAGGGAATTTATTTCCATTGATATTTTAAATATAAGCCAGTTACTCTCTTTTTGATTCTTTTCATCATGTCCCATATGTAAAACCCTAAGTTGTCTCAGTGTGTATACTAGTTTGGTTTGACACTTTTGGTATAGATATACAATATTAAAATGGTCTAAAGCTAATATTATTAGTAAATATTTTCTCATACTTAGGGTATGAGAAAGTGAAGGTCATTGTTCAAAAAGCAGATTGAACCTACTAGTATAATTTCATATCTTCAGATCTTTCATATTTTAATCTAATGATAAGTCAGAGACCTTATCTCTGACTGCCCTGGCTTCATCTTTAAATATGTCAAAGTACCTAGTGCCAAAAAGAACTGTGAGTTCCAGCAAACTGTAATACTTGTAACAACTCCTTACCCCTAGGCAGATCACTGAAGCATCACTCCTGAATGTTCCTCTGTACCCTCAATGTGCATTTGCACTACCAGTGATCTCAAGAATTCTAGAAAATGAAAACTGGATTACCATCACCAACGTCTAGGAACTGTGGTTTGTACAATGCTAAGTAAATGAGCTAACTGTTTTTAGTTTTCATTTTTCTTGATTTTTCTTGAACTTGATTCAGCGATTGCCTAAGTTGATTCCCTCTCTGGGATTGGGCCTGACCTAACTTTTGGTTTATGAGAGCTTGGTTACATCTCTGGCTCTAAAAATATAGGAGGTTAAACTTTTTCTAGGAGGGGCTCCTAACATAGAATTTAAGAGGGTTCAGTGGCCAGGTGCGGTGGTTCACGCCTGTAATCCTAGCACTTTGGGAGGCTGAGGTGGGCGGATCACCTGAAGTCAGGAGTTTGAGACCAGCCTGGCCAACGTGACGAAACCCTGTCTCTACTAAAAATACAAAAATTAGCTGGGCATATTGGTGGGTGCTTGTAATTGCAGTTCTCAGGAGGCTAAGGCAGGGAGAATTGCTTGAACCCGGGAGGCAGAGGTTGCAGTGAGCCAAGATCGTGCCACCGCACTCCAGTCTGGGCAACAGAGCGAGACTGTGTCTCGAAAAACCCAAAAGCCAAAAAACAAAACAGACAAGCAACAACAACAACAAAAACAGAGGGTTTGGTAAACCACCTCCAATTATATATAAAATATAATGTAAATATCCTTTGTAATCCTTTTCTTCTTTTAAAATTATTATAATTTTAGACTTGTAAACTATCTCATACATAAAAGTGAATATATTACATGTACAGAAGGTACACAATTACTTTCCAGAGCCTTTGTTTGCATACTGCTCAACGTGAGAAATCACAACTAGCCTTCAAAGCTCTGTGCATCCCCTTTGTGACTGAGTACTTCTGCAGCAGGTCACCACTATCCTGAGTTGTGGAGTTCTTTCACGTTCATGCACAAAGGTCATGTACCTTCCTTTTAATTTTTGTGGCTATATTGCAACACACATTCACATATTATTTATTTATCTGTGCTCCTGGTAAAGAACATTTAGAATGTTTTTATTTTGTATAATTATAGACAATACTGGTATAAACATTATCTTATGTATTTCCTGGTACACATATGCAACAATTATTGTAGACCATAACATCAGAATTATAATTGTTAAATTTACACATTTTCAACTCCCCACATAATCATTTTTAATCAACCATATGAAACATTTAAAATGCCATCTCAAATTTAAATTTTTATTCCACCTGGAATTGACTTTTGTGTCACGAAAGATTTGATCCAATTTGTTTTTCCATGGGGATGATCAAGTGTATCAGTATCATTTGTTAAATTATCTCGAATTCCTCTACTGATTTACAATGTCAACTCTGTTGTATGTCAAGTTTCCCGACATATTTTTAGGTTCTCAGTTCTGTTTCTTTTGTTTGCTTTCAATGTCATTCTTGTCAATGTCATACTCTGCTGTAATTTAACTAGAATTACATTGATTTTTAAAATTAATTTGAAAAATTTAACATTACAATACTAAATTTTCCTATCTATGAACATAGTATCTCCTTTTCTTGTTTGATATTTTAAAAACATTTATCATTTTCTCCCTAAATGTCATTTTTTTAGATATGTACTACAAATGTTATATTTTGTTATTAGTTTGAATATTTTCTAACTCTGTATTCCTATTGCTATGGTTTGAATGTGTGCATCCCTTCAAAATTCATATGTTGAAACCTAATCATCAAAGTGATGGTATTAGAAAGTGTGACTTCTGGGAGGTGATTAGGTCGTGAGGGCTCCATTCTTATGAATGGGATTTATGCCCTTATAAAAGGTTTCAGAGAGCTAGCTGCCTCCCTCCTCTGTTCTGCTATGTGAGAACTCAGCAAGAAGGCACCAGAGAGCAAGCCCTTACTAGACACAAAATCTGCCAAAAACTTGATGGTGGACTTCCTGGCCTCCAGAACTGTGAGCAATAAAGTCCTGTTATTTGTAAATTACCCAGTCTAAGGTATTCTGTTATAGCAGTACTAATGGACTAGGATAATCATGACAGAAATGCAATCACTATTTGTACATTGAATTTTTGTCTTGTAGCTCCGCTAAACTCTACTGCTAATTCCAATAACTTGGGTACAGATTCTGTTTGCTTTCTAAGTGGACTTCTGAGACCAGTAGTTGCTTTTGCTTCTTTGTTTTTCAATCCTGACCATTCTGGCTGTGGCCTCAGGTACAGTGTTGAAAAGGGGCTGTAACAGCTGGAGTCCTTACTTCTTCCTGATTTAGAGAAAGTTTGTTGACTGATGTAAAGCTGTGGTAGATTACCTGCAAAAGGGAAAATAAATTTTTTCCTATTATTAGTTTACCAAGAGGTATCTTTTGGGTATAAATAGGTGGGAAATTATATTTAATTATATTATAATTTAATTATAAGTAGGTAAGTAGGTGTAAAATACTGTTGAACCCTCTTTCTGCATCTTTTCTTTTCTTTTCTTTCTTTTTTTTTTTTTTTTTTTTTTTTTTGAGACAGAGTCTCACTCTTTTGCCCAGGCTGGAGTGCAGCGGCATGATCTTGGCTCACTGCAACCTCTGTCTCCTGGGTTCAAGTGATTTACCTGCCTCAGCCTCATAAGTAGCTGGGATTACAGGCACCTGCCACCATGTCCGGCTAATTTTTTTGTATTTTTAGTAGAGGGGAGGTTTTGCCATGTTGGTCAGGCTTGTCTCAAACTCAATGATCCACCCACCTTGGCTTCCCAAAGTGCTAGGATTACAGGTGTGAGCCACTGCACCTGGCCACTTTCTGCATCTTCTCGATGAATCATCTTGTCATCTTTATTTTATTTTTGTATATATTTAAGGTATATCACATGATGTTTTGATATACATATACATAATGAAATTATTACACTACCGTGAAGCAAATTAACCTATTCATTGCCTTGCATAATTACCCTTTTTGTGTGTGTGGTAAGAGCACATAAAGTCTATTCTCTTAGCAAACTTTCAGTATACAGTGTTATTAAATATTCTCTTTATGCTGTACCACTTTGTCATCTTTAACTTGCTAAAGTGGTGATTTAAATTAATCTGTTTTTCTCACATTAACATTTCATTCCTGAAATTAATGCACAGTTGGTCACACGTGTGTGCACATACACACATACACACACACACACACACACACTTCTGTATCTATGTTCATAAGTAAATATCCTGTTTTCCATATTTAATTTTGGGAAAAATTTTATACCTCCTTCCTAAAATTCCTTTGAGTGCATCTCCTCTACTTCTGTTTTCTGGAAAGATTTATATACAGTTAGAATTGTTTCTTGGTAATTCAATAAAATTATCTGGACCTGATCTTTTATTTGTGAAAACATTAATTCCTGATTCATATCTTTGATGTTTATGGACCATTTTGATTTGCAGTTTCTCTTCAGCTTTGTTAAGTTATATTTTTTCTAGGAATTTTCCCATTTTATCTAACATTTAAAAATTTTTGGCAAAAGTACTTGCTTATTTCATGCACATACACACACGTACACACTCACACACATACATCTATAATCTCTGCTGTGTGTATCTCTAGTTAATTTGTTGTTAATTTCTAGTATTGTTTATTTGTGCCTTTTATTATTTTTTTCACCCAGTTCATCTTGCCAGAGATAATTTGTTTCAAAGAACAAACTTTTCACTTTATCAAGCCTTTCTGTTGTCCTGTGTGTTTTTATCTATCTCATTAATTCCTGTTATTTAAAAAAAATCCCTTATCTCCCCTGATTTGGGATTATTCTGTTACTTTGACTTTTTAAATTGGATGCATACCTCATCATTTTTTAGTTTTTTAAGTTTTCAAATATAAGCTTGAAAACTAAATTTTTATTTTACACTTGATCTTAGCCAAAAGTCCGAGAAGACAACTTTAACTATGTTAATGAATTTTTAGTATACGGTATTTTTATTTTTATTCCCTTTTAAGTACTTTCTAGTTTTCATTATAATTTCTTCCGTGAAGTGTTTTTTTTTTTAAGTGTAATTTAGGAAACCTAGGGTTTTGTGTTTTTTTTTGTTATATTATAAGTGGTTGCATTGTGCTTAGAAAACATGGCCTATTTTTTTTTTTCAGTTCTGTTGCTGTAGGTATGCGTATCATTTGTTTCATGGCTTAGTATATGGGCAATTTCCATAAATTTCCCTTTATGCAGAAGCGAGCCAGACTGCCTCTCTAGATTCCTCCTCTCTGGGCAGGTCATCTCTGAAAGAAAGGCAGCAGCCTCAGTCAGGAGCTTATAGATAAAACTCCCATCTCCCTGGGACAGAGCACCTGAGGGAAGGGGTGGCTGTGGGCACAGCTTCAGCAGACTTAAATGTTCCTGCTTGCTGGCTCTGAAGAGAACAGCAGATCTCTCAGCACAGCACTCGATCTCTGCTAAGGGACAGACTGCCTCCTCAAGTGGGTCCCAGACCCCAGTGCCTCCTGACTGGGAGACACCTTGAGCAAGGGTCAACAGACACCTCATACGGGAGAGCTCCAGTGGGCATCTGGCGGGTGCCCCTCTGGGATGAAGCTTCCAGAGGAGGGAGCAGGCAGCAATCTTTGCTGTTCTGCAGCTTCTGCTGGTGATACCTAGGCAAACAGGGTCTGAAGTGGACCTCCCACAAACTCCAACAGACCTGCAGACCTGACTGTTAGAAGGAAAACTAACAAACAGGAAGGAATAGCATCAACATCAACAAAAAGGAAGTCCACACAAAAACCCCAGCTGAGGGTCACCAACATTAAAGATCAAAGGTAGATTTATCTCAGGAAGATGAGGAAAAACCAGAACAATAAGACTGAAAATTCCAAAAATCAGAATATCTCTTCTACAAAAGATCACAACTCCTCGCCAACAAGGGAACAAAACTGGACGGAGAATGAGTTTGACGAATTGACAGAAGTAGGCTTCAGAAGGTGGGTAATAACAAACTTCTCTGAGCTAGAGGGGCATGTTCTAACCCAATGTGAGGAAGCTAAGAACCTTGATAAAAGGTTACAGTAACTGCTAACTAGAATAAGCAGTTTAGAGAAGAATATAAATGACTTGATGGGGCTGAAAAACACAGCACAAGAAATTCATGAAGCATACACAAGTATCAATAGCTGAATTGATCAAGTGCTTCCACTTGATATCAGAAATTGAAGATCAACTTAATGAAATAAAGCGTGAAGACAAGATTAGAGAAGAAAGAATGAAAAGGAACAAACAAAGCCTCCAAGAAATATGGGAATATGTGAAAAGACCAAACCTACATTTGATTGGTGTATCTGAAAGTGATGGGCAGAATGGAACCAACTTGGAAAACAATGTCCCCAACCTAGCAAGACAGGCCAACATTCAAATTTAGGAAATGCAGGAAATACCCCTTCATGCTAAAAACACTAAATAAACTAGGTATTGATGGAATGTATCTCAAAATAATAAGAGCTATTTATGACAAACCCACAGCCAATATCATACTGAATGGGCAAAAGCTGGAAGCGTTCCCTTTGAAAACTGGCACAAGACAAGGATCCCTTCTCTCACCACTCCTATTCAAAATAGTATTGGATGTTCTGGCCATAGCATTTAGGCAAGAGAAAGACATAAAGGGTATTCAAATAGTAAGAGAGGAAGTCAAATTGTCTGTTTGCAGATGACATGATTGTATATTTAGGAAACCCCATCGTCTCATTCCAAAATCTCCTTAGGCTGATAACTAACTTCAGCAAAGTCTCAGGATACAAAATCATTGTGCAAAAATCACAAGCATTCCTATACACCAATAATAGACAGAGAGCCAAATCATGAGTGTACTCCCATTCACAATTGCTACAAAGAGAACAAAATACCTAAGAATACAACTTACAAGGGATGGGAAGGACCTCTTCAAGAAGAACTATAAACCACTGCTCAAGAAAATAAGAGAGGACACAAACAAATGGAAAAACATTCCATGCTCATGGATAGGAATAATCAATATTGTGAAAATGGCCTTACTACCCAAAGTAATTTATAGATTCAATGCTATCCCCATCAAGCTACCATTGACTTTCTTCACCGAATTAGAAAAAAACTACTTTAAACTTCATATGGCACCAAAAAAGAGCACGTGTAGCCAAGACAATACTAAGCAAAAAGAACAAAGCTGGAGGTATCACACTACCTGTCTTCAAACTATACTACAGGCTACAGTAACCAAAACAGCATGGTACTGGAACCCAAACAGATACATAGACCAATGGAACAGAACAGAGGCCTCAGAAATAATGCCACACATCTACAACCATCTGATCTTTGACAAACCTGGCAAAAACAAGCAATGGGGAAAGGATTCCCTATTTAATACATGGTGTTGGGAAAACTGGCTAGCCATATGCAGAAAACTAAAACTGAACCCCTTTCTTACACCTTATACATAAATTAACTCACGATGGATTAAAGACTTAAACGTAAGATCTAAAACCATAAAAACCCTAGAAGAAAACCTAGGAAATACCATTCAGGACATAGGCATGGGCAAAGACTTCATGACTAAAACACCAAAAGCAATGGCAACAAAAGCCAAAATTGACAGATGGGATGTAATTAAACTAAAGAGCTTCTGCACAGCAAAAAAAAACTATCATCAGAGTGAACAGGCAACCTACAGAATGGGAGAAAATTTTTTCAATCTACTCATCTGACAAAGGGCTAATATCCAGAATCTACAAGGAACTTAAACAAATTTACAAGAAACAAACAACCCCATCAAAAAGTGGGCAGAGGATATGAACAGACATTTTTCAAAAGAAGACATTTATGTGGCCAAAAAACATATGAAAAAAAGCTCATCATCACTAGTCATTAGAGAAATGGAAATTGAAACCATAATGAGATGCCATCTCATGCCACTTAGAATGGTGATCATTAAAAAGTCAAGAAACAACAGATGCTGGAGAGGATGTGGAGAAATAGGAATGCTTTTACACTGTTGGTGGGACTGCAAATTAGTTCAACTATTGTGGAAGGCAGTGTGGCAATTCCTCAAGGATCTAGAACTAGAAATATCATTTGACCCAGCAATCCCATTATTGGTTATACACCGAAAAGATTATAAACCATTCTACTATAAAGTCCCATGCACATATATGTTTATTGCAGCAGTATTCACAATAGCAAAGACTTGAAACCAACCCAAATGTCTATCAATGATAGACTGGATAAAGAAAATGTGGCACATAAACACCATGGAACACTAGGCAGCCATAAAAAAGGATGAGTTCATTTCCTTTGCAGGGACATGGATGAAGCTGGAAACCATCATTCTCAGCAAACTAACACAGGAACAGAAAACGAAACACTGCATGTTCTCACTCATAAGTGGTAGTTGAACAATGAGTACACATGGACACATGGAGGGGAATGTCATATACTGGGGCCTGTCAGAGGTTGGAGGGCTAGAGAAGGGATAGCATTAGGAGAAATACCTAATGTAGATGACGGCTTGATGGGTGCAGCAAACCACCATGGCACATGTATACCTATGTAACAAACCTGCATGTTCTGCCCATGTATCCCAGAACTTAAAGTATATAAAAAAATTCCCTTTATGCAGAAGAATATATTTTTTAATGTTGTGTACATGATTCTGTAGAAGTCCATTGACCATGCTTGTTAATTTTGTGGTTCAGATCTTTTCTGTCTCAGCTGATCTCTTTTTTATTTGATTGATGTACTAATTAGTGAGATTCATTATGGTGGTGAATTTATCAATTTTGCTACATACTTCTTTCAACTTTCTCATTATGGATCTTGAAGCAATATTATTTTGTGCCAAAAGATTTTAATATATCATTTTAGTAAATTGCATTCTTCATTAATGCCTTTTGCCCTAGTTTTAATTTATCTAGAAGCAACAATAGCTTCACTTTCGTTAGTATTCACCTCTTATATAATTTCTCAGTCTTTAGTTTTTAGCTTTTTCTGTTTTTATAATGTATATGTGTCTTTTTTTAAGCAACATAGAGACAGAAATTTAAGTTTTTGGAATATGTTTTTCTTTTAATTTGTAAGCTTAATTCATTTGAATTATTTAGGCTCCTTAATTTTATCTTATCTTCTTTGGACTCTATTTGTACTACATTTTCTGTTTCATTTTTCCTCTTTATTGTTTGAGATTAAATAGTTGCTTTGATTCCATTTTTCTAGCTATTTGAAAATTATGTATTCTATTTTCATGCTATGTATTTTGTTTTATGCTTTTAGTTACTACTCCTTTTAATATGCACAGTTAATTCTAAAACTAATCAATATCTTTACCCTTCTTTTTATCAAAACAATTAGTTTAGAAGGCTTTAACTTAAAAAAGCAATTTCACAAATATCATTCTATTTTTCTCTGCTATTTTAGTATGATTTTGTTTTTATAGTCCTACAAATTTTGTTACTATTATTTTTATACACATTCATATTGACATACTTACTTACATGTTTACACTTATTTTTTGCTTGTCATTGCCCCTTTTACATTAGACCGTTTCTCTGGATCATTTTCTCTTTTCTCAAAGTACATTTTTTAGACTTTATTCATGAGAGTCTGTTGGTGGTAAAATTTCTCAGGATTTCTTTTTTACTTGAAAATATTTTTATTTTGCCTTCACTTTGGAAGGACAGTTTTTTCTGGGTGTACAGTTTTAGCTTGACAGTTATTTTTTGCCATCTCTTTGAATACATTATTCACTTTGCTTCTAGTTTCCAGTATTGCTATTGGGAAGGCAGCTGTCAGGATAAATTTGGTTCTTTTGTAGGTAATCTTCTTTTCTTTCAGCCTTTTTAAAGATCTTCTTTGTTTTTGGTGTCTACAATTCTATTATAACGTACCTAGCAAGGACTTCTTTTAATTTAACTACAAGTATTTGTGTACTAACTCCTATAATTTCTATCTTTCATCAGTTTTAAATATTTTCAGGCACAAACTCTTCAAATACTGTTTTTCCCCCTATTCTTATCTCCTTCTTTAACTCCCATCACCAATGTCACTTTTTAACCTATTTTTTGTCCTTTCTTTCTTCTTTTCCATTTTTTTTGGCTCTTTGCTGCATTCTGGATAATTTTACAGATTTATATCTCAATTTACCAGTCTGTCTTCAAAAGCGTTTACTTAAGTCATAGCAATTTTTAATTTTAATTGGTTTGTGTCTTATTTCTATAAGTTCTATTTTATTCTTTATCAAAATAGCCATGTTAAAAAAATGTAAAAAAGACATATGCACAACTCTTTTCTCTGAACCATTATTGTACTGGTGAAAGAATGGAAACAGACCAAGTGCCATCAGTAAAGGAAAGTTTCCTAGTGTGGGAAGCCCATGATGACGTATTGTGCAGCTTTATAAAAGAATGATGCATATTTCTATATATTGTTATCAAGTAATATTCAGACAATAGTAAAAAATTTTTTAAAATTATGAAGTTAAGTGAGTATAATATATTGAGGATTATACATTGCTTTATAAAACATAAATACTTCCAAATTTAGTGTCTTAAAAGAATGATTTATTAATTTAATGTGACTGTGGGTTGACTGGGTGGTTTGTCTCCTGTTCTTATCTGTGCAGAGTCCTATGGCTATTGATATCTAACATCCTGGCTTCACTCACATGGATGAGCCCCACCTGGAATGCCTAGAAGACGTGGGACAGCTGGATCTCTCTCCACACGGTTTTTCATTGTTGCCTCAGGTTCCAATAAAAGCAAAAGCTGCAAGGTCTTCTGAGGCAAAGACTTAGAAATACCACAATGTTACTTCTGCTGCATTCTGTTGATAAAAGAATCCCACAATGCCAGCTTCATTTAAAGGGGTAAAGATATAGATTATTCACCTTCGATGGGAGGAACTGCAAATGATGTAATTAGTGATAATTTTTAATATACTGTAATGTATTGACTTATCTTTAAAAAATGAAAAAATAAACCAAAAACTAAAAGCAAAACAAAACTATAATAGAAAACAATTGCTTCTGGAGGAGGAATGCAATGGGGAAAAGGTTATAGAAACAAAAGCTACATTTTATTTGAATATACCTGTTTTAGGTTTGACCCTGGTAACATTTGATATTTTACATAATTATATCATTATTTAAAATTAAATTTTAAAACACCAATACCCATAACAGAAAAGTTTGATAAAAGAGGTGAAATATAAATATAAATATATTAAGTTTGCATTATAATCACACAGAGATGAATTGTGTCAGTTACTCAAACACAGATATTTGACTATACAACCTTTATAAGATATCCTAAGGACAAAAAAACATGCAAAAATATATATTGAACTGTTTTAAAATTATATTTTTTTGCAATTGAATTGTTATTGTGAGACAGGTGTGTACATATTTTAAGATCAAGCAAGTTAGTAAGCTTGTTGACATTATTGTAAATGGGATTTGTCCCATGGGGTAAAGAAGATATAATAGCAAGTAGAAGAAAATAAATGAAAACCCATTAATATGAGTTTGAAGTTAAAGTATCAGTATGAAGTCATGAAGCATTTTCCCAACAAAAAGAAAAAAATAGTTTCCTAGTTCTAATCACTTAAAAGTATATAGAAACAACATAAAACTCAATATCAAGAGGAAATGTAACTCAGATGTGCTCTGTAGACATTTCCCCTAAAAGGAGTTGAAGTTCATTGCAAACAAGTATCTAATTCCAGCTTGGGGTTTGAATATTGTACAAGATGGGCCTGGAATATCAAATTCTCTTACTAAAAAGCAAGGCAGATTTGAAAGACTATTAGGATGCATCAAAGAGACTCAGAGGAGTCACCCTGAAGAGGTTACCATTGGCCAAAGGTAAAAATTTGAGAATCAATAAGAAAATCAAAGGCAGTAGATTAAAATGCCTCAAATATGCTTAAATCTATCTGTTCCTAATAATGTTAATTTAAAAATAATGTTGTCATTGGACAGCTTTGAAGAATGTTAGGGATCCATAAGAATGTACAGTTTTGAATTAAAGAGAAGAATTGAGCATTTATCCTGTTTTTCCTTTATGGATTATGTCTAAGGATAACCAAATGTTGATGACAGAAAATCCTTTTTAAAGATACCTTTAGCCAAAGAATGAAGAAAGAATGATAGAATTGAAATGTTACCATTTTTGCAACCCCTAATGAAATAATGAATCTAGCCAGTTGTTATCAATTGTTGCTAACATAAAAAATGAGAGACAAACAGACACGCCTCTTCATAGAAGTATATGATACCACCTATAAAATATTACTGCCAGAAAAAAAAATCAAACTTTGGATCTAATTACCAATTAGATCAGCCTTTAGCTCTAACAACCAATTTGCAATATTTACAGGAGATACAGGAGCATGTTGAATGACACCATAAAAAGGCAATCAGTAAAATTTAGTTTATTATAAACTATATAGGATAAGTGATCCAGTTGCTGCAATAAATATATTACAGAAGGTGTGTATTGGCGGGTGGGAGATAAAGGAGCAATCTATAGATAAAAACAGACTTAAGGGACATAAAAACAACTTTAATGTATGGATCTTATTTGGATCCTTAAGAAAACAAATTGTAAAGTAGCATGAGACATTTGAAGAAAATAGAAATAGTTTTTAAGTGTGGTAATGATATCGTGGTTATACGTTGTTAAAGAATGCCTTTAGAGGTAAATACAGAAATATTTGCAGATGAACTAAAATGATGTCTAGAATTTACATAAAAGTAATCCTGTAGGGAGAGTGAAGAAGTGGAAAGAGTGGATATTGATAGGCAAGAGTAGCTATAATTTGACCACTGCTGAATGTTGTTGATGGATAAATGAAAATGTATTATATATTTTTTTACTTATATATTTGAAGATTTTGATTTTTAATAAAGTGAAGCTGAGAAAGGGAAAATCATTTTTCTTGATGTCAGGCTTTGAACAGAGATAAAAGTAAAACCACTGTAGACCAAAGTGGAAAAATAAAAAGCAAACATAAACTTTTATGCTTTCAGCTCTCTATTACTGGCTTGTATTTTTTTTTTAATCTTTATTTTAAGTTCCAGGGTACATGTGCAGGATGTGCAGGTTTGTTGCTTTTGTAAATGTGTGCCATGGTGGTTTGCTACATCTATCAACCCATCATCTAGGTATTAAGCCCAGAATGCATTACCTATTTTTCCTAATGCTCTCCCTCCCCCCACTCTACCCCCCAACAGGTCCCAGGATGTGTTATTTCCTTCCCCGTGTGCATGTGTTCTTATTGTTCAGTTCCCACATAAAAGTGAGAACATATGGTGTTTGGTTTTCTATTTCTGCATTAGTTTGCTGAGGATAATGGATTCTAGATCCATTCATGGCCCTGCAAAGGACATGATCTCATTCCTTTTTATGGCTGCATAGTATTCCATGGTGTACAGGTACTTTTGATTGCCTATTTCATTTACTTAAACATATTCAACCTTTCAAAAAAATATTGTTGGTACTTGAAAATTACAATAAATTTGGTGTTTTGGGGTCTGATTCTGCTCTGTTCTTTCTGTAACTCACACTCTTTAAGAACTTACTTATAGTTTACTAGGTTCTCAAAAACTTGCTTAAACCAGGGAAAAAGTTAAAACAACACCACTTTATAAAAAATGTTGAAAATAAAGTAAGATGACTTTTAAGTCAGAAAAAACTGAGGCTACCACTTACGAGTTTGCCACTTACTTAAATGGCTTACTTCTTTTTTATTCTTTTTTAAATTAAGAATTTTAAGAGCAGTTTTAGGTTGACAGCAAAATTAAGAGGAAGACACAGAGATTTCCCAAATACTCCCTCACCCCACACATCAATAGCCTCTCCAATTATTAACATTTCCCATCAAAGCAGTCTTTTTTTCTACAACAGATGAACCCACACATCATTATCACCCAAAGTCCATTGCTGGCATTAGGTTCACCCTTCATATTATACATCCTATCAGTTTGGATAAACGTATAATGATATGTATCTACCATTACACCATCATAGTATCATACAGAATACTTTGACTGTTCTAAAAGTCCTCTGTGCTCCACCCATTTATCCCTCCCTCTTCTCTGTCTCCTGGCAACCATTTATTTTTTACTGTCTCTGTATTTTTGCCTTTTTCATAATGTCATATAGTTGGATTCATACAGTGTGTAGCCTTTTCAGATTGTCTTCTTTTATTTAGTAATATGCATTTAAGCTTCCTCCATGTCTTGTCATAGTTCGACAGCTTCTTTCTTCCTTTTTTAAAAAAATTTGTTTTTAATTTCAATAGCTTTGGGGGGAACAGTTGGTGTTTGGTTACATGAATAAGTTTTCTAGCGGTGATTTCTGAGATTTTTATGCACCCATCACCTGAGCAGTGTACACTATACACTGTGTAGTCTTTTATCCCTCACCCTTCTCCCACCATTTCCCCTGAGTCCCCAAAGTCTATTGTATCATTCTTATGCCTTTGCATCCTCACATCTTAGCTCCCACTTGTGAGTGAGAACATCTGATGTTTGGTTTTCCATTCCTGAGTTACTTCACTTAGAATAATGGTCTCCAATTCCATCCAGGTTGCTGCAAATTCCATTATTTCATTCCTTCTTATAGCTGAGTAGTATTCCATGGTATGTATGTATATATGTGTGTGTGTGTGTGTGTGTGTGTGTGTGTGTGTATATATATATATATATATATATATCACAATTCCTTTATCTATCTACTCATTGATTGATGGCCATTTGGGCTGGTTCCATATTTTTACAATTGCGAATTGTTCTGCTATAATACAAACACGCATGTGCAAGTATCTTTTTTGTATAATGACTTCTTTTCCTCTGGGGAGATATCCTGTAGTGGGATTGCTGGAGCAAATGGTAGTTCTACTTTTAGTTCTTTAAGGAATCTCCACACTGTTTACCAAAGTGTCTGCACTAGTTTACACTCCCACCAGCAGTTTAAAGGTGTTCCCTTTTTACCACATCCCCACCAATGTTTATTTATTTTTTTTTTTGATTTTTTGATTATGGCCATTCTTGCAGGAGTAAGGTAATATCACATTGTGAGTTTGATTTGCATTTCCCTGATCATTGGTGATGTTGAGCATTTTTTCATGTTTGTTGGCCATTTGTATATTTTCTTTTGAGAATTGTCTATTCATGTCCATAGCCCACTTTTTGATGGGATTTTTTTTTCTGATTTGTTTGAGTTCCTTGTAGATTCTGGATATTAGTCCTTTGTTGCATGTATAGATTGCAAAGATTTTCTCTCACTCTGTGGGTTGTCTGTTTACTCTGCTGATTGTTTCTTTTTCTTGCAGAAGCTTTTTAGTTTAATTCAGTCCCATATTTTTATCTTTGTTTTTGTTGCATTTGCTTTTGGGTTCCTGGTCATGAAGTGCTTGTCTAAACCAATGTCTAGAAGAGTTTTTCTGAAGTTATCTTCTAGAATTTGTATAGTTTCACATCTTAAATTTAAGTATTTGATCCGTCTTGAGTTGATTTCTATATAAGGTGAGAGATGAGCATCCAGTTTCATTCTTCTACATGTGGCTTGACAATTATTCCAGCACCACTTGTTGAATAGGGTGTCCTTTTGCACTTTATGTTTTTGTTTGCTTTGTTGATGATCAGTTGACTGTAACTTTATTTCTGGGTTCTCTATTCTGTTTCATTTGTCTATGTGCCTATCTTTATACTAGTACCATGCTGTTCTGGTGACTATGTCCGTATAGTATAGTTTGAGGTCAGGTAATGTGACGCCTCCAGATTTGTTCTTTTTGCTTGGCTTTGTGGTCCCTTTTTTGGTTCCATATGAATTTTAGGATTGTTTTGTACTAGTTGAGTGAAGAATGATGGTGGTATTTTGATGGGAATTGCATTGAATTTGTAGACTGCTTTTGGCAGTTTGTCATTTTCACAGTATTGATTCTACCCATTCGTGAGCATGGGATGTGTTTCCATTTGTTTGTGCAAAGCTACTATGAACACCTTTACACGCATAAACTAGAAAACCTAGAGGAGATAAATTCCTGGAAATACACAACCCTCCTAGATTAAACAGGAAGAAATACAAACTTTGAACAGACCAATAACAAGCAGCAAGACTGAAATGGTAATACAAAAATTGTCAACAAAAAAAAATTCAGAGGTGGGGCATGGTGGCTCACGCTTGTAATCCCAACACTTTGGGAGGCTGAGGCAGGTGGATCACCTGAGGTCAGGAGTTTGAGACCAGCCTGGCCAACATGGTGAGACCCTGTCTCTACTAAAACATACAAAAATTAGCTGGATGTGGTGGCGCATGCCTATAATCACAGCTACTCAGGAGGCTGAGGCAGGAGAATTACTTGAACCCGGGAGATGGACATTGCAGTGAGCCGAGATCATGCCACTGCACTTCAGCCTGGGCGACAGAGTGAGACTCTGTCTCAAAAAGAAAAAACAAAAAGTTCAGAACAAGATGGATTCACAGCTGAATTCTATCAGACATTCAAAGAATAATTGGTACCTATCCTATTGATTGGTACCAATCCTACTATTCCACAAGACAGAGAAAGAGGCAATTCTCCCTAAATCAATCTATGAAGCCAGTATCACCCAAATACCAAAATCAGGGAAGGACATAACAAGAAAAGAAAAGTACAGACCAATATCCCTGGTGGATATAGATGCAAAAATTCTTAACAAAATATTAGCTAACTGAATCCAACAGCATATCAAAAAGATAATCCATCATGATCAAGTGGGTTTCATACCAGGGGTGCAGGGATGGTTTAACATATGCAACTCAATAAATGTGACACACCACATAAGCAGAACTAAAAATAAAAATCACATGATCATCTCAATAGATGCAGAAAAAGCATTTGACAAAATCCAGCATATGTTTTATGATTAAAGCCCTCAGCAAAATCCGCATAGAAGAGACGTATCTTAATGTAATAAAAGCCATCTATGACAAATGCACAGCCAACATAATATTGAACAGGGAAAAGTTGAAAGCATTCCCCATTGAGAACTGGAACAAGACAAGGATATCCACTCTCACCACTTCTTTTCAACATAGGACTGGACATCCTTGCTAGAGCAAGCAGACAAGAGAGAAATAAAGCGCATTCAAATCGGTAAATAGGAAGTCAACTGTTGCTGTTTGCTGATGATATGATTGTATGCCTAGAAAGCCCTCAATACTCCTCAAAAAAGCTCCTAGAACTGACAAATGAATTCAGCAAAGTTTTAGAATACAAAATTAAGGTACACAAATCAGTAGCTCTGCTATACACCAACAGTAACCAAACTGAGAATCAAATCATGAGCTCAACCCCTTTTACCATAGCTGCAAAAAACAAACAAATTTAAAAAACTAGGAATAGCCCTAACCGAGAAGGTGAAAAACCTCTACAAGGTAAACTACAAGATACTGCTGACTGCTTATTTCTTTTTAACACTGAATAATATTTCATTTTCCAGATTTACCACTGTTTATTTATCTACCTACTGAAGGACCTCTTGGTTGCTTCTAAGTTGTGGCAATTATGAATAAAACTGCCATAAAACTCTGTGTGCAGGTTTTTGTGTGGGCATAATTTTTCCTTTGGGTAAATACCAAGGACTAAAATTGCTGGATTGTATGATAAAAGTATGGTAAGTTTTGTAAGAAACTGCCATGCTATTTCCCAAAGTGGCTGTACCATTTTGCATTCCCACTAGCAACGATTGAGAGTTCCTGCTGCTCCACATTTTCACCAGCATTTAGTGTTGTCAGTGTTCTGAATTTTAGCCATTTTACTAGGGTTAGTGGTATCTCCTTATTATTTTAAATTACTTATTTTTTTTACATCCAAGTTTTCTCATCTACCAAAATGCAGATGCTAATGCCTAGTTCAGATAATTCTTGTGAAAATTCACAGATGTGGTAATTCGTGGAAATAACACAATATCTGATATGCTAAAGCACTCTGGTAGTTTTATATATAGCTATGATTCCTGAACTGGGAAGTAGGGTAGGTCAATCTCATGTCTACATATAAAACTGCAAAAAGATTTTTATTTTCACTCACTGATGTAGAAAAATAGTCTGTCGTATTGCAACAGTAACGTCATCTTCAATCAAACCTGCCAAAATGACTGATGCTTGACCTCTGCATCCCAAGACATTCCGCAGCCAGGTTAAGAAACAATGCCTGTAGCATAGATAACCCTTCAGAAAGATGCTTATCTCACCTCCCCAGTAGCCACAAGTTTTGCAAGAAAGTCAGAGGCATGCCCAGCTGCACATGTTTTACCCCAAAAGCTTGCTATATAAAGGACACTTTCTGGAAGGCAGGTTCAAGGATCCAATGTCTCTTGGCCACTGAGAAATGGTTTCTATTCTTAAGTCCCTATTAAATGTTTCTTCCTGAAAAAATAAACTTGTCAGCCTCTTTCTTTCACCTCTCAGCCAAGGCCTTTAGGGGTAGGTTTTGCCTATACCTGCCCACTATGGAATAACCAACCCGACCTCTAGCCCGTGAGCTAGAAAATCAGATATGTAAGAATGCTACATTGACACCTGAACTTGGATTGTATGACTGACAACAAATACTCTTTGAACTACATCTAACATTTTGAACCAATAATATTGAATAGCAGAAATGAAATACATTTGTCTTCACCATTAACATTTTTTAAGTGGATTACCTTCTTTGGGTGAAATGGAAATGTAGCATTTGCAAAACTGTTAATGAATTTGTGTTGAGTGGTTAAATCTACACTACAAATGATTTAATTCAGGGCATGGTAGAGTATACTGTTGGTTTCTGAATGATGGTGTTAGTTATGGTCTGAGCATAAGTTAAATCATTTTGTAGTTTATTTGTTTGAAATTAGAGCTTTCCTCTTACCAAATGATCTCTAGGGCAAAATGATTCCATTACGAACTCTTTTGAAACACCAGAATTGTCATCCCTAATGTTGACTTGGCTTCCTGAAGAAGCAGTTCTGGATACATAACTTCATCAGAACAGCACAGAATTTGTGATGCATTCCACTGATTCCAAAGACTATGTTTTAGACTCTACTCTCAAGGGCAGGTCTTTTATTTTTGTTTGATTGAGAGATTTCATCTACAAAGAAGAAAATATAAAGAATGATAGTGTCTTTCCATTTGTCATGCGCAGTAACACTTGCACTGAAGGATTTATAAAACAGAATCTAGCACATAATAAATCTTTTTTTTTTTCCGAAGGCTTACAAGATATCTCATTCTTGAGAGCTAATATGGAACTGGAACTACTCTAAGTAAAATAGGAATTCAAGTTCATTATGTGTGTTATTTATTAACATCAAATTAATTCTGGCCACTGACTGTTTTGCCATTTCCTCCTCTAGAAGGCTAAGATTCTATTTAGATTCAACTATTTTTTTCCATGTTCTTTTTATTTATGCTGAAACAGACCAGAAAATCAAATAGGCCAGATTTTTTTTGTTATTTATTTGTTGCACAATTATTCAATATGCAGATTCATAAGATTATAAATTAACCACACTATACGATTCAATTTAGAACCAGAAGAGAATATTTTAACAAAATGCACTGAGTTTCCAGTCATATTCAGGTACACACATGTGAAAAGCAAATTAAATAAGAGGTCAAAGTAAAATGAACACAAGACAATGACATTCCAGGTATATATGCAATATTTTCTTCCTCTCCCTCCACTAATCCTGATAAGCCAGTTAAAATGACGACTGAGTTTTTGGATTTCTACATAATTACAGTTACCATCAAAGCTAGTGATTACATTAATGTTCATTGGATTTGCCTCTTTGAGAGACAGCCAAATCAGAAAGATCACATTTAGGGAATTCTAGGCTACTGGTGACTGCACAGTGACTTGTGGAGGTGTCCTCAGGAAGAGTTTCATTTCATCCTCTGGGGTTTTTATAAATTTGAGATGTAAAAAAAGTGTGTGTGTGTGTGTGTGTGTTTGTGTGTGTTTGTGTGTTGGGGGTAGGGAACAGTGATCCTTTTTCTATTTCATGTCCCAGAAAGAGGAACTGAATTTAAGTTGTTAAATACCCATCCCCTGCAGTATACATGATTTTGGATTGCTTTCTTTTTATGGTATTTTCTCACTTTTAAAGCTATCCCCAGTTTGGAAATAGAAAGTGCACCTGTAATGTGTTGAGGGTGGGAGGGAGAACATCATGATTTTTCCCCAGTTCTACATGCATAAAGAATGATTGAAAATGGACATTTGAGCTCCTGTTAATAGAGTGAAAAATAGGCAAAATTTGGTAAACAGTTTTGCTGGGGAGCCATGATTTTAAAGGGCTATGTTTTTGCAAGGCTAGGCTTTTGAGACATTTGTTTTCTCCTGGATACTTCAGCCTCTTCCCAGTTAAATGGAACTTGTAAGCCATTTTAGCATCCCTTGTCTTTCCATAATGTTGAGGTTAGACACTACACTAAAGATTTATTCCTGGCTGCTAAGGAGAAACAAGTCTTCAATACTGGGAACTCACTGTGGCTGCTTGCCCACAGAGTTCAGGGAAAGGGAAGCCAGAAGCCAGGCTATAGGACACACCAGCTATCCCTCTGAGGTTTCCTCACTAACAAGCCACTTGAATTAGAAAGCACACAAGCCAGTGGAGAATAAACCACATCTGACCATGGAACAATTTGAATGAAGTACTTCATTGATTTGACCTGGTGGCTTATCAAGATACTTTTGCCCAGATTCAATACATGAGATTCTCCCCTCAAAATGTTTGCTCAATGTTTAGACTTATTTAAATGTATTTGAGGTTTCTGCTTGGAGACCTAATTTTATGTATTTAAACACATTCAACCTCTGGGTAACTGATAGTAAATAAAAACAAAACATTTAGCCTATCAAATTATATCACATGTATTTATTGAATCGTTAAAAAGAATTACAAAAACCCAGACATGCGGACTCTAGTAAACGGTCTTTGTTGGTTCTAGAACATGTATTCTTAGTCCAGCTGCTTGATAAACTGCAATCACCTAAACACACGCTCCTAAATCAAATCTTGGATTTCAGTAAGAGCACTGAGCCATCACGGGTTTCTGTTTTTTGGAGAAGCCAAGTCATAATAAGCTTTTAAAGGTATGTCTAGTCAATATTTTTTTTAAACCTCCTTTCACCTTAATATGTGTTTAGCCAACACAACAAGTATAATTGTGGAAATCATTCTATAAATTGCATGCATTCACTCTTTGCTGAACATAGAAGAAAGCCTGAGAATATGAAAAGCAATGCATTTGTTGCCTTGTTCTCAAGAGGCCACCTCTCTTTGAGAAAACCAAATCGCAGGGCACCAAAAATTAAGTAACAAAGAGCGAGATATTGACCATATGTTTCAGGAGGCTTTGGATAGAAACTTCCCTGTCTTCAGTGGTTGCAAATTAGTTGTCCTAGATTTGATCTTCATCAGTATTGTGCTTCTCAGCTTTTTGGTTTTGATTCTTGTAAAGCACATGTTGCTTTGAATTATTCTTTCATTATAGCAAAGATAAAGGAGCCTGACAGCAAAATTGTTTACAATAATGAAAATTTGGATTTAGCCAATATGTCCAAAAATATATTACTAATAGAACATATGGAGCATCTATCCAAAGTAATATTATGTAGCTCTTAAGTTTATTTTGTAGCTTTCGGTTTAATGATGTAATAAAAAGTTAAGATATCAAGTGAAAAAGCAGGTTATAGAATTTTGGTAAAACTATTATACAAGTAAAATGTTTTTCCTACATATTTTGGACGTTCTTACATCCAAAAATCTTATATCCATGGACTTTTTAATGCCACTGTTTTAAAATTTCACTACAATATATATTTAAGTGGCATATAGCCTGATCTTATTGCCTTGGGGTTTGTCTTGGCCATCAACTTTTGTTGGGCTGAATTTAGGCCTTCTGAGAGGTCATTGCAGCCATTCTCCTCTGCCTAATCCTCTACTGCCTATCCCATCAAAGGGATCTAAATGATTTTCCCCTTCACAGTCAAAGGAAGTTTCTCTCTTCTCGGGGAAGGGAGGGAAGAGAAGCTCCGGGTATGGCAAACTGAGTCTGTGAGACTATTTCTATTTCCCTGGAAAAGAAAAATTGAAACAATTTTTATTCTTTCTGATATCTTTATAGTGGTGAAAGTAAAGAAGAAAATGTCATTAAGTTTTCCCGCCACATTATATATGAACATGTTGATTACAATGTGCAAAAATTGAATGTCTGGAAGGGTATGTTCACCAAAATTAGTCTAGAATGTCGTTATGCTTTTTGTTTCTTTTCCCTTCTTAAAAATATATTTGTCTTAACTGTTTTTTAAGAGTTTGTTTTATAATAAATACAGATTGCCCTGTAATAACAAAATGAATTTAGGCAATAAAGTCTTGTCTTTTGTATCTTAAAATTATTTTAAAATATTTCATAAGGGACACTTTGAAAAAATAGTTTTTAATCTTTTCAATGACACTGTAATGCAAGTATCTATTTTTCATTTACTCATGTGGAAACCATGTAATAAGGGGCTAAAGACATGTCCCAAGTCATATAAAATAGTAAATGGCAGAATGAGAATTTGGAGCCTCACCTCCTTGACATAAGTATTCTCATTTCTCTTACCAATTAGACTTTAAAGAAAAATACTAATTTGAAAAATTTGTTCTTGGCTACTTTAAATTTGTAGGATGCATCTACAAAGCATCTATTTACTTTCTTGCGGATCCACTGAAAACTGATTTTGCTGCTCTAGATGGGGTGGGAATAGAGGAAGCAGAAGAAGATAAGGAATTTTTTAAAAGTACTGGATTCGTGTTATATTGCTGCTGTAACAAATTATCACAAATTTAGCAGCTTAAAACCACACAGATTTATTACCTCACACTTCTGTAGGTCAGGAATCTGGTGGCTCAGTTGAGCTCTGCTCTAGGTTCCCCAAGGTCAAATCAAGGTTCTGGCCAGCCTGGGTTTTTACCAGGAGGCTTTGGGAGACAATCTGTTTCCAAACTGATTCAGGCTGTTGGCAGAATTTACTGCTATGTGGTTATAGGACTTAAGTCCCACTTGTCTTGCTGGAAGTTGGCTGGGGGTCATTCTCAGCTTTTTTTTTTTTTTTTTTTTTTTTTTTTTTTTGAAACGGAGTCTTGCTCTGTCGCCCAGGCTGGAGTGCAGTGGCGCGATCTCGGCTCACTGCAAGCTCCGCCTCCTGGGTTCACGCCATTCTCCTGCCTCAGCCTCCCGAGTAGCTGGGACTACAGGCGCCCGCCACCGTGCCTGGCTAATTTTTTGTATTTTTTAGTAGAGACAAGATTTCACCATGTTAGCCAGGATGGTCTCGATCTCCTGACCTCAAGATCCGCCCGCCTCGGCCTCCCAAAGAGCTGTGATTACAGGCGTGAGCCACCGCGCCCCGCCCATTCTCAGCTTTTAGAGGCTGACTGCATTTCCCTTTAGTCTCTCTGACTCATTTTTGTTTTGTGCCACATCTCTTCTCTGACTCCAGTCGGAGAAAGTTCTCTGCTGTAAGGAGTCAAGTGATTAGATTGGGCTCACCTGGATAACACAGGATGCGCTCCCTCTTTTATGATCTATAATCTCAATTACGTCTGAAAAAATCTCTAACAGTCCTACCTAGACAGAGTTTGATTGAATAATCAGAAGACAGGCTATTGGGGCAACATCTTTGGAATTCTACCACCACTAGTTTTTGTTTGTTTTTTTCTTTTTCTCAAAACTTGAGGATAGAAATATTCACACTTTTTTCAACTTTCAATGCTTATGCCTAAACATCTGACACATATCAGATATTCATAAATATATTTCCTCCCAAATCCATAACTTGAATAAATTTTGTCTGTAGTTACTTCGAAAAGCGAATTTTTAACAATAATTTCAACTGTTATTTTAGATGCAGGGGGTACACGTGCAGGGTTGTTACATGAGTATATTGTGTGATGCTGAGATTTGGGATACAAATGATTCCGTCATGGATAACACAGTGAGGTAGTGAGCATAATACCCAACAGTTAGTTTTTCAACCCTTGCTGCAGCTCACCCTCCCCCAACTCGTATTCCCCAGTGTCTATTTTTGCCATTTTTATGTCCATGAGTACTTAAATGTTTAGCCCTCTTTTGAAAGTGAGAATATGCGGTATTTGGTTTTCTGTTTTTGTATTAACTCACAGGATAAAGGCCTCAAGCGCCATCCCTGTTGCTGCAAAGGACATGATTTTGTTCTTTTTTAATGGCTACGTAGTATTCCATGGTATATGTATCACATTTTCTTTATCCAGTCTGCCATACATGGGCACCTAGTTGATTCCATGTCTTTTCTATTGTGACTAGTGCTTCGATGAATGTAAAAGTTCATGTATCTTTTTAGTAGAACAATTTATTTGCTGTTGGATATGTATCCAGCAATGGAATTGCTAGGTCTATAGTTCTAAGTTGTTTGAGAAATTTTCACACTGCTTTCCACAGTGGCCAAACTTATTTAAATTTCTACCAACAGTGTATAAGCATTCCCTTTTCTCCACGGCCTCACCAGCATCTGTTACTTTTTTACTTTTCATAATAGTCACTCTGACTAGTATATGATGGTATCTCATTGTAGTTTTGATTTGCATTTCTCCAGTGATTAGTGATTTTGGGTATTTTTTCATATGTTTATTGGCTGCTTACGTGTCTTCTTTTGAGAAGTTTCTGTTAATGCCTTTTGCCCACTTATGTTCAGAGGTACAAGTTCAGGTTTGTTACATAGGTAAACTTGTGTCATGCAGGTTTGCTGTACAGATTATTTCATCATGCAGGTATTAAGCCTAGTACTCTTTAGCTATTTTTCTTGTTCCTCTCCCTCTTCCCACCCTCCTCCCTCTGAAAGGCCCCAGTGTGTGTTGTTCCCTTCTATGTGTCCATGTGTTCTCATCATTTAGCTTCCACTTACAGGTGAGAACATGTGGTATTTGGTTTTCTGTTCCTGTGTTAGTTTGCTAAGGATAATGGCCTCCAGCTCCATCCCTGTCCCTGCAGATGACGTGATCTCATTCTTTTTTTTATGGCTGCATAATATGCTATGGTGTACATGTACCACATTTTCTTTATCCGGTTTATCATTGACGGGCATTTGGGTTGATTTCATGTCTTTGCTATTGTGAATAGTGCCGCAATGAACATACGTGTGCATGTGTCTACTTTTTAATGGGGTTGTTTTTTGCTTGTTAAGTTTATTATAGATTCTGGATATTAGATATTTCTTGGATGCCTAGTTTGCAAATATTTTCACCCATTCCGCAGGTTGTTTATTTTGTTGATTGTTTCTTCGGCTGTGCAGAACCTCTTTAATTTAATTAGGCCTCACTTGTCAATTTTTGTTTTTGTTGCAATTGCTTTTGAGGTTTTAGTCATAAACTCTTTACCAGGGTCCATGTCCAGAAAGGTATTTCCTAGGTTTTCTTCTAGGATTCTTATATTAATAGTTTGAGGTCTTACATTTAAATCTGTACTCCATCTTGAGTTAATTTTTGTATGTGGTGGAAGATAGGGTCCAGTTTCATTCTTCTGCATATAGATAGGCAGATGTCCCAGCACCATTTATTGAATCGAGAGTCCTTTCTTTATTGCTTGTTTTTTTTTTTTTGACTTTGTCAAAAATCAGATGGTTGTAGGTGTGCAGCTTTATTTCTGAGCTCTCTATTCTCTTCAAGTGAGTTTCCCAGACTGTATGTCTGCTTCTTTTTTTTTTTTTTTTTGAGATGGAGTCTCGCTCTGTCACCCAGGCTGGAGTGCAATGGTGCAATCTCAGCTCACTGCAAGCTCCACCTCCCGGGTTCACACCATTCTCCTCCCTCAGCCTCCCAAGTAGGTGGGACTACAGGCGGCTGCCACCACGGCCGGCTAATTTTTTATATTTTTAGTAGAGATGGAGTTTCACAATGTTAGCCAGGATGGTCTCAATCTCCTGACCTCGTGATCTGCCTGCCTCGGCCTTCCAAAATGCTGGGATTACAGGCGTGAGCCACTGCGCCCGGCCCCTGCTTCTTTTTTTAATTTAACTAGTATCATGCTGTTTTGGTTACAGTATAGTATAGTATAGTATAGTATAGTATAGTATAGTATAGTATAGTATAGTATAGTATAGTATAGTATAGTATAGTGTAGTATAGTGTAGAGTGTAGTATGGTGTGGTTTGAAGTCAGGTAATTTTATGCCTCCAGCTTTTTCTTTTTGCTTAGGATTCCTTTGGCTATTTGGGCTCTTTTTTGGTTCCATATGAATTTTAGAATAGTTTTTTTTCTAATTCTGTGAAAAATGACAGTAGTTTGATGGGAATAGCATTAAATCTGTAGATTGCTTTGGGGACCATTTTAACAATATTAATTCTTCCAATCCGTGAGCATGGAATATTTTTCCATTTGTTTATGTCATCTATGATTTTTTTTTCATCAGTGTTTTGTAGTTCTCCTTGTAGAGATCTTTCACTTCCTTGTTTTGATGTATTCCCAGATATATTTTTGTGTGGCTATTGCAGATGAGATTGTATTCTTGATTTGGCTCTCTGTTTGAATGTTATTGGTGTATAGAAATGCTGCTGGGATTTGTATATTAATTTTTTATCCTGAAACTACTGAAGTCATTTATCAGTTCCAAGCGCGTTTTGGTGGAGTCTTTAGGGTTTTCTGGGTATTAGAATTACATTGTCAGCAAAAAATGGTAGTTGACTTCTTTTTTCCTATTTGGATGCTTTTTATTTCTTGTCCTGTCTGATTTCTCTGGCTAGGGTTTCCAGTACTACGTTGGATGGGAATGGTGAGATTGGGCATTCTTGTCTGTTCTAGTTCTCAAGGGAAACACTTCCAGCTTTTGCCCATTCTGTATGATGTTGGCTGAGGATTTGACATTAATGACTCTTATTATTTCAACATATGTTCCTTTGATGAGTAATTTGATGAAATTCTTATCACAAAGACATGTTGGATTTTATCAAAGGCTTTTTGCATGTCTATTGAGATAATCATACAGTTTTTGTTTTTAGTTCTGTATATGTGGTGAATCACATTTTCCGTGTCTACTGAGATGACCATGTGGTTTTTGTTTTTAAATTGCTTTTAATTATGTTTGTGTGGTAAATCACATTTATTGATTTGCCTATGTTGAACCAACCTTGCATCCCAGGAATGAAGCCTACTGGATTATGGTGAATTAACTTTTTGATGTGCTGCTGGATTCAGTTTCCTAGTATTTTGTTGAGGATTTTTACATCTGTGTTCATCAGGGATATTGGCCTGTAGTTTTCTTTTTTCATTGTATCTCTGCAGGTCTTGGTATGAGGGTGATGCTGGCTTTGTAAAATGAGTTAGAGAGGAGTCTCTCCTCCTTGATTTTTTTTTGGAATATAGTTTCAGCAGAATTGTTAGCATCTCTTCTTTGTATATCTAATAGAATTTGGCTGTGAATCCATCTGGCCTGGGGCTTTTTTTGGTTGGTAGATGTTTTATTACTGATTCAATTTTGGAACTAAATACAGGTCTGTTCAGGGCTTTAATTTCTTCCTGATTCAATTTGGGGCGGGGGAGGTTCATGTTTCCAGGAATTGAACCATTTATTCGAGATTTTCTAGTTTGTGTGTATAGAGGTGTTCATAATAGTCTCTGAGGATCTATTGTATTTCTGTGGGATTGGTTGTAATGTCACCTTTGTCATTTCTGATTTTGCTTATCTGGATCTTCTGTCTTTGTTAATTCGGTGTCGATTGATCTTGTTTATTTTTTCAAAAAACCAGCTTTGGTTTTATTGATTCTTTATATGGATTTTTGTGTCTTAATTTGGTTCAGTTCTGCTCTAATTTTGGTTATTTCTTTTCTTCTGCCAGCTTTGGAGTTAGTTTCTTCTTGTTTTTCTAGTTCCTCTAGGTGTGACGTTAGATTGTTAAGTTGAGAGCTTTCTTTTTGAGATAGGCATTTAGCATCAAAGTGAAGTTTTAAAGTCTCACATGAAGTATCTATTTCCACCTTTTCAGGTAAAATGGAGCACAAGTAGTCCATTTCCAAATAATATGGCTTACTGTTTCTCTGAGAGTTTAGCTTGCAGTAGACTCAGAGATAAATTCTAAGGTTACAAGACAGCAATGACCTGGTTATTACACAGCTTTTACATTTCCAGAGTATGGTTTCCCATTCAAAGGTACAGCTAAGTGGCAATGTCTCAGTAGTGCAATGCATTTGTTTTCTCTAAATTGTGTTCATTACCGTCATTCTGGGATAGGATATACAGTTTTACTATGAGGTTTTTTTGTTTTTGTTTTTTTTTTTTGAGGTAGGCTAGGTTCAAAAGATAAACTCCCAGGATTAGATAAACTGTAAGTTCCTCAGTCCCCTTCTTGGGTGTAAGAAGTAAAAAAAAAAAAATCCTCTCTTTTGTTATTCTTTTCAACAAAGTAATTTAATTTGACTTCATAAACTTTTTCCTCATCTGCCATAACCACTTTCAAAAGTGATATATTCCCACAAATTAGCTAAAATGTAGGCACAATTTTACTTTAGAAATTATAGGTCTTTTCCTCTAATAAGTTGATCTCTTCCTTATAAAAACAATTTAAATGAGGGGACAACACCTGCCAATAAAATAGAACAGCCCCCACCCCCAACACACACAAACACAGAGGGAGAGAGAGAGATGAAAGAGAGAGAGAGGATAGAGAGACAGAGAGAGACAGAGAGAGATATTGATTCAGGAGGCAATGGAGAACCTAGAAAGATTAGATTAGATGATGCATTTTGACAAGAAAGGAAGAATGAATCCCTGAATGGAGATACAAGATTCTGGGGAAATTACTCAACCTCTGTCATTGCTAGACCAATTTGTCCTTCTTCAGAGAATGAGAGATTCACATTAATAATCATAATTACCACAGTCATAATTTACAGATTATGACTGTGGTTCTTCCAGAAGACACACAGAGTTTGCTTTTCCCTTTACCCAATGGCAAGTGGTGCACCTGCATGCCAGGTGGCAGCAGCACCTATTACTATGAAGGGGTGTGATGCTGATATCACTTCTGCTAACTGCTATCATGGTGTAACAAATGACATACTTCTGTGGCTTGAAAAGGTGTGTTAGTCAGGATTTTCCAGAAAAATAGCACCAATAGCGTGTGTATATAGATAGAAAGAGATTTACTTTAAGAAAGTTGTCCATGAGATTATGAAGGCTGGCAAGTCCAAAAATCTGCAGAGTGGGCCAGTAGGCTGGAGATCCATCAAAGAGTCAAAGCTGCAGTTCAATCCAAAGAATTTTTGGTTGGGGACTCAGGGAAGAGCCAGTGCTGCAGCTCAAGCCTGAAAGCAGTCTATTGCAGTGTTTCCTCTTGCTCAGGAGAGGTACGTCTTTTGTTCTACTCAGGCATTCAGATGATTAGATGAGGCCCACCTGCATCATGGAGGACAATCTACTTTATACAAAGATCATCTATTAAATGTTAATCTCATCCAAAAACGTCCTTACAAAAAATTAATAATGTTTAACGACATGTCTTAGGCACTGTAGCCTGGACACATATAAATTAACCATTTATATCAATATATAAATTAACTATCACAGGAGATTTAAAGCTTTTTCTTTTGGGCTCTGATCTAAATTCTTGGAAGAAGAAATTTAATTCTTTGATGTAAAAAGGAACTGTTAAAAGGGTTGGAAACTCTGCACCTGTGTATATATATTTTTTAGCAATAAAGCAGCATGGGCTGAGAATGCAACAAAAAAGGGAAATTTTTATTTAGATGGCTATAAAAATAATGTTAATGCTACCTACGTGTCTAGGTTTAGATCACTTAGCCCAATAGCAGCAAGCATGTATGAGTTATTTCCAACCCATTAATAAATAATCATATCTATCATCCCCAAGTACCTACTATATGTCAGGCCCTGCACTGAGTGTTTTATACGATAAGCCTACACAGTAGATAATATTATCTTCATTTCATAGATGAGTAAGCAGTTTTAAAATAATTGATTGACCTGATTAAGAGTCAGTTAAGTGGCAAAGATGAGAGTTAAAGTCAACTCTTCTATCATTAAATCTCGTACTTTCATACAATATTACTCTACCTTCCATGTAGCATGAACATTATCTGGAAACTCATATTCCTTTCTTTGTCTAGGCAATCCACAAGCTGGCCTTAATACCGCAACTAAAGAAAGAGCAAGAACATCAAATATTTTTATTACAACTTAAAATTAATTAATATGAACAATGGAAATTAAAATGTTTAAAATGTTCCAAGAACCTAGTTATTATGCAACAGTCTTTAATTGGTAGCTGAAAATAGGATATATTTTAGCATTCTCAGATGGTTTTTATCTAATATGAATAACATCACTGCCAACGTTCCTTGAATAATTGTGTATATTCTACATAAGTAGTTGCAGCAAAGGTGTTGTCAGAACAGCAAAATGACTCTCCCTCATGTCGGAAGAAGTATATCTAATTTAAACCTCCATGTAGGCCTGTCAGTCTGCTGTCTGGCTGAAATTCTATTAAAGCCAATGCTCTCTATCTGTGCCTCAGCCTTCGGTGGCAAGGAGCATGTGACAGTTCTCAAGGAACAGAATCTGAGTAGTCCTATAATTTATTTGTTCATTTCATCCGTTTATGAAAGGTAACAAGAGCACTAGTCATTTGGGAAAAGATTTACAAAATATAATTAAATGTGATCACTGCTTTCCTATCCCAATGTGCTGATGCAGTAGATAACATCCAGATCAAAGTTACTGTTTCCTATCTGCCTTAAAGTCTTCAGTCACACATCAGGGAAGAGGAGACTTTAGTTGAATATGAAAAGTGAGCCTACATTCTACAACAAAGGGCATATTCTTGTATTATCCATTGATTCTAACTGGTAGGTGGAAAAGGCACTCCTGGTTACCAACCCTGCAGTTTTTTCCCCTCCCCTGCTGGTTGAGTCCCCATCTTCCATTGTAAGTCAGGTATAAAACTCTATTGGCCTAAGTGAATCGCGCTAATCCCATTATCTTTTTCACTGATAGGTTTAGGGAGGGAAATATGACCCAGTCCTGGCTCCTGAAATGTAAAAAGTCAGCTGAGGGACTTTAGGTGAAGGGTTTCCTGTTCTACATAAAAGACCCAGAAGAAGAGATGCTCCCTTCTTTTTCCACTGAATCTCATCATGTCTCCGTGAATGAGATGTTTGGAGCAGTGATAATCACCTAGTGACCATGGAGAAAAAGCTTCCTTAAGTAATTGGCACAGTGTTAATGTTAGAGAAAAGAGGTTCTGAGTTATTGATATATAAATGACCAATTGAATAAATGGGCTCTAAAACTGCCCTTACTGTCTCATGTTTGAGATAAAAATGTTTTCTTGACCGGGCACAATGGCTCACTCCTGTAATCCCAGCATTTTTGGAGACCAAGGCAGGTGGATTGCTTGAGTTCAGGAGTTCAAGACAGACTGGGAAACATGGTGAAAACTCATCTCTAAAAAACAAAAAAATACAAAAAAATAGCCAGGCATAATGGCATATGCCTGTAGTCCCAGCTACTCAGGAGGCTGAGGTGGGAGGATGGCTTGAGCCTGAGAGGTCGACGCTGCAGTTAGCTGTGATGACGCTACTGCACTCCAGCCTGGGTTACAGAGTGAGACCATGCGTCAAAAACAAAAGAAAAACAAAACAACAAACCAAAAAAAAGTTTTCTAGTTTCTTAACATATTGAGTCAAAGTTTTTCTGTAACTTTGGGTTAAATGCCTCTTTACTGATACAATTAACCCTTTAGAATTCCACCTGGTGGCTGTATCCTTTTTCTCTGAAGGACACACGATTTATTTACTTGGTTTTCCTACCAGTGACCTTACCCTTCAATATTAGTGAGTCATGCACGGAGTCTCTCATTTCCAAAGAAGCACTGGTTGTGGAGGATGTGTTACAGGAAAGGCAAGTTTGTGCCACACTGTGGGATTGCTGCCCAAGAGTGCTATGGGGTGTGTGCAGAATACCAGCCACTACTACCAATTCTCCTTGCAATGCACACATATGCACACACACACACACACACACACACACTGATAGGGAGGGAAGTATATCTTCAAAGTACCTAAATGCTTTGGTCAGTTGGACTACATGGCTAATAACATTCACAATCCTGTATGTATTGAAGGTGGAATTGGTGGTAGTCATTAATAGGACCACAAAAAAATACAATATGCCCAGAATACCACTTTTATTGAGACAGAGACTGGGGTGGAAGGCCTGGATTTAGGTTGTGAGCCAAATGGAACTGTTAATATCAAACCCAAGAATCAGGCAGCTTATCACCATCAGTCCAGTGAGGCTTCCAACATGTGAGAACAAAAGTAAACTCATAATTTTGGTGGGCACGTTCACTCCCTAAGATCAGAAAAAGGGTTGAGCTGAGCATAGTGCTATGAACTGGGTTGTGTTCCCTTAAATTCCTATGTGGGAACTCCCATTCCCAATGTGATATTTGGGATTTGAAGATGGGCCTTTTGGGAGATAATTAGTTTTAGTTGAGGCCAGGAGGGTGGCATCCTCATGGTAGAATTAGTGTCCCTGTAAGAAGAGACACCATAGAGCTTGTTTCTTCTCGCTCTCCACCATATGAGGACACCGGGAGAAGATGACTTTCTGCAAGCCAGGAAGAGAGCCCTCATCAAGAACTGAATCCTCTGGTACCTAGATCTTGGACTTTCAGCCCCCAGAATTGTAAGAAATAATTGTCGGTTGTTTAAGCCACCCAGGCTTCAGTATTTTGTTATAGCAGCCTAGGAAGAATAATACACACACCTACTGATTCTTCTAAGACTTACCAACAATATAAAGACCTCCCTAATGAGCAAGCAGGTGGAGAATAACCAGGCATCATATTATTTTGACCTCTCTTCACAAGAAGAAAACTTTGGGAATGGAAAAGATGTGCACATTATTAAAATTGTTTTTCTCTTCTTCCCCTCATTGTGAATCTCTGTGGGAGCAAGTTGTAGGTGGGTGAGAGGAAGAGTGATTTCCTTCCGCAGTTCAGTAATTCTGCAGCAAGTTTCTCTCTTGGATGTTGGTTTGTGTGTTCTGCCCTGGAGAAAAGGGACCAGTTGGTAGATGAGAGAGGGTAGTGATTTTTTTTTTGTCCTCCTGCAGAGAAGAAAGGAGTGTGATGAAGGGCTGGGACTCATGAGGTCTAGCTCTTTGATTTTGTACTGAGCTGAGGCCCAGAGAGGTGAATAACAGTATGGTGACCCAGGTTGTTCTTCATGGTATCCCACTGCTAGGAGTCAAAGATGTGGACTCCAATTCTACATAACAGGCTCAGTCTTCAATGATTATCTTTTGAACTCTTTGAACCTGCCAACCACAGGAGCAAAATTTACTAAGCATGAGATACATTTTGTTCTTTCCACTCTCAGTAGTTTATTACTAACTGTCCCTTAGCCTTAATTAAAGAATTAATGTGCAGTTTTTGTGTTTGTCTGCAGATTTATATGTGAAAGCACTGTATATCTTTGGCTTAAAACTTGGCTGGATTTCTTAATCAAGTGTTAAGAAAGTTATTCACATAATATATTCCAAGTTAAGTGGAAAAAAAGAGAAACACATTTATGTCTCCGTCGTTAAAAGTTTTGCGAACATCAACCAGATTTTGAGAACATTGCTTATCTCTGCGAAGTGGGCTGAGTTAGCTGAGAGTAGGGGCAGAGAGGAACATATATTTTTGACTTTATATACTTGGATCTAAATTTTCTTTGAGCTATATATGATTTGTTGCTTAAGTGATTTGTTCTTCGGGACCTTTAAAAAACAAGTTTTGGTATGCATGGAGATTTGAATAGCTCCTCATTCTGTTTTATAAAGTTGCTAGTTAAGAAAAGAATTCACCTGTGGAAAAGTTTGGACATGGGAATCAAACAGGTCAGGATTTGACTTTCAATTCTGCCTCTTCCTGTCTGTAAAAGGTCCTGCAAACAACTCAATTACTTTGTGTTTCCTCCTCTTTAAAGACTTGTACTGATTAGAAGTAATATAGATATCAAGTTTGTTACAAAGCAGACATTAATAAAGTGCTGGCTACATAAGTAGAAGGGAGATCCTGAACTGCCACACGTGGAGGATGATGGCTATCCCTGTTTACCCAATTATCCCACTGTAATTGTTGCTAACACCCTTTTTCATTTTCACATCACTTGAATTGCATGATAAATTACATGGTTACCCTATCATAAGTCATGTTAAGAGTTTGAACTTTATGCCAAAACTTGTGGAGGGAACCTGAGAGAGAAGACTATGCCCCAGAGGTCATATGTTTCCAAAATTTTCACCAACCACAGAGGATGCCTGCCTGAGTAGTTAAGTGGCATGTTTAAAGAATAGACGGTGGTGCAATCCTAGCAGTAAAAGAAGAGAATCAAATGGTCTAAGGGAGCAGTGAACGATGAGTCTGGCGATGGAAGGAGACAGTTATGAAATGAGGCCACTCTGGAGAAGGGATTTGAACGGATGCCTTCCTCTTTTCTGTTGCTGGTTTGTTTGCTTTTTAAATTTCAGTACTGAGAAGTAAAAAAATCATTTGAATATTCCCACGAATTCATATTAAATTGGATTCTCTAGCTAATGCAATGTTATTATTAGGGACTGAATCACTCACTCTGAAACCATCAGCTGATGCATTTCAGAGATAAACATTTAGTAGATATGCCACTTCTTCTATTTCTACTTGCTGGATGGAATACAAACATCAAAAGATCGTATGGGGTATAGATAAGAAGGCTGGATCATTCCTGTGTGCCTAAAAAGACATGGAAGAACATCCCAGGTAAAGATTTACTTACAGACAGTCTCAGGTGGGGATGTTAACATGTTGTTCTTTCAGAGTGTGGAGCGTATTCTAAAGCAGGGAATACCCTGTGTGCAAGGGGAGCATGCATTTGTTCATGAAGGAGCGGAGAACTAGATCAGATTTCATTTTCTGTTCCAGTTGTTCTTAATCAGAGAATGCATACATATTACCTGGGAAGCTTTTGAAAAATATACATGCAGGAGCACTCTACCAGATCTAATAAATTAGAATGGATGGGTGGAGGGCTAGTGAATCACGAAAACTTTCCAGGTGAGTCTAATGTATACCCTGGGTTAGGAACTAATGCTCTAGGCCTGTGGTTCTTACATTTTTTCATGAATGAAGTGGCCTCAAGTCTTGGTAAAATTGAGGTTTCTTGGTCCCGTGTTCAGAGTTCCTAATTCATGGATTTTAATACAACTTGAGAATATGTATTTCTAACAGGTTCCCAGGTGATCCTGATGCCCACACTTTGAGAACCACTTCTTTAGGCTGTCCCCTTCTTAATCTCTACCCTCACTGCTTTAATTCAGGAAATATTAATCTTTACTTGCCTGGACTATTACTGTAGATTTCCATCTTGTGTCATTACCTTCTACTTAATCTGTTGCTAGAGTGATCTTTCTAAAATAAAAAAGTTTATCTATCTACCTATCTAACTATCTATCATCTATCTGTCTGTATATCTATCTATTAGTTTCATTCATGGTTCCTGGCTTATAACTCCCATGGCCCTTGTTACATTTTTTTGATATAGCATTTGAGCACTTTAGGCCTCAGAAGACAGTCTCTCTCTCTCTCTCTCCCTCTCTCACACACACACACACACACCTTTTCCTACCCTCCTCTCACCTGCTCTATTTTTTTCCCCAAGGCAGGCTTTCCCCCACCTTTCTGTCTTGGAGCTGGCCATAAAGAAATTCTCTGATTTACCTTGTCTGATTTTAGGTCATAAGACACTCATTTCAGAAGGGGTCCTGCCTGATGGCTGGGAAGAAGAAATGCTGCGCCGAGATGCCAAGAAAAATAGAGACAGGCCTCACTGGGTTTCCTCACTTAGTCTATTAGTATTAGATAATACCCCTTTTGTCCAATCACATCTCTACACAGTTATCAATCATGCCTATCAAATGCAGTCTCCAGAGAAGGCTTAAGAGGAAGGGGTGTTAAGAGCTTCTGGACAGCTGAATTCATGGAGGCTTGCAGGAAGGAGAACGAGAACTCATCATGTCCCAAAAGGGTGGTGCAACCCAACTCCACAGGGACAGAAGCTCCTGTGCTCAGGACCCTTCCAGACCTCGTCTTGTATGTCTTTTCATATGGCTGTTTATTTGTATCCTTTAAATATCCTTTATAATAAACTTATAAATGTAAATAAGTGTTTCCCTGAGTTTTATGAGCTGCTTTAGCAAATTAATTAAGCCTAAAGAGGGGGTCATGGGAACTCCAACTTGAAGCCAATCAGTCAGAAGTTCCAGAGGCTGGACTTGCAAATGGGGTCCGAAGTAGTGGGGAGTCTTGTGGGATTGAGCCCTCAACCTCTAGGATCTGACACCATCTCCGGGTAGATAGTGTCAGAGTTGAATTGGATTGGAGGACATTCAGCTGGTGTCCACTGCAGAATTGATTACTTATATATTAGTTTGTTTTCACGCTGCTTATAAAGACATACCCAAAACTGGGAACAAAAAAAGATTTAATTGAACTTAAAGTTCCACATGGCTGGGGAGGCCTCAGAATCATGGCGAGAGGCGAAAGGCTCTTCTTACATGGTGGTGACAAGAGAAAATGAGGAAGCAAAAGCGGAAACTCCTGATAAACCCATCAGATCTCCTGAGACTTATTCACTACCATGAGAATAGCATGGGAAAGACAGGCCCCCATGATTCAATTACCTCCCCCTGGGTCTCTCCCACAGCACATGGGAATTCTGGGAGATACAATTCCAGTTGAGATTTTGGTGGGGACACAGCCAAAGCATGTTGCTTGCTTGTTGATGGGGAGAAATCCCCCACACATTTAATCATATAACTTTTCTGTGTTGATTGTTGTGGGGTGAGAGCAGAGAAAAAACAGAGCAGAGAAAAAACAATTTGTGGGTTTTTTTTTCCCCACACAATCTCTCAATACCTTAAAGTGTTTTCATGACTCCTCACTTAATTAAGTAAAACTTTATGGAACTCTTTGGTTCCTGCTACCACACCAGCCTCATCTCCCACTGCTCAGCCATGCTGTGATGCTTTTCTTCAGAGCAGACCAAATTCTCCCAGATAATAGTGAATTTATTACTGTTGCTGCAAAGCAGTGAGGAGGACAGACTTCCAGAGCTCCTTTTAGACTTTTCCATTTCTGCTTCTGGCTTATAGGCTTGGGCAATTTACTTTGCCTCTTTGTTATTTTCTCATTTGTAAAGTAGAGTTGACAACATAGTTATTACCTCTTATGATGACATTTAATTTCATATATATGTGAATATGTGCTCTCTCTCTCCCTTTAAATAAATATATATATTTATATATACATAAATTTATACATATATACATATATTTATAGCATTTGGAATAGTACCCAGTAAGTAGTAGACATTTACATATTAGCTGCTGTGGAACCATTTTTTTCAAGGAATCTCCCACTCATCCTTGAATACCAGTTTGGATAACACTTTTTTGGAAGAGGCAGGCCTGTGTTCTCTATGTAAAGTGTTTCTTTCTTTGATCACTTAGTTTCTTTCTTTGATCACTTATACTGTTTAATTCATGTTTCCATGATAATACTTAGTAGTTCTCTTTCATTCATCTATGAGCCTCTAAAGAGCAGATTTTGTTGTAATTGTTTGGTAATATGGCTCCTCTAGAAGCCTAGCCACAGTGCTTAAAAATATTGGTTAAAAGAATACTTTGTTGAACAATCAACTGATAAACCCTAACCATTGGGTCATGAGCCCCATAGAAGATGAGAATGATGGTTATGAAACAAAAGAGAAGACCTGAACACAAGGGAGCAAATGCCACATAGAACAGAAGCTGTTAGCCAGTTTACCCCCTTCTCTTCCTCTCTAATCCTGTATCAGCCAATCACAGAGTCTATCATTTGTTTTTTTCAGGAAAATCTAAGAAGGGAAAGCGTTAGACAACTAAGACATATAGAATCAGAAATAGTTGATGTTTTGTGTAGGGAATGAAAATTATTCAAAATATTCTGATACATTTTGTTTTGAAGCCAAGCATATCTACAGTAAAATGCACAAATCTAACTGTAGAGCTTGATGGATTCTTACAAGGTGAACACACCCATATAATCAACACTCAGATCAAAATATAAACATTTATCTTACCTCGGAAGCCTCCTTTATGGCACTTGCCAGTCATTCTCCTCAAAAGGATTTTATTTCTGCAACCTCGATTTTATTTCTGTAACCACTTTTGCCTTTTTTGAATTGAATTTGAATTAAATGGAATTTTACCACAGGTTGTTTTGTGTCTGCTATTTTTGCCCATCATGTGTCTAACAGAGTTAGTCATATTTTTGAGTGAAGCAGTAGTTTATTTTCTCATTGTTTTATAGTTTCTATTATTATAATATACTATAATTTATTTATTCATTCCACTGTTGATGAACACTTGGGTCATTTACAGTTTTTGACATTTAAAAATTGTACTGCTGTGAATGTTCTTGTAAAAAGTCTGGTAGTCAAATTATTGGGACACAATGTGGCAGATAGACTCTAAGGTGACCCTCAATGATCTTTACCTCCTGGTGTCTAAACCTTTGTGTACTTCCCCACCCCACAAAGTGAGGACAGGACCTACAACTTGCTTTTAACCCATACAATATGGCAAAGGTGATAAGATATCACTCCTTTTCTGAGGTTCCGTTATGTAGCACAGGTAATGAGATAGCACTTCTGTAATTATGTTATGCTACTTAAGAGTGTGGCATAGTAATTGGAGCAAGAGGTGCTACTTGCTGGTTTGTTGAAGTGAACAGTTATGTTGAGAGAGCCCACTTGGCCAGGAACTGTGGGTGGCTTCTAAGACTTGAGGCCAGCCTCTTTCTGGTAAACAGCGTAAAGCTGGGACCTTCAGTCGTATAGTCCAAAGAAAATAAGTTCTTCGAACAACCTGAATAAGCTTGGAAGCATATCCTTCCCCACTTGAGCTTCTGGATGAGAACACAGTCAAACTGACACTTTGATGCATCGTGTGAGACCCTGAACAGAAGACCCATCTAATCTGTGCCCCAAACTCCTGACCTGGAAAGTGTAAAAGAATAAATGCATGTTTCAAGCTGCTAAGTTTGTGGTAATTTGCTATTAATACTAAGTTTTTGGCAATAAAAAACTAATATATAGAGAGTATGCATGAGCTTCTAAACATTGGTAGGTAACGTCAAATTATTTCAAAAATTGTGGTATCTGTTTATACTACCAATAAATAAGAGTTTAAATTATTCCACATCTTTGACAATATTTGATACTCTGAGGATTGTTTATAGTCATTCTAAGGAGTGTAACTTCATTTTGCATTTTTCTGATGACTAATTTTGTAAAACAACTTTTCATACACTTATTGGCCAATTATGTTAGAAGTACCTGTAAAGGTCTTTGGCCAATCAATTTCCTATAGATGCATTGTTTATACAGTCTAGATACAAGTCCTTTATCATGTACTGAATTATAGACTTGTTCTTCAACTTTGGTTTATCTTTTCACTCTCAATCAATGTCTTAATAAATAGATATCTTGATTTTAGAGTAGTCTAATTCATCAATATTTTCTTTATTGTTGGTACATTTTGTGTTGTATTTAGGTATTCTCCTAAATTCTAGGACATGTATGTATTGTTTTACCTATCACAGTGTTATGTGTAGTTTATTCTTGTGTATGGTTTTTACCCATGTGAATAAACAGTTATTCCAATGCTATTTATGGTAAAAGTAATTCTTTCCTTACTCTGTTTTAGTGGCATCTTTATAGCATTTGTGGGGATGCATTTTAGGACTCTGCATAGCTCTATTTGTCTATATTGTATCAATGCCATATGGTCTTAATTGTATTAGTTTTAACTTAAATTTTTTTTTCTGTTTAAACGTTGATTATTTTCCTCAACTTTTATTTTAAGTTCAGGGGTACATATGAAGGATGTGCAGGTTTGTTACATAGGTAAACGTGTGCATAGTGATTTGCTGCACAGATCATTCCATCACCTAGGTATTAAGACCAGCGTCCATTAGCTATTCTTCCTGGTACTCTCTCTCCCAACGCCTCCACTCCCCATCAGGCCCCGGTGTGTGTTGTTCCACTCTGCATGTCCACGTGTTCTCATCATCCAGCCCCTTATAAGTGAGAACATGCAATGTTTGGTTTTCTTTTTCTGGGTTAGTTTGCTGAAGATAATGGCCTCCAACTCCATCCATGTCCTTGCAAAAGACATAATCTCTTTACTTTACATGGCTTCATGGTATTTTATGGTGTATAGGTACCACATTTTCTTTATCCAGTCTGTCATTGATGGGCATTCAGGTTGATTCCATGTCTTTGCTATTGTGAATAGAGCTTCAATGAACATACACGTGTAAGTATCTTTAAAATAGAATGATTTATATTCCTTTGGATATATACCCAGTAATGGAATTTCTGGGTCAAATGATATTTCTGCTTCTAGGTCTTTGAGGAATCACCACACTGTCATTCACAGTGGTTGAACTAATTTACACTCCCACCAATGGTGTAAAAGCATTTCTTTTTCTCCATAACCTCACCAACATCTGTTATTCTTTGACTTTTTAATAATTGCTATTCTGACTGGTGTGGGATGGTATCTTATTGTGGTTTTGATTTGCATTTCTCCAATGATTAGTGATGTTTAACTTTTTATTTGAAATGTTTGTTGACTGCATTTATGTCCTCTTTTAAGAAATGTCTGTTCATGTTCTTTGCCCACTTTTTAATGGGGTTGTTTGTTTATTTGTTTTTGTAAATTTGTTCAAGTTTCTGTAGAGGCTGGATATGAGACCTTTGTCAGATGGAGAGATTGCAAAAATTTTCTCCCATTCTGTAGGTTGTCTGTTTACCCTGATATTAGTTTCTTTGCTGTGTGGAAACTTTAGTTTAATTAGATCCCATTTGTCAATTTTTGCTTTTATGCAATTGCTTTTGGTGTTTTTGTCATGAAATTTTTGCCAGTGCCCATGTCCTGAAGGGTATTGCCTAGATTTTCTTCTAGGGTTTTTATAGTTTTGGGTTTTACATTCAAGTCTTTAATTTATCTTAAGTTAATTTTTGTATATGGTGTAAGAAAAGGATCTAGTTTCAATTTTTTAAATATGGCTAGCCGGCATTCCTAGCACTATGTATTAAATAGGGTTGCTTGTTTTTGACAAGTTTGTTGAAGATCAGATGGTTGTAGGTGTGTAGTCTTATTTCTGAGTTCTCTATTCTGTTGCATTGATCTATGTGTCTGTTTTGTAGCAGTACCATACTGTTTTGGTTACTGTAGCCTAGTAGTATAGTTTGAATTTGGGTAGTGTGATGCCTCCATCTTTGTTATTTTTGCTTAGGATTGTCTTGGCTATTCAGGCTCTTTTTTGGTTCCATATAAATTTTAAAATAGCTTTCTCCAATTCTGTGAAGAATGTTAATGGTAGTTTGATGGAAATACCGTTGAATCTGTAAATTCCTTTGAAAAGTATGCCCATTTTCATGATATTGATTCTTCCTATCCATGAACATGGAATGTTTTTCCATTTGTTTGCATCTTCTCTGATTTCCTTGAGCAGTGGTTTGTAGTTCTCCTTAAAGAGAGAACTACAAACTTTCTTTACTTACTTTCTTAGCTATATTCCTAGGTATTTGATTCTTTTTGTAGCAATTGTGAATGGGAGTTTATTCATGATTTGGCCTTCTGCTTACCTGTTGTTGCTTATAGGAACGCTAGTGATTTTTGCACCCTGATTTCATATTCGGAGACTTTGCTGAAGTTGCATACAAGCTTAAGATGCTTTGGGCCTGAGACAGTGGGGTTTTCCATATATAGGATCATGTCATCTGCAAGCAAAAATAATTTTTGACTTCCTCTCTTCCTGTTTGAATATCCTCTATTTCTTTCTGTTGCCTGAATTTGCAATACTGTGTTAAATAGGAGTGGTGAGAGAGGGCATCCTTGTTTTGTACTGGTTCTCAAGGGGAATGCTTCCAGCTTTTGCCCATTCAGTATGATATTGGCTGTGGGTTTGTCATATATGGCTCTTATTATTTTGAGGTATGTTTTTTCAATACCTAGTTTATTGAGAGTTTTTAACATGAAGGGATGTTGGAGCTTATTGAAGGCCTTTTCTGCATCTATTGAGATAATCATGTGGTTTTTGTCTTTAGTTCTGTTTATGTGATGAATCACATTTATTTACTTATGTATATTGAACCAACCTTGCATCCTGGGGATGAAGCCAACTTGATTGTGGTGGCTAAGCTTTTTGTTGTGCTGCTGAATTTGGTTTGCCACTATTTTATTGAGGATTTTTGCATCAATATTCAGCAAGGATATTGACCTGAAGTTTTCTTTTTTTGTTGTATCTGTGCTGGGTTTTGGTATCAGGATAATGTTAGCCTCATAGAATGAGTTAGGGAGGAGTCTCTTCTTTTCATTGTTTTTGGTGTAGTTTCAGTAGAAATGGTACCAGCTCTTCTTTGTATCTTTGGTAGAATTCAGCTGTGAATACATCTGATCCTGGGCTTTTTTTCTCGGCAGGTTATTTATTACTGCCTCAATTTCAGGACTCTGTATTGGTCTATTCAGAGATATAGTTTGTCCTGGTTCAGACTTGGGAGGGTGTATGTGTCCAGGAATTTATCCACTTCTTGTAGATTTTCTAGTTTATGTGCATAGAGGTGTTTGTAGTATTCTCTGATGGTTGTTTGTATTTCTGTGAGGTCAGAGGTGATATCCCCCATATCATTTCTGATTGTGTTTATTTTATTCTTCTCTGTTTACTTCTTTACTAGTCTAGCTAGCAGTGTATCTATTTTATTTTATTTTTCAAAAAAACAGCTCCTGGATTCATTGATTTTTTGAAGAGCTTTTCATATCTTTATTTCCTTCAGTTCAGTCTGATCTTGGTTATTTCTTGTCTTCTGCTAGCTTTGGTTTTGTTTGTTTGTTTGTTTGTTTTTTGTTTTTTTTTTTTTGCTCTTGTTTCTCTAGTTCTTTTAGTTGAGATGTTATGTTAACTTTAGATCTTTCTAGCTCGTTGATGTAGACATTTAGAGCTATAAATTTTCCTCTTAACGCTGCTTTAGCTGCATCTCAGAGGGTCTGGTATGTCATCTCTTTGTTCTCATTAGTTTCAAAGAACTTCTAGATTTCTGTCTTCATTCCATTGTTTATCCAAGTGTCATTCAGGAGCAGATTGTTTAATTTCCATGTAGTTGTGTGGTTTTGAGTGAATTTCTTAATTTTGAGTTCTAATTTGATTATGTTGTTGTCTCAGAGACTTATGATTTCAGTTCTTTGGCATTAGCTTGAAGAGTGTTTTACTTTGTATTATGTGGTCAATTTTACAGTAAGTGCTGTGTGGCGATGAGAAAAATGTACAGTCTGTTGAATTTGGGTGGAGTGTTCTGTAGATATCTATCAGGTCCATTTGACCCAGAGCTGAGTTCAGATCCTGAACATCCTTGCTAACTTTGTCTCAATGATCTGCCTAATATTGTCAGGGGGGGTGTAAAAGACTCTCACTATTCTTGTGTGGCAGTCTAAGTCTCTTTCAGTTCTCTAAGTACTTGCTTTATGAACCTGGGTACTCCTGTATTGGCTGTATATACATTTAGGATAGTTAGCTCTTCTTGTTGAATTGAACCTTTTACCATTATGTAATGCCCTTCTTTGTCTTTTTTGATCTTTGTTGGTTTAAAGTCTGTTTTGTCAGGAACTAGCATTGCAGTCTCTATTTTTTTTTTTTTAATTTTCTTGGTAAAATTTCCTTTATCCTTTTATTTTGAGCCTATTTGTGTCTGCAGTTGAGACAGGTCTCTTGAAGACAGCATACCAATGGGTCTTGGCTCTTTACCCAGCTTGCCATTCTATGTCTTTTAATTGGGGCCTTTAGTCCATTTACATTTAAGGTTATTACCTTAATGCTTGCTAGTACAAAATAGTCTTGATATCTTTTAATGTAAGTTCTTTTTTTAAACTCTTTTCCCAAATTGTCTTCAATATTCTTGACTGATTGGATTTCCACGTAAATGGTAAAATTAAGGGGTCAATTTTCCCAGTGAAATCTGCTGGGATTTTGGTTGGTATTGCATTGAGTTTATAAATATATTTTAGGACAAAATAATTGAAAATTTTATAATTTTGAGTCTACCAATTCATGACTTAATATAATCCTCCATTTATTTACGGTTTTAAAAAATTTTATCAATAATATCTTGTTGTTTTCCCTGGAGGTGTGTTGGTTAGATTTATTCATAGAATTTGATGTAATTATTATTTCAGATTTTTAGCTTTTTAATTTTCCATTTGTTAGGTGCTAGTTTATAGAAACAATTTTAATGGTGACTTTGTCTTTCTGTGACTTAGCAACTCTGCTAAAATTATTTAACTGTAATTGTCAGTTATTTGAGATGTTCTATGTATAAAAATCTCACTGGCTGCAAAATAATTATATTTCCATTTTCTTCTCTCCAATCATATATTTTATTTTATTTTTTGCCTTATAACACTGGGTTGGGTATCCAGCACAAGGTTAAGTGGAAGTCATGATACTGAGACATTCTTATCTCATGTTAGATCTGAGAAATTAGGCTTTCAAAATGTCAACATTAAGTATTTTTACATATTTTGTAAATTGTTTAAAAACATACCTTTCTATTTCCAGCTTGCTAAGAATATCATGAATGTTCATTTAATTTTATAAACTACATTTTTCTGCACCTATTGAGATAATCATATGCTTTTTCCGTTTATTTCTTTAAAGAAGTTCATTACATGGATTGAGTTTCAAGTGTGAAGTGACATTTTCCTTTTTGAAATCAAGCCAACAAATGTGGTATTAACACTTACTTAAGTGTTTTTAAAGAATTCACCATTAAAGCTATCTGGACTTACTTAATTATGAAAAATATTTAAATAAATAATTTCTTAATAAATATTAAATTATCCTTTTTGTCAGCTGTGATAATGTAATTTATGTAAACTTTGTATATTTCATTCAAATTACCACATTTATTAGTAAAAAAATGCTTATGTATTTATTAGTACAAACTATCATATCTTTTTGGTATCTGTAGCTTCTCAAGTAATGGTGACTTTATTATTCCTGGTCTTTATAATTTGTCTTCTCCCTCCCACCCCCTGCTCTCTACCTATACAGTATTATTGGAAGTTTAAATTTTAATTGATATTTAAAAAATCGACTTTTAGCTTTGTTGATTTTCTCAATTTTATATCTGCTTTCTGTTTCATTGATTTCTGCTTTTGTGTTTATTATTTCCTTCTCTGTTAGTTCTAGTTTGCTATTGATTTTGTAGCTTCTTTTCTAATATATGTATTTAATGCTATAAATTTTCTTTTTTTGTTATATAGGTAAATTGGATGTAACAGGGGTTTGGTGTACAGTTAAAATGTACAGTTAAAATGCTTTAACTGCATTTTACAAGTTTTAGAATGTCATTATTTCATTGTTTTCCTTTCCATTGTGTTTAGTTCACTGACTCCTGAGTAACTTAGATGTATATTGCTTAATTTCTAAATACTTGAGTTTTTGTTCAACTTTATGTTATTGATTTCTAGCTTAAGATTACTGTTAAATGCACATTTTATTATTTCGATTTTCAAAATTTGTTGATTTGCTCAATGACGAAATAACAAGATTAAACAAAACTAATTTGTTATAATTTCTGTGAGATTTTGGAATAGATTACCCTCCAGCTCTTGAACAAAATATTATAGCTAATTAGGTTATATTTAGCAATTAAGTTGTTCAAATATTCTAATCCTTACTTTTTAAAAATCTATTCTTCCTGTTACTGAAAGGGATATGGTAGTATCTGCAGCTATGACTATAGATTTGTCTATTGCTCCTCTTTCTTCTGTCATTTTTCTGTTAGTATTTCTTCCTTAGAAGTATACTTTCTAAATTAATATACTTATAATCCCTTTTTTTGCTTATGATTCACATAGTATATAGGTTTTTTTGTCTATTGACTTTTAAATCTTTTATATTCTTATATTTAAGATGTGTCTCCTGTAAAAAGCACATATAGTTTTATTTTTTATACAGAATAGTATAGTTCTTTAAGTGGAATATTTAGTCTACTTACATTAATAAAATTACTAATATAATTGAGTTAAAATCTGTACCTCTGTATTTTTATTTGTCTTGCCAGTTCTTTGTTTATCTTGATTTCTTTAAAAATTTCCAAGGTCTAGTTTTAATTCTTACTTGACTTAACTAGTTATGTGGCTATAAGCAAATAAAGACTTTCATTTTCTCATGTGTAAATGAAATTATTGGACTAGATAAAAAGACCTCATTCTCTTTCCACTCTCTATGGTTATTTGGTTCTGTAAGTCTAGTCAAGATTCTTCTGAGCAAGAAAAAAGAATGGAAAGAAAAATTTTAAATGTTATTATCATATATATGTCCTTTGTGTAGGTCCATGCAATTCTAAAATATTTTGGTTGTATTTAACTGTCTTCAGAGTATATAAAATGATTGCTGTCAAATGGTATATGATATGGTTTGGCTGTGTTCCCACCCTAATCTCATCTTGAATTGTAGCTCCCATAATTCCCATGTGTTGTGGGAGGGCCCTGGTGGGAGATAACTGAATCATAGGGGTGGTTTCCCTCATACTGTTCTTATGGTAGTGAATAAGTCTCAGAAGATCTTATGATTTTATAAGGGGTTCCCCCTTTCACTTGGCTCCCATTCTTTCTTGTCTGCCACTATGTAAGACTTGCCTTTCACCTTCTGCCATTATTGTGAGGCCTCCCCAGCCACATGGAATTGTGAGTCCATTAAACCTCTTTTCCTTTATAAATTACCCAGTCTTGGGTATGTCTTTATCAGCAGCATGAAAATGGACTAATACTGTGTGTGTGTGTGTGTGTGTGTGTGTGTGTGTGTGTATCATATATATAACATACATACATATATAATACAGTATATATAAAAATATATATTTTGTAATGTTTTTATGTATTTCTATGGTTCATTGAAAGAATCACAGCTTAATTTAATAGTTAGGACTTTTTGCACTTTGGAAAATGACTTTCCCTATTAACATTGAATAGACTTAGTAAAGACAGTCGTATGTAAACTATTTACTTTATGCCTTCCTTGTTAGGTTTCTCCAGAGTGCGATGCTTTCAAATAAACATAGGTCGTAGTGTCAGGAGGATCTGGATTTAAATTCTAGCTAGGTGAATTGGAAAAGTTATTTAGTATTTCTCTTTTTTAAAAAAATCTCAGGTTCAGGGGTATATATGCAGGTTTGTTATATAGGTAAATTGGATGTAACAGGGGTTTGGTGTACAGATTATTTTACCACTCAGGTAATAAGCCTAGTACGCAATGGGTAGGTTTTCAATCCTCAGTCTCCTTCCTCCTTCCATCCTTAAGTAGGCCCCAGTGTCTGTTGTTCCCTTCTTTGTGTCCATATAGACTCAGTGTTTGGCTCCCACTTATAAGTGAGAATGTGCAGTAATTGGTTTTCTGTTAGTTCACTTGGGGAAGTGTCCTCCAAATCCGTCTATGTTACTGCTCAGGATATGATCTCATTCTTTTTTATAGCCATAGTATTCCATGGTGTATATTTACCATATTTTCTTTTTCCAGTCAACCAGTGATGAGCACTTAGGTTGATTCCATGTTTTTGCTGTTGTGAATAATGTTGTGATGAACATACTTGTGGGTGTGTCTTTAGCACAGACTGATTTGTAATCCTTTGGGTCTATATCCAATATTAGGATTGCTGGATCAAGTGGTAATTCTGCTTTGAGTTATTCGAGAGATTGCCAAACTGTTTTGCACAGTGGCTGAACTAATTTACATTCCCCCGGCAGTCAATAAGCATGCTTTTTTTTTCTGCAACCTCGCCAGCATCTATTATTTTTTGACTTTCTAATAATTGTCATCTGACTGGTATGTGAGGGTATCTCATTGCAGTTTTGATTTGCATTTCTCTAATTATTGGTGGTCTTGAGCACTTTTTTTCATAAGCTCGTTAGCCACATGTATGTCTTCTTTTGAAAATGTCTGTTCATATCCTATGTACACTTTTTAATGGGGTTGTTTTTTACTTGTAATTTTGTTTAAGTACCTTATAGATTCTGGATATTAGACGTTTGTTGGATATATAGCTTGCAAATATTTTCCTCTATTCTGTAGGTTGTCTGTTTACTCTGCTGATAATTTCTTTTGCTCTGTAGAAGCTCTTTAGGTTAATAGGATTGTATTTGTCAATTTTTGCTTTTGTTGCAAGTGCTTTTGGCATCTTTTTCATGGAAACTTTGCCAGGTCCTATGTCCAGAGTAGTATTTCCTAGGTTATCTTCTAGGGTTTTTATAGTTTTAGGTTTTACATTTAAGTACTTAATCCATTTTGAGTTAATTTTTGTATATGGTGTAAGGAAGTAGTCCAGTTTCAATCTTCTCCATGTGGCTAGCCTTCCAGCATTATTTTATAGGGAGTCCTTTCTCCATTGCTTGTTTTTGTTGATTTGTTGAAGATCAGATGGTTGTAGGTGTGTAGCCTTATTTCTGGGCTCTCTATTCTGTTCCACTGGATGATGTGTCTGTTTTTTACCAGTACCATGCTGTTTTGGTTACTGTAGACCTATAATATAGTTTGAAGTCAGGAAACATGATGCCTCCAGCTTTGTTCTTTTTGCTTAGGAAAGCCTTGGTTATTCAGGCTCTTTTTGAGTTCCACATACATTTTAAAATAGTATTTTTAATTGTGCCAAGAATGTCAGTGGTAGTTTGATAGAAATAGAATTGAATCTATAAACTGCTTTTGGCAGTATGGCCATTTTAACAATATTGATTCTTCCAATCCATGAGCATGGACTATTTTTTCATTTGTTTGTGTTATCTCTGATTTCTCTGAGCAGTGTTTTGTAATTCTGGTTGTAGAGATCTTTCACTTCCCTGATTATGTGTATTCCTATGCATTTTATCCTTTTGGTGGCTGTTGTGAATGGAATTGCATTCTTGATTTGACTCTCACCTTGGATATTGTTGTTGGTACATAGGAATGTTACTGGTTTTGGTACACTGATTTTGTATCCTGAAACTTTGCTGAAGTTGTTTATAAGAAAAAGAGCTTTTGGGTAGAGAGTGTGAAGTTTCTAGACATAGGATTATGTTGTCTGCAAACCGGGATAATTTGACTTCCTTTTTTCCTATTTGCATACCTTTTATTTCTTTCTCTTGACTGATTGCCCTGGCCAGAATTTCTAGTACCATGTCAAATAGGAATGGTGAGAAAACTTTATCCTGTGCTGGTTTTAGAGTGGAATGCTTCCAGCTTTTGCCCATTCAGTATGGTGTTGTCTATGATTTTGTCATAGATGGCTCTTATTATTTTGAAGTATGTTCCTTCAATGCCTAATTTGTTGAGGGTTCATAACATGAAAGATGTTGAATTTTATCAAAAGCCTTTCTGCATCTATTGAGATGCATCTTTGAGCCTATGGTTGTCACTGCATGTGAGATGAATCTCTTGAAGCAGCGTGCCTTTGGGTCTTGCTTCTTTATCCAGCTTACCACTCTGTGCCTTATAACTGGGGCATTTCCATTTAAGGTTAGTGTTGACATGTATGGATTTGATCCTGTCATGTTGTTAGCTCATTATGCAGTCTGGTTTGTATGGTTGCTTTACAGTGTCACTGGTCTCTGTACTTAAGTGTATTCAACATCTCTTTAACTCCATTTTCTCAGCAGTAAAATGTCCATCTTAATTAACACTTGGGTAACTATGAGGATTCAGTGGAATGATCCATACAAAGCCTTTATGCAGAACCAGGTACATATTCACAGTTTAATAAATACTAAACTCTCATCATTTCATTTCCTAGAAGCCTAGTTAGTACTGTAATGCATGTGATGTTTAAAAAGCTACTTAACTGGCTTTATGCACACATCTCATTCTTTCAACTTCAAATCTTAATAGTTTTTATTGTGAGAACCATAGATTTATAGGATAAGTTGAATGGGTCATTTTTGTCCAGAGATACATCTTTTTCTCATGAGGGTAAATTGTGATTTCTTTCTAGTTATTTTAGCTCTCTACTGCTGTGTAACAAAATATTTCAAAACTTAGTGGCCCAAAGCAACAAAAAAACAGTTTCTGCCAGTCAGGAATCAGTGCTCAGCTTAGCTGAACCTGTGTCTTTGGGTCTCTCCTAAGGTTGCAATCAAAAAGTGTCAGCTTACACTAGAGTCATTTCCGCAGTCAATAAGGGATAGAGCTCCCATCTGAGCTTATAACATGTCTGCTTGGCTGGTTTCAGGTTGTTGCTGATGTTTGGTCAGAGACATTCGTTTCTAGGTATGTGGGCCTCTCTGTAGGGGTACTTCACAATGTGGTAGTTTGCTTCCCCCAGAGCAAGGGCAGAGAGATAAAGAGAGAGAGAGAGATGGAGGGTGGGCAGGGTATAGAAGCCACAGTCTTTGGGTACCTAATTTTACAAGTGACGTCCCATCACTTATACTATGTTCAATTCATTAGAAGGTAGTCACTAGTTTCAGCTATACTCAAAGGGTACAGATTACACAAGGGGATGGAAATCAGGAGGTGAGGATCACTGAGGCCCATCTTAGAAACTGCCTACCACATCATTGGAATGAAAATTTGAACATTCAAAATGTTTAGTCTTCCATCCTAATTTGGTAAGGGGATTTTCATACCAAATGGAAAATATTTTACATGTTTTCACGTAATATTCATCAACTTCATGAATTAAATATTTATTTATTTTTACTATTACACTTTAAGTTCTGGGATACATGTGCAGAATGTGCAGGTTTGTTACATAGGTATACATGTGCCATGTTGGTTTTCTGCACTCATCAACCTGTCATGGACATTAGGTATTTCTCCTAATGCTATCCCTCCCCCAGCTCCCCATCCCCCGACAGGCCCCAGTGTGTGATGTTTTATCACATTGAAGATTATGGAAGAGTTTGAAAGATGTTAGTAATGTACCTCCTTGAAACAACAACAAAATTCAAACAAACAACCTCCTGTTTTGACTCCAAAGCCTAGCAGGTTATAAATCAACGGGATTATTATTTTAAGAATAAACAGGCAGTTTTTTCTAGATGACTTTAAATCTTTGAAAAGAAGTGTACCCTGGGCTCTCTGCTTCCCAAGGTTAGGAGGGTAGGACAGTATCTTGCCACACCTGGGCAATTCAACATCTCAACAGCTCCCTATTAATCCAGGAAACAGAATTGTCTCTGAAAAACAGAAGAACTGATTAAAATTTCTGTCTCAATTATTACTTACAACATCTGCTTTGTGCCCTGGGGTCCTCCTCTATCCTTAATGTCTAGAGTTTCAAAGATTTGTTTCTGCACCTGGTATCAGATGAATCCACAACTCTCATCAGAGAAATGTTAAAGTTAATTTATTCCACAGAAAAGCAAAGACACCCTATGCTCCTTAGAGGTAACATTACTGAAAAAGGAGCACAGACAGGCCTGTTCTTTTGTTCTCTGTTTGTGTAAGGCAAATGGAGAGTTCAGAATGCAGGCATACTTAATTCAAATGAGTCAAAGTATGCTTAAAGGAACTGACATGCAGACAAATAAGGGCATTTAACAAATATGTAACTGTTAAGCCTTGTACTTTGCTATGTTTTAGGCACCCAAAAGAGATGTTGAGAATAGATCTGTTCTCAAATCTTTCTGCATGGACACTATCTTTAAATTTTGCAACTCCATTATAAAATCCTGTAGGAATCTTGAAATCTATGGCCCAGGACCCTTTATCTAGAAAAATGCACATGCATACAAAATCTAATAAACTTGGGAGGTGTCACAGACCCCTATTAGCCCACAAATGGATTTCCAGCTAAGAAAGCGCTGGGATGAAAAATGGGAATTTACAAAATCAGAAAATGTTTGATAGAAAGGGTATGTATTTGAGGCTTTTGAAACTCCCCTGAGAGATCTCAAATGTTCTTATTTGAGGACAGTGTTAGACAGTATTGTAGATAAGGGGAGTACTTCTATTTTAGTAGTTCTCAAACTTTTATATATAAAAGAAACTGAGACGCTTGTTTAAAAATGTAGATTCCTGGGCTCCACCACCAATACTGACTGATGGAAGAGGTCCTAGGCAAGGCTCCAGAATTTGCCTTAGGTGATTCTACTGCAGGTGACCCAGGAACTAACCTTGGAGAAACGCCTTGGAGCAGATTCCACTAACCCACGTGCCGGGGGGAGGGGGGGGGCTCTTTCCCACCCAGATGAACCTAGGTCACTGCATCCATCTCTTCCAGGGTCTGTCTTATGTTTTCTCTCCTCCACATGAAGTTATCTCAAAGAAGACCAATATAACTAGAAACTTAAAAATGGTAACAAATACGAAGTAACATCCATCATTTATTGGATACCTGTTAGCACCTAAACTACTAATGTAATCCTTAAAATCTCATAAGATGAATCTTAATAGCCTATTCGATGAATGGTGTAAGTGAGCCTTATTAAATGTTAATTATTTTTTTTCCTGGTTGTAAAGCTCAAAAGTGGCAAAAAGAATTTCTGGAATTCAGAGTAGGGTTGCTGAACTCCAAAAGGCCACTATTTGGGGGGCTATTTTGTGTGTTAATTTAATACATCACAGAGTCTGGGGCCCTTTCTCTCAGCCCATCATATTTTAAAATGTGGAACCACCAGTCTTTAGTGTGCTTCCTTGTTTAGCATCTGAGATCCTTTATTAAAGTGTCAGTATTATTGGAATTGAAAAAAATAAATTAATTTGGTAATCTGAGATCCAAATTTAGTCCTCATTCTGTTATTTAAAGAAAATGACCATATGGTATTATCTGATGATCCATTTATCATTTGAATCTGCATCAAAGTGGATGCTCCATTGAGAAGACATACAACTTCTCAGTTAAGGTATAAATTATCTTTACAATTGGGAGCTCTTTTTTAATGCCCTTACTTAGTGGCTGTTTTTACCAAAATTCCAGGATTTATAAGCCTAACAGTATTTACTAAAACTTCAAATTCCTGGCTGTACCCAGGGCCTACCACATTTAGAATGTCCACGATAGGATTGTTTGAATTTTACTGGCCTGTGAAAAGAGATGTTAGGCTTTCTTGCTTGGTATATTTAATACTAAAAACCATTAGGCTTTGAGACCCATCTGTGGAACCAAAAGGAGCTCTTGGGCAGGCTTTAAAAATGGACTGTGCAATACTTGCTGGGCTCATGCAGGTAAGAGATCTGAGAGAAGGAAGGCCCACAAAAGAAGGATTAATGCAAGTCCATTCATAAAAATATCCTGGCAAATTTAACTCCTTTGTGTGTTGGTGTGTGTGTGTGGGTGAATTATCTATATATCTATGTATCTATCTATTTGACACAGGGTGAGTTTGCAAGCTGGAGATACATGAAATCCAAGGGCTTAATTTCTGTCTAAAGGCCAGTAGACTCAAGGCTGAGGCAGGGCTGGTGCTTTGGTTTGCATCCAAAGACAGGAAAAAAGCTGATGTCCCAGTCTTAAGGGAGTCAGACAAGAAGAATCCTCTTTTACTCAGAGGAGGATCAGTCTTTTTGTTCCATTCAGGCCGTCAACTGATTGGACGAGGCCCACCCACATTAGGGAGAACAATGTGCTTTACTCACTCTACCAATTTAAATGTTAATCTCATCTAAAACATATTTGGGGAAACACCCAGAATAATGTTTGACCAAATAGCTGGGCATCCCAAGGCACAGTCAAGTTAACACATACAGTGAAACAGCATGCTTCTGATGTCTGCTACCAAAGAAAAGGGAAACTCTGCAGACACAGGAATAAGACACAAGAAGGGGAGGGAAACTATAGGGGGACAAGGATGAAGACGAAGTGTCCTGCAACTCTGACCAGCTTTCTGAATAAGACAGACATAAAATGCAAACAAGTGGTTGTGGCCAACATGCCATATTTGTTGTTACACAGCAACTGAGATCTGTTATCTCAAGGGCTTACTAACACGAGAATCTAGAATTAAGCAGAATGACCCACCAGTACCCAGGAGGACTTTCACCATGCAGAAGCAGGGAGATCTCTCATTACGGACTCTCCCTTGTAGCAAAGGGTGGGGGCCACTACATTGGCTCAGGTTCCTTTCTCAGGTTTAGTAATCTGATAAGTCTTTCCACCTTGCTAGGAGTGAATAAAAGAGACCAAGACTAGAGTTAGAACAATTTACACCTCATAGGAGTGAAGAGTGGAGAAATAACTCCAAGGCATTCTATGCAAGACATCCTTGGTTTTGTTAGTGATTTGGCTTTTTGCTATGATTATTTTAATCTATTTTGATAATCATAATAACATTAATAATAATACATTACATTGCATCTCTTTTTAATTATATTACTCTAAGTAATTAGTATTATCCACTCTTAAAATGTCTCTTAATTTCAAAAGCACATTCAAATCAAATCTAAATCAATTTCTCTCTCTTTCTTACACACATACACCAGCCCCTCCCACACACAAAGTCATATACGCACACCACAGATATATGACACAAAGTCTGTCCGGATTTTCTGCTTATCGTTAGCGTAGTTCTTATCAGAGTCTGCACATTATTTTTTCAAGAACATTGGCCTTTTTAGGGAGGAGGTTGGAACTGGGTGGGCTGCTTTCAAAAGTTTGCTTACTTGAAGAACCAGGAAAGCAGAAGTCAGAATGGGATTTCACAGCTAAGGCATACAGTTTTGAGTAGTACTGGTTCTTTTTAAGTTAAGTTTTTCATTCATATGTAGTTTTAGAGATATACCTCCTGAAAATATATAAAACATTAGACTTATGTCTGTCATAAATGCCCATCAAGAGTAAACATAACCATGCTTGGCAGGAGAGGTAGCAGCACTCAATCAGCAAGGTATTTGCAACTAGGTGGGGGCTTCTGTATAATTCTGATGCTGTACTCCTGGGATAATTTTGAGTATCCCTATCCTATCTCTGGACCTCAAATTTTTATGTTATATAGAAATATATCCCTCTCTGGCAAAACCACAGCCAATGGATTTGATAGGAGTAATGCTCTTCAGAACTCCCCACTTACCTTTCAGGCTTATGTGGTGGTTGGGATTGGAGTAGGCCCAACAGAAAGCAATCAGCCATATAGACTGCCTTCTCAGAAATGTCACTAATGACTAATCAATGAATTTGCCATCAGTCTATTACTTTATCTCTCTGGAGTTTGCTCGTCTGACTTATAAATTCTAAATTGTCTCTAAAGTTCCTTCCAGTTTTGTAATCAAAGGTTTATTCTTGCAATGTCCCCTCTGTTTTAACTTCTTGGGACCATCCAGAACCTCCTAGAGAGAATTTCAAGAGTCTTCAGAATTTGGTGGCTTCCCCAGGATCTAGAATGATGTGGAGCTTACCATCCTTGGTAAAAATGCTAACTTCCTTTTAGGGAATACCGCAGCTGTATAGGTTTTGCCTTCTGCATTGTATATTGTTATGCCCCAGAGTTTTTTTGTTTTTGTTTTTTTAATCTAAGGTTTTGAGTTTATTAGGTGGCCCTTGAATGAGGGGAACTGGGAAGGCAGATAACACATGGATTGAGATACATAAGGCGTAGGAAATAGTGATGGTAGAGGGTGAACAGCTGAAAGAACAGACACAATGGGCCTAGCAAATGTCTCAACTGCACCAAACCACCTGCTGGATTCCAACACAGATCTTTTAAAACCTAGTTGGGGGTAGAGTGGGAGCAATCTGCATTTTAAGTAAATTTGCAAAATGTATCTTCACATTGATCTTTGAGAATTACCATATAAGAGTGTAGGAATCATAGAATTCAAACATTGGGAAGCAAGAAAAAAAAGTGCCAAATGGGATAAAATAAATAAGAATTAAAAATAAAGCAAGCACAACTTAGGCTCTGCTTATTTGGGACAATTTTATCACTTTTCAGGACTCACACTATCTTCTGCTGGGCTTCTCCACCTAATCAATCCTCATGGCTGGCGTAGAAAGCATCTAATGGTCTATTGTGTTGTTGTGCTACCTATTGTGTTACTTGTTTTAAAATTCCTCTCCCCTGTGAGTTTGTCAAAAAATTCTGGCAGGAAAAAGAAAATCAGCGCAGCTGCCTGTTAACTTTGGTAGGACAAGAATAGTTCCTAAACTCTTATGTCTTTGATTTAGAATTCCATTTAACCAAATTATTCACCAACTTAAGGCAGTTGTTGATTGCGGGGAAAGTATACCTTGCATCTTTGTTAGTTACAATCCTATTCAGGGCCTCATCAACCACCCGAAAGGAATACAACACGTGCCTTCTTAAGAAAAGTTAAAAATATTTCAACATTTGATTCCTTCCTCCTTGAGGATCTTTCTTAAATCAGAGAAAGGCTGGCTGAATCCCAGGTGTAGATTACCATTCTTGCTTCCATTATTTTTAACCTGACCTCAGAGCCTACAAAAGCTGCCAAGTGGTTTGAGGATGGCTATAAAGGCCACATCCAAGTGGCTATGAAGTTAGGTGTAGGAAGCAGGCGAGATGGGCCAGTGGCACCAGGTGGGGCTTCTATTAGTCTTGTAGGTAGTGAATGATTTGGGGTCTGCTGCTCTTTGGGCTTTTCATGCCTTGAGTTCTGCTCCCTCCAAATATGTGGTTAAAGATAGTAAGACCACTATGAGTCTTCTTCTGCCCCTTCTCTTTCTTGTGACCCTTAGGGTACTCCACTTTCTAGGGCTTCCTCTTCATAATTTCCTGTTAAAGTGCTATGTTGGAAAGGCAAGAAGGTGGTAACTATTCAGAGAGAGTTATTTAGGAAAGGGCAGCTGGTAAATCCTTCCTGTTTGAGTGTCTGCCCAGCTGGCTGCCAATACAACTATTTAGATTCAGTAAGCAATGCATTCATGAAGTTGAGCTTCATGAATATGGCAGTATAAGATGGGTGAGACTTCTCATTAGGTGCTTTTAAGATGCCACAGTTTGAGTAGGAGACTAATAGAAGGGGACACTGGGGTATAGGTGGAAAGCAGAGGTCTTTTTTTTTTTTTTTAAGACTGGTTTTACTAGTCGCTTCTAAAATTCATTGAGAGGTTGATCAAAATACCCAACCATTGTCAACTTAAAATCATGAGATCTATACATTTGGAAAGGAGAATCTTATTTCTTATAATGGCTTGCAACCTGAAGGCTGGGAAGTGGAACAGTTGCTTCACAAAAGGAGGAGTGGGACAGGAGGCTTATGCTAAGTAGCTTGGCTAAACATACATCTTTAATAGGTTATAGCAGAACCTGTGAATATTCAGGGTGGGGGGGGTGGCGGCGTTGCACACATGCAGGGTGTGTTAGTCCATTTTCACGCTGCTGATAAAGACATACCCGAGACTGGGTAATTTATGAAGAAAAAGAGATTTAATGGACTCATAGTTCCACATGGCCTCACAATCATGATGGAAGGTGAAAAGCATGTCTTACATGGTGGCAGTCCAGAGAGAGAAGGAGAGCCAAGCAAAAGGGGTTTCCTCTTACAAAACCATTAGCTCTTATGAGACTTATTCACTACCACGAGAACAGTATGGGGGAAACTGCCCCCATGATTCCATGATCTCCCACTAGTTCCCTCCAAAAACATATGAGAATTGTGGGAGCTACAATTCAAGATGAGATTTGGGTGGGGACACAGCCAAACCATATCACATGTTAAGGAAACATGTATGTAACGTATGTCCCATGTTCACTTTGGGGTGGAGACTTAACATTAAAATGCAGTAAAATTGGGCCCTATACATCAAAAAGTGAAACATAGGATGCAAGGGCACTTAGTAAGCTGCCTCTGTAAACTGGCCAGAACCAATCCCTGGTTGGTGGCCATTTATTAGGAAGGAATGCTTTGTGCTGAGTTGTCATGTTGAAACCACAATAAAGGAGGGGAATCTGGCCACAGCATGAGGTGGTTGGTTGAAATCAGTGGAAGTGTCTGTCTTCCTTTCTTTGTTTTCTAGGGCTGGTTTCTGTTAATGCTTTGGAAAAAAATCTGGTAGTGGTTGGTGAGGAAGAGGATGTGCTGAGGTGTGATCAGTCTCCCTTATCATGGCAGGGAAACAGTTTTTAAGTTTTTTTGGAGTCTCCTTAGCCAAAAGGGGGTTTGCTCAGTCAATTATAGGGGGTAGGATTTTATTTTTATTTCACACTACCTTACTCTCATCACCTATCAAATCAACTTCTTTAGGGGTCTTTGTGCAAAAGCTAATGTAAAATACATTGTTGACACTCATCAACTCTCATTCTTGGGATGTTTCTAGGCAAGACGGCTTATGTTGTTGAAACAAGCAACAAAAATGAAGTGACTTCATGGGGTTCCGGGATTATCTTTTGCTACAAAGGAAGTAGATAGACCTTACTTAAGAATTGAGACTAGATTTGCCAATCATACTAAGCCATTTTTTCTTTTGTGTGTTTGGAAATACAAGTCATCCCATGGTGACCTATAATAATAATATTTTAACCGAAGTGGAAGATATGAATTCTTCTCCTGCCTCTGTCAGCATCATTTTAGGTGGTCTGACTATCGTCTGGCTCCTATAATTTTTCTTTAAATGTTGTGGATAACATTCAAGTTGCTTCATTTTAATGTTTTCTACCTTGAAAAAGAGTCAATTATCTTATTAAGCTAGATGAAGCTATTAAAAGTAATCATTTCTATAAGCTTAATATAATTATGAGGACAACTGCCAACAAGATAAAGTGTGGGATGCAATGTACTAACAACTTCTCTCAGCTTTTTTAAGATAAATCCTATCATTCACCATGTTATTATAGGTGAGGGAACAGGTGTAGAGAGTTTGAGTAGTTTGAGGCCATACAACTAATAAATAGCAATATTAAGAGTAAAATGTAGATTTATCTTAATGCATATCCTTAACTTTGGATCTATGCCACAGTTGTTTTCCATGGGTCTTTGGAGAAACCAGTCTAGAATGCAAATTTCATATGGCATTAACATGTCAATACCAGTTAGCTACATGTAAGGCTTCTTAAGTCTTAAGGGATGGTGGAAAATGCCACAAAAAGTATTGCCACAGTGTTCTAGCTCTGTTTTCTAGAAGTCATCCTAGAAAAGTGAGAAATATTTATCTGACTGCATCTAGATGACTCCTGACACGTTGCTGTATGCCACAATTCTATACTACAACACATTGCCTGCCAACAGCTTTAGGATCCTGAGAACTAATCTGCCTGCCATTCCAATGAAATGTTCTTATTCCAGGTAAGGTGTCTCATGGCTGCTACTGCCCTGCCATGCCACCAAACTTTACCATCCTCAGCTGGTTTATTATTAATGCCTCCTTTAGGAGAAGCAATGTGAGCAGCAAAGCTGGCCAACCTACCAAATTAGTTCTACTCTTTTTCTTTCAGCAGAGACTGGAGTTCACCATGAGCCTGATGACAGGTAAGTGGATGCACAAGTAAATTAGAAGCTACCCCTTACCCCTGTTGCTGTATGGGGGCATCTCCATAGAGATTCTTATAGTGCTGAGAGAGATTCTAGATTCCCACTTGCAGATGTATTTCCATTCAAGCAGATGTCCACACTGGGTGTCATATTGTTCTAAGGCTTTTCTTCATTGATACTTGTGTAGCCACACTAACTCCAAACGCAGAATCTACTCCTTGACATGTCCTTATTGATTTTAATGGGTAAGTTACATGATGTTCTCATGTCAATTCCCAACTACAAAGCAACTCACTAACCAGTGCTCTTTAAATACCTAGTTACTTGGTGAATGGTCATCAGAAGTTGCTGTGTCTGCCTTCATATCACCAAGGCTCAAATCAGACAGACATCCTTCAGTTCAGAGTTGGTGCTTTTAGATTTTTCTGGTTACAGTCACAATCTGCTAAGTTACTTTTTTTGCTCCTCTCTAACATTAGTATGCTAAACATAGGAGTCGAATCTAAGTTTCAACTCTTAATTATTTTGTAGATCTATATTACATGCCATCTGAAGGCTGCTGAAGCATCAGCTGAGCCAGATTCTTCAAACATGACCTACTCTTTTAATGGATGAAACAATTTGCCAGTATAGCAGCAGAAGCATTCATAGATTTTGATGTGAATGCCAATGGTGTTAGACGTAAACTACTATGACCAGGCAGAGGCAAATTCACCAAAAATGCTGAGTTTAGAGAGGGGAAGTAGCCTTTTGAGACTGCACAGAATAAGTTAGGTTATTCCCAGATATTAGGGCAGGCAGAGAAAGAATAAAGCCATAGTTTGTTACGATACAGTTTAGCTAATTTTTTAACAGCTGTGTCAAGGAACTAAGCATTTTACTATGGTTTTAATTTAAGAGGTACTCCTTTTTCTATATACAGGTAATCAGAAGTCATTAAAAATGGCAGAGAGAGCTGTCAAATTAGGATTTTAATCAGTTCCAAAACCATATTCTTTCCTAATTAAAGAATCTAGGGGAGTTCTCAAACTTGGCTGCAAGTTAGATCACCTGGGAAGCTCTTAAAAATTCTAGTATCCAGGCCCTAACCAAGAACAATTAAATCATGAACTAGATAGTACAGAACTCACATATCAGTAACGCTGAAACTTCCCAGGTGATTCCAATGTGCATCTATGGTTGGGAAACTGGTCTGAAATAAATACTATTAACAGTTTAAGGAAAGGTTAAATTAGCATCTACTGCTTTGTCCATTAAATAATACCTTACTCACTAGTATGAAGCTTTGAAAAAATAATCAAAACTAGTTAGTATAGTATCTCAGTGTATCAGCAAGTCTGCCACATTACAGGCAATATCTGACACCTGTATTACAGGTGACTTGAGTAACCTGGACAGCTCCAGTTTAACTTTATTACAAGTTACTTAAAAGTTATCAGAAACTTTGTTTCTTTAGTGCTCAAAGTTAGGCTTCAATAATTACTCCAAAAAGGTTACCATCAAGGTGTAAAAACACCAATTCAGTAGAAGATTAAAGTGGGTTAGCTCTAATAGGAGCAGAATAGTGAATATGAGTAGAATCTCAGACTGCTTTCTCCAACTTACTATGAAGGATTCTTCTTTACCTACTATGGCTTATGCAGAGCTAAACCCCTATATTTCTAGTTTGAACTTAGTTTGCTGTCCTCCCCCTGATTATGCACTGAACCGTACAATCAACTGATTGTCTTGTGTTCACCATGAAAACAATACAACTAGGGATTTAATTTAATTCAGAGGAACTTGATGCTCTTCTAAGTAACATTTGGAACCTTTCAGAGCCCTCTTTAATGTATCTTTTTGATCATTCTTGCTTTTTGAGATAAATATAACTCAATGTTTATTCAAATATGATGCTCCTTTTATTCTGTTAAGATGAGGAATAGTGGTTTTTCATACTAAATTTCTTTTCTCCCCTCTTATCACATACTTTCATTTATTTTTACCCTGACCTAAACATTTCATATAAATTTAGTTTATTTGCTCCTTTAAGAAACTATTAATTGAATCAAATTGACCATAATGCGAGGCTAATTTCCTAAAACTTGCATATAGAAACTGCTTGCTTAGGAATTTGATTTCATAAAATATAAAATAACCAGTCAAATGACTAACATCATTCCCATATTCCAATTTTGTTATTACAATTTTCTGTCACCTCAGTGAACGTACTAGATGAGTATTGTCATAGTAGACTATCTGCTGGAAGTCTATTAAGGATTAGAACCTTTTGCTGTCATCTTGTAGGTGGTCTCTTCTAGAAGGTAACATTGACATCTGTAATTGCTGTGAGACCTATACCTGTGGAAAGTTATATTTCTCCCCAAATCTGGCCTGAAGCCACTGGGAGAAAGATGAGTGGTCAGGCAGGCTAGGGATCTTATGTCAATCAGCAAAGATGTGGGAGCTCATACGCCAATGTCTCTCAATTTTTTTTTTCTTGATCATTCCCTTACCAAGACACATCAAATTCTCCCTAAGAAGAAAAGTTAAACACTAAGGAATCGGATATTGTCAGGTATGGTCCTTGGAGGGTTACAATCATTATAATATCTAAGACTTTTGCCCCCAAGAACCAATTTTGGTCGTGATATTCTATCTATTGAAAATTCATGCTCTAAGCTGAGGATGGCTGGAGCTATATTCTATTAAAGGGATCATCTGATGTGTCTTATTACTAAATTCAGGAAGCTCTAGGAGAGAGATGGAGGTGATTGTATTAGTTGGACCACTCTTCATCACTGATTTGGCTCAAGACATCAGCAATATTGGTGGCCAAATGGAACTAGCTTTGTCCCAAGATATAATTGACCCTCATACGTAGATAACAAAGATTCTAAGCATCTGGCATTAATATTCTATTTTTTACCCTAAGTAAGAAGAAGAAACCATAAACCATGCTGCTATTGACTTTTGGAGCTGGAACTATAAATATTGCTGTTTTCTCTACAGCATTACTATACAGAAGACTGCAGAAAGTTGAAATAGATTTATCACCATCATAAGAAATTGATGTACACGATCAGGGGCAGTTCTGTGTTTTGCTGCTTTGAGACTTTTTAAAACTAGAAGAGAAACAAAACCATAATGGATTACAAGAATTCTGGACTACAGGGAATTTCATCTGCACCGAAACCACAATTCTTGCTGTAGTGTCAACAATTCACACTTTAGCTAGAATAAGTTTTTCCCTCCTGGTATTTTATCTCCTCCCCTTACCCTTAGTCAGTTTTTGCCTCCAGTAAACTTGTTTTCAGTGGAAGCTTCTGGGTCTTAGTGTTCTCCCTACCCCAGTTACCCTCCAAATCTTAGGTTCTTTAGCTCTAATCTACTGCCTCCTGCAGATGTAGGACTATGTAAGGCTGAGTTGGCTTTTTGTGGGTATAAGTATTTAAGGATACAGGTTACAGACACAATACATTGTTCCTGATTTCCTTAGACTGGGAGAGACATGATCTTTATTTTCTGGTTATCTCAGTTTGGATGGGATTCATCAAGACTCCTTTGTACTGATTTTAAAGCTCAGTACTAGGGCCTTTATTTCTCTGACTACCATGTATTGGCCCAGAGATTGTGGTCCCCCTAGCCATGACGTCTTAAGTGTTGAGAAAAGTAAGGAATGGGAAATGATAGAAAGCAGGACATCAGAATCATCTGACGAACTTTTTCCAAGTAACATCTCCATCTGCCACACTCATGCCCGGAACTGTCTGTCAAAACAAAGGTAATTAAATAAACAATAAACAATTTGACCAAAGGCAAAAAGAAACAATGCTGATATTTTTCTCATGTTTAGAGATGCATTTTTAAATTGAGTTATAGGAAAATGTTCATTGCCTTTTAAAATCCTAGCATTGAGAAGGAAACATTGAGCTCTGTAATCCACAAATACTTAGGTTAGCTAACTACCTTAGGTTTAAGCCTCATTATTGGGAGAGAAGAGAAATGGGTTTTCTTAACTACAGCTCTTTTGCAGAATAGCATGAATCTGGTTCTGGTGATAGTCTTGGTTTATGCTCTCCTGGGGAAAGGAGATAAGCCACTGTCCCTTCTACAGCATAGCCAGAACTCACATAGAAATTCTTGGAAGAGGCAGAATAGCTGGGCATAAGTTTTCTTAAACAACTCTGTAAAGAAAATGCAGGAAAGGCAAATTCATTTGTTTCTGCTGAACAGGAAGTTGGCTTCTAAATGGTAGCACTCTGTGTGTTATGTAATTTTCATTGGCCATTTCTAGATTTGACACCTCAATGATTTCTCAGAGCAGAACAATAAACTCATTTTAATGCAAACAGCATTACTTTTTCAAACAAGGCCATAGTTCATTTCTAGATTCAGCTCACAATTATAGCGGTAGGTCACAAGCAAAAGCTGTTTGGTTGCTAGAAATATCCATTAGAGAATGAGTAATTGACCAGAAATGAAGACCAAAAGAAAAAAAAAAAAGGAAAAAAAGAAAAAGAGAACCGAGACCAAACAACTCCTTTCAATTTCCATCTGATTCTGGCTTAAGTATTACGAAAAGATTAAGATGCCAGAAACATTGGAGGTGGCTCTCAAACATTAGCTTACATTGGAAAAATCATGCAGAGGGCTGCTGAAACTCAGATTATTAGGTCCCATCCCCAGAGATGCTAATTTAAAATATGAGGTGCAGCCTGTGAACTTCATTTCTAAGAACTTCCCAGATGATGTTCATGTTGTTATTGTGATTACACTGGGAGAACCACCGCTTTAAAGAGCTACAGCTGTGTTGGGGCCTGATCGTAATAAGAACATTGGTCACACCTGTTGAAGACAGTGTTTGCTAAAATTTTCTCATGACAATTATTGCTATGTAGGAATTACTGCAACAACACATCCTTTCTATTCATCTTGTAATGAGACACATTTTTCCCTTTAACTGCAGCTCAGAACTCTCTTAGTTGTTGATGTGGTCGTGGGATGTGAGATATATTAATAGAAGTAACTTCCCATTTCTAGTTCTTATTTTCATACAAAAGTTCTAAATTTGACTCTTTTTTCCCATCCTGTTACCTTCTGAATATAATGATACTTAGGCTTTTTGGTGCCCTCTCTGTTGAAGCAAGTGAGCATGTCCCCATAGATTTTTCTTACTTTGTAGCCTCTTGATGATATCTTCAATAAAATACCTTCTCATCCCCTTAAAACTCTAACACCCTACATTCTCCAAGGTGTGTATTCTGTGAATTAATTAGTGACTTCTTAATGCAGTGTTTGCCATCCTGCTGTCTGAATTCCTAACATAGTAGTATCTAGACATGTTTGTTGGCAACTTCACTTCAAAATTCCAGAGCTGCATCACTTATTTACTTTAAATACCCTAAAACCTAACATTTAACTGTTGATTACAGCACAACTATTGAAGACACAACACAACTACTTATGACAACTGAACTGGACACTTAGCACCCCCCATCCCTTTCCTGCCATATCAGGTAAAGGGCATTACCATGGTAATTACATAGGTATCATTTACCTGCAGAGGCACCCACCACCCAATTAGTCTTTGTTCTAGCAGTAAGACCGCAAGCCATAGGGGATGAAATATGACTTATTTAAGTCAACCATGGGAATCAAATTCTTTACTAGTGATTTGTCTAGAGGAAAACATGTGACTAACTTTCATTAGTGACAGAAGGAAATTTGAGGTTTCTGGGAATTATTTTTTTCCCTCGGAAGAGTGTAAACACAACTCTTTTCTTTCCATCTTCTTTATTTCTATTTTGATACTGCTTGATATGGTTTGGCTCCGTGTGCCTACCCAAATCTCATCTCGAATTGTAATCCCCACGTGTGGAGGCAGGGAGGTGATTGGAACATGGGGGCGGTTCCTTCCATGCTGTTCTCGTGATAGTGAGTGAGTTCTCACGAGATCTGATGGTTTTATAAGGGGCTCTTCCCCCTTCACTTTTCACCTTCTCTGGCCTGCTGCCTTGTGAGTTTTGTCTGCTTTGCCTTCCACCATGATTGTAAGTTTCCTGAGGCTTCCCCAGCTATGCAGAACCGTGAGTCAATTAAACCTCTTTCCTTTATAAATTACCCAGTCTCTGGCTTTCTTTATGGCAGTGTTAAAATGGACTAATGCACTGCTGTATGAAGATGTGACGCTTGTAACCACTGTAGCCATCTTGTGACCATGAGGGAAATAAGAGGTAATTCTGGAAATGCTCACTCAAAGCCCCAACATTGCCGAGCCGCTGAATCATCACTGCCTAACTTTGACATGTTTTTGAGAATATATCGTTTAAGTCATTAAGGTTTTTTTTTTCTTTTAATAATATAACTTGAATGAATTCTAACTGATCACTAATGAAAAGTATGTCAGGTCTTTGTCAAATAGCAAAAGCCCTGGTTACTTACTTTCTGGGCTTGTTTTAGAGAGTGGAGTCTGCTTCCCCAAGGAGTAAAACTAACCCTTATATTTTGATAGGGAAGCCAATGAATGACTCTTGGACAGAGCTCGCCAAGGGTAGTGGAAAGAGTTTGGCTTTCTTAAGCTCTAATTAGTCTCACCCGGTTCACAGCCTCCAGCAAAACTGCCTCATTTTTTTTAATTGCCAAGTGCTATGGCAATTACCATAATGTTATGACAGTGCTGATACAATGTAGCCTGGTTGAAATGCAAAGCACTCTCAGGAGAGGAGAGAGGCTTCTGGTTGAGCTGGATCTGAACTTTCTGTCCTATTTGCCTTCCCTGGGGGATGAGGAGGTCCAGTGTCGTTCAGCACGTTAGCTTGTTCCAGATTGTCAATATGTTGCTACAGTGTTGGGACAGTTGTTAGCTCTGGAGATGCCCTTTCAAAGAGGCTGTTGCTCAAACAGCCTGCGACTTAGTATTTTGGCCAACTTTTTTAGATGAAGGGTAAACATTCTCTAGCCAGAGACTATTCCCCAGGTGGGTGAAACATTTGTTCTTATTAGGCCCTTCAATTTCGTTCTTCTACTTTGACATAGAGCCTGAAATTTTTCTCACTGGTCTTTTACGTTTAGAAGTTATATGCAGAAGGTATTGTGGGTGAGAGTGAGGTGAACTTGGGGATGTCCATTTTTTCTCTTCAGACAGGTGAATGACAATTTATTCAAATTAAGACTTTGAGGCCATGCTAATGAACTCATTTCCTTTAGGTGGTTGTGCTTTGCAGAGCTAAGGACAAGTGATCTGATTTTTAAAGAAAGCCTGGAACATAGGCCATTCGGTGCTATGTGGTTCTCCAAAGGTGTAGTGTATGGACTCGGGGAAAACAGTATGATTCTCCCCATGTTATAACAGTAATTAGGTACAATACCAGTGATGGTGGTTTAGGTTTTCTCATCATTGACTCTTAGGCTCCCAGGCCAAATACCTTTGGGCAGAGAATCACAGTTCCCACACCTGTCTAATCAATAAAATGAATTAGTAATCTTGTTAAACTACAAATTTATAAATTCCACCTTAGAGCTACTAAATCAGACTCGATGCTGGGGAACTAGCTTGAGGAATTATTCTTAAAATTTAGCTTCCTGTTTTCTGTGATTCTGATTCTTTTTTCTCTGATACAATAGCTTTTGTCCATGATTCTATGGACAGATCCTTGGGAGTACATAATCTCATGTGACCCCTTTTTATGGGAATCCCAATCTGGATGATGCTTGGAGTATTGTCCCCCAATCTCACGGCTCTATGTCCTTCTCAAAAGACCCCTAGAAGCAGAGGGAGATACAATGGGTAAAGTTAGAAAGTGGGAAGAAAAGGCACGTTTAGGGAAAAGGGAACAGGTAACTGAGGTAGATTGATGAAAAGTAGTGAGTGGTGTTCAGGTAGGAAGTATGCCAATTTGTTTGTAGAGAGCTTTCAATGTGAGGCTGAAGTTTTAGCCTAGGAAATAGAGTACTGGTGAAGGTTTGAATAGTAGTCAGTAATTTGGGATGATTATTCAGTAGCAATGTATATTATTTCTTCAAATGGATGGCGAGTGGTTAGAGAAACTAGCGTGGTTCACTTCAGTAGTCCAGACCACCTGAAATAGGATGGCAACTGAGGTGACAGAAAACAGGGAATACCTGAAAGAATGAAAATGGAAAGACAGTGACTATGGGATGCAAAAGTGAGAGGCATAAAAAATTAGAAAAAGAAATAAAACCCATGACTCAAATCTCTAAACCTTCTGTTTCAAGGGCAATAGAAGGCTATTAAATGAATTAGAACAGACATTTCATTGGAGAGAGAAAAAAAGTTTGCTTTTAAGCATTATTACATATATACTAGCAACACCAAGGTAAGCAAACCATGTGCCTCACAGGCTGTATGGAAGGAGGTTACACCTGGAGAGCAAGTTTTATTCTGAATTTTGTGCCTGGCACACAACAAATACTTTATTTTTGAATGACCAGTAGGACTTGGAGAGAAAGATCGAAGGCTTTTAATGAGTTTATTTAAATGATTGAACTTTGGCATAAATGGTTTTATTTTTTCTAATCACGTTTAAACATTCTCTGGATCTAATTTCCATGACCCTTGATGACATCTTTTTATGGATTTTATGTTTTCTAATCATTTGGTTATCAGAACGGTCTCATTTTTGTCATTAAAACTCTTTGAGATACTAAAGTACAACCCTGTGCTTTACAAGTTGAATCTCATATTCAGATCTTGCCATTTCTGGCTTCTTCTGACTCTCAGGGGTATAGATTATACTGGAAAAGGAGTATAATCTAACATTTTCTCATCTTTTTTTTTTTTTTTTTTTTTACTCTTCCTCTCTGCCTGGTTTCCTAGTCTGTGAGATAATCCATTGTTGGGGAAGGAGAATTCATAAGTAACACAATAGATGGATAATATAAAAAGAAGCTAATGTTTTCTAGGCTGATGTTTTATGTAGTTACCTGTATAGTAGGCACCCACCCCCACAAGGTGGCTGTCTTCTGAACACATTTTTGAATGGTTCTGTGGTCATCCATTTTTAATGATGTTTCCCTTAAACAGTTTTGTGACATAGACAATATACTTTCTGACAAGTGTCTACCCCGCTCAGGTCCTGCCTAAGCAAAGCCATCCAGCCCGTATCCCTTACAGTTCACCATTGCCTATCAACATCCTCAGAAGGTGTGTGTAAGATGTTCTGAGGCTGACTTCATACATTTTGCTATTTCAAGCAGCAGAAATGCCTTTCAAATACTGTCTCTTCCTACCTTGCCATCAGGCTGCTCCAGAGACCTCCTTCACTCAGAACACTCCATGCTAGAAATTGCCACCAGTATCTATGATACTGTTTGTCCCCAAGTTTCAGTATCAGATATACAGTGCTCAGTGTACGAACTTAGGCCTGTGAGTTTCTGAAGTTCAAGCTGCCTCGGGGAAATGAGCTGTCATTTCCTTTTTCTTCCAGACCGGCCCCCACCCGGCCCCCACCCCCCCCCCCCCCCCACTATCTTGAAGAGTGGTCTCTTGGAGCCACTGTCCCTTGGTTTGGAAGAAGGTAGGAACAAATGTAGCAAAAGCATTCTCCCTCAGACCTGTATTTTCCATGACTTTCAGTCAAATATCTAGTGTGCTCTCTGCATAAGGCTGAAGGTAGTTGGGGGGATGAGGTTAATCCATCTGTGAGGATGCGTCTACTAATTTTTCTTTCTAATAAGGGGATATCAATTATCTTTTGCTCAAAGCTTTAGCTGAAAATCTGAATACTGGTAAAAACCCACTCAATGTCCTAGTATACGTTTATTCAACCTATATCATTTACTGGTTCTATAAATGCCAGATACTGTTTGCAATACTCAAGATCACAAACAAGGTCTTTGCTTTCACTGAACTCACGTTCATCTTGGAGAGTGGAGGAAAGTTAGAGGAAACAGACAGTGAACAAAATAAAAAAAAAAATAGCAGGTTCACATTCATGTTAACTATGCAGAGTTAAAACCAGATCTACTAGGTGACTGGATGATTCACCTGGAGTGTGTGGGGCAAGCTACAAAGGAGAAGACAGAGCTATTTAGTGTCTATTCATTTGATATGTTGAGGCCTTAAGGATAGTGAGTCAAGTTGAATCTGCCATCTGTTAGTGTAAATAAAGTTTTATTTGAACACAGCTGCATTTGTTACTATATTGTCTATGGCTGCTTTCATGAAACAGCTGTAGATTGAGTAGATGAGACTGAGGCTGTATGATCTGCAAGTCTAGAATATTATCTCTCTAGTGCTTTATAGAAAAAGTTTGCTGGCCCTCTGCTACAAGAGTAAAATCCATTATACCATGCTTTATACATTAAGCATCTATTAACCTACCAAGAAAGAGTTATTTTTATTCTTCAGTGAGTTAGAGTCATATTTATTCCTGCTGTCCATCAGTTCATCCTAGAATTATTAAATTCTTACATGTAGTTGCTTCATATTGATTAAAATCACTTATTAAACCTGTTTATTGAATAAGTGTTGGCAACCATGGGATTTTGCCTGGCCCATGTATTGGATATAGTCGGCTTCTCAGTAAGGTAGAGTATTTGTTGATTTAGATGATCCAGAGCCTATCATAAATACCAGTGCATTCTCATAGCATGGCTTAGGTTCTCACTAATAAAGCATGCCTATTCTTATAGTCTAGGATTTGACTTCCTGCTCTTTGTCTGCCTCCTATGAAATATTTTTAAATGTTTTGTCTTTCCAATTTGTGTCCTTTTACAAAATGCCTGTCAAATACTGATTCCCTTCCACAATGGGGCTTGAATGCAGCTGACAGTCGTTTTGTTTCACGACATTGATTCATGCAGCTCCTGCTGCTGCCAAAGTACTTCTTTGTGTACCAGCTTCATACATTGACCTCAGCTCAGGGCTGGGGACAGGGTTTGTTTAGTGGCTGCAGCTGGGGGATATTTTTCCTGATATTATAAGTTGTACTGCTGTAGACCTTTTTAGCTATCATCTCTATGCCTTTCAAGAGTGTTCTAATTGTGGTAACTCAACAGCCCTGTTGTAGAAGATAAAATTATGCTCTTTTGTACAGAAGCAAACCAGGTAAAGGAATTTGTCCAAGTTCATGTAGGGAGCTCTCAGGTATCCCAAAACCAAGGCATCATGTGGTGCTATTTCTTTTTATCAAATATGCAAATGTTATCTGCTTTTTTGTGATCCCAGTTGTCTCTTCATAATTTCTACCATCCCACCTCTTGTTAGTGAATTTCCCATTGGTATTTACCAATTCTTCCTGCAAAATTTTGGATCTTTTCTCCTGATGTGACCCCAAACTCTATACCAATTCTTATACTTTTTATTAAACTATTTCCAGGGGGATTTCTACATACATTCAAATAGGCATAGATGTCCATTTTGTATCACAATACAAATCTGAGCCCTCAGTCCCCTGTCTTTGCTGACAGTCTAAGGCATTACCAGATTAACTCAATGTAGCATTTATTATCTCTGCTCTTATTTTCTCTGGTATCCTTGTTATTTTACCATTGTTGGACTTAATTTATATTTTGAGATTTTTTTCTTTTTCTTTTTTTTGAGACGGAATCTCGCTCTGTTGCTCAGACTGGAGCGCAGTGGTGCGATCTCGGCTCACTGCAAGCTCTGCCACCCGGATTCATGCCATTCTCCGGCCTCAGCCTCCTGAGTAGCTGGGACTACAGGTGCCCGCCACCATGCCTGGCTAATTTTTTGTATTTTTAGTAGAGACAGTGTTTCCCTGTGTTAGCCAGGATGGTCTCGATCTGCTGAACTCGTGATCTGTCCACCTCGGCCTCCCAAAGTGCTAGGATTACAGGCGTGAGCCACCACACCTGGCCTATATTTTGAGTTTTATGTACTTTTCCTCCACTCTTTTTCTTCTTGCCTCTGATAGATTCCACAATTACCTCTTTTATGATTTACATTCCTTCACATAGTCTTGTACATTTCCTGTCTTCCAGACTTCTTACTTAATGTTGACTGTCCTATCTCAACCACACAAAGTAAAAGACTTGCCTGAACCTCAGAATCATCTTCATTCCAACAGGTTATTCCACTCTCCTGTAAGTTATAGTCATTCTAGGGGCTTTTGTTTTCACATTTTTTTATTGTGGTAAAATACACATAAGATTTACCATCTTAACCCTTTAAAAATTTATATTTCAGTGTTATTAAATACATTTACAGTGTCATGCAATCATCCTCAGTATCCATTTCCATAATTTTTTTCATCTTGCAAAACGGAAACTCTGTATTCATTAAACAATAGCTCCTCATCCACCTCAGCCCCTGACATCCAGCCTCCCACTTTCTGTCTCCCTGATTTTGGCTACTCTAAGTATCTGATAGAAATGGAATCATGTAGTATTGGTCTTTTTGTGACTGGCTGATTTCACTTAGCAGAAAGTTTTCAAGGTTCATGTTGTAGCATACATCAGCAGTTTCTTCCTTGTCAAGGCTGAGTGATATTTCATTGTATGTATATACCACATCTTATCCATTCATACACGAATGGACACTTGGGTTGCTTCCATGTTTTAGCTGTTGTGAATCATGTTGCTATGAACATGGGCATACAAATGCATTTTGAGATTCTGCTTTCAATTATTTTGGGTATATACTCAGAAGTCAAGTCATTCAAGATCATGTTATTTAATTTCCATATAATTGCATGGTTTTGAGCTGGTACCTTTCCTACAGAAACTATTTCAAAAACCTGAGGAGGAAATCCTCCCTCAAGTTAGTCTATGAGACCAGCATCTTGATACCCAAACCTGGCAGAGATACAATAAAAAAAGAAAACTTCAGGCTAAGGGAACAGAAGAGCAAGAGATCTTCCCTCAATGAGTTTTGTTAATGTTATAATATATCTTTTGGAAATTCATGCTTAATAAAAGCCAATCCCAGCAGTGAATGACGGCATAATTCGCACACATCCTAGAAGTCAAAATATATGAAAACATTTATTATACATTTCTTATTAATATTATCTTTCAGTTATAAATGTATACCATGAAAAATGTACTAAATTCAAACCCAGGCTTGCTGTTTTTTTAAAAAAAACTCTTAGTTTTTAAAATAAATTTATTTTCTGTTTTTTTTTTTCCTTCCCCCATCCTTGAATCCTGTTTCTACACTGATTTTTCACACTAATCTCTGTAAAATGTGAATCTTAGTCTGTCATTGCTGTGAAATATTCCTTCTCTGGCTCATTGCCTAAATGTTGAAGTTCACACTTTATACAAGTAATGCAAACTCTTCATAATCTGACCAAAATTGTTTTACCTTCCTCTCTTTAGAATGGCCTCTCCATCTCTCCCTTGCCTCTCCTCCATACTTTCTAATGTAGGAGGCGGCACCCACTGATCTGCCAGAATTCACTCTAAGCACCACACTCTCTACTTTTCTGTATATATATATATATACATATACGTATATATATGTATATATATACGTATATGTATGTGTATATATATATATGTATATGTATATATGTGTGTATATATATATAATTTAAGTTCTAGGGTACATATGCACAATGTTCAGGTTTGTTACATATGTATACATGTGCCATGTTGGTGTGCTGCACCCATTAACTTATCAAAGGGCACTCTCTAATTTTCTTATGGCCCCCTTCTCTGCCAGAGAATTGACCATTGTTTCCTTTCCGCTAAAGCAATGTGAATACATGATGTATGACTAGGCTGTTCCCTCATCTATAGGCAAATCTGCATTATTTAGGGAGAAGACTTGAGCTGGGTCTCAGACCTCAGATATGGATGTTAAAAATTTTGAAATTCCAACTAAATATTTGAAATGAATGAAACTATGCTCATCCAGTTCCCATGATAAAATTTAGTGGTGTGTGGGATATAGACAGATATGTTACAGCTTTTGGTTTAGCATTTTTAGTCTAGCAAAACATCTTAAACTGGAACTTAAATGATTGCACTACAATGTAAAATACTGTGTTACCTAAACTGCACATTTGCTCATTTCAGTCTCTGATTCTTATCTTCTATTTATGACTAGCCCAATAACACTGCCAATATCATGGACTTTACTCAACTGATGCTACCTTGCTTTGGAAACTTATCCTAAACAAGAAGCGCGTGCAAAGCAAATCTTATTTTCCATGCTGACAATATTAGATGCCTTATACCCTTAGACAAAGTAGGGGTCTGAAATAAGCATTGCTCTTTTAAATGCCAAAAAGGCTCTATTTTTCCTAATTATACATCCACCACAGTGATTCATAAAACTTTGTAAAATAAAACGAAAACATAAGTGGTAGAGAAATAAATTATCCTTGAACTACTTCTGACCCTGTTTCTCCAAAATAGCATGTCATCTTTTGGGTAAATTTTCTTATATCTTTCCACATACTGTCGTCTTTCTATGAATTGCTTTTTTAAAAATAATATATATAATTTAGCTCTAATTTCTGAATTCAGACTTAAAGCCTATTGAAACTGGAAGGAACCAACGATTATCTGATTCTCTTTTATTCCACTAATAGGAAAACCGAGACTTCACAAATGTCACACAGTTTGTAAAGCATGGAAGTAGCTTGGATTCTGATGTCATATATAAAACTAATTTCTGCTGTGAAATTATAAACACATGTATGAACAGAGTTATAAAACACAAACTTTGTATTAGTCATTTTGGGTTATTTTAGCTTTAGTGGTGGCATGACATGATTAAATAAGTTTACACTAGAATACCTAAATAGAATTCTATTTTGTTTTCAGTGTACATTAGGTTTTATTAGACTTAATCATGTCATGCACTTGAAAAATCTGGCAAAAATATCTAGGGTAATATAAAAACAGAATCTATCCTGATTGGGAGGGAAGTCCTCTATATTTCTTATCTCAACAAATTGCTAATTTAGCATGTTGGGGACAAAAGGGAAAAAGAATTCTTAATTGTGATGCTACACATTTCAAAACAATTTAAAGGACTTGCTAGGGCAAGAATTCAATCATCTCAGAATAATGCTAATATTATTCTTTGTATTTATTTGGTTTTCAAGTGCTGGCAATAGTCCCACCTTTAGGTCAAGGAGTGACAAAGGAATAATGTAGAATAATGTCCCAGTTATAGGTAAAGTATTCCCACTGGCTCAAAGTTTCTGATATTCTTCAGTAAATTAGAAATCTAAATCTACAGAGCAGAGTTTCCACTTAAGACATACTGCTATGTAAGCCTTTTATTTCACTCAAAAACTTTTAATATAATGACTACAATTTACTTGCCATGTTCTTTATCTTGATTCTTCCTTTCCCCATCACTTATACTTAGGTGTGTGTATATATAGAAGCTTTTTCCCGTCTAGTCGCCCATCTGCTTCTTGCTGAGCTCAAAGTAGGTAACAACCGCCTATCTGTGATCAAATGCTATACTTCAAGCCACATATCATGACAACAGTGAACATGCTAGGCAGGAGGAGGAAAAGGTGGCTAATTTTGAAGAATAGAAGCTGTGATTTGGACACAAATAGGTTGGTAATAATCCCTTAAAGTACCACCATTTAGAATAAGAACAAAAAAGGCAAACAAGCAGAGTGATTATGATAAAGTATAGTTCTGATTTCAGACTCTCAGGGTTTCTTGAACTGAAAAGCATCCCTTTTAGAGGGTAAAGGTTGTCTGGTGTATATATGCACGCCATCAACAAGGGAGGACCTCTGCCTTTTCAGGATACCTTATCTACAGTTGAAAGTTTTTTGTCTCTGGCTTTGATCTCCCTGTAATCCTTCCCTATTGGGTCCAGTAGAGAAGAGCTACTCATTTTATATGGTCGCCCTCCTATTCTCTGCATAGGCCTGTCAGGCTACCAGGCCCCCACTCTGATCTCACTTGCTGCCAGCTCACTGGAGCCACTAGAACTTTTATTCACTAAGATAAACATATTTTACTGCAAACATTCCTGATGTGGCAGATCTTTAGACTTTCTAACCATCCTGTTTAATTCCATAACCTTTCCAGTATAACCAGCTACCTTTAATGGGCATGATAGAGTAGGTGTGTTTTAAGTGACAGAGAGAAGATTGGGACTGACCCCTACTTTGTCCTTGTACATGGCTATGAATTCACTGAAATATTCACCTTCTTTGGTGACCACATTATTTGTTTAACTTTCATTGAGCTTCCTGTCTACTAAATTACCTCATATTCATGTGTTATTTCCAAAGTCCATTATTTTGACTTACAATTGCACCAATGTAAATTATATTACACTGATTTCCATTAATTTTTATTTTAATGTATTTTATAGTAAAGATATTTTTGAATCAAAAAATGAATATTGAATGCTCCCAGATCATGAAGGGGATATTAAGCAGCAGCTATCCTGACCATCTGGATTCTTGTGGTCATTTAGGAAGAGGATGTTGATTTCTTCTGGTTTTCATCAATGTGCCAGAAATAGGATATTTTACTGAGTGTCATGATTTGTGAGTCACTTAGGATCATCAAATCTATTTATCATACATTTGATTAGAGAGTTGTACGAGAAGTTTTTAAAACATATTTTACTTTAGACATTTTAAATGTATACAAAAAGAAAGAATGGTGTAATCCAATATATCTATCTTTTATAATATATGTGAATTCAATAATTATCAATACATGGACAACCTTGTTTAGTCTATATTCCTACCGCTTTTCTTGCATTATATTTAAAGCAATCTCAGAAATTATTTTTTCCTCTATTTTGTTATATATGTAAACAAATAAAGTGTTTTTGTTTTAACAAAACCGCAATATCACTTTCACAACTAAAAAGCAATAACAACACTTCCTAGTATTATCACATATCCAGTTAGTGTTTACATTTCCTGGATTGTCTTTTATATTGATTTATCTTGTTTTATTTTTTTCTAATCTTCTGTTTTTTTTCTTTTTTTTTTTTTTCAATCAGTGCATATAAAGTGTATATATTGCAACTGGTTTGTATACCTCTTGTCTCTCAAGGCTCTTTTTATCTCTATAATTTTGTTTTTTTTTCTTTTCTTGATATATTATTTTGGAAGAAATTACATATATTTCTTTTTTGGCTTGGAGAGTTTCCCGTAGTCTGGATTTTTCTGATTGCATCCACATGGTATCACCTAATATGTTTTGTGTGTTTCTGTCCTTTAAATTTTCTAGAATGCATTAGTTAGATCTAGACACTTGATGAAATTTGTGTTCTATTAATTTACTTTTGCAAGACTACTTCATAGATGATACTCTGCTGTGTCCTTCCATTAGAAGGACAAGCCTGTACCAAGTCAGAGCTGCGAATGCAGGAAGTGCTTTTTCAGATGTCTTTGAAATTAACCATTAACTCTTCCATTGCCACCTTAAAGGAATAAGTCAGTGTTGTTAGGCACAACAAAAGATTTACACAACTTGTTAGATGAACACTGGAGCACTCAAACTCCTCCTGGAGCACTTAAACTCCTCAATCTAGAAGGTTTGGAAACTGGACATAAACAAAAGGCGGCCATGTATCAAAGTAAGTATACATGTAGTATAATGTTTGGTTGATTCTCTTTCTGTGATATTTGCAGCCATTGATGATCATTGCATAGATTCATTAATGTAGGCATTGTATGATGTTCATATTCTGTCATTCATTTTCTATTTATTAGCTAGAATACTTACCTTAAAAAGAAATACATCTTCTTCAACTATTGAGTTCCTATGAAGTGAAGATACAAGAAAATAAGAATGAATGCTCACCTTCCTATTGTATATCTTTTAAAAATAATGAGAATTCACTAGCATCTCCCAAAGGTGATCAGTGGAGTGTGTATGCTGTATTTAGAATCATTATGCTAACATATTGAATGTGTTTGTCCATTGTACTTACTATTTTTACTGGTGCTTAAATGTGTCCCTTCTTGGGCCAGTAGCCATTTTGCCTGGCTGCTCAGTCCTGTCTATATGACTCTACTAGACTCTAATACTCTCATTGATGCTGACATCCCAGAGTCATTTTTATATCAAGAGTGCTGAAGTTGTAAACTTAGGAGTGAATAGATCCAGAAGGGTCAACCAGAGTACCTTTCTTTTTTTTGTTTTTTGAGTCGGAGCCTTGCTCTGTCGCCCAGGCTGGAGTGCAGTGGCGTGATCTCGGCTCACTGCAAGCTCCGCCTCCCGGGTTCACTCCATTCTCCTGCCTCAGCCTCCTAAGTAGCTGGGACTACAGGTGCGCGCCACCATGCCCGGCTAATTTTTTGTATTTTTAGTAGAGACGGGGTTTCACAGTGTTAGCCAGGATGGTCTCAATCTCCTGACCTCGTGATGCGCCCGCCTCGGCCTCCCAAAGTGCCGGGATTACAGGCGTGAGCCACTGCGCCCGGCCTCGGAGTACCTTTCTTGAGGGAACAAGAGGAAGCAATTTCATGACCAAATGAAGTAGAAATTTTGCTTTCTAAAATCCAAGAAAGAGAGCTACAGTTGAATACTTGGTTTCACATTCAAAGATGAAGCATGGAATTGTCCTGATAGACTTTTCTGGGATAATAGAATAGGTTGTACCACTAAGAAATAATAATGATAATGGCAATAATAATAGTAATAATAACAATATGGAATCCCAGCCAAACACAGTAATGCTTTTAGAGTAAACATTTTTTTATATAGTTCTACATTCAAAGTTCATAACAGTAACAAAATCATGTAATCAGAGACAAGTGTGCATGTAAATTATGCTAAAAATATCATGTCATATTTATATAAGTTGAACTTCCCATGGTGCTTTAACAGACATTATTTCTATTTAATTACAATCTTTATGACAGATATTGAAGGGGAAGAATTAACTCACAGACTATGCTAGCACGTTGTTGCTTTCTGGGGAAATCTTAGTGGATGTTTCTTTGTGATTTAAATAGTGATGGCATATGTGAAATAGTAGACAGAGGCCTTCTGACTTCATTCTGGTAGTCTTGGTGTTATACTACTGAAAAAACAGGATTGTAAAATGTAAAGTCTTGCCTACAAAAATAGCAACTTTTCTTCTCAGTATACAGTTGTATCATCTTTTATAGTATTCATACTTAATGAGTGTAGTCGGATACACCAAGGATTTTTTTTTTTGCCATGATAGATGGCAACAGAGTCAAATCACCAAATATGCTAACCTATTGCTTTTCCATGGTTTAACATCCCCCCTTATATCACCCTTATCTCATTTTTTGTCTTTACTATTTTTTTCAAATTCATTAGGAAGTTGGAGTGCTTAATATTTCTAACTACTTTAGTGACAAGTCTGAAAAATAAAGGCACGTCTTTCTGAGAGCAGTTTGCAGAGAACTGCACTCTAGAGCTGAAGAAACACCAAAGAGCAATTTGTAGTTAGATTTAGCACTAATTACCACCTGCTTTTCCATTATGTTTACCATAGTTGCATGTTTGTCTCCAGCATGAGATTGTGATTACATATCCTCATCCAGATCATTATGGAATAAGAGTACAGGCTGTGTGTGAGGCACGACACTAGACAATGCACTATGTTGAAGACATGAAGAGGAATATACACTGTCCCTGCTCAAAGGGAAGTCTGGTGCAATGGCAATAGGAGGAGGAAGAAGGTGCACAAAGACAATCACAACACAGTAAGTTCAATGGTGGAGATGTGTGTAGCATAACACGGGAATAGAGGAGGAGGAGAACACCTGGCCCAGTCTGAAGGAGCCAGGAATTAATGATAACTTTCTTTCTACCCCAGCTGTTAGCACAGTGCTTGTGAGTATAAAGCAAGTGCTCGTTGTTTATCAGAAATAAAATTATGTTTAGGTTTGTCAGTGTTTTATGAGAGAAATGATTCCACTGTTCTTACCAATATATTTTTATTCAAGTGATTTGTTTTCTAGGGAAAAATACATGTTTAAATGTCTTCATCAGAAACCTATTACAAGAAAGGAAAAAGAACAATGTAGAAGAGCCAGAACCAGCATTTAGGGCAGGGTTTAGGGATCTGAGAGCATTATTTACCCTGTTAGTACCCATGGTTGATATATTTAATATTATTAACTGGACTATACTTTTCTCCCTTACTGCATCCCAACATGCCATGTATGTGACCATCAATGTATTTTTTGAAGAATTAGAGTGTCATTTCTGAAAAATTGCCAGAAATGATACTAAATTCCATAGGTTGGTGCAAGAATGTCTATGGCTTAGTATCACTAAGCAATACAAGGGAAGGTCAGCTCATCCTGCCTTTGCATTACTATCCACTAAACAACAGGTGGTAGAAAATCTCTGCTTTGTAAATCTTTCAAAAGGAATTGCTAGCCCAGGCACAGTGGCTCATGCCTGTAATCCCAGCACTTTGGGAGGCTGAGGCAGATCACATGAGGTCAGGAGTTTGAGACCAGCCTGGCTAACATGGTAAAACCCTGTCTCTGCTAAAAATATAAAGATTAGCAGGGTGTGGTGGTACACGCATGTAGTCTCAGCTACTTGGGAGGCTGAGGCACGAGAATCACTTGAACCTGGGAGGCAGAGCTTGCAGTGAGCCGAGATCACATCACTGTACTCTAGTCTGGGCAACAAAGTAAGACTGCCTCCAAAAAAAAAATAAAAAAAAAAAAGTGAATTACTGATCAAAGAATTTTCTGTTAAGTAGATGAGAGCATTGGCTTTAACCAAAGGCCTAATGTCTACATGCTACCTCTAAGTATCTAAATATTAATGTTCTTTTACTTTGTCTACAAAACACGTTGATACAGCTTTCATTTTCAAGTGTACCTAAACAGGGAGATTTGTAATAGTGAGGGTGTCCTACTTCTCATTAGTTGTTTGATGGCTATGTTTAGTAAGGTTTTGATATTGGATTATCTTATTTGAATGCTGGTAATTTCAGAAACACTAAGACCCCAGAGGATTACACTGTATCCACCTTTTTGGCTAACGGTTGACACTTGTTGATTGGGGTCAATAAATCATCGGTATTCTTTACCTTTCTAATAGCTGTCACTCTTAAATGTTGAAGCATTTCAGGCCTAAAGCATCCTCAAGGACCATCAAAGAATATTGAGGAGGAAATAAGCCTCCATCCCTCAGTGACAGTTTTAAGAAACTTTCAATTTCTCTGATGAATTTACATATATTTTTCTTGTCTTTTGCTTTGTTGTCTTTCCAGTTTTACTTTTAGGTGAATGAGTTCCTCTTTGCTCGAGGTCTTTCTATAGCTACAATAGATTTCACAGAGCTAATATTTCACCCAATGTCCAATGTAAATAAGAATCATATAATTAGACTTGGGTGCATAAGAACCTCTGCCCATCTGGACTATGATGGAGTTAGATTAGCAATCTCCATTATATCTTCTTCTATCTTCTCATTAAAATAATAATGACAAATAAAGATATCCCATTAAATTTGGAAACTAACAAATTTAGTGCAGGAAAAAATTCTACTTTTTAGATGGATAAATTTGTAGCAAAAAAAAATCAGTTGATTAATCATTATTTTCATCCAACAAAATGTTGTTTACACCTGTCTTAAAATCTAAACTCCAATACCTTGGTAGAAATTTAGAAATTGTCTTCTTAGCTTCTTCAGGTTAAGTTTTCTCTTTATATTCCATGTTTTTATACCACATACATCCTTTATACCACATTGAAAATGCTATTTCTGTATATAGTTAGACAATATAATTCCTGGTACAAAATAGGTAATGTGTGAGGGGAAATGAGTGGTTGGGAACCATACTCAGTGATGTAATCTCTCCATAGAAACCTTGGAGAGGTGTCAGAGAATGGGAGGAGATGTGAATAAAGAACTTGTTGAAGGAGTATACTATATATAGTCAAGAAGAACTACAACTACTTAAATTTCTATAAAATAAAAATTCTTAGTACAGTTAGGTAACAGCAAGATTTAATGACAGACCAATGGGGAGTATATGAAGTTTTTCAGCTAATATAAGGAACAGTCATTTGAAGAGTTGGGAAAAAATTATACCTTTTTGAAATACGTTTCTACAAAGCAAAAAGTATGATGTATATTCTTTGTATTCACATAAAGTTAAGGGAAGCTCAAATATATATTTAAAAATCATGAAGTTGGTAATTGATAAAATTTTTATTTTATCAATAAAAAAGCAAGATAGTTGATAAATGAAAAATCAAAGGAGTGGAAAATATGGCAAGTATAGCTGGTTTGACAATATATTTAAGTGGTAGAAGCTACTTTATTACAAAAGCAAATTGTTTGAGATTCTATTAAAGCCAATACCACTACTTGCCCCTTTCAAGATATATAACACAAATATAGAAAAGAGCTTAAAGATTCAATAATATAAAAAGGCAAAGGAGTTTCAATATTAATCAGACAATATAGGACAAAATTTAAAAAAATGAGAAAGTCATATGTCAATAAAAGTATAATAAAGTTTTAACTTCTGTGTTGGCATTCAAAATATGATGTAAAAACCTATTAGGAGCAATATCAGGAACCTATTTGTTGAAAACTTTCAGCATTCTTATTGTCTGGTACAGATCAACAAGACATAACACTGATTTGGATAAGACAAAGCTCGGAAAGGATACACATTCCTTCTCACAGAATACAATTATGACTCTAATTGAGTTGCACATAGTTTTAATTGGATAAAATCTACAGCTTGGAAATTTATTGGATTTTAATTTAAAAGATGGGGAAAAAACCTTCCAGATCAAAAAACTAGTGGCATTAACATTTAAAAAATACATAATTATGTATTATCTGAGTGTACCATAATCATAGAAGGTAAATTTGGGTATGGTTGCGTGATATTAATATGTTTAATCTATGTAATTGATGTTAATGTTTTCCTTCAAATACTAATGGCACTCACTAAGGACGTTTTCTCAGTTTATCTTGGCTCAACTTTGCATGTTGCAGGATATCCTCTGCTTTTTTTTTTTTTTCCTGGGAAAAAAAGATTGCTAAAGGTAACTGGCACAGATTTACGATTTCTTTTTTCTTTTGAGACAGTTTCCCTCTTGTTGCCCAGGCTGGAGTGCAATCACGTGATCTTGGCTTAACGCAACCTCTGTATCCCAGGTTCAAGCGATTCTCCTGCTTCAGCCTCCCAAGTAGCTGGGATTGCAGGCATGCACCATCACGCTCAGCTAATTTTATATTTTTATGTTTTTAATAGAGACAGAGTTTCTCTATGTTGGTTAGGCTGGTCTCAATCTCCCGATCTCAGGTGATTCACCTGCCTTGGCCTCCCAAAGTGTTGGGATTACAGGCATGAGTCACTACACCTGGCCAGATTTATAATTTTATTGTGGGGAGGAGTAAATAATTTGTATAATATGTGGATATTAGTGAAGCAGGATATTTCCCTGACCCCTGTTGCAGGACTCGTAACAGGGGTGCCTTGTTTACTCAGCCTGCCACTCTCATCTCCTCAGAAGTGGGAGTTCATGAGTGAACAAGGCAGAAAGTGGAATGCATGAGCACTGGAAGTGGAGTGTGTTTTGGGTACTGGCAGGAACAAATTCTGTTTACTTGGCTCACCACACTCAACTCCTTACGGGAGGGGGCAAGTAGGTGAGCTAGCACAGGATCTGGCTGGCTGCTTTTGGGTGCCAGCAGGAGCAAACTTTGTGTAGGCCTGCAGCAGCATCCAGGTAGCAATGCCTGTGACTCCTGAAGCCTGAGAGGGTTTGTTAGTGTTCTTTCAGCTTTGCCATCCATGGGTGGCTTAAGTGTTAACAGCTCAGTGGGCCCTTTGCCTTTTTGGGTGAGGCAGCTGCCCTCTGCCAATAAGGGCAAAGGGCCAGTACAACAGCCTTTTGTATCTGCACTTGTGGCTCCTAAGCTCTCGTCTGGTGTCCAGGAAAAATGAGGTCACACAAATGAATTGAAGGGTTGTAAATGGCAGGGGATTTTGTTGCTGATGAAAGTGGCTCTCGGAAAGGGAGCTGAAAAGGGGATGGGGAGGCTAGATAATCTTCCCCTGAAGTCTGGCTGTCTCCAGCCAGATTCTTCTCCAAAGTCACACCATAAAGCTGTCCCTCTGAAGTCAAGCTGCTTCTCTCTGACGTCCAGCCATAGTGCTGTCTACTGGCTGAGTCTGGGGTTTTTATAGGCACAGGATGTGGTTGGGTGGGGCTATGGGTGGTTTAGGAAAATACAACATCGGAGCGGGAAAACAGGGATAGAAGTTATGACTTTGGGCCACATTTTCAGGCTTTTTAGCTTGAGGGGTAGGGTTTTCTCCAGGGACCCATCCTTTTCTGCCTAGAATTTCTCTGCCTCCTATCCCCATCATTTCCCCCTCTAAAGAGGCACATCTAACTTTGCTTAGAATTTGGACAATGACTGATTTTAGCTACTTCCTGCTGACAGGGGGCATTGTTTTGGGGAAAATGGCAGTCAGACTCCTAGAGGTCTGCCTAAGGGCTCTTGGCCAAAGGGAGCCATTGTCCGAGGCTCTGGTTGCCTGACTAGAGTTTGATGGCCTCTTGGTGACAAGAAGCAAGTTTTACAAGGTTAAGTATGCATGGATCAAATGCATCTATAATACAAAGAGGGGTTAAAAGGAAAGAATCTAGTGCCAAAAATTATAGAAATAAGAAGTGAAATATACTAATCATTCAGACAATATTATGCCCTAAACTATTTCATCCTGGTGAAAGAAAATTAAGCTTTTATGGGAGCAGTTAAACTTTAGGAAAGAGATAACTGTTTGGGGTATAGACATTCCCATGGGCGTTCAGGATTAAGGGGTCTTTGGTAAAGGTGCCCCATGGTATAGAACAGAATGAAGGTAAAAACAGCAAGCATAGGCAAGACTATAAAGAGGATATCCACAGAAGGTCAATTATTAGCACTTATCTTTTGTGATTTTTTGCTTGAGGTGCTTGACCACTTCACATTGGTACTTTGGGTACTCTTCTGGGTTGACAGAGGTAAGTAACTCCACAAGCTTCCTAGACCTTTCCTCGGGTATAATGGATTCAAAAACCCATTCCAATGACCTATTGTAAAAGACTCAGGTGGCCACTTGCAGGAGGTTCTCTAAAGTACTATCTGGTCCCAGGGCCTATTTCTGCAGCTTCCTCCTGATAATCAGGGGCTGCTTGAGTGATAAATTTATCCTTTAGAATTAGTTGTCTCTCCACTGAATCGGGAGATAAAGAGGTGAGCTTTACCAAGGCCCCTCTTAGCCTCTCCAGGAAGGCAGTGGGATTCTCATCGAATCCCTGGTCTATCATGGATAACTTTGTATAATTGAGAGGGTTAGTTCTAGTTCTATGTAAGCCCTCCATTATGCATACCTGAAAATGTCTCCTCTTCCATTCTCCCATCTTGTCACTGGGATCCCATTTAAGTTCATCCAAAGACCTACTTCTCTTCCAGTTGGATAAAGTTCGACCCCATCCCTGACACCATATGTGATACAAAGCTCATCCCCAAATCTCTCTGCTGCTTGTAAAGCGACCTGCTTCTCAGTGTTAGTGTTTGATTCAAAAGGAACATGATGTCTTTCCGGGAGAGTTCAAATAATTTGGTTAAATTCTGGAAAGCCTCTATGTATCTGGCAGGGTCATCTGAAAACTTGCCTTAAGTCCCCTTGATTGCCTTAAGTCCTGTAGAGAGAAGGGGACCTGGGCCTTACTGGGGCCAAATTCGCTAGGCATCTGTTGGAGGGGTAAGAGTGAGACTGGGGCTTGTCTAGGGTGAGGGTGAGGATTTCAAGGAGGGGGCAAGTGAGAGGAGCTGGAGAGGGAGGCTGGGGCAGACTCAGAGGAGCAGGGCCAGAGGGAGGAGCTGGCTCCCCTTCTATAGGTGTCTCTGGGGTTCATTTCCTTAGTTCCCTGGGATTGTCCCTTGCAGCGTCTCCTGAGATGGCAAACAGGAGGGCTAGATCAATCCTGTATTGCCAGCAAAGGTCAAGATTACCCTGCAAGGAAGAGAAAGCCTGCACATATGGGGCCTCAGACCGTTTGCCCTCACATGTACAGAAAATGTCCAATTATAGGATGCTATCAAAATAAGTGGTTTCTTCCTGAGGCCAAGCCAGTCCTTCCTGCAGATCATAATTTGGCCAAACCTTTGTGCAAAGGGCTATGAGGTGTTTTTCCTCTAGACTCTGAGGGTCAAAGCCATCCCAGTGATTCAGGATATACTCCGGAGGAGTACAGACTGAGGATGGTGAGGATAGTGGGTTGCCCATTCTGAAAGAGAGGGAAGTAGATGTTTCTCATTTCTCTTCCCTTTTTCAGTGAAAATTCAGGGTGTGAGGGAGAGAGAAAACAGGCATCCCCCTTTCTTGTTTCATCTTTTCATCACCAAGTCCTGGTGACCTGGGACGTCACCCATGGGTGCCAGTGCAGCCTGCACCCATGAAGCAGGGAGGGCCTAGAGAATAAAAATTATCTGCTCTCACCGATACCTCCAACTCCCCTACTGTCATCAACCTTTGGGTTCCCTGGGCCTCGTCTATGCCATGGAGCATGGTGTCCTTCCATGAAGCGGGGACTTAATCGACATGAATTAGTCCTGCCCATTTATACTGTACCTGTTGCTTGGCTTTAGATCCCTCAGACCTGGTTTTCCTTTCAAAAGCTTCAACCTGAAGTTTAGAATTGAGTTTGGGACAAAAAGGTGTCTCGGGGGGTGAATGGATTCATTTAGATTAAGTCCCAGATGGGCCTTGCCAAATCTGCAATTATCAGCCAGTGAGGTCACTTCTCTGCTGCTTTACTATCATAAGCAGAGTGCTAAGGTAGGAGTTGTAGATTTGGTCTCTTTCAGGGAAAAAAAAAAGTGAGTTATTTGTCCTTTGATAATTTTCTTGGAATTTTTCTTTCTTTTTTTTCCTATTAGGTAGATGTTCTCCTGTATTCATACTGTTTTATCTTTCCCCTTTTCTATTTTTTCATGTTTTCTTTTTAAATTATGGATGATTCCTTCAACATGGTCTAAAACTTCTATTTTCTGTACCAATTATATTTAATATTTCAAGAGTATTCTCTTGTTCTGATATTTTTCATAGCTTCCTAACTTTTAGGAACCATCTGAAAACACTAATAAGAGGTCCCACCCCAATTTTTCATTTTTCTTTGTGATTCCCTTCCCCCACACCTGTATCATTTGTATTAGTCTCTTTTGGTTTTCAGGATTTCCTCAACATTTGTTCACGTGGAACCATGAGGAAATGGACACCTATTTGAGATATCTACATACTCATGCAAAGTTTCTTACATGTTGAGCTACAATTGGAGTCATAAAGATAATACATATTGGACTTCTAAATGTCAAACAGAAGTTCTGACCTGAAATGCCAGCTCAATATTAGCATCATAAACTCACTTCTACCATCTCTCCATTTTACTTGGTGTTTCTTATTCCAAGTATCTCTGGCATTCTTCCCAGCAAATCAACTCTTTCCTCAGTCATGGATGCCTCTGTACGTATTTAGGTCAGTACTTCCTCTAGCCTGTTGTATCAATTATTACATCTCTGTCACCATTCCGTAGTTTGTTATTGGATAAAGTCTCTCATTTTTAGATAGCTCATTTTCTATTTATTGCTTGTTATATGACTACACTTTTTCATTCCTTTACTCTAAATGTATTGGTAGTCTTAGGATAGTGAGAAATTAACATAATCAGTTTGCCATCTTTAAGAAGCTCAGTTTGATCTTTACCTGAGTTTATAATGCTCATGAAAAAGAAAATACCATGAAAGATGGATGTTTTATTGAATTGACATAAAATAACATATACATATTTAAATTATACACATTAATTTTGGCAAATGCACATTCTCATGAAACTAGTACAATCAAAATACTAAACATAGCCATCACCTTCAAAAGTTTCCTCATGACCCTATGTAATCTTTTCCTTCGATTCCCATCCCCCTTCTTTAGCATTCCCAGACAACCAGTCTTTGGTTTTCTGTTAAATAGATTAGTTTGCATTTCCTATAATTTTACACAAATAGGATTATATAAACAGCACATAATCTTTTTGTCTGGTTTCTTTCACTCAGCCTAATTATTTTGAGATTAATTCGTCTCCTTACATACATCAGTAGCTCACCCTTTTTATTACTGAGTACTCTTTTGTTGTATGATATACCAAGATTTGTTTACTCATTTACCTGTTAATTGACATTTTGGTTGTTTTAAGTTTTTGTCTATTAAAAATTAACCCTTGGCCTGGCATGGGGCCACACTCCTATAGTCCCAACACTTTGGGAGGCTAAGGCAGGAGGTTTGCTTGAAGCCAGGAGTTCGAGACCAGCCTGGACAACACAGCAAGATCCTGTTTTTATAAAAAATAAAAATAAAAAAAATAGCCAGGCATGGTGGTTCATGCCTATAGTTGCAGATACTTGGAAGGCTGAGGTGGAAGGACCACTTGAGCCCAGGAGCCTGAGGCTGTAGTAAGCTACGATTGCGCCACTGTACTCCAGCCTAGGCTACAGAGCGAGACCTTTTCTCTAAGAGGAAAAAGCCCTCCATGAACATTTGAATACAAGTCTTTGTATGGACATTTGCATTTATTTCTTTTGGGTAAATGCCTTAAGTGGAATGTCTGGATCACACGGTAGCCCTTTGAGGTGGCCTGAGCTACTATCTCCCTCTACAGTCATGCTTAAAGTCCCAAGGCTTTTATAGCTTAAAAATAGGAGCTAGTCCAGTTGAATTTCTTTTTATCATCAGAAAAGACTTAGGAAAAAATGAGTTTTCATGCCTACCATTTAAATTACCATTTCTAATAGCAACAAAAATTAAAGTACTGTTATGGATGAAACAGTGTCCCCTTAAAATTCATATGTTAAAGACCCAACCCCCCATGTGACTATTTGGAAATAAGGTGTATGTTTGTGTGTGTGTATGTGTGTGTGTGTCTGTGTGTGTGTGGGTGCGTGCATGCATACATCTATGTGGGATGAATATGAAAGTAGATAAGAATAAATGAGGTCGTAAAGGTGAGCCCTGATCTAATAGGATTAGTGTTCTTATGAGAGACATTAGAAATTTGCTCTCTCTCTCCCTCATGGGGTAACACAGCAGGGAGGCACCCATTTGTGTGGTGTTTTTTGTTCCAAGTAAGGAAGAGAGCCTTCACCAGAAACTGAATTGGCTAGCACTTTGGTTGTGGATTTCTCAGACTTCAGAACTGTAAGAAAATAAATTTCTGTCATTTAAACCACTCAATCCAAGGTATTTTGTTATGGTAGCCAAACAAAACTAATATAAGTACCTAAATCTCACAAAAGTAATGCATTGCCTTTATTTAGAAAATTGTATGACTTCATAGGAAAACATTGAAAAGATTAAATTATTTGTAAGATTTAGTATTATAAAAAAATGTATTGGCCTTTAATAAATCTATTAATTCAGTGTAATTCTAATAAAAATCAATACCAGTTCACAAAATCTGTATCATAAGAAGAGGTACAAGAATGATGAAGACATGAAGACACATTTACAGAAGAAGGCAAGCAGCCTTGCTTTACCGTGTTGTAGGGCTTATTATTAGGCCTTGATAATGAAGACCATCCTATTGCTAGAGAGAGTTAGACAAATATATCACAGGGAAAGAGAGAGCCTGGGGAACAGATCTGTGAATATTGACAAAAACTTTATATTTGATCAATGTATTATTATAGATTAGTGGGATGCTATGGTTTAAATGTGTACGTTCCTCCAAAATTCATATGATGAAATTGAAACTGCCTATTAAACTTGGGCAAAGCTTTTTATCTAGCAATCAGACTTGGAGATACAGAAACGCTTGCAGATACTTACTAGAAAACTGAATGAAAGTGTGTATGTTAGAATTGTGCTAGTAAAATATCATATGCAAGCCAAATACCCATCAACAGGGGAATGAATAAATTGTAGTACATTAATATAATTTGGTATTATAGAGCTATGAAGTGTGTTGAACTGGCATTATGTGGATGTATCACATAGTATTTAAACAAAAATAGGTTGGAGAAGACATATAATGCTATTTCCAACATTTTTATAAAGGTCAAAACAGATAAACCTAAAAAATAAGGAAACATTCAAATGTAATAAAATTATAAAGGTAAGAAATGTTAAACATAAAATTCGGGGTAATACCTACATCATTGAGAGTGGGAGGGAGAGAAATGGTGAGGAAAACATGGGGAAATTTAATTGAATAGGTAAAGTTCTATTTATTAAGTTGGGTAATGGGTACATGTCTTGACCATAATTTCATTATCATTTATATATGCAGAATATAATCTTGGAGATATTTTGTGCTTACTTTATATATATAAGTCATTTTTAAATATATGAAATCACAAATCAAGTAATAAAATTTGCTTTTTGTTTATCAAATTTATATGGTATCTTTTGACTCCTATGGTAAAAACTACAGGATTTTGTGCAATTGGTTATATTCCTTGTCACTTTTCCTTCTCTGAACCCTGATATTTATTAGATTACTATATTTATGTTGTCAACTATTATAACATTTTCTGTTTTAATTGCATTGAAGCTGACTGAGCTTTCTCTAAAGGTTGAGTGTGAATATTTAACTGCAGTAAACATTTACATTTTCATCACTTTAAGGTGGCTCACATCTGTAAGCCCAGCACTTTGGGAGTCTGAGGCTTGTGGATCACCTGAGGTCAGGATATCAAGACCAACCTGGCCAACATGGTGAAACCCCATCTCTACTAAAAATACAAAAATTAGTCAAGCATGGTGGCGGGTACCTGCAATCCCAGCTGCTCCAGAGGCTGAGACAGGAGAATTGCTTGAACCTGGGAGGCGGAGGCTGCAGTGAGCCAAGATCGCACTACTGTACTCCAGCCTGGGTGACAGAGCAAGACTCTGTCTCAAAAAAAAAAAAAAAAAAAAAATTATACACAGCGGAATCACGTAATGTGGTTGCAGTATGGAGTCGTTATGTACACTCTACTACTTGAACATAAATTTAAAATGTTATGGTCCCACAGATTAGCCTCAATTGTTTTGAATTCATCAGTAATTGTCAAACTTGATTGCGCATTAGAGTTACCTTGGGAACTTTGAAAAATGTTGATAACTGAGTGCCACTCTTAGAGATTCTGATTTTTTTTCCAGCCAGGTTTGAGGGTAGAAAATTTAGGTACAGGATTAAAAATTTTACAGTCAATTCTAATCTAGTTATACCATGATTCATTAGCTATTATTTCTATTAAAGAGTATCCCATATTTTCTTCTTATTAAAAAACATTTCTTCATTTTTTTTAGCTCTCTACTGAATTTTCTTCAGTAAATCTTTCTTTTTCTGGATGATATGTAAGTTTCAGAGTACTTGCCTATTTGAAAATTTCTCATTTTGGTCTTGTATATTTGACTGACAGCTTATCTGAGTATACATTTCTTAGGGCAAAAACACATTCAAAGAAATTGTATTTCAACATCCAGTAATGCTGAGAAGTGTGATGTCAGTTTGCTTTTTAAATTATGTGGATTTATGTCAATTGTTAAAGTTTTTAATATTTTGTCTTCATTCTTGGAGTTCTAAGTTCAACAGTGTGTCTTGCTGTAGGTATTTATTATTCTTAGCACTAGGTAGCTTCTTTCAATATGAATACTATTATCCTATATTCACTCTGGAAAATATCTTCTGTTTTTTTTTTTTTTTTTTTTTTTTTTTTTTTTTTGGCTAATCTCTAGACCTCCTTTTCTCCATCTGTTCTCTATTTCTGAAACTTTGTTACAGCAATATCCAATAAACATGTAAGGAAAGACATTTATATAATTTTAAATTTTCTTGTAGCCACATTTAAAAACTAAAAAGTAACCACTGAAAATAGTTCAAATACATTTAAATGTAACACATAAAAATAATTTAAATTTTATATAATTTTATATAAAATTTATTAAACATGTAGATAATATGAAATTTATTGAGACATTTTGCATTATTGTAATTTTTGTTATTAAGTTTTTGTGCATTTTACACTCTCTGTATTTCCTCCCACCCCTCTTCTCTCCTTTTTCTCCTTTCCCTTCTCTTCCCTTCCTCCCCTCTGTCCCTTCCCTCCTTTCTTTATATATCATACATTCGTTTGCCAATAATTATGTCATATTTTGTCTTGTTCATGGGTGCAATATTTCCTCAAATCTATCTTGGGTGAAACATTATTGTCACTTCCTATTCATGAATGAAGCATGTGAGTGATTAGTACAGGTGATGGGTATGTCCCATGGAAAAGATGACCATCTGTTCCACATAAATATCATGCTGACAGGAGGTCTTCTCTTGAGCTGCAGTAGAGGTGAAGAAGGCAGAGGTTTTGAAGTTGAGGATTTTAATCTGGAGTGTGTGTGTGTGTGTGTGTGTGTGTGTGGTGTAGCTCTTGGACTATGAATTCCCTGGGAATGGAGAACATGTCTCCTTTTCTCTTCCTTTCCTTTCCCTTCCTTTCCTTTCCTTTCCCTTCCCTTCCCTTCCCTTCCCTTCCCTTCCCTTCCCTTCCCTTCCCTTCCTTTTTTTTTGGTGAGTGGGGGAGAGGGGTAGGGGTGGGGGTGGCAGTTTCTCCTCTGTCACCAAGGCTGGAGGGCAGTGGTGCAATCATAGCTCACTGTAGCCTAGACCTGTCAGGCTCAAGCAATCCTCCCACCTCAGCCTCCCGAGTAGCCAAGATTACAAGCATGTGCCACCATAGCCAGCTAATTTTTAAAATTTTTAGTAGAGATGGAGTCTCACTGTGTTGCCAGAGCTGGTCTTGAACCCCTGGCCTCATGCAATCCTTTTGTCTTGGCTTCCCAGTGTTGGGATTACAGGCATAAGCCACTATGCCTGGCCTGGGAACATGCCTTTTCTATTTTTTATTATATATTGTCCAGAGTTTTACAGTTTACTTGACAGTAGGAATTCAATAGTTTGAAATAATGAGCAATTGCTTCTTTTTATTCTTCCTTACCACTTACTTTAGTTTTCTATCTTTTGATACTTGATTTTTGCTTTTCTGTAATCTTTTTATTTGGAAGCTACATAATTCTAACAATAGTTACCTTTGTAAGTTAAAAAGTGTTGGATTTAAAACTATATGTCAAATATAAATGTGTGTATGTATGTAGATAAATATATATACATATAAAATGTCCAATATAAAAGTGAATGTGTTGACTCCCTTCATAACACATTGTAAAACTGATTAATTTATATTATCTCCTTTCTCTTCCTTTTTACTTCTCTTTCATTGGCATATTTATGATCTTAGTCCCAGTCCACTATTAACAATTCACTATGACTATTATAGGTTTCTTTCAGGATTTATAAAATATACATCTGTTTGTCCTCATTATGAATAATGTTATTGACCTTCTTCTACATTCAGATTTGATGCTTTCTGCCTGGTCTTTCTACAATTAAACCACTGAATTAGAGTTTTTAAAATTCTAATGCAGCTTTTGGTTCCTAGGATTTCTCATCTTCAAATGGGTGTGAAATGAAGAAAACATTAACACTCTATTTCCTGATTTTTTGTTTGTTTAGGAAACTGTCTTCCAACTGGAATAAAAACTTAGGTGTGTGCACAGTTTTTCAGTCACATCTTTGTTTCCGAGACATTGTAGATCAACGTCCTGGCATCTAATGTTGCTTAGGAGAGGAGTCAGAGGCTGGCTCTATTTATTTTTCTTGCTGAATGATACGCAGGTTTGGCCCAGATAATTAGGAAATTCCTTTATTTTTGAGTTTCTGTAAATCTACTGGGATATGCTTTAGCGCAAATTCCTGTTAATCATCTTTCCTTTGAATCTTACATCTCAAGGTCTTTTATTTCAGGAATTTTTCCCCATATTATATATTTGGAAACTTTTTCTTCCATGTGTTCTGCAAGAGCAATTTTCTTCCTTGTCTTCCCCAAGAGCAATCATCCATAAATTTGTTTTCATTGCCTTTTCTTCATGGTGTTGTTTTCTATGTAATCATTGCAATCTCTTTATCTTTTTATTCTGAATTTCGTGTGATTTCCCCCACCCTCAAATGTTACCTTCTTATCACTGGATAGGCTTACTCTACTTTAATTCAGTTCTTTCCACTTTTTACAGGGTTTCAAATACTTTAAAGGTTTTAATTTCCTCTTCAGTTTCTTTCTTAGGTTTGTCAGCTACCTTTCCATTGTATTCTATTTTTGAATCTCTTGATATCTTGCATTAGTTTTGGTGTCTTTATCAGTTTGTTCACAGACTCTATGTTGTCTTTAAATTCCTTAGGAATACAGAGAATTTTTTCACATTTTCTTCTGTTTCCTTTGGATATATTTTCCAAAGAATTTTTCATCTATATTTCCTTATTTTATTACCTGTTTTGCTTATTGCCTTACACAAATGAAAGCAATTCATTCCCAGGCTACTATTTGCCTCCAGATTTTGAAAGAAACTTTTTCTGGACTAACCTCTTTGTTAATCTTATCATTTGAATTGTCTCCCTCAATCCTATCTCAGATTATTTTTTCTCTGTCTGGAGAATCCATTAATTATCCTGGCCAAGGGAACTAAGAAGCTAACTACACTAGTATTTTGACATAATAAATAGATGACTAATGCATTATTACATATAAAGTTTTCTATTAAGACTTGTTAAGCTCAGACAAAACATATCCTTTCATTAAACCTTTTTCTACTATCCCACATCACAGTAATATTTTCCATTTTTGTATTCTTATGAAGCTTCCTGTTAACATGTGATGCTATGGTAAATATATACTACTGTTGGCCGGGTGCGGTGGCTCACGCCTGTAATCCCAGCACTTTGGGAGTCCCAGGCAGGTGGATCATGAGGTCAAGAGATCGAGACCATCCTGGCCAACATTGTGAAACCCTGTCTCTACTGAAAGTACAAAAATTAGCCAGGCGTGGTGGCACACGCCTGTAGTCCCAGCTACTCAGAAGGCTGAGGCAGGAGAATTTCTTGAACCCGGGAGGCAGAGGTTGCAGTGAGCTGAGATGGTGCCACTGCACTCCAGCCTGGTGACAGAGTGAGACTCCATCTCAAAAGAAAACAATATATATACACACACACACAGACACACACGCTACTGTCATGTAATTTTCTCCTTAGTTTCTCTTGGGTCAGTCATGACTTTCCAGCTTCATGACAAGGAATAGTACCTTTGACTTCTGTTTCTTCTATGACTCCAGGCACATTATAGAGCATAATGTAAATATACAAGTAATGATTCTTGATTGGCTTATTGTCTTAACTATTCTTTTGGAAGGATAAGGTTCAACAATCTTTTTGATTCAAGCAATTAGATTGGAAGGGAACAAATATGTTTAGAGCACCTACAATGTCCCAATAGTTCCTTATGTCCTAGTATTTGATGGGTACTATCAAACTCATTGCATATTTTTTATCCTTTGTTAACTTAGTGTTGTTGACAACATTCTGTAGATTAAAATACTGGCCCAATGATGAATTACCTCCCAAGGTCTTGCAGCTAATAAAGGATGAAATTAATAATTAAGGACATCTTTTTAACTCCAAAGCCCATGCTTTCTTATTCAAGGTGCTGATATTCCTGCCATCATTATTTCCGTAAGATATGCTTTCCATAGCTTGAAAGTTATTTCCTCAAAGTTTAGACCAGATGTACCCATGTTTTAGAATTTAGTAGTTTGAAATTTATATCTTGTATAATTAATCTGAAAAAGTTTCATAATTTTCTTTCCGCTTGATCCTGACACTCCTAAGATGTGGAACTGATACTCATTATCCAAAATGACTGCTAGGTCTACAGCCATCACTCATGTTAACAAGCAGAATGATGGAGGAGAAGGGAAAGGTAGAACTTCATTGAAATCATGTAGCCACTTCTAGCTGTTGTTTAAAGCTGATTTTTTAGGGGTCCATAGGACCTTTAAGGAATGGGCAGAGGAATCAGATGGCAATTTGGGTTGGCAGAAAATCTTATAAACATACTGCAGCCTAGGAGAACTGGAGCTAGATTGTGTGACTAGATCTTATTAACTACAGCAATCATCATCCTGTGGATTCAGAAGATATTAAAAGAAATGAAGAATAATTGACAATATTTTATGCTAAAATGCAAATTTGAAGAGATTATTATGAAAGAATTGTGTGTAACAGGGTTCCCCTTCTCAGAAATATCTCTACCTTACTAAATGAGGGGACACCTTAACTTCAAGTTGATCTTTCATTTCATTCATTCAACAATTTTAATAGCTTCATTAAGATATAATTCACCTACCATAGTATTCATCCATTTAAATTGTACAGTTCAGTGGTTTTTAGTATACAGTAGTTCCCCCTTATCTGCAAGGGATGCATTTCAAGACCCTTCAGTGGATGCCTGAAACTCTGGATAGTACTGAACCTCAACTATACTATGTTTTTTCCTATAGATACAAACCTAGGATAAAGTTTAAAGTTTAATTTATAAATTAGGCACAGTAAGAGATTAACAACTACTTATAAAATAAAACAATTGTAACAACATGCTGTAATAAAAAATATGTAAATGTGGTCTCTCTCTGTGCTGCTAAGTAACTATGGGTTGGGTAGCATAGACTGGGTGGGTGGGTGGTCCGGACAAAGGAATGATTCACATTCCATGCAGGGTGAAGTGTGATACTTCACACTACTCAAGGTGGTGTTCAATTTAAAATTTATGAATTGTGTATTTCCAGAGATTTTCATTTAATATTTTCATACTGTAGTATACAGTGGGAGTACTATATTTACAGAGTTTCACTATCACCACCACAGTCTAATTTTTGAGTATTTTCATTATCACCAAATTCCCCATATCCATTACCAGTCTCTCTCCATTCCTCACTGCTCCCCTACTCTCCCCTGCTACAGGCCTAGGCATCATTTATCATCTTTGGATCTCTATCGATTTGTTAATTATGGATATTTGACATTTATGGAGTCATACAATACAACTCTTTAGTGACTAGCTTCTTTCACTTAGCATAAAAATTTCAAGGTTCATCCGTATTGTAGCAGGGACCAATAATTCATTCAACAACTATTTTCGTGTGTGAGTTGTATACCAGGCTCTCTAACTAGGAATATAACTACAAATGGGGGAACATGATGCCTGTCCTCATACAGCTTGAAACCTAGTGAGGGAAGATTTTAAACAAATAGTCACATAATTACAGTTGACATAAAGCTATTATGAGAACCCATGCAAAGATATCAAAGTAACTAGAGATGTCAAGGACTCTAGGTGAAAATCATATACAAATCCAGGTCTCACCTATGAGAAAGATTTGGCCAAAGAAAGAGACATCAACGTATAATTATTGAGCTCCTGCTGTATATACTAAGCAAAATACAAGGTCAGAAACTAGAGAGATTAAGGTCAAGGTTATTCTATTGAAGCAGTTTATAACATAGTGAGGCATGAAAATAAATCAATACATGCTGGTAGTATTGTGATCAATTCTATAAAAGTGGTGTACTCGGTGATTAGGAAGTTGGAGGAAAGGCACCTGGCATGGCTAGCGGACTAAGGTTTAGGGAAGTCTTCGTGTGAAACATGGTACATCAGCTGAGTTCTAACAGACAAGAAGCTGCCCACTTGATGAATGATGAGACGGCTGCTCCAAGCAAAAGAAGCAAAATCATCAGAGCCTTGAGAGGAGAGCAGGCTGCTTTTAGGAAGTGCATCCAGTAGCAGAGCTTCTAGAAAGTGCTATGATTAATTCAGGGATCTGTAATGGGCTCTAATCTTCCATCTATTTTCCAACATCATACAGATTTGGATTATCTCCAGTCATGAGAGATGTAGCTTCAAATCTTGAATGTGTTCATTTTATGCAAAACATCTTAATAAAAGCGTCAGTATTCTAAGAATGTAACTACCTCATCACATGAGATTGTTCTGCACTGGTGCGTGTTAAAATGAATCACTGTGTGTAGCACTTATTCCATATCCGGGAGATTACTCTGTAGATCCACATTTAGTTAGGCTGATTGAATTTGGTTCACATTATCCACATTATTGTGGACCTAATAATGGAAGTGTGTTTCATTCTTCACTGGCAAGGCATTCTAGTTATAACACTCTAGCCACAGCTCAAGAGATAGTTTTAATAAAATATCCCATTTATAGTTTATAGAGGAAAAATAAAACACCCCTCTGGTATAAAGATTTAAGTTTACAGAAATTTAACTTGGTGACTGAAGGGATATTTTGTTGAGTTATGCCACCTAGATCTTTGAGAAAAAGGTTAGAGGTGAGAGAATTCAGGGCTGTTACTAGGAACTCTTGATCAGGCATTCAGCTTTCAGACAGCCTTAGCTGTCACAAAGAAGATCTAATCTGTTAGCTGAATAAGAAAACTCATGAGCCTCAGATTCAAATCAGGAATTTGTCTAGGGTGTACTTTGGCCCTAACTCTACTTCTGTGCTCTATTTCTAGAGCATAATATGGAGTGTGAATAATGGAACAGGTCTGGAAGCCAACTTTATATGATCAGCCCACTGAAACCCTCCTCACAGAAAACCCATTTAGCCTTTATGATTCAGAATATGTTGGAGGGAGAACAGGATCTGTTGCTATTGTTTTTAAGATCTCTGAAAAATTTGTCCTCCAACATCTCTCTTACACAATTATAGCATCCTAATGTATAAAATAATTCACTTAATTTTCACCTGAAAGTTTGGAGAAATCTATATGTCTCTGGACTGCACTGCAGGTGCCCATCTTGTCTCTACTCTCATTCCAACCATTAACTCCTCCAGGAGTTTTCTACCATTTTTTTTGGTGTTTATTTTTTTTACCTGGTGCCTTAGGGAATAATGAAAAATGAATAATATTTAGCAGCAGGGATTGCTAAAATGTGTCTTCGTATATGTAAATACAGAAAAGGGATGGTACAGTGTTTGTTTATTCAGTAAATGTTTCTTGAGCAGCTACTATGGGCAGGCTCTGTTTTAAGTTCTGGCAATCAGCAATGAACAAGAGAGAGAAAGTCATTAACCTCGTGGAACATGTGTCCTGGTGTTTAATTACAGTCTAGGAAGGGCACAAGATTGAGAAGAAACGCTCTGGCAAGGTGAGGCTCCTTTATATTTCTGGTCCTTGCTCTCTGGTATTTGTGTTCAGAACATGCAGAGGTTAGAGTGGTTGTATTTAGGTGACAGGAGCAGAAGAAGGCTTCTGTATAGGAAGTCATAAAAGGAACTTGACCCAAGATATGGAAACAACTGAAGTATGCATCAATAGATGAATAGATTTTTTTAAATGTGGTAAATATACATAATGGAATACTTCAGAAATAAAAAGACAAAATCCTGTCATTTGTGGAAACATGCATTAACCTGGAAGATATTCTATTAAGTGAAATAAGCCAGGAACAGAGAAACAAATACCACATGGTCTCACTTTTATGTAGGATCTAAAAAATCCTACATAAATCCTACATACTTCTGTAAGTATGTAGAGCATAAAATGGTGGTTTCCAGGGGCTGGGGGAAGGGCGTTGAATGAGGAAAGGGAGACATTGGTCAAAGGGTACAAAGTTTCAGATAGATAGGAATAAATTCTGGTGATATATTGCACACCATGGTTACTACAGTTAATATATTGCGTATTTCAAAACAGCTGAAAGAGGATTTTAAATGTTCTCATCACAAGAAAAGAATAAATATTTAAGGTGATGCATATGCCAATTACCCTGATTTGAATATTTTACAATGTTTACATCTTAAAACACTACATTGTACCCAACAGACAAATAAGCACAACACAATTATTTGTCAATTAAAATTATATATATTTTAAAAGAGGAATTTGAACTTGACCAGGAGACATTTCCATAGCAGACCCATGCTAATGAGTTGACTATTCCTTGTGTGAAATGTAATCTGACTTCCATCTAACATTACATGCTTACTTCAATTTTGCTATTCTTTAGCCTTGTCTAAAATCTCATCTTAAACCACTTATTCTTTTCTAGGTTTCTAATGAACTTATTGCCCTTCTCCTGTTAAAGTAGCTTGATCATTCCATGATCCTTGTCTCCAGGGATAGATAAAACTCAAAGTTTCTCTCTAAGGTATGTTTCAAAAGCTTAGATCCTGGGGAAAAATAAAATCACTTACAACAAAGTTAGGCACAGTGGCACCTGTAGTCCCAGTTACTTTAGAGGCTGAGGCAGGAGGATCTCTTGAGCTGAGGAATTTGAGACCAGCCTGGGCAACACAGTGAGACATAATAAGTAGAATAAAATCACTTACAACAAAGGTAGCAAGATTGAGAGAGCTCAGTGAAAGCAACTGGAGCAGAGTCATCAATTTCTCAAGACTAGCTATTCCCCCTGGATAAATCCTGGGGTGAAGAAATAACTCCCAGATAGGTTTTTGGGATCTAAGAAGATGATTATTTGAATCTATTCTGAGGTAGAACTCCCACGTAAGATGGTAAGATGCTGGAAAACAAATGGCTGAATGATGCATCTGGGCAGAGGTAGTCTTAGGTAATCTCAGTTTCCCAAGAGCTAGCATATTGTCAAAGCAACAAAATGGTTACTCTGCAATTCAGATGGTGGAGGCATAATAGAGCTGTCAGACCCAAATGTGCCATGTGAACAGAAATGAGCTTCATATCTGTGACAGCCTGTGTGGTCAGGTCTACAAAGCCCTGTAGTAATGATGTCACGGGATCCTTGGGGTGTCACTTCACCAGCTGAAACCTCTGTGGCCGGAAGCACCTTCTGCCTGAGTATTGTTAGTGCTTGCCGGGTTCATTCCGCCCACTCAGCCCAGCAGACTCCACTTGGCTCATGCTCCTGGCCTGAATCCCACACCTGCCAAGGATAAGCCAGACATGGAGTGGTGAGGGGTGAGTGAGCGAGTGTGGGGTCCAGTAACTGTGCACAGCCAGGCATGTCACCTGCAGTGGAGTGGGCAGCTCCAGGCATTGGCACAGGTGCCATCTCTGCAAGGCTGTGGCTGGACTAGGTGTATTGCAAGCAGCTTCTACTGTGGGCACCAGGGAATGCAGTGGCACCCGGGAGCTTGGAGATGTCAGGAACTGCAGAGCCCCAAAGAGGGTGGGCCACTACCCTGCCCTGGGGAGCCCCTAGATCTGGGATCTCTGAAAAGCTACAGCTCTTCTCTCCTTGTCACCTGCAATGTGGTGAGCAGGGGGCATGTTTCAGGCCTGTCTGTGTTACGGCTCTTTTAGTCTCGCCATTCAGTAGGTCCTGAGTTCTTGTTTCATGTCCAGGAAGAATTAGGTATGTGGACAACTAGAATAAGGCAGAGAGGAGATTCACTGAGCAACAGAACAGCTCACAGGAGACCCAGAGTGGGTAGCTGCTTTCTGCAGGCAGATCCTCCCATTGAGTGTCCATCTCTCAATTCAGAGGAGACACAGAATGGGTAGCTTCTTTCCACAGGCAGGTCATCCTGAGGTCTCTCTGACTCTGGCTGAGTCCAGGGGTTTTATGGGCTTCAGAAGAAACAAAATGTGTGCTGATTGGTCCATGGGTAGCCATGGGTACGCCCAGGAAAAGCATCCTAAGTTCTCACTTGGGGCCTGTGAACTCCACCCAGAACTGACAGCCCAGCCCCCATGCTTCAGGCTGTCCCTGGCTTCAAAGTGGAACTTCACTGGGGACCCACTTCTTTCTGCCCAGGAGCCTGTCTGCCTCCTGCCACCATCAATCATATCATCTGTGGCAACAAGGTTGTTCCTGCTGAGGGGCACCTGCAGGACTGCACTAAGCTGCCCTCAGCCCTACCTCAGGCTCCTTCCTGTGCTTGTTGGCAGCCACAGTCCACATGGGCTGAAATGGCAGAGGGCTGCTGTGACAGCATTGCCCCAAGCTTGTGCACACCCAGCTGGGTTGTGACAGCACCTGGGCTTGGCCTCAACTTTGCTCCAGAATTGGAGCCATTGCCAGGAGTGAGGAGAGGCCAGGCCCAGGAGCAGGAGCAGACATTTCTGAGCCTGCATGAGGAGCGGGGCTTCCTGGGTTCCCAAGAGCACAGGGATGCCTGGGTCCACAGCTGCAGCTGTGCCCAGGAGAGTGGGGATCCTACACTTTCAACTCAGAAGGGGGCTGGGCTCCTGCCTATTGCCAGCTCCTGCCAGATCCATGGAGTATTCATCCCCAGCTGCAATTCCCCTGCTGCAGCTGGCATCTTTACAGCAGCTGCTCCAGATGGGCCACCACTGCCATCAATGAGGGGTGCCTTAAGGGGTTCATGATGGGTCAGTTTATACTGACTGTCTGGTGTTGCTTCTCCCTGACAGACCCACTCTCTAATATACCCATAGAAGTTCTGATATCTGGTATTTACATAAACCTCCCATGGCAGAAACACATCTAAGGCTGAACAAAGGTCCTAAAGAGAAACAAATGGAAAGAAGGAAGGAAGGAAAGAAAGAGGAAAGGAAGGGAGGGAGGGAAGATATTTTGTAGACTGAGATTCCTACTTGCTGTACTTGATTTAGTATTTCAGCCTTGTCTCAGTGAAGCTGGAGAACATTATGAAAAGGGTCTTGTGAATCAGCTTAAGAGTGTTTTAAAGCAGCCTAGCTCCTCCTCCTCCCCAGAGCAATAGTAGAGTGAGTCACTATTCATAGAGAGGATGATTCATGAGGAATGTATGGTGATTCTGGTGTAGATCACGTTTCTCATGTGGAGGACTTCCCTCTATCTCCAATGTGGTGGATCTGGCTTTTCATTAGAAAGGCGGTGGGTTAGTCCATTTTGCATTGCTATAAAGGAATATCTGAAGCTGGGTAATTTGTAGAGAAGAAGTTTATTTGGATTATGGTCCTGTAGACTGCATAAGAAGCATGGGGCTGGCATCTGCTTCTGATGAGGCCTCAGAAAGCTTCCAATCATGGGGGAAGGCAAAAGAGAACAGGTGTATCACTTGGCAAGAGAAGAGTACCAGAGAGAGAGGGGAGGTGCCATGTCTTTAAATAATCAGCTCTCAAATGAACTCACTCATTACTGTGAGGACTGCACTAAGCCGTTCATGAGGGATCTGCCCCCATAATCCAAACACCTCCCACCAGGCCCCAACTCCAATATTGAGGATCACATTTCAACATGAGATTTGGAGAGGACAAATATCCAAACTATATCAGGTAGTGATTCTTTTTTTCTATGCAGTATCTCTGATAACTTTATAGTATTTGGATGTCATTGCATTCTACTGTGCCTTATTTCCTCCAGAGTCTTCCACTAGTCCCTTATTCCTTTCAAAAGAGAGTAATAGCACATATATGCATAAAAGTCACAAACTAAATTGAAACTACTTTCCACTTACATTCAGTTTTCATGTATTTCACTACTTACTATAAACATATCCTTGGCATACTATAAAATATAGAATCGGGGTCCTGGGAGGTCGGACTCCAAACTGTGGCCTTTAAATTGTTACTTCTTACTTTTTCTTTATCTTCCCAGTCAGTGTCTTAAATTAGAGTTCTTTTATTGGTAAAAATAAAGAAGACATTTCTTTACCATAGCCAAGGATATGGGGGTGGGAGGGCGGGTGTTGAGAAGCAGCAGTATAGAAAAATCTGTACTTTTAGTGTATATTGATACTGTTGAAATTACTTCTTAGATTCCTGGCAAATACTGGGAATGCCTGTCTCAAAATAATGTGGTGATGAAATTTTATCCGTCTTTATTTTAGCTTAATTATATCTCTAAGCACCTCTCTGAGTTTTTTTTATTGTTCTCTGTTTTTGAGTTTTTAAGATCTGATAATGGTTAGTAAAGAAGAAATCTGAAAAAGCACTAATGGTTCTCATTTAAAAGACACAAAAAAGAACATGGGAAGCTGTTATTAAAATCTTTGTTCAATTGTTAAATGAAGTAGAAGGTTAAATAGAAAATCTGCTGGGTTTAAACTATTGGGAAGATATGCATTTGTGGTGTCATTGAATAATTTTATCTTCACTTTTGAATTCTTTATTTTAAAATGTCTTTTTGAATAAGATATTTGGGCTGATAACACTGAGACTAGAAGGAGAGGAAATAACTCTTCTATTTGTAATGTGGAAGAGAGAGCTGATGTTAGTTATCTGGGTTCATTGGTGATATGAATCCATATGGATTCATGGAGTTCTAAATAAGAAGCAGAAGGAAAATCCAGTGGGGGAATTATTCTGAAGTTTGTATTTCATTCCAGCCTCTAGGAAGTGAGGCTATAAAGTAGTTAGGGCAGGCTTTATGAGGAAAAGGTGGGCATGAGGTCTGCTTTACTAATTTGTATTATATTAAAGGAATATCTGTGTGCTCTGGCAATGAGTTCTATATTATCTCTCAGTTTGGTATATTAATGTCACCCTACTTCATGCTCTGTGCCTCAGAGTGCTTCTCTGGAGGTTTCTGATACTATTGCAAAGAGGTGTCTCTGCTTCTGAATAGTTATTTGTCTTATTCTTTATGTCATAAGCCCCATACACAGTATCGCTGATTACAAAGGACTGGAGCAAGCCCTGCGAATGCCTGAATAGAATTTTCTAATGGGTGAGAGGTTGAATCAACATTTCCCCTCTCAACTCAGAAAACAAGTGTGTAATGGATAGACAAATTAGCACCTTCCAGAAATGTGGTAATAAAGAATGTAATAGAAGGAAAATAAGCTCAACTCTCAAGAAAGGTAATAAAAATAAAGAGAAAGCTAAATTTTCCTTATTTACTATGATAGAGCTGACCTTCTGTAATGTCAACATTAAAAAGGTTTAAAATGTCACTATTTTACTTGGATTTCTGATGTCAGCTCAAATTTTAATTCTAACATACATTTGCAATGCAAGTTTGAAACGAGCAATGTATATACCATTTCATTTTAATTAAGCCATCTTAGAATGATGGCACTAAATAAGCACCTGCTTTAAGACACAGGGTTGTGCCTATTTCCTTCCGTTCCTATTCCTGCTCAAGACTGTCATTCTATGCTGCCTTTTGAGTTTCTAGCTATTTAAAGTAAAAGTTTTTATCAGGCTTGATGTCACTGTTGAACATTCATAGCCATATTTTGGCAAGGAAACCAGAGCCTGGCAGTCTTTTTCTATAATTTTATATAATGCAAGAGGGCTTAATGCCCCTATTATAGAACTGATTCTATTATACTCTCCTTTCCAGAACTAATGGAGCACTTGACTTATTCATGTTAAAGAAAATGATTGAATATGAAAAGCTTCCAGACCCTGTTTCTTGCCAGGATTAAAACTGCTCTGCTCTTTATACTGACCAGAAAAGTCACCCCTTAATTAAGTTTATTGTGATTTTTCACCTGCCAGGAAGTCCTGTACAATGCACATAAAAGCCCATTTGTTGGAAACTATTTTAGATCTCTCTTTAAAACCTTTGTTTGTTTTAAAATATACAATAGTGATAGCTAACATTTACTGAGTCCTTACAACATTACAAATACTCTTCCAGTTCTTTATATTACTTGATTAAAATCTCAGAAAACCCTAAGAACTAGGTACTGTTATTATCACTATTTTATAGACGAAGAAAGTAAGGTTTGAAGAATTTGAGTAGATAATGGAGTAGAGATTTAAATATATACCTTCTGAGTTATTAATGACTCTGCTAAGCTCTTTTTTTCACTTGGCTAAAAACCTAAAAAAGTGAATTAAGCTTGTAGATTTGGAAGGAATACATTTATTAAAAATTTACTGAGTGGCTAATGTTTGCAGCATAATTGTAGTAGCAAAGTAGGCTAGATACTAATGCAGGTAAAATATAGTTGCTTAGTTAAGTAAACTTTTCATCCAGCAAATTAGACAAGAAAGAGCTAAGCTAATTAAAATGTAAGGTAGTGGGTATTGTGCTATACTACAAGTACAAATTGAATAGCAGGCTCAGAAGTATAAATTTATAATTTTTCTTATAGCATCAGATAAAGCGTTATGGAAAAGGTGACAATCGAGCATGCCCTTGAAGATTTGTGGAAGGCTTGGACAAGTACAGTCATGGAGATGCAGTTTCAGGGTAGAGGAAAATGTATGCGTCACAGAAAAGAAAGGCCAGGCTTGTTTCTAAATTGCTTATTTTAGTAAGGGAGGGAGACAGTTTGAAGTTTTCATAGCGTGAAGGTAGCATAGAATCATATAATATTAGATTTGGATGAGTCTACAGAGATTGTTTCCTCTACAGAATTTTCAGTGATGTAGAAATCAAATCCCAAATAAATATTTTGCATCTATTTTATTTGTATGAGTGCTTATTGCAGAAGGAAAGAAGGTTGCAAGAGAAACATTAACTTGAAAAAGGAAAATGACATTCATCTTATGGATGAAATAATTATTTATAGATGAAATTTCATCTTATATAATAATTGAATGTTCAATTTGGGAATTTGCATTCCCGTGAAGAGCCAATGAAGTTTTTTCTTTAAGTATGCTTGGCAGTCTATGCTGGTCTCTGGACTCAGACCAGAATTTAAATTCTACTTCTCACCTCTAGCACTCACTAACTGTATGATTTGGGGCAAGTTCATTAATCTGTCGGCTAATGGTAAAACTATTTCCCTCAAAGATTTACTTGAGTATAGCTTAGATATTGTACGTGAATTGTTTAGCTAATATGTGGCATGGAGTAAGGATATCATTGTCACATTCAAGTTTTATATCCATGGCTTGATAAAATTGGGTTTTAGAATAATAACTGATGACAATGTAGGTCATATTTTTCAAGATGTAGAAATTGGAAACAGGTTGGGAGACATTATAAAATACCAAGAAAGAGGTGAAAAGTTACTAAACGGGATAATTAAGAGAAGAAATGAGTCAGAACCCATAGAATGTGGCCACTGATTAGATATGGAGAGTTCATAAAGGAAGTGTAGACAATAACCCTGATCCTCAAAGCATGAATGACTAAGAGAATAGTGAAGACATTGCTTGACACAGGGTGCAAGAGTCAAGACAGAGGTTGGGAATGTGCTTGAGGAGTTTCAGATTGTACAATTTGTGGGAGGTCTTTTGAAGGTAGCTGGAAAGATTTAAAGATTAAGAGGGAATCTGGAATTAGAAAACAAGCCCAAGAGTAATCTGTGGAATTAAAAATCATATCTGTGAAAGGACGTTGTAGGAAGGTCTGCAAAATAGAAAAGGATGAGGAAAGAGAAGATAGCAAAGAAGAGTGAAAATTGCAAAAAAGTTCATCAACTGAGTGTATAGCAAGGAAGTGATGACATGATTTCCACAAAAAGGCACTGTTCAGTGTTCTGCTGCTGCAGAAAGGGAAAAACACTAGGAAGTGCCTACTGGATTTATATTGCTGACTTTTAGGATGGCAAATACTTTTTAAAAATATTGAGATTGAAGACAGTTTGTCTTAAATTGTGGAATGACCAGAAGAAGATTAGAAGCAGGATATAACCAACATTTTAGTTTCCACAGTTTAGTACAAAAGATGGCGTAATGAGGGCAAGTAGCATTCAGGTCAGGTTTATTTTTATACAGAATGTCTGAGTATTTATGAAGAATGGTCCACAGGTGAAAAATGAAGATACATAAAGATCCTCAGGGGAAGCTTTTTTGAACATGACATAGGGTAACATCAGGTGTAAAGTCTGAAGGATTTACTCTGAAAAATAACAAGAATAGGGCGGGGCCAAGATGGCCGAGTAGAAGTGGGCAATCCGAGGCTCCCATCAAAAAGAACCATAACAGCATGCAAATCCTGCACCAGCAACTGAGGTATCCAGGTTCTGTCATCAGAATTGACTAGGCTGCTGGTGTGACCCATAGAGAGGAAGGAAGAGCAGTGTGGTGAGGTGGCCCACCTGAGAGCCACGTGGGGCAGGAGCCAAGAGAGGTGGTGAGTGAGCATCCTACCCAGCCTAGGAAAACGTGCTTCTCCCACGGAACTGTACAACCCATGGATCAGAATATCCCACTTGTTAGCTCATGCCACTGGGGCCCACGTTCCCAACCACGAAGTGGTGCAGATTCTCTACAGCTGCTAAGCTAGAATCTGCTTAAGCCTGCCGAGTTCCCGGAGGGGAGGAGCAACTAGCACCACAGCTGTGGCTGCCTGCTGTCTAAGCAGCTTGAGCTCCCTGGGGAAGGAGTGACAGCCAACACTGGAACTGATATCTGCCTAAGACATTAAGCTTCCAGGACCGGGGAAGGGCGGCAGCCATCTCTATAGTTCCAGGTGGTGCTTTTCCCCTGCTGAAGCCAGGGAGGCTGGATGGCTTGGTCCCAAGAGGTATCACCCACAGCCCAACACACTGGCTGTGACAGACTGTGGACAGAGTGCCTCTTCAGGCCTGACCTTGATCCATTCCTCCTCACTGGGTGGGGCCTCCCTGCAGGAACTCTGACAACTCCAGCCAAGGGCTCAGGAACAGAACTCTGATCTCCCTGGGCCTGAGACCCTAGCGGGAGGGATGGCCACAGTCTCCACAGACCAGCGAACTTAGTCTTTCCTTCTGCTAGTTCTGAGGAATCCAGGCAGCCCAGATGAGCGGGTTTCTCTCGGTGAAGCACATCCCCTCTACCAAGGGACAAAGTGCTTCGTTAAATGGGTCCTGCTCCCCGTGCCAACCAATTGGGTGAGAACCTCCAACAGTGGCTGTCAGACAGCCTAAACAGGAGCATTCCTACTGGCATCAGGCCAGTGCCCCTCGATGTCAGAGATCCCAGAGGAAAGAGCAGGTAACCATCTTTGCTGTTCTCCAGCCTCCTTGAGTGACAACTCCACGTGCAGGAGTGAACCAGATGAACAGGGCCTGAAGTGAACCCCCAGCAAACCACAGCAGCCCTACAGAAGGGGGACCTGCCCACTGCAAGAAAATCAAACAGAAAGCAACAACAACAGTATTAACAAAAAAAGTCACAGAAACCCCATCCAAGGGTCAGTAGCCCCAAAGATTGATACTAGACAAACTCATGAAGATGAGAAAGAATCAACAACAACAACAACAAAAAATACTGAAAACCCAAAAGGCCAGAGTGCTTCCTCTCCAAATGATTGCAATGCCTCTCTCTCCAGCAAGGGTGCAGAACTGGACAGAGGACAAGATGGACAAATTGACATAAGTAGGCTTCAGAAGGTGGGAAATAACAAATTCTGCTGTGCTAAAGGAGCATGTTCTAACCCAATGCAAAGAAAGTAAGAACCTTGATAAAAGGTTACAGGACTGTTAACTAGAATAACCAGTATAGAGAGGAACATAAAGGACCTGATGGAGCTGAAAAACACAGCACTAGAACTTTGTGAAGCACACACAAATATCAATAGCTGAATCCACCAAGTGGGAGAAAGGATATCAGAGTTTGAAGACCATCTTGATAATAAGATAATAAAGGCATGCAGACAAGATTAGAGAAAAAAGAATAAAAAGAAACAAACAAAACCTCCTAGAAACATGGGACTATGTAAAAAGACCGCACCTATGATTGACTGGAGTACTGAAAGAGACAGGAAGAATGTAACCAAGTTGGAAAACACACTTCAGGATATTATCCAGGGGGAACTTCCCCAATTTAGCAAGAAAGGCCAACATTTAAATTCAGGAAATACAGAGAACATCACTAAGATACTTCACGAGAAAATCAACCCTAAGAAACATAATCATCATATTCTCCAATGTCAAAATGAAGGAAGAAATGTTAAGGGCAACAAGAGAGGAAGGCCCGATCACCTACTCCTCGAGAGGAGCAACGCCAAGACACATAATCATCAGATTTACTAAGGTTGAAATAAAAGAAAAAATGTTAAGGACAGCCAGAGGGAAAGGTTGGGTTACTCACAAAGGGAAGCCCATAGTGGCAGACCTCTCAGCAGAAATTCTACAAGTCAGAAGAGACTGGGGGCCAATATTCAACATTCTTAAAGAAAAGAATTTTCAGTCCAGAGTTTTATATCCAGCCAAACTAAGCTTCATAAGTGAAGGAGAAATAGCATCCTTTCCAGACAAGCAAATGATGAGGGATTTTGTAACCCACCAGGCCTACCTTGCAAAAGCTCCTGAAGGAAGCACTAAATATGGAAAGGAAAAACTGGTACCAGCCACTGCAAAAACACACCAAAATATAAAGACCAATGACACAATGATGAAACTGCAACTAGTGTGCAAAATAACCAGATAGAATCGTGATGACAGGATCAAATTCACAAATAACAATATTAACCTTAAATGTAAATGGGCTAAATGCCCCAATTAAACAACACAGAATAGCAAATTGGATAGAGTCATGACCCATCAGTGTGCTGTATTCAGGAGACCCATCTCATGTGCAAAGACGCACATAGGTTCAAGGTAAAAGGATGAAGGAAAATTTACCAAGCAAATGGAAAGCAAAAAAGAAAAAAGGCAGGGGTTGCAATCCTAGTCTCTGACAAAACAGACTTTAAACCAACAAAGATCAAAAAAGATGAAAAAGGGCATTACATAATGGTAAATAGATCAGTTCAACAAGAAGAGCTAACTATCCTAAATATACATGCACCCAACACAGGAGCATCCAGATTCATAAAGCAAGTTCTTAGACACCTACAAAGAGACTTAGATTCCCACACATTAATAGTAGGAGATTGTAGCATCCTACTGTCAATATTAGACAGATCAATGAGACAGAAAATTAACAAAGATATTCAGGACTGAAACTCAGCCATGGATCAAGTGGACCTAATACACATCTACAGAACTCTTCACCCCAAATCAACAGAATATACATTCTTCTCAGTGCCACATGACACTTATTCTAAAATCAACCATATAATTGGAAGTAAAAGACCCCTCAGCAAATGCAAAAGAACTGAAATTATAACAAACAGCCACTCAAACCACAGTGTAATCAAATTAGAACTCAAGATTAAGAAACTCACTCAAAACCACATGGAAATTGAACTACCTGCTCCTGAGAGACTCCTGGGTAAATAATGAAATTAAGGTAGGAATCAAGAAGTTCTTTGAAACAATTGAGAACAAAGAGACACTGTGCCAGAATCTCTGAGACACAGCTAAAACAGTGTTAAGAGGGAAATTTATAGCACTAAATGCCCACATCAGAAAGCTAGAAAAATCTTAAATCGACACCCTGACATACAATTAAAAGAGCTAGAGAAGCAAGAGCAAACAAAACCCAAAGCTAGCAGAAGACAAGAACAACTAAGATCAGTAGAACTGAAGGAGGTAGAGACACAAAAAAACACTCGAAGTCAATGAATCCAGGAGACTATTTTTTGAAAAAATTAATAAAATAGACCATTAGCTAGATTAATAAAGGAGAGAGAATCAAATAGACACAGTAAAAAATGATAAAGGGGATATCACCACTGACCCCACAGAAATACAGACTATCAGTGAATACTATAAACAACTCTGTGCAAATAAAATAGAAAATCTAGAAGAAATGGATAAATTCCTGGACACATACATGCTCCCAAGACTAAACCACGAAGAAGTCAAATTCCTAAATAGACCAGTAACAAATTCTGAAATTGAGGCAGTAATTAATAGCCTACCAACCAAAAAAAGCCCAGGACAAGATGGATTCACAGCTGAATACTACCAGAGATACAAAGAAAAGCTGGTACCATTCCTTCTGAAGCTATTCCAAACAACTGAAAAGGAGGGACCCCTCCCTAACTCATTTTATGAGTCTAGTATCATCCTGATACCAAAACCTGGCAGAGACACAACAAAAGAATAAAACTTCAGGCCAATATCTCTGATGAACATTGATGTAAAAATCCTCAGTATGATACTGGCAAACTGAATCCAGCAGCACATCAAAAAGTTTATCCACAATGAAGAAGTCAGTTTCATCCCTGACATGCAAGGCTGGTTCAACATATGAAAATCAATCAATGTAATTCATCACATAAACAGAACAAATGACAAAAACCACATGATCTAAAATTCATATGGAACCAAAAAGAGCCCCCATAGCCAAAGCAAGACTAATCAAAATGAACAAATCTGGAGGCATCACACTACCTGATTTCAAATTATACTGTAAGGCCGTAGTCACCAAAACAGTGTGGTATTGGTATAAAAATAGGCACATAGACCAATGGAACAGAATGGAGAACCCAGAAATAAATAGAAATACTTACAGCCAACTAATCTTCAACAAAGCAAACAAAAACATAAAGTGGGGAAAGGACACTCTTCAACAAATGGTGCTGGAATGATTGGCTCGCTTCATGTAGGAGAATGAAACTGAATCCTCATCTCTCACCTTATAGAAAAATCAACTCAGGATTGTTTAAGGACTTAAACCTAGGACCAGAAACTATAAAAATTCTAGAAGATAACATTGGAAAAACCCTTCTAGACTTTGGCTTAGGCAAGAATTTCATGACCAAGAACCCAAAAGCAAATGCAATAAAACAAAGATAAATAGCTGGGACCTAATTAAACTAAAGAGCTTTTGCATGGCAAAAGGAACAGTCAGCAGACTGAATGGACAACTCACAGAGTGGGAGAATATATCTTCACAATCTGTACATCTGACAAAGTACTAATATCCTGGATCTACAATGAACTCAAATCAGCAAGGAAAAAAAAAAGTGGGCTAAGGACATGAATAGACAATTCTCAAAAGAAGATATACAAATGGCCAACAAACATATGAAAAAATGCTCAACATTACTAATGTTCAAGGAACTGCAAATCAAAACCACCATGTGACACCACCTTACTGCTGCAAGAATAGCCATAATCAAAAAATTAAAAAAAAAACAGATGTTGGTGTAGATGCAGTGATCAGGGAACACTTCTACACTGCTGGTGCAAATGTAAACTAGTATAGCCACTATGGAAAACAGTGTGGAGATTCCTTAAAGAGCTAAAAGTAGAGCTACCATTTGATCCAGAAATCCCACCACTGGTTATCTACCCAGAGGAAAAGAAGTCATTATTCGAAAAAGATACTTGCACACACATGTTTATAGCAGCACAATTTACAATAGCAAAATCGTGGAGCCAACCCAAATGCCTATCAATCAACGAGTGGATAAACTGTGGTGTGTGTGTATATATATATATCTATATATATCTATATATATATATACACATATATATATATCTATATATATATATACACATATATATATATCTATATATATATACACACATATATATATATCTATCTATTTATATGCAGGTCTAATATTCATAATCTACAAGGAACTTAAATCTACAAGAAAAAAAATTCCATCAAAAAGTGGGCAAAGGATATGAACAGACACTTCTCAAAAGAAGACACTTACATGGCTAACAAACATACGAAAAAAAGCTCAACATCACTGATCACTACAGAAATGTAAATCAAAACCACAACGAGATACCATCTCATGCCGGTCAGGATGGTGATTATTAAAAAGTCAAGAAACATCCCAGCACTTTGGGAGGCCAAGGCAGGTGGATCACCTGAGGTCAGGAGTTCGAGACCAGCCTGGCCAACATGGTGAAACCCTGTCTCTACTAAAAATACAAAAATTAGCTGGGTGTGGTGGCTGGTGCCTGTAATCCCAGCTACTCAGGAGGCTGAGGCAGGAGAATTGTTTAACCCAGGAGACAGAGGTTGCAGTGAGCCAAAATCATGCCAGGGCACTCCAGCCTGGGTGACAAGAGCAAGACTCCATCTAAAAAAAGAAAGAAAGAAAGAAAAAAGCAACAATAGATACTGGCAAGGCTGTGGAGAAATAGGAATGCTTTTACACTGTTGGTGGGAATGTAAATTCATTCAATCATTGTGGAAGACAGTGTGGCAATTCCTCAAGGATCTATAAGAAGAAGTACCGTTTGACCCAGCAATGGAATTGCTGGGTATATACTCAAAGGATTATAAATCATTTTACTGTAAAGACACATGCACATGTATGTTTATTGCAGCACTATTTGCAATAGCAAAGACATGGAACCAACAAAAATGCCCATCAGTGACAGACTGGATAAAGAAAATGTGATCATAAAAAGAAACGAGATCATGTCCTTTGCCAGGGACATGGGTGAAGCTGGAAGCCATCATCCTCAGCAAACTAACACAGGAACAGAAGACCAAACACCACATGTTCTCACTCATAAGTGGGAGTTGAATAATGGGAAAACATGGACACAGGGAGGGGAACAACACACACTGGGGCCAGTTGGGGGGTTTGGGGGCAAGGGGAAGGGAGAGCATTAGGACAAATAGCTGATCCATGTGGGGCTTTAAACCTAGATAATAGGATGATAGGTGCAGCAAACCACCATGGCACACATATACCTATGTAACAAACCTACACGTTCTGCACTTGTATCCCGGAAATTAAAAAAAATAAAAAATAAAAATAACAAGAATACTTGGTCCTCTGACATAATAGAGAATGATAACATAATGGGCAGATACACAAATGAATTGAACTTGGTGGCAGGTAAGCTGAGCTAGTTAATACGGGATGAATTCATTTTTCATCAAAAAAGAGATCAACCACTGGTGTGAAGAAGCAGATGTTGCATTCATGAGACAGCAACTCTATGTAAGAAAACAAACTAAGAAAGACTAATCAGTTATATTACAGTTGCATTTAATATAGAAGATACCATGAATTTTTAGAGCTGCCAATAGTTGCAGTGTGTGTGTATACACACATATATATACATACACACTATAGATAATGTATATTAAGTACATACTATTTATTCTATAGATATAATTTTTTATTGCTTTGGATTAAAAGCTGAAGAATATAAAATGCTTGTTTTCAATGAAATGTAATTGATGAAGAAAATATGGTGGGATATAAAGAAAGAGAAGTTCCTGACCTCTAGGGAGAAGATTTGATATGGCCAACATGAAGTCTTGATATAGATGTGAAGAGTGTTAAGAAGTAGGAACAATCATGAAGCTAAAAGGAAATTTTAAAACAAGATATGGAGTGGCAGAGGTGGAAGCATTGTCCATTAACAGAGATAATTCTCAGCACTTGAGATTTAGAGAAAGAAGCATTTTGAACTATGGTGAGATAATTTGTAATGTGATGTATGAATATTTTTCATGAAGAACAGGACATAGGGGCAGTAAAGGTTTTTAAAGCTTTATTAAGATATAAATCATGTAACATACATGCCATTATTTAAAGTATGCAATTAAATTGTTATTAGTATAGTCATAGGGCTGCATAACAATCATCACATGAATTTTAAACATTATTGCCCCTGCCCAAAAGAAATCCCTTAGCAGTCATTAGCAGTCACTGCTCTTCCTCTCTCCTTATCACCCCTTCCCATCTTTTCCCTACCAAGCCCTAAACAATTGCTAATCTAATTTCTGTCACTATATATTTGCTTATTCTGGAATTTCATAGCAATCAAATCATACAGTATATATTCTTTTGTTGACTGTTGTCTTTTACTTACTGTAATGTTTTAAAGGTTCATCATGTTATAGCGTGTATCATACTTCATTCCTTTATGTTCCCATATTTTTTTGTGTGGATTGATCACATTCTTTATTCATCCATCAGATTATGGACATTTGGATTATTTCCACTTCATTTACTATTATAAATAATGCTTCTATGACCATTCATTTACATTTTTGTGTGAATGCATTTTTCCATTCTCTTGAATGGGTATAAGCCTAGAAGTAGAATTTTTGGGCCACAGGTATCTGTATGTTTAACACTTTGAGCATCTGCTAACATGACTTACAAAGCAGACGCAACATTTTACTTTGCCCACAGCAGTGTATGAGGCTTCCAATTTCTTCACATCCTTGTCAACACTTCTTATTGTCTGTCATTTTGATTATAGCCATCTTAGTGGATGGGTGTGAAGTGCTATCTCATTGTGGTTTTGATTGACTTAGTAGATAAACATCTTTGAATCTGTTCATTGGTCATTTGTATATCTTCTTTGGAGCAACATTGATTCAAATATTAATACTTTTCCAGTTTTTAAAATTGGTTATTTACCTTTTTATTATTGAATTATGGAAGTCCTTATTTACTTTGGATATATAAGTCCCCTATCAAAAATATATCTGCATGTATTTTCTCCCATTGTGTGGCCTGCTTTTTTACTTTCTTGATAGTATCATTTGCATAACAAAAGTTTTATTGTTAATAATGTTCCATCTATTTTATATTTTGTCATTTGTGTTTTATTGTCATACTTAAGAAATTATTGTACAACCCTAATTTAATTATATTTAATTAACCCTAATTAAATTTAAATAAAGGATTTAATTTTGATTGCTCTTTACATACTTAGCTCATATATAGGTGTATTATTTATTTTTAATTAATTTTTTAATATGGTCAAATTTTTTGAGTATAGACAATCACAGAATGGGAGAAAATATTTGAAAAATTATGTAATCTGACAACATACTTGCATCCTGAATATATAGAGACTCTTACAACTCAATGATTAAAAAAAAAAACAATTAAAAATGGACAAAGTATATAAGCCAATATTTCAAGAAATAAATAAAAAGATGCTCAAATCAATACCAATTTGGGAAATGTAAAGCATAAGATATCAATTCATAGCCAATATGATGGCTGTATCAACAAGATGGACAATAGTGTTTTGGTAAGTAATTAGATCCTTCGTATGCTCCAAGTAGGAATGTAAAATGCTGTAGCTTCTTGGAGAATAGTTGGGCAGTTCTTCAGAAAGATAAACCTCTATTTACCAATGGCTCAGCCATTCTACTTCTAGGCATATATCCTAGAGAAATGAAAACATGTTGTAGTGAAGGTTTATTAGTCTATTTTCCTGGGGAAATATAAAGGAAGAAGATTAGTTGGAAAAGCCACAACTACTGTAGCTGGTTTCCAAAAGTAACTGATGTTCACCATTTCCCTCCTACACTACTCACTCTGGATTGCCACCATCCTGAGAAAATACCGCTGCTGGTCTTGGTGACTTCCCTGGTGGTGACACCTTGAGGGGTCTGAATCTTTGGTTACCATGCCCTTCTTGGTCAGTGGTTACTGCACTTGTCATTTGCCTTCACAGTTAGACAGCGGAATACTGAAAACTAGACCCACAAAGCTTAGAGTTATGGAAAAGGGAAATACAAGTTTTGTGAGTAGATTACTGGGAAGTTAGTACAGCCACATCTACTTCTGCTCTTTGTTCCTGAACCTATGCATGCTGCTTACTGGGGACACAGCACTGTATAACAATCATTGACTAAAGGTTTCTACTGTGTCTTGGAAGTTAGATTTCTATTCTCAAAGGATAAGTTCTCCAAACTTGTGCCTCAGCTACAACTTCATTGTGCAGTTTCATTGTTGTATAACAGCTTTTCTTAACCTCAGCACTATTGACATTTTGGTCTATATGTGTATATATAGACCAAATATATATATATATATATACAGATTTTGTTATGGGACTGTTCTGTGCATTGTAGAATGTTTATCAACATTTCTGGCCTTCACCCATTAGGTGCCAGTAGTATAACCAAAAGTATCTCCAAGCATTGCCAAATGTCCCCCAGAGGGGAAAACTGCCTGTGATCGAGAAGCACTGATGTAGAGTTTATAATTACATCTAGCACTTTTACAAGCAGAAATTACTTACATGCACACACAGAGCTTCTCCTGACCTTACCAGCCTGTGGGTACAAATTGTATAATGTTAAGTTTCATAACCCAAATTTCAGTAAATTTTTAACCATCTACTCATGTAAGATCCAGACCTCTGTTTTAGACCTTATTAGTGCTTCATACTTTCTAGTTTAAGAAGGGGACAACTGTGATTGGTTGGGGGTCATATCATGAGTCCTAACCAGAGATGTCTGTCACTGCCAGGCTGAAGACTTTGTCAATGTATAGTTTCCAGGTTCTCTTTTTCAACTTCATTAACTGAGGTTGCAACTAGAGGAAGCTGGAGACTGCATTAGCCCAGATCACTGACTTGCCTGGAGAACCTGTCTAGACCCACTACACATTTTCTATGAGTGAGAAACATCCATTTGCTGGGTTAAACCACTGAACATTTATAGTTGTTATGATAGTTCCGTGTAACTTAACCCATCCTGATTAATGGAACCTTATTACTAAATCCCCACCATACATGCAGCTACTTTTTGATGTTCTATGTTATATTCACATGCTTTCAGAAACAAATCCAGTCTTTCACAGTATGGTGTCTACTGGTACTGCTGTTACGTCTGGAAGATATCACCTTATCACCTGAGTAGTACACAGCAGACCCTGTCATGCCAGGTTTCCATTTTTTAACCTGATACTGCTCTTATGCATTTGGTCCTGCTTCTGCTTCTGCTTCTGCACTGCCAACAGGCCCTTGAGATACCAAAAGTATTCAGTGATAAAAATGGAGGAAATTTCTTTGTCTTCCCTTTCCACTTTTCGTTAACCAAAACAATGAGCTCATAATCCTTTGTACCCACTTTGTCTTTTCCTCTCAGTTAGGAAAATTACTCTATCTTTCCTTCCATTATTTACCTGCAGCTCTTTGTGTCCCACAAGGACAAAATCATGAGGCAATAAGGCAACAACTTCTCAGTAATTATCCAGCCACATTCCACAATGTTTCTATCTTGTAACAACTAGGATTTTACAGCCCGGTAAAGTTTGTCTGGCTCCATTTTCATTCAGATGAATTCCTGGCTGTCTGCCTTCAGTAATTCAGCAGATATATTCAGACATTTCTGAACTTCAACAGTAAATATTATTTAGGCTTAAGATGGTAGCTTTGAGCAGGTTTGATATAAAATTTTAGAGAAAAGCATAGGCATCATCTTAAGGCCAGAAATGCTAAAAGAACGTAATTAAGGAGTGTAGACAGATTCTATAAGACAAATATCTTTGTACAGTCATAGTGATGAAAAAATGGGGTGATCTAACAAGTTAGTGGATTTATATAAGGTATTTTCCAATTATATCAGATTTATAAAATACGTGAATGTAAGTTGGAAAAATTGATAAAGAAAATCTCAAAAAGCCACACATTTGTACACATATAGTTTTAGTCATGGGTCAGTGTCAGGAAGAAAAAATTTCAAAGTAAATGGTTTTCAAATATATCATATGGTGATTTTAAACTTATGTTTAGAAAAAGGGGAGGAACTATTATAATACAGGACAAACCCATTCCATGTGAGAAATGGTTACCTGGTAGGTGATAAGATCTTCCAAAAGGTGACAACTATAAGACTAGGAGCAGTTGCCCTCTCTTTTCCAGGTCAGGGAAGGTTCAATTCGATAGAGACTTACTTGCAGGGAAAGCATAAGTGAGAATGCATTAAGCCACTTGTGACGAATACAGAAAGGAATATTGGCAGAAGAAATAAATGGTTGCCACAGAGGCAGTCTCCGCCATTCTTCACCAGAAGAATCTGAAAAGAAAAGACAAAGGAAGGGATTTTACTAAGGATAAATGGTTTTCTTGAGACATCAGGAGGAGGTTCAATAGGGAACAGAAGGAGAGTGATGCAGACACTGCATGCTAAGCCATACTCTTTATTTTCTGTTTTGCCCAAAGTCAGAAGACAATGATTTTGCTCAAGGTTGGCGCTTCTTATGTCTCTGCATGCATATTGGTATGTGTGTGGGTGTTCATTGTATTTAACCATTGTCTTCCATAATTTATTGTCAATTCCATGAGAGAAGGTACTATGTGATTTTTTTCCACCTCCAAACTTAGATACAAGTCCTTGATATCTCAGAGGTGCTCAGAGAATATCTCAGCAAATGCATGAGTATTAGCCAGATGCTGGCTTATAAACTCCAACTAGGAAATGCACATAACAGCTGCTTGAGAGGGCATAACTTCCAATGGAGAGAATGCACTTTTTGTCTGTTTCAGTCTTCTCTAGCAGAAAAAAAAAGGAAGATTAGAAAAATGTTGATTAATTCCAAATCATAGGAATCTGGATTAAAATGGCATCTGAGTTGAGGAGCCTGAAGGGGACTCTCTGAACTGACTCTAATAGCAAAATATATAGAGAAGAAAGAAAATCTCACACCACTCACAGAAACTCAGAATGACAGTCAAGTTGTGGCTGCACAGCAGGAAGATTTACCAGTAAATCCAAGATCATTAGGACCGGGTTGAAAAATTATAGTTGAAGATTCACTTGTGCTCTCCTGTTCAAAGCAGCAATCTCAATCATTGCTTGGAGGTTGCTAAATAATATACCTTTTTTTCTCTTTCTAATTGCTATCTCAGAATTACAGGGGCCGTAATTTTACTGGCCATAAATTTGATAGCTACTTGAATGTCTATTTTATAAAGTACAGACCTTCTGAAGTAGCTGAAAGATTTTTTCTGCCTTTCTCACGTCATTGTGCTTTAAGCACCTTTAAGAAATAGAACATCTAATCTTCTAGAAAGAAACAATATTAGAGGTAAGGTACATAGGCTTCATTGCATACTGGGAAGATAAATCTTCTTACAGGTTAAAGAAAAAATGTTCCCAGAACACATTGTATATGGTGGTTTGGTTTCATTGTAATATTCCATCTTTTGGGAGTTCCTGACAGCCAGACAGTGACCATTGTAGAGATTTTCTCCTTAGTCAAGTGGGCGAACACTGTATGAATGCCTGCTGGATGTTGAGCTATTTGCGAGTTGCAATTTGTCCTTCAGAAGTTTGTCTGAGAAGAGGGTCCAGCTACTGTACAAGACAGATAATTAGTCATGTAACTGGAAAATTGTGAATCTGGACAAATCTTTTTTTATTTTAAGATATGTCTCAATAAAATCATATTAAACAGAAGACATTTATAATACAGGGAGATAAAACACTGAAAACAATATATATTTGAGTCTGGGTAAAATTGTACAAAACAGTGTGTAGAATTGCTGATAAAATGCAACACAATGTGGAATCCTTTCCTGTGCTCCCCCTACCCTTGCAAAAGACACTAAGTTAAACAAAAAGTAAACAGAATGTATGAAAAACTATAGAATAAAATGAAAAGGAAGTTGAGGTGAAATTATAAGAATTTCAAGAAAATTGTAACTACAATAGCAGAATCAGAATATTTATCAGAATAGGTAGTTAGGCACTGAACAAATAAATTCATATATTATATAACAGAATTGACAAAGTTTTGAAAATAATTACAAAGGATGTGTAAGAAAATTTACACTAACAAAAGAAAATTGGATTTATGATCCAATTATATATATTTTGAGGAACGAACTAACATAATAAAATCAATAACCAAAGATATAGTTAAATGTATTTTAGATTCTGAGAATAGAGAAAGAGGAATAAAAATTATCAGGCAATATCAGTAAAAAGAAGACCTATAACTAGGCACATGCTACCAAATTTCTGAAATCTAAACATAAAGATAAAAAGCAATCCAAGCACAGCAGATTGAAACTTTCCATGAAACAACAACAACATCAATTTTAAAATAACAGGTTTTATCACTGGAGGGTTGGGTTTGAGTGCTCCAATTCTTTTACTGTATTTATTTTTCCATGTTTTTTACTTTCCCACGTTTGTCATGTGTTACTTCTAAAGTAATGTAAAGTCACAATACAGTGCAATTGATATATATCATGCTGTATGTGTCAATGCTGAAACTGTGTATGTTTTGAGTAGCTATGTTTATCTCTTGTTGTACACCAAAATATTAATCATGACTATAATTTAGTAGTAAAATATTTATGTTCATTTTTGTTTTTGTAAAGAATCATATAATTTTATTATCTAAAAAGAAAGCTTATTTTTTAAGTATGAAATGCCTCTCTTTACATAAAAATATATTATGAATGATTATAAATGTAATTGAAAAAAAACAAAATCTTAGGAAAAGATGGAGACTATAAGTGTACTCTAGTCTTGGGAAATAACTTCTTAACCAAAACAAGACAACTGAAGCCATACAAAATATTTGTTTTTAATGTTTAAAAATGCAAATGGATATATTTGACTACATAAAATTATATTTTTGGTATCAAAAATATCCTTAACAAAGTATATAGATAAATATTAGATATGAAAAATAGTTTCTAGCAAGATGACAAATATTTAATAGTAATAACATACAAAGAACCCTTATAAATTGTCAAAAGTGACAAATAGCTCAATAGAAAAAAGTAAGTAAAGGGTATGATTATACAATTTATAAAATAACACATCTGAATATACAATAAACACATAAAAATGCTCAAATTCAGTTTTTCTCAGCAAAATACAATTTAAAGTAACAAGGAGTACCAGACTGGCAAATGTTTGAGAGAATGATAATACCTTTTTGCTGGCAGGATATAGGATAAATGATTTATCTTGTCATGTATTGCTAATATAAATGTAAATTTTAGCAGGATTTTCTAAGAGGAATTCAGCAGCATCCGTTAAAATATGAGACTTGGTTTAGCAATTCTATTGCTGGGTATATATGTAATTATAGTAAACATTTTTATATGTAATGACATTTAAACAAAGTGGCATTGTACACACTGGCAAAGGAAAAAACAAGAAAAGAAAAGAGCTAAATTCCCTCAATCAGGGAAAGGCTGAGTAAATTATGGTAAACCCAAATCAGAAATATCAGACAGCCATTATGAATTAGTTAAAACAATGCTAGTTGACTGGGAGGAGTTTTATGATGATGGTTGAGAAAAGCAAGAAGCAAAAGAAGGGAAAATGTGGTTTATATTTTGTAAAATCAACTGATAATATGATTTTCCTTATTTATATGCTTTTATTTTGCTCATACAATTATACACGGAAATGTGTGACATGGGTTACATGCAAACTGAGACAAAGATAACACAAAGGATAGAGAATGGCAAGAAAAATAGTAAGTCTTAAAATTCTAGGCATTGCTCCAAGTGCTGGAGATGCAAAGGTGAATCAAACCTAGTCTTTCTCTTAAGAAACTTATAGCTCAGAGAGGGTAAGAGTTGGTCAGCAAAGTGTGTGGATCACAAGGCATATTCTGATAAAACATTTCTAATGTGAGATCAGCCACCCAGGAGAAGTGTGGGCAGGACATTTTAAAAGGAAGTCGAATGCAGCATCAGAAATTTCCCAGTATCTTGGGGGAAAATCGGTTAGCTAGCACTTTCCAGACAATGTGTATCCAGTAGGAGAGAGTAGTTGGAAGACAGCTCAGAGAGAGAAATAAGACTCAGTGTTTTAACAGGTGAACAAGCATGCTCATGTGAGTGAGGCTAATGAGTTGAGGATCAAGGTGAGATTTGTCCTGTTGTTGGCATAAATATCCTTTGGAGTAGGGATGGATAGGACTTAAAAGATTGTTTAGCATGGTAGGGAGAAGACACTCCAACTTTAAAGTTCTTCAACAGGTCAAATTGGTTTACAGATTTAGAAAAATCAGGGAAGTTATTGAATACTGGATAGTACATATTACAATTCTAGCGTTATTTTTCAGGTATGCAAGGCTTACACAATTTTTTTTGCAGGGCCTCTGTCTATATAAACAATTTGATTAAAATTACAAAATTTACAGGCCCATGGGTGGTACAGTGAGCTATCAAAAATGCACATACACCTTTGTGTATCGTCCTATCTGCCTCTGAGGATTCTTTGTAGTGACCAGACACCATTGCTTCTTTTCCAAGTTCTGGAATGCTGTTTTCATGCTTCATATTGTTGAATGCATCATTCCTCACTAATTTCACATCTGTCACTGACAGAAAAAGGTAGGAATGCCATTCATATTCAAATTGGTTTGGCTGAATTATAAGAATTGTATGAAAACAATATGGATGTTCTTGCTTCTGCCATTCCCTAATACCATTTATATAATGCTGGATATATTGTTACAAATGATGCTGCATCTTCCATTGTGTAACCCATGATTGCTAGTTTCCAATGACTTACTCAAAGGTTGTTACTATGATTAATTGTTCCTAATTACAAAGATAAATACTATCCAAAGTATGTAGGAAAATGTGAATAAGAATTCATTTTCTGGTCATGTTAACTTTGTGATTTGAAGCATGAAATAACACATTTCCAACCACATCTTTTCTTCAACTTTCCAGCCTGTAATTGCTACATTCCTAGAATGTTGTCTATAGCCCTAACTTCCACACACTGTCACTAGTAGGAAGAAAAGACAAGGACCCAGTGTTCAAAGCAAGAAGAATGACCTCATTCATATAAGGAATTCATGTAAAGAATCCCTCAAATAGCGTGGCTTAAGCCTGACTCAGGAGAGCACCATATCACCACACTGATTAGACAGAGAGAAATCAATAAGAAGGGTACTTTGGCACTTCAGAGTAAGTTTCTCATAAGCCCTCTGAGGAATTAGGTGCCATATCCCTGAGAGATTGCCTAGAACATGGTGCCGAACTGGTAGAGGGTGTGGGTGGTCTCCCTGGGTACTGATGGGGATGGTCCCAAGAGTAAATATTGGCTACTGCCATCCCTGTTTCCTTCAGATGCTGTAGGCATGAGGCAGAACTGAGACCAACAAAGAAGAGTGAAAGTCCATGCAGGGACCCACTCATGAGGCTCATACTCAAGAGCTGACAATACATCACTGGCAGCCCAAAGCCCTGAACGTGTTGTACCTTCTTCTTTGGGTAAAAGTGATCTAAAACAAGTGTGTCAGCATCATTCTGGTGGCCCCATCTCACACCATGCCATGAAAGAAACACCATACCAGCCAGCGAGCACAGATCACCCTTGTGGAACTGGGATCCAGCCATAGGGCCCCAGGAGGACTCCACTGGCCCCAGTCTTGGAGGTCATTACGGCATCTGGTCAATACCAAAAACTAGGTAGAGGGTCAAAGAATATCTGGAAGGGGAGAAAAAGGAGATTGCAGCTCACACAACTCCTGGTGTGGACTCATGGTACCCCACCTGGCAAGGACTACTAGCCTTAGCAGGTTCCAGTTACTTGAGTGGAACCAAGGAAATGTCAAGCTTGATGCTTCCAGTGATGGACACTGTCAATGGCCGAGGTCTGGGCTCTAAGTGTGCTGCCAAGAAAACACTGCTGTCCCTGGTTAGTCCAAGGCCCAGGAGAGTGCCTTAGAACATTTTCAGGAAGGCATTCCAAAATGTGTGGACATCTGAAGCATGGGGTCTCAGAGCAGGGGGACCCTAGCCCAGGTCTAAGGATGATACTGAGAGAGACTGCTATTAGTTTATCCAAACCTATTTCCCTTATTTCAAGTCAGACAGTCAAATCATATTTTCAAGGCTTCCTTGAAGTTGAGTTCTAGCTAGTAAAATGTGGACAGAAGTGATTTATGTCATTTTCCCAACCTAACTCATAAACACTTCCTATATAACCTTCTCCTCTCTTTTCCCTTGCTTTATTGGAAGTATATCAATACACAGGGTAACCTGTCTATATACTAAAGATAGTCTTTCCACCCCAGAGTCCTTCCTCCTCACCACAGTTTGAGTAATGAATGCACTTCTATTGCCTTAGACCACTGAGATTTCAGGGCCTCGCTGTTATAGAAGATAAACTAATACATTAGAATTTTAAGACTGTATATTTCTGTCAGAATTCTTTTTTTCAGTTATGTTTATTTTTATTTTTCTTTATTTTTTTATTTCCATAGGACTTTGGGGAACAGGTGGTTACATGGGTAAGTTCTTTAGTGGTTATTTGTGAGACTTTGGTGCACCCATCACCCAAGCAGTTTACACTGAACCCAATTTGCAGTTTTTTATTTATGTCAGAATTCTTAAAGCTATAATAAAAATATGGCATGTGAAATAATTTAGAAAAGAGAATTTTTGCCACTAAGGGCGAACATATGTTTGCTGAGCATTTTGCCCTAAAATTAGATGTAGATGATAACATCAGTAACTTGGGACGTAAGAGAAATAACTTATGTTCCAGTTTATCTTAGTTTCAGCAAAGAAATTGGCCATGTCTCTCACAGATCCCTTTAAGCTCTGTACTTAATATTATAAGGGTGATGTGTAATGGACTGTGTCAACCTGAAAGGAAATGTTAGTAAAATTCCACAAAGCTCCATTATTCACAATATCTGATTCCTCATTTTCAGTAGTAGCTTAAAGATAGATGAGATCATTATCTAATGTATAGATGATGAGAACCAGAAAGAGATAATATGATATGCCACAATCAGGATTCAAAATGATAGACTAAAAGATGGGCTGAAGCAAAGAAAATGAAATTTAGCAAAAATAAAAATAGGACACTAAATTTAGTTTTAATGTAAATTACCTTTATAAGATAGATACAACTTATTTAAAAGGACAAAAATGAGGGCATTTCAGAAGGAAGTGGCATTTCTTCAAAATTCACAACTTGCCAGGTATACCACCAAAATGATTCTATAGTTGTTCCTAAGAACTGGCCCAGATAAAGAATAGAAGAACAGATATATCTGGAATCCTTACAACAGTGCTTCTCAGTGGAGATGTTTTGAAAATTTATGGGTGTATTTTTTTAAATTGTCTTAATGCTTTTTGTACTGTGAGTATTACTGGCTAGCAATGCTAAACATTGCACAAACTAGGACAAATTCCAGAGAACCCTTCTACAATATTTGTGAACTTGAAATGTCCTGAAGAATATTATTATAGGTAAAAATCGTTTATGATCATCTGAGTTTAGCATGTGACTTCATGCAACATAAAATCTTGAGGTATTTTTGCAAGATATTAATTTGTTGAATTTCCCAGGGATACAACTATGTATGAAATGGTAGATTATACTTTAGGTTTTGTTTAGGACTTTACCAGGAGCTATTTATAATTTCAGAAAATTATGTTACTGCTATATCATTTACACCTTTATCGGCCTATGTTTGAGGTTGATGCATTAATGGACATTTTATGTATAAGTGTAATCATCTATTTTATTTACTATGCACACCATTGTACCCTTGTGCAAACATTTATATATTGAAGTATGTGTTACATGTTACCTTTTAAAAACGTCTCGTTTATATTACATGTAGGATATTATATTGATTTTTTGAAGTTATTAGGTTGGGTAAATTTCTACTAATGCATCTTGAAGATAGTAAAGACAGCATAGCAAAATATTTATTATAAAAAGAGGTGTCATGTCACATAGATTTGAAAAATATTGCCATAAATATCTGCATCTCGCTTACAAAATATTTAATTTCCTCTAGAATTTAGAATTCTAATAGACCTAGTGGCATATGATATGATAATAAGGAACCCAGAATACAGGGCATTTAGAAAAATGACAGCTATCTGGGCATGAAGAGAATGAGAAAGAAAAATTTATTGAAGATATATTATAGACCAAATGCCACACTTATTTACTGTCCTTAATTTGCATTACTTACTTTAATGTTCACAATAACCTGTTTAGGTAGATGTTATTTCCACATTTGAAACTGAGGAAACAGACTCAGAACATTTAAATAACTATTGTAAAAGCAAAAACTGTTTTGTTGTGAATATAGAATTCAAACCCAACTTTATTTCACTTCAAAGCCCAATCTCTTAACCACTGTAGAAGAGAAGATTCACAGGAAAATCGCTGTCTTCAGTTACAAAAAGAGCTGATCTCCAAAAGGAATAGGTTTCACCTGGGCCATTCCAGAGGTTCTATAGCTCAGAATAAAGAAAAGTTGTTAAACACAGGTAGATTTTAGCTCATTTTAAATAACTATCTGAATTGGTTATCCCTCAACAGAATCGACTGCCCCAGGCAGGAGGTGCTGACCAAAAAGGATAATGACAACTAAAAACAGTATTGATTATCACTGAAAAAGGATTTTCTGCATTTGGGTGAGATATTTGGTCCAGATGTTAACTCACTCATAACATTAACATTTAGTGACTTTTTCATTATTTAGTTGAATCTTTCACTTGGACTTCCCTTCCACACCACTCTGGCATGTGATCATGGAGCCACTAGACTTATCACAATTCAAATAATGAGACACCTACTATTTCTTGAATATTCTTGTCTTTACTTAAAGTATGTAACTTTCCAATATTTTATTTGTCTTTGAATAAAAACTTAAATTCATTTTGAAGCAGTAGGAAAACATGTTTCCCCAAAGAGTTTATGTCATTACGAGACAGCACAAAGGATCAGATAGATTTTTCTTACATTGAACTTCTTTTTTCCATTTGTTGGGTTTTAAAATATTTAAAGCTGGTGATCATGTTTTTGTATAGTTTTTGATAGTGAACCATTGCTCATTTGACCTGGCTTCCTATTTGTTGGCCAGCCTCTCTGGTGATACTTTAATTAAAAAACTTCTTTTATGGCATGGACACCAGAATGAAATGCAATTGTGCATACCATCTTCATAGAGAGGCCAGTGAGCTAATTAGCTCGGTCAGTATCTTGCCAGTCTTTCAGGAAATCTAGGAAACCTAAGGGGTTAAAACTCTGAAGTATAAGAAAAAATCAATTACACCAAATCAAGTACACGATACTGACTGGTATGTTTGCAACCTCCTTGTGATGATGTTCCATGATTTTTTTTTGTCTAACACAGCTGCACAAGTCTTTGGCAGATGAAGATGAGCTTTTTCCCTAGGTGGATCAGAACATGAACTTAAAAAGGTCTTTTCAACTCCTGGGGGATCACCTAGAGTCATGTCTTACAACTATAGTGCTAAAAGCAAATATAAGAAATACATTTTTGTTAAAAGAGTTAGTGATGGATTGCCATTAGGCTGCCTGGAACACTGGTCTGGAGACTTGACCCCAGCATCCTCAGATTGTATATTTCACAGCCTTGAACCTTGTTGACATTTTCTTGTTTGACTATTTACATGTTGCTTCTTGATTGCTTCCACTGTGCTACATAATAACATGGAAAGGAATGTAAACTTCCTTTCAGTTAAACATAGATATAAGCCATATGAAGGACATTAAGCAGCACAGATCACTCATTTGGAAAATGAGTGAGAGATTAAGCAGTACATATCTCTCACTCTCGAGTTGTAGGCCATATATTCAGATTTAAAAAGTCACCAGCATCTTGAGTTCCTAACTTCTACGGCCACTCTAAAAATCAATGGAACATGCCATAATGTTCAGGGATAGTGGCTGTTCTCTGACAGAATTGGAAGCAATTATGCTTGTATAACTGAATATTTCTAGAACTTAATTATTTCAATAGTAATATATGATGGCCTAAGAAGATAAGATAATTGTAGAGGCTGTAGATACCTCTGATCATTTATTATATTCCCATCATTCAAGGTCCAGTATGTTAAAATTGTTTGCCAAGGTCACACAACTAATTATTAATACAGATTGACTTAAAAATGACACCTACATACAGCTAGCCTGAATCTTCTTCCATAATTCCATATAATTATGAGATGCTAGAGTGCAGGATTCACATGCTAGTCTTTCTATGCTTTATATATCTAGCAGGATGCCTTAAACTCTAAAAGACTGTGATATGTATGTGTCGAATTGAATAGACATCACATACTTTCCCCTGACCTAAGCTTTGTCTTCCCAACGGGCCTCCCTTAACTTCACTCTGTTCTTTGGCTGTTTGTTCCCATGAGTAAAGTTAGCCTTATAGAAAGGCACTGTTAAAATCCCAACAGAGAGTACAATGAAGCCCTTGGAGGGATTCCTCTCATTATTATTATAACATGGATTTATTAGTCTTTTAGTTAATGGAGCACAATAAATGTTGCAAGATATATAAGCCTTGCTTGAAGACTAAAATACATTATTATTTCTGACAGGCAGTTTAGGTCAAGGTGCATGCAGGCAGTAGAAGAGTGGACCATTTATAGAAACGGTTGGGGTTTAGGTGGGGTAATAAAATAATTTATGCACAAAATGAGATACTTTTTGAGATAAAAGGGTATGAACTAACAGGTATGAACTATACTGCCTCATAAAAGAGATATATTATCATGCCAGGCAGGTATGAGGGGATCTCAGGCCCTTGACACTACATAAAGTTTGTGTCCCAAAGGCCGCCCTAGGGAAGTGACTCATGGTTCTGAGGGCTTGAAATGCTCAGAAAAACTGATTTAGGCAATGAAAAATTTACTTAATCCACAATCTTGCCCACTTTGGATTTTCAAAGCCAGATCTCTCTTGGAGGAAAAAAAAAAAACAAAAAAACAAAAAAAAAAAACAGGTACGCTAAATAGCATAGCACCATTTTGCTTGCGTCCATAAATATAAATATCAGAGCAAACTCTATTTGAGCTTCAACCTCCAACCTACTTGCAAATGATGTCATTATGCAGACCTAGCTTTGGCACGAAGACTTAATTAGTATTCAGTCTGACAGAAAACCATTTCATTTAATTCCACTGGCTGAGATCCAACCAGCAGTATCTATATGACAGCATACGAAACAGGCACTTAGGGTAAAAGCAGGCTTGGCATTAGTATGCTGAGCAGTGACCTGGAACGGGAGCAGGGACAGAGCAAGTTTGGAAGGAGCAAAGAAGCAGAGGGAGCTGTCATTCCAGTTCAAAACCCCTCTGAGTTTGTGTTTTAGATACAAAGAATGAGGTTTATTTAATACAGATTCTTAAGCCCTGTTAGTCATGCTGTCTGACAAATTTAGGAACGTAGTCATGATTAACTTTTAACCTGAAAAAATTAAAAAAAAATCCTCCCAGGAATTTACCTGGAATGAGAATCTGATCCCACATATTAAATGTCTTATGCAATATGAACCGAAAGCTGTATGCCGTTTTTTAAAAAACATGCTAATTCTATCTCCATGAGCTGAGTATTTTGATTGAGCTAAGAAATGCCTGTGAAAAGTACTTAATTGACTTAGAGATTACAATTAGCCAGTGATGACATTTAGTGCTCCAGATCCATTCTCCACTCTTCTCTTTCTCATTCTATGCTGAGAGAATGACCCGTACAGACTCCACAGGACTATATCCCTAGTCCTGTGGCTTCTGGTTGGATTTTCTCAATGGGAGACACCAAAAAGAGGTCTGGAGGCTATAGGGAAGAGTGACTGTGGGTTCCTTGTCTTCTACCAAGATCCACAGTTCCTCTTAGGTGGCACTTTCTATAGAGGACTCTCTCTGAGTTATTGCTCCTGTCCGTTATCTTTTTCAGGTCTTAGGGTAGCCCCCTGATCTCAGTAAGCCTGGGATGCTGCATCATTGCATTTTCCCCCACAAACCTTGACCGTGTCTTTGAAAATGGGCCTTTATTAATATCACTTTAAATTGTCTAGCTTTAGTTTGTCATCTGTTTTCTGCTATAACTGACAATTAAAACTTCTGACATTACTGGAAAGAAGTCAGAATCATCCAGAGGAAGAAAACAAAATGTAAGCAGAGAAGGCCAGGAGACTGTTGCTTCACAGGAATGGAAAGCAGTAGAATTAATTGATGAGATTATGAATGGAAAGGAGGCTCAGATATCAGAGATTGGTTTGATAATTCATCCTCTTGAAATGTGGTCAATAATGTTTCTATTATTTCTTCATTAGTAGAGTGCATGCTTTGATGATTGTTACATAAATGAGGACAAACTTATACTTTTTAAAAAATTATGATTATAGAGTTTATGGCCATAATAGTTTTTACTGGTCAATATAAGAAGCTTTCCATAATTGTCTCACTAACATCCTTTTCAAATTCTATATCCCAGTGTTATCATCCTTATCTGAGGTTGATACTTCAGCCATCATACAAGGGAGGAAAGCAAGGCACAGACACAAGTGTGTAAATAGATGTGTTGTGAGAACTTATGGAAATCCTCTTGATTTCTTCTGTCTTCTTGGTCAAAAGGAAGCAAGGTCATCAGCTGAACATAAATATTGGGGCAGGAGGGTTGGTGTTTGAGGAGAGGGTAACTTAGGAAATAGTTGTTTGTGGGGAAATGATGAAAGGTAGCTATGAAGGGCCTACCTGAGATTCGTGGGTGGCTATCAACTGAATATGAGACCAGCCAGCATGCCTGACTTTTCTCCAGCTACTTCTCATCTGCAGCATAGAAAAGCACTGGATTTTATCAATTAAATGGAAGCAAGAAAGCAACAAAAAATTTGAGGTGAATGCAATGAGGGATTTTAATTCGGACCATATTTTCTAAATTGTTTAGAGGAGGACGTAAAAATTGAGGAAAATAAAGGGCAGCAAAAGGAGGGCAAGATTCATGGATTATAGGAACTGATGGTGTTGAAGAATTGTAGAAGTTGAGGTACTAGATAGAAGAAACTAGAAAGATAGGAAGTGGTGGATAGGGAGTAGGGTACTTAAAAAGGAGATTTGAAAAGGGAGTTGTAGTTTTTGGTAATCATGGAGTATGGGATATGACCATGAAGTTATGGCTTTGGTGGAATGGGAAATAAATTAATTTTAGATAATTAGGGAATTAGAAGTCTGGGTTTTGGAATAATCATCTATTGGAATTTTAAACTACTAATATTTGTTACAATATGTTGTAGAAAGTGACAGTCATTAGCTAAACTCTTCAAGGATAAGTATGAGTGACACTTCCAAGGTGATATGTGGTAATAACAAGGATGGGTGGTGGTGGTATAGTTGAACAGCAGGAGATTCAACACTTGCTGATTTTTAGCCAGAGTAGAAAGACGATGGTTTATAACCAGCAAGGAGTACATAATCCCCATGGTAGGGAGGATGTGAAAGAGAAAACAACTGTTAATTTGTAGGACTTCCAGGAAAGTCAGGTTTTAGTACAGAAGGAAGTTGAAATGGAAATACCAAAGAAAGGTGAAGAATATTTGTATTTTGCCAATGGCTGACCATGAATTTCAAAGGAAAAAGTGCATGAGCTTTAGCAGTTGGCAAGAAATGGGAAATGGGGCATAAAGAGCTTCTACAGAATTAGAGTTGGGGGTTCAGAGGTAACCTGAGAGTTGTGGGTTTCTTATGGTGACAGGAAAAAAAAAACAGGTAAAATTAGGACAATGGATCTTAGTGCTGTTGGTCTCAAGCCTATTGGGGCTGGGTTCTGGGTTGGTGAAAAGGGAGGAGTAGGCATATTTTTAGTAGCATACAGAGTTTGGGATCACATTTTACCTGCCAGAGATGTGTGGAGGGTGGAGGATGAGGTGGCAGTGGTCTTACATAGATTAATACACATGGGTATATTAAATGATAATCTAATAAATTGTCATGAAAATATATTTAAAACAGTTAATCATCATCATCATCTTACCTATAACTATGACGTATCAAGTACTAATTCTGTGCCAGGTACAATAATTATAATTTACGTATACTTTATATGGTCAACTTCTCATAAAAGCTGATGTTGTGGGTCAGGTGTGGTGGCTCATGCCTGTAATTCCAGCACTTTGGGAGGCCCAGGTGGGCAAATCACTTGAGGTCAGGAGTTCAAGACCAGCCTGGCCAATATGGTGAAACCCCATCTCTACATGGTGGCAGGCACCTATAATCCCAGCTACTGGGGAGAGTGAGGCTGGAGTATCGTTTGAACCCAGGAGGCAGAGGTTTCAGTGAGCGGAGATCACACCACTGCACTCCAGCCTGAGCAACAGAGCAAGACTCTGTCTCAAAATAAATAAATAAAAAATAAATCTGATATTGTGAACTCCATTTTAAATTTTATTATTACTTATTTTAATTGATAAGTAAAAATGTATAAGTTTATGATACACGACAAGATGTTCTGACATATGTATACATTGTATTATGGCTAGATCAGGCTATTTAAGATATGCATTATTTCACATACTTAATATTTTTTGTGGTGAGAAGTCTTAATATATACTCTCTTACCAGCTTTCAAATATATGAAATATTGTTAACTATACTCATTATGATGCACAATAAATCACTTGAGCTTATTCTTGTCTAATTGAAATTTTGTGTTCTTTGACCAACAACTCTTTAATTATTCCACCTCCAGTCTACAGTAACCATCATTTAAGTCTCTGTTTCTATGAGTTAAACTGTTTTAGATTCCACACATAAGTGAAATCATGTGGCATTTGTCTATCTTTGCCTGGCTTATTTCATTTACATAACGTCCTCCAGGTTCATCTATGTTTTCTCAAATGACAGCATTTTCTTTTTTTTTTTTTTTTTTTTTTGTTGTTGTTGTTGAGATGGAGTCTTGCTCTGTTGCCCAAGCTGGAGTGCAGTGGCACAATCTTGGCAACCTCGGCCTCCCGGGTTCAAGCGTTTCTCCTGCCTCAGCCTCCCAAGTAACTGAGACTACAGGTGCATGCCACGAAGCCCGGCTAATTTTTTGTATTTTTAGTAGAGGTGGGTTTTCACCGTGTTACCCAGGATGGACTCAATCTCCTGACCTCGTGATTTGCCCGCCTCGGCCTCCCAAAGTGCTGAGATTGCAGGCGAGAGCCATCGCGCCCGGGCTGTTTTCAGTTTTTAATTTTTTTTAATATATTTTTTTTATTTTCATAGATTATTAGGGAACAGGTTGTGTTTATTTTCATGAGTAAATTCTTGAGTGGTGATTTGTGAGATTTTGGTGCACCCATCACCTGAGCAGTATACAATGCACCCAATTTGATTTTTTGGTTATGGCCATTCTTGCAGGAGTAAGGTGATCTCATTGTGGTTTTGATTTGCATTTCCCTGATCATTAGTGATGTTGAGCATTTTTTCATATGTCTGTTGGCCATTTGTATATCTTCTTTTGATAATTTTCTATTCATGTCCTTAGCCCAATTTTTGATGGGATTGTTTTTTTGTTTTTTTTTTTTTTTGCTGATTTGAGTTTGTTGTGGATTCTAGATATTAGTCCTTTGTCAAATCTATAGATTGTGAAGATTTTCTTCCACTCTGTGGGTTGTCTGTTTACTCTGCTGATTGTTCCTTTTGCCATGCAAAAGCTCTTTAGTTTAATTAGGTCCCAGGTATTTATCTTTGTTTTTATTGCATTTGTTTTTGGGTTCTTGCTCATGAAATACTCGCTTAAGCCAGTGTCTGGAAAGGTTTTTCTGATGTCATCTAGAAGTTTTACAGTTTCAGGTCTTAGGTTTAAGTCCTTAATCCATCTTGAGTGGATTTTTGTAGAAAGGTGAGTGATGAGGATCCAGTTTCATTCTCCTACATGTAGCTAGCCAATTATTCCAGCACCATTTGTTGAAAAGGGTGTCCTTTCCCCACTTTATGTTTTTGTTTGCTTTGTCAAAGATCAGTTGGCTCTAAGTATTTGGATTTATTTCTGGGTTCTTGATTCTGTCCCATTGGTCTATATGCCTATTTTTATACCAGTACCACACTGTTTTTGTGACCATGGCCTTATAGTATAGTTTGAAATCAGGTAGTGTTATACCTTCAGATTTGTTCTTTTTGCTAAGTCTTGCTTCAGCTATGCAGGCTCTTTTTTGGTTTCATATGAATTTTAGATCATGTGGTTTTTGTCATTGGTTCTGTTTATGTGATGAATTATGTTTATTGATTTGCATATGTTGAACCAGCCTTGCATCACAGGTATGAAACTGACTTGTTTGTGGTGAATACACTTTTTGATGTGCTGCTGGATTCAGTTTGCCAGTATCTTATTGAGGATTTTCACATCAATATTCACCAGGCATATTGGCCTGAAGTTTTCTTCTTTTGTTGTGTCTCTGCCAAGTTTTGGTATCAGGATGATGCTGGCCTCATAAAATGAGTTAGGGAGGGGTCCCTCTTTTTCAATTGTTTGCAATAGTTTTGGAAGGAATGGTACCAGCTCCTCTTTGTATCTCTGGTAGAATTCAGCTGTGAATCTGTTGGGTCCTGGGCTTTTGTTGGTTGGTAGGCTATCAATTACTGCCTCAACTTCAGAACTTGTTGGCCTATTCAGGGATTTGACTTCTTCCTGGTTTAGTCTTGGGAGGGTGTATGTGTCCAGGGATTTATGCATTTCTTCTACATTTTCTAGTTTATTTGCATCGAGATGTTTATAATATTCTCTGGTAGTAGTTTGTATTTCTCTGGGGTCAGTGGTGATAGCCTCTTTATCATTTATTATTGAGTCTATTTGACTTTTATCTCTTTTCTTCTTTATTAGTCTAGCTAGTTATCTATTTTGCTAATTTTTTCAAAAAAAAAATCTCCTGGATTCCTTGACTTTTTTGAGGGGTTTTTCATGTCTCTACCTCCTTCGGTTCTGTTCTGATCTTAGTTATTTCTTGTCTTCTGAGGCTAGCCTTTGGTTTTGTTTGCTCTTGCTTCTCTAGCTCTTTTAATTGTGATGTTAGGGTGTCAATTTGAGATCTTTCTAGCTTTCTGATGTGGGCATTTAGTGCTATAAATTTCCCTCTTAACACTGTTTTAGCTGTGTCCAGACATTCTGGTATGTTGTCTCTTTGTTCTCATTGGTTTCGAAGAATTTCTTGATTTCTGCGTTAATTTCATTATTTACGCAGGAGCCACTCAGGAGCAGTTTGTTCAATTTTCATGTGGTTGTGTGGTTTTGAGTGAGTTTCTTAATCTTGAGCTCTAATTTGATTGCACTGTGGTCTGAGGAACTGTTTGTTATAATTTCAGATGTTTTTTGTATTTGCTGGGAAGTGTTTTACTTCCAATTATATGGTTGATTTTAGAATAAGTGTCATGTGGCACTGAGAAGAATGTATATTCTGTAGATTTGGGGTGGAGAGTTCTGTAGATGTCTATTAGGACCACTTGATCCCAAGCTGAGTTTAAGTCCTGAATATCGTTGTTAATTTTCCATGTTGTTGATCTGTCTAATATTGAAAGTAGGGTGTTAAAGTCTCCCACTATTATTGTGTGGGAGTCTAAGTCTTTTTGTAGGTCTGTAAGAACTTGTTTTATGAATATGGATGCTCCCGTATTGGGTGTATATATATATTTAGGAGAGTAAGCTCTTCTTGTTGACCTGATCTGTTTATCATTATGTAATGCTCTTCTTTGTCTTTTTTGATCTTTGTTGGTTTAAAGTCTGTTTTGTCAGAGACTAGAGTTGCAACCCCTGCTAGTGTGTTGCCTCCAGATTTGATCTTTTGCTTAGTCTTGCTTTGGTTATGTGGGCTGTTTTTTGGTTCCATATAAATTTTAGGATTGTTTTTGCTAATTCTGTGAAAAATGATGATGGCGTTTGGATGGGAATTGCACTGAATTTATAGATTGCTTTTGGCAGTATGGTCATTTTCACAATATTAATTCTACTCATCCATGAGCATGGGATGTGTTTCCCTTTGTTTGTGTCATCTGTGATTTCTTTCAGCAGTGTTTTATATTTTTCCTTGTAGAGGTCTTTCACGTCCTTGTATTTCTAAGTACTTTATTTCCAAGTACTTTATTTTGCTTGCAGCTATTGTAAAAGAGGTTGAGTTCCTGATTTGTTTCTCAGCTTGGTCACTGTTGGTGTATAGCAGAGCTACTGATTTGTATAATGATTTGTGATTTCATATCCGGAGGCTTTGCTGAATTCTTTTATCAGTTTTAGGAGCTTTCTGGAGGAGTCTTTAGGGTTTTCTAGGTAAACAATCATATCATCAGTAAGCAGTGACAGTTTGATTTCGTCTTTACTAATTTGTATGCCCTTTATTTCTTTCTTTTGTCTGATTGTTCTGGCTCGGACTTCCAGTACTAGGTTGAAGAGGAGTGGTGAGAGTGGGCATGCTTGTCTTGTTCTAGTTCTCAGAGGGAATGCTTTCACCTTTTCTCCATTCAATATTATGTTGGCTGTGAGTTTTTCATAGATAGCTTTTATTACATTGAAGTATGTCCCTCATATGCCGATTTTGTTCAGAGTTTTAAGTATAAAGTGATGCTGGATTTTGTTGAATGCTTTTTCTGCATCTATAGAGATGATGTGATTTTTGTTTTTAATTCTGTTTATGTGATGTATCACATTTATTGACTTGCATATGTTAAACTATCCCTGCATCCCTGGTATGAAACCCACTTCATCATGATAGATTATCTTTTTGATACATTGTTGGATTTGGTTAGCTAGTATTTGGTTAAGAATTTTAGCATCTATGTTCATCAGGGATTTTGGTCTGTAGTTTTCTTTTTTGGTTATGTCCTTTCCTGGTTTTGGTATTAGGGCGGTACTGGCTTCATAGAATGATTTAGAAAGGGTTCCCTCTTACTCTTCTTGTGGAATAGTGTCAATAGGATTGGTACCAATTCTTCTTTGAATGTCTAGTAGAATTCTGCTGTGAATCCATCTGATCCTGGACTTTTTTTGTTGGTAACTATTTTATTACCATTTCACTCTTGCTGCTTATTATCGGTCTGTTCAGGGCATCTTATTCTTCCTGATTTAAGCTAGGAGGGTTGTATATTTTCAGTAATTTGTCCATCTCCTCTAGGTTATCTAGTTTGTGTGTGTAAAGGTGTTCATAGTAGACTTGAATGATCTTTTGTATTTCTGTGATGTCAGTTGTAATATTTCCTGTTTTGTTTCTAATTGAACTTATTTGGATTTTCTCTCTTCTTTTCTTGGTTAATCTTGCTAATGGTCCATCAGTTTTATTTATCTTTTCAACAAAGCAGCTTTTCGTTTCATTTATCTTTTGTGTTTTTTGTTTGTTTGTTTCAATTTCATTTAGTTCTGCTCTGATCTCGGTTATTTCCTTCCTTCTGTTGGGTTTGGGTTTGGTTTATTCTTGTTTCTCTAGTTCCTGCAGGTCTGACCTTAGATTTTCTGTTTGTGCTCTTTCAGACTTTTTGATGTAGGTGTTTAGGGCTATGAACTTTCTTCTTAGCACCACCTTTGCTGTACTCCAGAAGTTTTGATAGGTTCTGCCACTATTGTCATTCGGTTGGAATAATTTTTTAAATTTCCGTCTTGATTTCATTTTTGACCCAGTGATCATTCAGAAGCAGGTTATTTAATTTCCATGTATTTGCATTGTTTTGAAGATTCCTTTTGGAGTTGATTTCCAGTTTTATTCCACTGTGGTCTGAGAGAGTGCTTGATAGAACTTCAATTTAATTTATTGAGGCTTGTTTTGTGGCTTATCATATGGTCTATCTTGGGGAAAGTTTCATGTACTGTTGAATAGAATGTATATTATATGGTTGTTGGGTAGAATGTTCTGTATATACCTGTTAAGTCCATTTGTTCCAGGATGTAGGTTAGATTCGTTTTTTCTTTGTTGACTTTCTGTCTTGATGACCTGTCTAGTGCTGTCAGTGGAGTATTGATGCCCCTCACTATATTGTATTCCTGTCTATCTCATTTCTTTGGTCTATTAGTAATTGCTATTTGTATTAGTATTTGTAAATTTGGGAGCGCCAGTGTTAGATGCATATATTTTTAGAATGTGATATTTTCCTGTTGGACAAGGCCTTTTATCATTATATAATGTCCCTCTTTGTCTTTTTTAACTGCTATTACTTTAAAGTTTGTTTTGTCTAATAAAAGAATAGCTACTACTGTTTGCTTTTGATGTCCATTTGCATAGAATGTCTTTATCCACGCCTTTACCTTAAGTTTATGTGACTACTTATGTGTTAGGTGAGTCTCTTGAAGACAGCAGATGGTTGGTGAGGTCTTCTCCATTCTGCAATTCTGTATCTTTTAAGTGGAGCATTTAGACCATTTACATTTAACCATAGTATTGAGATGTGAGGTACCATTCCATTCATCATGCTATTTGTTGCCTGTATACCTTGTTTTTTTTTTTTAATTGTATTTTTGTTTCATAGGTCCTGTGAGATTTATGCTTTAAAGAGGTTCTGTTTTGATATGTTTCCAGGATTTATTTCAAGATTTAGAGCTCGTTTTAACAGTTCTTGTAGTGGTGGCTTGGAAGTGGCAAATTATCTCAGCATTTGTCTGAAAAAGACTATATCTTTCCTTCACTTACGAATCTTAGTTTCACTAGATACAACATTCTAGGCTGATAATTGTTTTGAAGAGGCTGAAGATAGGGCCCCAATTCCTTCTAGCTTGTAGGGTTTCTGCTAAAAAATCTGCGTTAATCCTACAGGTTTTCCTTTACAGGTTACCTGGTGCTTTTTTCTCACAGTTCTTAAGATTCTTTCCTCATCTTAACTTTAGATAACCTGATGACAATTTGCCTAGGTGATGATCTTCTTGCAATGAATTTCCCAGGTGTTCGTTGAGCTTCTTGTATTTGGATGTCTTGATCTCTAGCAAGGCTGGGGAAGTTTTCCTTGATTATTCCCCAAAATATGTTTTCCAACCTATTACATTTCTCTTCTTCCTCAGGAATGCCAATTATACTTAGGTTTGGTCATTTAACATAATCCCAGACTTCTTGGAGGCTTTGTTTATATTTTCTTACTCTTTTTTCTTTGTCTTTGTTGGATTGGGCTAATTCAAAAACCTTGTCTTTGAGCTCTGAAGTTCTTTCTTCTGCTTGTTTGATTCCATTGCTGAGACCTTCCAGAGCATTTTGCAATTCTATAAATGTGTCCATTTTTTCCTGAAGTTTTGATTGTTTTTTATTCATGCTATCTATTTCATTGAATATTTCTCCCTTCACTTCTTGTATTATTTTTTTGATTTCCTTAGGTAGGGCTTCACCTTTCACTGGTGCCTCCCTGATTAGCTTAATAACTAACCTTCTGAATTATTTTTCAGGTAAATCAGGGATTTCTTCTTGGTTTGGATCCATTGCTGGTGAGCTAGTGATTTTTTTGCAGATGTTAAAGAACCTTGTTTTGTCATATCACCAGAGTTGGTTTTCTGGTCTTATTTGGGTAGGATCTGTCAGAGGGAAGGTCTAGGGCTCAAGGCTGTTGTTCAGATTCTTTTGTCCCATGGGGTGTTCCCTTGATGTAGTACCCTCCCTCTTTTTCTAGGGTTGTAGCTTCCTGAGAGCTGAGCAGTAGTGATTGTTATCTCCCTTCTGGATCTAGCCACCCAGCAAGTCTACCAGGCTCCAGGCTGGTACTGGGGGTTGTCTGCACAGAGTCCTGTGATATAAACCATGTGTGGGTCTCTCAGCTGTGGATAACAGCACCTGCTCTGGTAGAGGTGGTGGTGGGGCGGGGGGGGGGAGGGTGGGGGCGGTAAAATGGACTCTGAGAATCTTTGGCTTTGATCTCTTAATGTACTGTTTTTGTGGTGGTTGCCCTCCTGCCTGGAGGTGGTGCTTTCAAGAGAGCATCAGCTAGCATCAGCTGTGGTAGTATAAGGAGGAAGAGGTGGTGGATGAGGTCCTAGAACTCCCAGGAGTATATATCCTTTGTCTTCAGTTATCAGGGTGGGTAGGGGAGGACCATTAGGTGGGGGCAGGGCTGGGCGTGTCTGAGCTGACTCTCCTTGGGCGGGTCTTGCTGCAGCTACTGTGGGGGATGGTGGTGAGGTTCTCTAGGTCAATGGAGCTATGTTCCTAGGAGGATTATGGCTGCCTCTACTGTGTCATGTGGGTTGCCAGGGAAGTGAAGGAAAGCCAGCAGTCACAGGCCTCACCCAGCTCCCACACAACACAGGCCTCACCTAGCTCCCACACACCAAGCTCCTACCCAACTCCCACTCCCACCATCCCACCCACCCCCGCAACAACAACAGCACCAAGTCTGTTTCCAGGCAGTGGGTGAGCAGGGCTGAGAACTTGCCCCAGGTACCTGCCTCCCAGCTGTGAAAGCAAGTAGGGAGTTTGTTCTTACCCTGCCTGTGGAATCTGCACACCAGATTCATGCCCTCCCCTGAGTTCTGGCCAGGAGAATTCTCAATTGGTTCAGATTGTTACAAAGTTCAGCTAGAGGTTTCCATCTCCCTGTGCCCTTCTCCCAGTGCCTCTGGGCACCATCCTCAAAAACCTCTGTGAGGCAGGGAAGAAATGGCTTTCTAGGGGACTCAGTGAGCCCACAGGGCTTTTCCCGCTGATTCCTCTACCCCTGTAATTCTCTCAGCTTTCTAAATTGACTCAGCTCCAAATAAGGTCAGAATCTTCTCTTGTAATCTAGACCTTCAGGTTCCCCAGTGGGGGTGTAAGTTTCAGGGTTGACAATCTTCCTTTCCCACTTCCACAGTTTGGGCACTCAAAGTATTTGGGGTGTCTCCCAAGTCCTGCAGGAGCAATCCGCTTCTTTCAGAAGGTCTGTGCATTCTCTCTATTCCTGCAGTTGTTCTGGAGCAAAAGTTCATGATGTGGGCCTCCACACACTGCTCTGTCCATCTGAGTGGGAGCTGCAATCTAGTCCTGCCTCCTCTCTGCAATGACCCCCAAATGACAACAATTTTTTTAAAGACTGAACAATAGTCCATTGGATGGAGATATATATATATATATATATATACACACACACACACACACACATGTATATACACACACACACATATATATACATACATATATATACACACACACACACATATATATATATATATGCACCACATTTTCTTTATTCATCCATTTATGGATGCATAGGTTAATTCTTTATTTTAGCTATTGTGAATAGTGTTGCAATAAATATTGGAATGCAGGTATTTCTTACATTCTAATTTCATATCTTTTGGATGTGTACCCAATTGTGGGACTGCTGGATCATATGGTAATTCTATTTTTAATTTTTTAGAAAACTCCATACTGTTTTTCATAATGGCTGTCCTAGTTTACATTCCCACCAACAATGTACAAGGGATTTATTTTCTCCACATTCTCACCACCACTTACGTTTTGTCTTTTTGATGATAGCCAGTTTAACGGGTGTGAAGTGATATCTCATTGAAGTTTTAATTTGCATTTCTTTGATGATTAGTGATGTTGAGCAGTTTTTTATATATCTGTTGGCCATTTAGCTATCTTTTTTAGATAAATGCCTATTTGGTTTCTTTTCCATTTTTACCATTGAGTTTGAGTTTTTAAATATATTTTAGATACTAACATCTTACCTGATGTATGGCTTGCAAATACAATTTCTTATTACGTAGGCTCTGTTTATTCCGTAGCCTATTCCGTAGGCTCTCTCTTTATTCAGGTGATTCCTGAAATAGAAACTAGAAAGAAGCTTTCTAGTTTGAAGTAATCCTATTTGTCTATTTTTGCTTTTGTTGCTGTGGTTTTGGAATCATATCCAAAATTTTTTTGCCCAGACTAATGATGTGAATGTTTTCCCTTATGTTTTCTCCTGGTAGTTTATCATTTTGATTTTTTTTGTTTGTTCGTTTTTTTGGTACATGTCGTGAAATGAGGGTGTAGTTTCATTATTCTGTATGTGGATATCCAGTTTTCCCAACACTATTTATTTATTTATTTATTTATTTTGAGACGGAGTTTCACTCTTGTTGCCCAGGCTAGAGTGCAATGGTGTGATCTCGGCTCACTGAAACCTCTGCCTCCCGGGTTCAAGCGATTCTCCTGCCTCAGCCTCCCGAGTAGCTGCGATTACAGGCATGTGCCACCATGCCTAGCTAGTTTTTGTATTTTTAGTAGAGACAGCGTTTTACCATGTTGGCCAGGCTGGTCTCGAACTCCTGACCTCAGATGATCTGCCCACCTCGGCCTCCCAAAGTGCTGGGATTATAGGTGTGAGCCACCGTGCCCAGCCCCAACACAGTTTATTAAAGAGACTTTTCTTTCATCATTGTGTATTCTTGACATCATTGTTGAAATCAGTTGACTCTAAGAATTTCTAAGTTCTCCATTCTATTTCATTGGTCTGTGTGTCTGTTTTCACACCAGTACCAGGCTGTTTGGATATATAGCTTTGTAGTGTATTTTGAATACAAGTTATTGTGACGTCTCTGGCTTTGTTCTTTTTGTTCAAGATTGCTTTGGCTATTCAGGGTTTTTGGTGGTTCCATACAAATTTTAGAATATTTTAAAATTTATATAAAAAAGTTATTTGAATTTTTATACAGATTGCATTAAATTACATAGGGTAGTATGCACATTGAAACAATATTAATCCTTTGAATCCACGAACATGAGATACCTTTCCATTTATTTGTGTCTTCTTTATTTCATCAGTCTTTTATAGTTCTCAGTGTATAGGTCTTTCACATTCTGTTTAAATTTATTCCTAAGTGTTTTAATTATTTCTGTAGCTACTATAGATGGGATTGCTTTCTTGATTTCTTTCTTTGATAGTTCATTGTCAATGTACAAAAATGCTAGGTTTTTGTATGTTGACTTTGTATCCTGAAACTTTACTGAATTTATTAGTTTTAACAGGTTTTTGGTGGAGTCTCCAGGTTTTTTGTTTTTTGTTTTTTGGTGTTCTTTTGAGGGTCTTGTTCTGTTGCCAGGGTTGGACTGAAGTGGCACTGTTATAGATTACTGTAACCTTGAACTCCTGGGCTCCACTGATCTTTCATACTTGGCCTCCCAAAGCACTGGGATTACAGGCATGAGCTCTTGTGCCCCCAGTGTTTCTTTTTTTAAATACATATATAAAAGATCAAGTTATCTGAAAACAGAGGAAATTTAAGTTCTTTCATTATGCTTTGAGTGGCTTTTATATTTTTTCTCTTGTCTAGTTGCCCTTGGTGAGGACTTCTAGCACTATGCTGAATAGACTGAGAATGCTTTTTTTAATTCCTGATTGTACGTTAGAAGTGTTCAGCTTTTCAGTATTGAGTATAATGTTAAATGTGGCCTTGTTGTGTACAACTTTTATTGTTATATAAAGGTACATTCCTTCTACTTTTAATTTGTTGAGAGTATGTATTATGAAAAAATGTTGAATTTTTTTGAATGCCTTTTCTGCATCGACTGGGATGATCATATAGGTTTTTTGTTGTTCTTTATTCTGCTAGTGTAGTGTGTCACATTTACTGTATTGAACCATTCTTGCATCTCAGTGATAAATCCCATTTAATGATGTTATACGATCATTTAAATGTGTTGTCGAATTCAGTCTGCTAGTATTTTCTTGAGAATTATTGCATCTATACTCACCCTGGCCATAGCCTGTAATTTTCTTTTCTTACAGTGCCCTTGTCTGGGTTTAGTCAAGAATAATACTGGCCTCATCAAATGAGTTTGGAACTATTTCCTACCCTTCAATTTTTCTGAAAGAGTGTAGGAAGCATTGATATTAGCTCTTTAAATATTTGATAGAATTCAGCTGTGAAGCCATCAGATCCTAAGCTTTTTTCTCTGATAGGAGACTTTTTTATTACTGTGTCAGCCTCCATATTAGTTATAGGGGTGCTCAGACTTTCGATACTTTTCTAATTCAATCTTAGTAGGTAGCATATGTCTAGGAATTTATCCATTTTTTTATTTTATGGTGTATAATTGTTCATAATAATCTCATGATCCTTTATATCTCTGTGGTATCGCTGGTAATGTCTCCTCTTTCATTTTTGATTTTATGTATTTGAGTCTTCTCTTATTTTCTTACTTCATATAGCTAAAGATATATTGATTTTATCTTTTACAAAACACTCTTTGTTTTATTGATCTTTTCTATTGTTTTTCCCAGTCTCTACTTTTATTTCTGCTCTCTGCTTAATTATTCCCTTTTTTGTACTAACTTTGGGCTTAGTTCATTTTTCTTTATTTTCTTGTGGTGTAAAGTTAGGCTGTTCATTTGGGATATTTCTTCTTTATAATGTAGCCATTTATTAATATAAACTTTACTCTGAGAATTGCCTCTGCTGTATCCCATAATTTTTAGTATGTTGTATTTCCATTTCTGTCTAGGGTATTTTTTAGCTTCTCCTTTAGTTTATTCTTTGTTCCATTGCATGTTCTACGATGCGCTATTTAATCTCCCCATATTTGTAAATTTTCTGACATTATTTCTATAACTGATTTCTAGTTTCATACCATTGTGGTCAGAAAAGATACTCAATAAAATTTAAATCTTCTTAAATTTGTTAGTATTTGCTTTTTGACTTAACATGTGATCTATCCTGGATAATGTACCATGTGTGCTTGAAAAGAATATGTGTTTTGATGTTGTTGGGTGGAATGTTCTGTATATGTCTGGTAGGTCCATTTGGTCTAAAGAACAGTTCAAGTCCAATGTTTCCCTATCGATTTTCTTCCTGAATGACTTGTCCATTTTTGAAAGTAGTATTGAAATCTCCTAATGTCATTACATTTATCTTTTCATATATATTAATATTTGCTTTATATATTTAGGTGCTCCAATATTAGATGCATATATATTTATAACTGTTATGACAATTATAAATATAATTGATGAATTCATCTTCTTCATGAATTGATCCCTTTATCATTATATAATGACCTTATTTATTTCATTTTATAGTTATTGATTAAAGTCAGTTTTATCTGATATAAGCATAGCTATCTTGTTCTCTTTTGATTTCCATTTCCATGGAATATCTTTTCCCATTTCATCACTTTTAGCCTGTGTGGTCTTAAAGGTGATGTGAGCCATATAGACAACATATAGTTGTGTCTTATTTTTTAAATCTATTCAGCCATTTTATGTCTTTTGATTGGAGAACTTAATCCATTTACCTTCAGGGTAATTACTGATATATAAGGGCTCACTACTGCCATTTTGTTAATTGTTTTCTAGTTGTTTTGCAGTTCCTTTGTTCCTTTCTTTCAGTTTTCCTTTGTGGATTAGATGACTTTCTCTAGTAGTTTGCTTTGATGCCTTAAATTTTATATTTTGTAGCTCTACTTAGGTTTTTTTGTTATTACTTTTTATTACTTTGTTATTACTATTTTGTTATTACTTTGTTATTACTATTAGGTTCACATAAAATAGTTTACCCTTACAGCAATCTATTTTAAGCTAGTAACAAGTTAGCTTTAATCACACAAAATATTAGTTTGGTGCAACAATAATTGCAGTTTTTGCCATTAAAATTAACGGCAATTTTGCACCAACCTAATAATTCTACACTTTTACTCCATATCACCTCACATTTTACGTTTTTGATGTCACAATTTACATTTTTTAATTGTGTCTTCCTTAACAATTTATTGTACCTATTATTTGAAATAATTTAGTCTTCTCATGTTTTTATTAAAGATATAAGTTACTTCCCACCGTTACATTACTAGAGTGTTCTGAATTTGGCTGTGTGTTTATTTTTGCCAGTGAGTTTTATACGTTCATGTTTTCTAGTTATGAATTAGCATCCTTTCCTTTCATCTTGAAGAGCTCCCTTTAGCATTTCTAGAAAGACAGATCTTGTGGTGATGAACTCTCTCAGCTTAGGTTTGTCTGGGGAAGATTTTCTCTCCTTTGCTTCTGAATTACAGATTTACTAGGTAAACTATTCTTGGTTGGTTGGGAAGTTTTGTCCTTCAGTACATTAGCTCTATGTCCTCTAGTCCTGTAAGATTTCTGCTGGGAAGTCCACTGCTACCCGTCCTGGAAGTTATTGATATGTGATATGCTTATTTTGTATTGCTGTTTTCAGATTCCTTTTTAAAAAATTTTTTGACAGTTTACTTATGTCTTGATACATTCTTTTTAGATTGCATCTAATTGGAGACCTTTGATTTCCTTGTGCCTCGATATTTATATGTTTCCTCAGATTTGGACATTTCTTTTTTGCTATTTCTTTAAATAAGCTTTCTGGCTTTTTTCTTTCTTATTGTTCTTGATATCCTATATTTCAAATATTTGCTCTTTAGATGTTGTCCCATAAATTTTGTTAGCATTCTTAGTAGCTTTCTGTATGTTTTACGGTTCTCTAGAGGACAGAACTAATGGAATATATATATGTGTGTATATATATATGTATATGTGTGTATATATGTATATATGTGTGTGTGTGTATATATATCTATATATATATGTGCGTGTATATATATGTAAATGGGAGTTTGTCAAGTACTAACTCACATGATCACAAGGTCCCGCAGTAGGCCATCTGCAGGCTGAGGAGCAAGGAGAGCCGGTTCAAGTTCCAAAACTGAAGAACTTGGAGTCCAATGTTTGAGGCCAGGAAGCACCCAGCATGGGAGAAAGATGTAGGTTGGGATGCTAGGCCAGTCTCTCTTTTCACATTTTTTTGCCTGCTTGTATTCTAGCCATGCTAGCAGCTGATTAGATTGTGCCCACCCAGATTAAGGGTGGGTCTGCATTTCCCAGCCAGACTCAGATATTAATCTCTTTTGCCTACACCCTCCCAGAAACACCAAGGATCAATACTTTGCATCCTTCAATCCAATCAAGTTGACACTCAGTATTAACCATCACAAGTCCACCCTTTGTCAACTTGAACCATTATACATTCCCTGAGATCATACATAATTTTCAATAAAGACAGTGAGGTCATAATTACATCTAATGTAATACAACTATCCTTTGTACAACTGGAAACGCATGAATCCCCAACCCACATACTATTACATAAAGTTAGCAATACTTAAATGCTGATGTGAAGTCAATAAATCTTATGTCACATGATAAAAGAAAGGAAATAATAAAAATATTTTCTTAGTTCAAGTGTATACATGCACAAACGTGTTTAACAAAAGAAGGAGGAAATACTCATAACAATTACAGTCCTCTTTTCTACAGGTGGTCTCGTGTTCGTAGCTGGTATTGATGACTACCTTCTTCTACTACCCATTCTGTATTCCCTTTGCCTTCAGCAAGCACCTCTGCAGGTCGTGGGTTTTTTCCTGATGGAGTGACCCAAACCTTTGTTCCTGAAGGGTCTGGGTCATTTGTAGTCCTGCCTCAATTGGGCTGTTGTAGTTTCTCATTGACCTTAATCACAGGACATGGTAATAGTAAGAGATGCCCTAATGGATCTCCTGTATTCCATTCATATTCTTACTTACCTCTGTTGTGGAGTACTAGACTGATTTCATCTTGATAGTCCAGGTCAGCCACCCCAGCCAACCCTATAACTTTCTTGTTACCCTGTTGGCTTCAAGGTAGGAGGACCCCAAAGTGTCCAGGTGGCAATCTTAACTTCCAGTTTAATGGAATCATTGTTGTGTCTCCTGGTGGCAGCATTTCTCCCTTTGGAACTATGGCCTCTAGGCTAGTGGAACATAATGTCGCAGGAACAGGAAACTAAAATTTTGCTAGTGGATCACTCCGGGTGAGGGTAAGTGGTGCCACTTACACTTCCACCCCTTGATTCCTGGACCCATGAATCGTAGCTATGGGAGAAACAGTACCATATATTAGATGCTGATTCAGAGCATACACAGCCTTCTGGAGAACTTTGCCCCAGCCCTGCAAAGTATTGTCACCTAGTTGGCCTTGTAATTGTGACTTCAAAAGGCCATTTCACCGTTCTATCAATCCAGCTGCTTCAGGATGATGGGGAACATGGCAAGACCAGTGAATTCCATAAGCATGGGTCCACTGCTACACTTCTTTAGCTGTAAAGTGAGTGCCTTGGTCAGAGGCAATGCTGTGTGGAATACCATAACAGTGGATGAGACATTCCATGAGTCCATTGGTGTAGTCTTGGCAGAAGCATTGCATCCAGGATAGGCAAACCCATATCCAGAGTAAGTGTAAGCGTCTTTGCCCTTTCCATGATGGAAGAGGTCCAATATAATCAATCTGCCACCACGTAGCTGGCTGATCACCCACAAGGAATGGTGCCATATCGAGGGCTCAGAGTTGGTCTCTGCTGCTGGCAAACTGGGCACTCGGCAGTGGTTGTCGCCAGGTCAGCCTTGGTGAGTGGAAGTCCATGTTGCTGAGCCCATGCGTAACCTCCATCCCTGCTACCAGGGCCACTTTGTTCATGGGCCCATTGGGCAATGACAGAGGTGGCTGGGGAAAGAGGCTGAGTGGTGTCCAGAGAACAGGTGATCCTATCCACTTGATTATTAAAATCCTTCTCTGCTGAGGTCACTCATTGGTGAGCACTCACATGCGATACAAATATCTTCAGTTTTTGACCACTCAGAGAGGTCCATCCACATACCTCTTCCCTAAATTTCTTTGTGACCAATTTTGCTATCATGCTTCTTCCAAGTCCCTGACCATCCAGCGAAACCAGTGGCTACAGTATATAATCACACATCTTGCCATTTCTCCTTCCACGCAAAGTGCGCGACCAGGTGCACTGCTCAAAGTTCTGCTCACTGGGAAGAATTTCCTTCACTGCTGTCTTTGAGGTATGTCCTAGAAAGGGGCTGTAGTGCTGCAGCTGTCCACTTTCAGGTGGTGCCTGCATATCATGCAGAACCATCTGTGAACCAGGCCCTAGTATTCTCTTCCTCTGTCAACTGATCATAGAGAACTCCCCATGAGGCCATTGGTGCAGGCTAGGGGAGAGAAGGCAGGGTGGCAGGAGTGGAGACCAATGGGTATTTGAGCCACTTCGTGAAACTTACTTGTGCCTTCAGGACCTGTTTGAGCCTGATCATGTATATACAACTTCCATTTGATGATGGAATGCTGCTGTGCACCACCCACTTTATGGCTAGATGAGTCAGATAGCACTCAGTTCATGATAGGCAGTTGAGGTCTCATGGTGACTTGATGACCCATAGTCAAATGTTCAGTTTCTACCAAAGCCCAGTAACAGGCCAAGAGCTGTCTCTCAAAAGGAGAGTAGTTATCTGCAGAAGATGTTGTAGGAGGGGCCAAATGGTGCAACTTATCCTTCACCTTAGAAGAACTATCTCAACAGGCTCCACACCACTGGACCCCTAGAAATTTTACTGAGGTAGAAGTTCCCTGAATTTTAGTTGGATTTATTTCCTATCATCTGGCATGCAGATGTCTCACCAATAAGTCGAATGTGTTTGCTACTTCTTACTCATTGGATCCAATCAGCATAATGTCATCAATGTAATGGACTAGTGTGATATCTTGCAGAAGCAAAAAAGTAGTCAAGGTCCCTCCAAATAAGATTATGTCACAAAGCCAGAGAGTTGATATAGTCCTGAGGTAGTACAGTAAAGGTATATTGTGGCCTTGCCAGCTGAAGGCAAATGGCTTCTGATGGACCTTATGGACAGGAATGGAGAAAAAGGCATTTGCCAAGTCAATGGCTGCATACCAGGTACCAAGAGATGTGTTAATTTCCTCAAGAAATGAAACCACATCTGGTACAGCAGCTGCAATTGGAGTCACCACTTGGTTAAGTTTACAATAATCCACTGTCATTCTCCAAGATCCATCTGTCTTCTGCACAGGACAAATGGGAGAGTTGAATGGGGATGTGGTGGGAATCACCACCCCTGCATCTTTCAAGTCCTTGATGGTGGCAGCAATCTCTGCAATCCCTTCAGGAATGTGGTGTTGTTTTTGATTTACTATTTTTCTAGGTAAAGGCAGCTCTAATGGCTTCCATTTGGCCTTTCCCACCATAATAACCCTCACCCTACCAGTCAGGGCACCAATGTTGGGGTTCTGCCAGCTGCTAATTATGCCAATTATGCATTCTGGCGCTTGGAAAATGACCACAGGATGAGTTTGGGAACCCTCTGGACCCACTGTAAGTCAGACCTGAGCTAAAACTCCATTAATTACCTGACCTTCATAAGCTCCTGCTTTAACTGGAGGACCACAATGATGTTTTGGGTCCCCTGGAATCAATGTCAGCTCAGATCCAGTGTCCAGTAGTCCCAGGAATGTCTGATCGTTTCCCTTTCCCCTGTGCACAGTTACCCTAGTAAAAGGCTAGAGGTCACCTTGAGGAAGGATGGGAGAAAGATTCACTGCATAAATTGTCAGTAATGTAGTGGGGTCTTTCTTCAAGGGGACCTGGCCTCCCCTTCACTCAAGGGATTCTGGGTCTGTAAACTGGCTCAAGTCTGGAAATTGAGGGGCCATGATTCTCTGTTTTTATAATTCAAATTAGTCTTTTGTTCATTTGACCTAGAAGTTTTCTGCTTGTATAAATTAAGTAGGAATGCAGATGGCTTCCTATCAATTTCACTTCTAGGAACACCGTGATTAATTAGCCAATGCCAGAGCTCTACATGAGTCAGACTATTTTGATTGCTGCTTTGTCTCTGCCGTCCAGTACAGTACCTATGCCCACCTTGCCTTTGACAGTTGACTGCTGCCACCTGGCCCCTGCTACCTTAAGATCCAATTATTCCCATTGTATTTAAATTTTGTAGTGGAGTGGCTGTGGTTCCCACCATTATATCTGACATACAGAGAAGAGCAATTGTAGGGCTTTTCAAAGATGCAGGTGCTGACTTCACAAATCTATTTTGCGAGGCATTGATCAAGGGCATATCTTCTGGACCCTCCCAGCTTGGAGGAATAAGTCTAAAGTGACTAATCCACTCCTCCATTCCAATCTCCCTAAGCTTTTGGATCCCTTTCTCTACATTAAACCAAGGGAGATCAGGCATTCCCAGCTCATTCACGGTGGGCCATCTTTTAATCCATATTTCAACTAACCAAGAAAATAAACTATTAGAGCCTTGTATAACTCCCGAGCTGCAACATTAAATGTAGAGTCCCTGCTTAGTGGGCCCAAATCAATAAATTCATCCTGATGCAACTCTGTGTTCCTTCCACCATTATCCCACACCCTTAACATCCATTCCCATGCCTGTTCTCCAGATTTCTGTTTATATAAATTAGAAAACTCAAGCAGTTCTTTTCAAGAATAGTGCATCTCCTCATGGGTCATACATGGGGGTGGCTCCTGAGAAGAATCAATGTTATCTTTCCTAGCAACTGCCTCAGGGGAGGCCATCACTGTTAGGCAGTGTAGGGTTTATCTCCTCAAAGGTGGAAAGGCTGAGGGCAGCATAGGTTGAGGAGGGGATGTTGTTGCTACTGGGGATGGGGAAGCCATCTCTTCTGACAAAGTTTCATCAGAGTTTACAAACTCAGCATCCCCAGATTCATTAGGGTCCTCCCACATGTCCCCATTCCAAGTTGCGGGTTCCCATTATTTTCCAATCAATGCACTCACTTTAACAGTAGATACCTGACGAGGCTGTGCATGCACCTTTGGTTGCAGGTCAGCCAGTCACATAAGACCTTGTTTCTGTTTTTCTACAATTTCAGCTCTTTCTCTACAGGAGATAAGACTCACTCATGGCAATCTTAGAAAATTTGAGGCTCAGTATTGGCTTCTAGAGCTGGGAGATAGAATCCCTGAGTGCATCATTTTCTTTCATCACTTTGTTCACTGAATTTAGGAGCAACCAACCAACTTCATTTTGTTCTTGGTTCTCCACATACAGTCAAAGGTTCTATGTATAGAGTCACTAAACTCCTTGCCTCTTATGAGCAATGAATCAGGAGTGTGAAAGGCATTTGTTTTGCATAACTCTCTAAAGAGTTCACTCCAATGACTATCAGTGTTCTCCATACTATTAGAAGTAGAGTCCTTAGCATTTTATGGTCTAATCATATTAAGCATCCAACTCCAGAATCCCCAAAACCAATGAAAGAACTCCTTCCTTAATATTCTGCTCCTCTAGAACCACTCCTGGTACCAAAATCTGTATTAGTCAGGGTTCTCTAGAGCGACAGAACTAATGACAATATATATATATATATATGTGTGTGTGTGTGTGTGTGTGTGTGTGTGTGTGTGTGTATACATGAGTTTATTAAGTATTAACTCATATGATCACAAGGTCCCACAATAGGCCATCTGCAGGTTGAGGAGCAAGGAGAGCAAATTCAAGGTCCAAAACTGAAGAACTTGGAGTCTGATGTTCAAGGGCAGGGAGCATCCAGCACAGGAGAAAGATGTAGGCTGGGAGGCTAGGCCACTCTCTCTTTTCACATGTTTTTCTTTGCTTGCTTATATTCTAGCCACGCTGGCAGCTGATTAGATTGTGCCCACTCAGATTAAGAGTGGGTCTGCCTTTCCCAGCCCACTGGACTCAGATTTTAATCTCTTTTGGCAATACTCTCTCTCACACACACACCCAGGACGAATACTTTGTATCTTTCAATCCAATCAAGTTGACACTCAGTATTAACCATCACACTTTTCATTCTTTTTTTTCTTTTGATTGTACATGTTCCAGTAACCTGTCTTCAAGTTAACAGATTTTTTCTTTTGCCTGATCAATGCTGCTGTCAATACTCTATTGCATTTTAAATTTTATTCATTGTATATTTTTGGCCATAAAATTTATATTTAAAAATTATTTCTATCTCTCTGTTACATTGCTTGTTTTGGTTGTTTATTGTTTTCTGATTTTGTTAAACTGTTGCTCTGTATTTTCTTAAATAAAGTTTACTAAGTTTCCTTAGAACATTTCGAATTCTTTGTCTAGCAGTTTTTTTTTAATCTCCATTTCTTTTGGATAAGTTACTGTGAAATTATTGTGTTCTTTTGGTGGTGTTATATCTCCTCTGTTTTTCATGTTTCTTATTGCTTTATATTGATGTCTATACATTGATGGAGCTATCTCCTCTTCCAGATTGTACAGCTAGTTTTTCTGGAAGATCTTCCCCTACAGGGTTTGTGAGGGTGCTTCTGGATGAAGTGCAGTGGCTCTGATACGAGGGAGTTCAGCTCTGTAGTCTCTGTACAGCTTTGTCAGCCGAGATTGGTGTTGACAAAGATTGCAGGTATCCTCAGTGACGGCAATGGTTATTGAGGTCTTCAGAGCTGATGGCTGCTAAGATCCTCTCAATCTCTTTTTCTCCCACTGGAGATGTTTTAGCTAAGGGGATCACTCTTGGCCTGGGTCTGGCTTGCAGGCCAGTTCATGGTGATGGTGGTATTGCTGTCTGTTGAGTGGCACCCAGGCAGTGGCCACTTACCTGAGACCTGACACATTAGCATATGTAAAGGACTATAGTTTTGGGATTTGTGATGATAAGAGCACTGGTGCCCAGGACACAGGTACCTCTACTTCTGTTTTGGTACCAATATGTAAGCAGATGCTTGTGAAGCAGCTGGGGAGCTGAAAATAGAAACACAGGCTTGTACAGAGTTATAGCAGCTCGGGAGTCAGGGTGGGGTCACTCTCTTTAGTGGCTGAGCTGAAGCTTGGGGTGCAGGTGCCTCCACTGCCATTTATTGGCAGAAGGAGGGGTGTGCCAATGTCTCCTTCTGTGGATTTCCTCAGCATGATGGGCTGTTCATTACCTCAGTAGAAAAAAATGCCACTGTCCTCTGCAGAGGAGGCCACTGGGAACCACAGTGGTTCCAGATTTGTGGGTAATACCTGTAGCCTTCCCCCTTCTTCTTTGTTTCTAGCTGCCTCCTGGTGTCCTAGGTATGCTGGTCTCACTAGCATACCTAGTACTGGTCTCACTAGTGATCCTTTATAAATGGATATTCTCCAGGTTATTTTTTTTGAGGCTTGGGGGAGGGGGAGGGTGGTCCACAGTGTTGCTGCAGCTTCTTTAATGAGCCCTTGAACCCTTTTTTAACTACTTATGTTTATGGCTAGCTGTCTATGTTTGTCTTTTGGTGGGAGAATGTAGGCTGGTATATCTTACCATACCATCTTTGTGACATCATATCTAAAGTTTTAAAAAATTGTTATAACTAAGATTTAAAGAGATTGAGTAATCTGTCTGAGATCTCACAGTGAGTGCTGAAGTAGAATTAAAACCTGGGCCATATAGTTCTCAAATCACTTTTTTTCTTTTAATATTAACTGCATCTTCGGTAATGCACACACCCATTGTCTATCTTTCTAATTGTCTCATGTGGATTTTTTTCTTCTCAGATAGCAGATAAAAGTGTATACATAGAAGTGCAGGCTTTTCTATTGATGGATAATTTTCTGAGGTGATATTCTTAGGGAGAACTACATATTAAATGAAAAACTGTCTGTTTTATTAGTGATGTCAAACTTAATGATTTCTCCTGGGCTTGGCACTGTCTGACAGAAAAAATTTCCAATTGTAGACTAATTGATTTTTGCCATAACTCAAGAAAATAGGAGTTTCCATGAACTTTGCTTAAAATAGAATGCAATTATTTTTGCTTTTATTTATGTGCCTTACAGCTACAATCTTTTTAAGCCACCCCCTTCATTTAAGTGCTCTTTTCAGTATTTAGCACTGCACTTTTTCTGATGATTAATACTGGGCTAATTTAATGTTAGCTTGAATTTGGTTATCTAGGGAATTGGTACTCTAGATAGTATACTGACTGGCACCAAACTAAAGCATTTATTGTCACAGCATAATAAATAACACCTGATATAGTTTGTCTCTGTGTCCCCACCCAAATCTCATCTCAAATTGTAATTCCCGTGTGTTGAGTGAGGGACCTGGTGGGAGGTAATTGGATCACGGGGGTGGTTTCCTCCATGCTGTTCTTGTGATAGTGAGTGAGTTTTCATGACAGCTGCTGGTTTTAAAGTGTGGTACTTCCTCGCTCTCTCTTTTCTTTCTCCTGCTGCCATGTAAGATGTGTCTTGCTTCCCTTTCATCTTCTGCCATAATTGTAAGTTTCCTGAGGCCTTCCCAGCCATGAAGAACTGTGAGTCAATTAAACCTTTATATATATAAATATATAAACCTTTATATATAAATATATGTAAATATATATATTTATATACATATATGTGTATATATATTTATATATACATATATACATTTATATATACATATATATTTTTATATACATTTATATACACATATATGTATATGTATTTATATACATATATACATACAATATGTATATGTATTTATATACATATATACATACAATATGTATATGTATTTATATACATATATACATACAATATGTATATGTATTTATATACATATATACATACAATATGTATATGTATTTATATACATATATACATACAATATGTATATGTATTTATATACATATATACATACAATATGTATATGTATTTATATACATATATACATACAATATGTATATGTATTTATATACATATATACATACAATATGTATATGTATTTATATACATATATACATACAATATGTATATGTATTTATATACATATATACATACAATATGTATATGTATTTATATACATATATACATACAATATGTATATGTATTTATATACATATATACATACAATATGTATATATGTATATATATGTATGTGTGTGTATGTGTGTGTGTGTATATGTATATATGTATATATAATTATATATAACTTACCCAGTCTCAGGTAGTAGCTTGATAGCAGTGTGAGAATGAACTAATATAAAACCTCTACTGCCTTTGGCAAGAGTGTTTAAGTATTTGTATTAGAAACCCTATTGACCATTTCTCTTTTCATACTTAGAGTGGCAGAGTGACTGCTCATACTAAGATGCAAAAAACCTTTCTTTTAAGATTCAAAAGGACTCACAAGTCTTATACAACATTTCAGAACCTTCTGCATTCTATTTGTATAAAGGTCCTTTGTTTATCTGGGTTCTCCTTTATTTTCTCCTTGCTGGCTTCTCCATATTCTTGTATCTCACTGTTATTCTAATTATTCTTTCTTAAGCATCTTATACAAATTAAATAAAAATTTAAATTACAGAAGAAATGAATGTCTTGTGTAGGTTAACTTTTTCATTTATTTCACACAAAAATCTACATGATGGAAAATAGAATTCAGAAACAGACAAAATCGTCTCCATTAATCCAAACACAATAAACTGTGAGCAAATATTGATTAAAAGCAAAATACTCAAATGGCTTTCTTTTGAAGAAAAAATAACCATCTCATCTAAAACTATAGCAACATCTTTTTGTGTTGCTTCCATCTTCTCATATGCAATAACAAAAAATGATGTTAGGACTCTCTATGAAGAGAACATTAGCTAGTCTGTGGAATAAGAGAGAATTTAAGATATAAAAATAGTTAGGGTCCTAGTGGAAATTGTGAGAAATGCTGATGAAAGTTTGGCAGTTTAGCTAACCAGCAATAGTGTAGTGTCCAAAGCAGAATAGGAGAGTCAAGACTAGAAATTGTTTCTGAATTTTAGATGTGTTTTACAATTGCATATGTTGCCTATACTTTCCAGATGGGAAGCATCTTTAAATCAGAGGCTATATCTTTATTTTTGTGTACCCCACTATGTCTTCCAACCTTTCCTTTAATCACTACTGCCTTTATTTTTATGTTCATTCTTGGATTCATTAATTCATTTACATGTTTAATCTAGTAATAACAATTGTTCAGCCACCACTGTATGTGTGTGTCATGCACTATACTAGGATTAGAAATAGAGAAATAATTTATGAATTCTATTTTCATTTATTGATTTGTTTACTCCTTGATTTAGTAAATATTTACTTAAATACCGCTATTTGACAGGCATTGCTTTAGGCATTTGGAATACATTCGTGACTTAAAGTCTATCTTATCTGATGTAAGTATGGCTACCTCTGCTCTCTTTTGTTTACCATATGCATGAAATATTTTTTTTCCATCTTTTCACTTTCAGACTATGTTTGTCCTTAAAGCTAAAGTGATAGCTTGTAGGTAGCATATCACTATACCTTGTTTTTTTGTTTTGTTTTGTTTTGTTTTTGTTTGTTTGTTTGTTTGTTTGAGATGGAGTCTCGCTCTGTCGCCCAGGCTGATCTTGGCTCACTGCAACCTCCGCCTCCTGGGTTCAAGCGATTCTCCTGCCTCAGCCTCCTGAGTAGCTGGAATTATAGGCACACGCCACCACACCTGGCTAATTTTTGTATTTTTAGTAGAGACAGGGTTTAACCATGTTGGTCAGGCTGGTCTCGTACTCCTGACCTCGTGATCCACCCACCTTGGCACTCCTGACCTCGTGATCCACCCACCTTGGCCTCCCAAAGTGCTGGGATTACAGGCGTGAGCCACCGCACCTGGCCCATTGTACCTTGTTTTTAAATTTTTTCTAAATCTATACAGCCACTCTATGTCTTTTGATTTAAAAAGAGTACATTTACATCTAAACTAATTATTGATAGGTAAGAACTTGCTATTTTGTTAATTGTTCTCTGACTGCTCTGAAGTCCTTTATTTTTTCTTCCTTATTTAAGATGAAATTTGGGTAGGGACACAGCCAAACCATATCATCAGTTATTGGAGCTTTGTTAGTTTCTTTGAAGGTGTCGTGTTGCTTTAATTCTCTGTGATCTTTATATTCTTGCATTGTTTCTGCACATTTAAAAATCAGTCACCTTTTCCAGTCTTTACAGGTTCACTTTGTCAGGAAAAGACCTTCACAGTCAGCCAAACCTGGGGTTCTCGATGGGAATACATAAGTGAACAAAACAGAAAACACTGCCCCTGTGAACCATATTCAAGAAGAGTGAAGCAGAAAATAAATAAATAACACAATTAGTAATACATTAGAAGGGAATAAATACTATGGGATAAATGAGTAAAGTGGCAAGAAGAGGCTAATAGGAATTGCAGGCTGCAATTTTAAGTATGGTGCTATAGTTAAGTCTCAGTGAGAAAGTAACACTTGGACACAAATTTCATATAGGTAAGAGGGTTACCCACGTGGCTCTATGAGGCAAGAATAGCCAACACTAAAGCCCTGAGGTGATATGATCCAGTGGTAGAGAAGCCAAGTGTGATGGCAGGTGGAGTGGGGAGGAGTTGAAGTCAGAGAGGGTTTAGAGAACCTGATTATGTAGGCCCTTGCAGAGTTTGGCTTTTTCTGCATGTGAAATGAGGAACCATGCTGGAGTTTTGAGCAGAGAAATGGCATGAACTGACTTACGTTTAAAAATGATCACTCTGGCTGCTGTGTTTATAATGAACTGTTTGGAGTCAAGGGAAGTCACGGGAGGCCAGTTAAAAAGTTGTCGTAGAAATTCTGGCTCATGTTGGTATGTTGTACTAGGGAGGTAGAAACAGTAGTGTGAAATGGCAAGATTCCACATGTATTTTGAAGGTAGAATCAAGAGGATTTTCTGATAAAATGTGTGTAGGTTATGAAAGAAAGGAGATACAGACTCATCCTTATGCTCAAAGGATGAATCTAAGGTTTCATAGTTTACTTAATGAAATGGTGAAGAAAATCACTGGTTACCAGGTAGTGCTATTATAAAGGTACCAATGAGGTTAACAAGGAGCCTAGTGTTGCCTTATTGAAATGAGTTATAGTGTTAGGGAAGACTACCTAGAAAAGATAATATTTCAACTGACTTTTGGTAACATGAGTAGATCTTTGTTAGGTTAAAAAAAAGGGAAGATAATGATTCAGAATGTGGGAAGTTAGTAAATAAAAAAGGAGGAAGGAGAAAGAGTATAGGTAGAGAAATAGTGAGAGACAAGTAGGAAACAGGAAATTATGCAGGAGCTTATGTCCTATGTAAAAATTATTGAACTTCATTATAAATGTTGGGGATAGCCTCTTGAAGGTATTAAGCAGAGATATTACTTTATTAATAAGAATTCTTTAATTCCTATTAATATAAAGGAATATTTTGGAAATATTGTGTCAGAGACAATATATTTAGGGGAGACAGTTAAGAGTTAATTTTATGATCTAGATAAGATACAATAAAAACATGAACTGAGACTTTTCCTGAGGGAATACATGTGAAGTAGAAGGTAAGATATGCAGATTATTGTTGAATATTAGATAAGGGTGAGGGAACAACCCTAGGAGTCATCACCTAAAATAGAAAATAAAAGATGTAGACAGGTTCGAAGAGGTACATGATAACTTTGGTTTGAACAAAGTGAGATTGTGCAATCTCTCCATTGAATTGATTAATAGGATCAAATATATAAATGTAAGCTCTGGGGGAAGGTCCAGTTGGGGATTCAAGTTGGAGAGGCATAACATAGAGGGATAACTTAAGCCTCATAATTTGATTATTTCACCTAAAACAACAAAAAATACTACTGAGAACAGAGTTGAGTAATGTACCAGTATCTAGAAGCAAGCCAGAATAAAAGTGGTCCATAAATAAGACATGTAATGGGAAAAGAGAAAGGAGCTTCAGGAGAGAGGAGTATTATAGAAAGGAGAAAATTGTGCAAGAGGAAGTGGTCAATAGTGCCAAATGCTTTAGATTCTCAGACTGAAGTAAATATATGCCATGCGGTTGGCAATATGAATGTTATGACATCCTAAAAATGTTATCATGGTTTATGATTCCAGAAGAGGCAGACAGTCAATGTGGAGATTTGTGAACAAATGATATGAAAGACAGTAGTACAGAAAAAAGCTGAAAATAGACTTGCATTTCAGAAAATGGGCCAATATTTGCACCCTAGGTATGTTGTTATTAATTAGAAATCTGAATTCAATATGTCCAGTTTCTTTAATCTTTGCCTCTAAGAATATTGTCTCTCTGTTTTCACATGGATTCATTTTAAGTTCACATCTATTATAATAAAAATATGTGCTTTTGTAGTCGGAACATGGGATTTATTTTTCTGGCGTCATACAAAAATTCCTGTGGAGGAGATACACCTGCTCTGTGTCTTTGCCTATCGTGTGTGTCTATGGATGTGTGTATGTGTGGGGTATGTGTGTGTGTGTCTCAGAAACCTAATTTGAGAAGTATCTGTCATAGAGAAAGCAATAAATGTTAATGAGTAAATCTAAAAACAATCTCAGCTCAAAATTTAGCCATTTTATATCTTGTCAGGTGGTAGTCATAGTAGATTTATAGTAGGAACTTTTCAATAACCACAAACCCCCTTAATTTCCAACGGTGACTACCGACTACCTATTTCTAAATAATGCCATTGGATATAAAGGGTAGGGCGAATAAAGGTAAATGTTTCAGAATGACTCGTTTTCCTCTTAGGAAACCAACTCAAAATAGAATTCCCTGCTGATGGCTGGGTCAGAAAGGCTACATTATATACAGTGTTCTAGAAATATATTTGTTGCTGTGGTACTGTTAATCATGTCATCCAAATCATGCTCTTCTTTTCTTACTTTTCAAATTATACTTCCATTCATCTTTTAAAAATAATTAATATATTTTTGTGTATAAATATTTGTAATAATAGACCATTGGAATACAGGAAAAAAAATAGCCTAACTACTTTTCCAAGTTAACATTTTACATGACAAAAAGATAATAAATGCCTGAGGTACAAAGCAGTAGAGCTTAAATTAAATCTGGCCTAACTTTAAAAAGTATGTGAGAGAGATGGCTTTGTCAGAGGCCTCAAAAATACTAAGTGTCCATAAATAAACATGACTAACTGTAAATTTTCATGAGTATGTAATCCAAGTGATCCCTGTTTATTAATACCTGGAAATGATGAAAACAAACATCTACCATAAACATTGATTTAAGAGCTTTTTAAGATAAGAACAGTATTAGTATATATAATGTGCAATGCTACCACCTTAGACAAACAGTTGTCCTCTACCTTAGTTATTTCATGCATACATTTTCTGACAAATATTTACTCTTCCTGACCATGAAGATAAAGAACATAAAGCCATTAAGTTCTGTTCTCTCTTACTGTTATTAACACCTTGTCCCTTCACTTATTCTTTTAAATCTACAATGCATTTTGGGCAAACTCTTCATATCTGTGCTTGAATTGCACTCTCCAGCAGCCTCCCTTAACCTGTAAGTTGTCTCTGCAGCTATCCAGTGAAATGATCAGGAAAGATACTGGAGAGTTAAGGCCATGATCTGAAGGATGTGAGATATTTTCATGTATCATGCCCAAAGCTACATGCCCAATTCATTCTCTTTTGCTATTCCCAGTCCTAGAGACACTGCAATTTGCTCCAACATACACCCATCCATACACAAGATAGGTGTAGACTTTAGAGGTTCAATAGCACCAAGTCTAGGGCTAGAGAAGAGCAAGTCTTAAACTCATAGTAAATAAATATGAATCCATGATTCCCAATTTCACCTTAGTTCCCAGTGATTCCTAATTCCTGTAGCCTTTTCACCATTCATGTGCATAACACTTCTTTTACTCATCCATTCATCCAATATTTGTTGAATGATAGTTCTATACCCAGCTCTATTTTTGTGCTAAGACTATAATGATGAAAATATGCCCATAACCTTAAAGAGCTTTAGTAAGAATAGCAGGCAACTAGTCCTTCCTTACACAGAGGAGGCTTACAGATCAGTGTATGAGGAACTCTATGCTCCGTGCCCCTATTAGCTTCAAATCAAGGGCTATCTTATACTACTTTTGTGTTCGTCTGACAAGTCAGGTTTCCTCCACAGATATTCCATGGTCTAGAACTTTTCTAATCCAATACCCTATTTTTTCCCATGGTGGTGTTTCTAACGTCTGGTATCCTAGATATGTGTAAATTCTAGCCCAACATTGTATGATTTTTTTGTTTAATCTATCTTCAAACCTCCTCCAATAATGGCCTAACAAAGTGGCATAAGATTTTGGTGTTCTTCTGTGCTGCCATATCTTTCAAGGAGAATTTCTGTTTTTCATTTTAATTCTTCCCCATAGAATCTCACATAGCTCTTTGTTACCCTCTTATGGAAATTTTTCTTATTCTAAATTATATAACAGTTGCTTGTGTGCTATTATTAATTTGATGGTTTGAGAATATAACACAATACTTTTGTATGACATCAACTAAAAGTTTCATGAATGGAACTTTGAAGCAACTTCCCTCTGCTCTTCCACACCATGTACGTTATTCTACCTCTGAAAAAATGACTAAAATCAGTTCAGCCTCCAAGACCATGTTTTTTTTTTTTTTTTTTTTTTTTTTTTTTTTTTGAGACGGAGTCTCGCTCTGTCACCCAGGCCGGACTGCGGACTGCAGTGGCGCAATCTCGGCTCACTGCAAGCTCCGCTTCCCGGGTTCACGCCATTCTCCTGCCTCAGCCTCCCGAGTAGCTGGGACTACAGGCGCCCGCCACCGCGCCCAGCTAATTTTTTGTATTTTTAGTAGAGACGGGGTTTCACCTTGTTAGCCAGGATGGTCTCGATCTCCTGACCTCATGATCCACCCGCCTCGGCCTCCCAAAGTGCTGGGATTACAGGCGTGAGCCACCGCGCCCAGCCAAGACCATGTTTTTAAACCATATATAAAAGAGTTCTCCTTAAATTCAACACAGTTGTCAAGTGTCAAGCTGGGACTCATTCTGAATCTTGGTTTGCTTTGATATGAAAGTAGGATTTTTGGATTTGATTTCCAAATTTCCACAGGACATAAAGAGTGGAATAATGGAAGGAACCTAAGAAAATTAGAGAACAGCACAAATATTAGTGCTAATATTAGTATAAGGGTCTTCCTGGGATACCTGAGGGGTGATTCTACTGTAAGATCAACCTAGTGCATTCACAGGTCAAGCTATGATTGAAAGCTCAGAACTTTTGCCTACAATTGTGGTAGTGCCTTAGACATTTGGCTACCAATGGCTGGCCACTGAAATTCTTCCTCCTTCTCTACAATATCTGTCAATATTTTTTCTCCTCACTCCACACCCATACTTCTTACAGGTGGGCAAATGACATTTTCTCTTTCTTATGTTATATACTTTGCACAGTGAAAGACAAATCTTTTAGCTGAAGCCCCTCCCCATCCCAAAGAGATTCCTTACCTTATACCACATCATATAGAAATACTAACTTCACCATTGACCTTAAAAATTCAGCCCAAAAGCTGCTTATAGATGTCTTACCATTGCCTTTGGCCTGAGTATGAACATTGATAGATCTTCCAGAGCAATGTGTTCTAGAAGTCAACCCTAGATTAGCTCCATGCCCTTATAAAACTTTCATCTTTGTTTTAAGAGTGTAATCTCAGTTACTTAGTCTCTGAACTGGAATCTATAGTATTAATATCTCCTGGCTGGGTGTGGTGGCTCACACCTGTAATCCCAGCACTTTGGGAGGCTGAGGTGGGTGGATCACAAGGTCAGCAGTTCGAGACCAGCCTGACCAACATGGTGAAACCCTGTCTCTACTACAAATAAAAAAATTAGTGGAGTGTAGTGGTGGGCACCTTTAATCCCAGCTATGTGGGAGGCTGAGGTAGGAGAATTGTTTGAAACTGGAAGGTGGAGGTTGCAGTGAGCCAAGGTCGTGCCACTGCACTCTAGCCTGGGCAACAAGAGTGAAACTCCGTCTCAAATAAATAAATAAATAAATATTAATATCGCCCTTATAAGGTTATTAGGATAATTAAAGAGTGGATGCAAAGTGCTTAGCACAGTGAATAGCACATATTGAATAGTGAATAAGTTTAGGCTCTGATAATGATGACCTTGATGATGACATGAACCCATTTGTTCTTAGTCATATATTGCCAATAACTTTAATTCATACTAACCCCACTCCAGCCCCCCTCAACAATATATTGGAATAGGCCCCCTATTTCCCACACTAAAATATGCCTTATCCCATACTTAGGGAGTGCCAGGGGATGTTTGAATTGAAATCAGAAATCAAGTAAGAAACAAGTAAGTTACTTGTTCTAAAAAGGGATAGGAGCCCTCACTGATGGACTCAGGTTGTCTCCAAATCCACTTCAGTTGGACCATAGAATCTACAGGAAAAATGAAGAACATGACCATGCTCCAACTAGTCCTGAGGAAAATGGAAATTAATTTCATTTGAGTAATATCCCCCTGACTTTGAGTTCTTTTAAAATTTAACTATTACCTTTAATGGCTTGATATCCAGAGAGGATATTTATACTATAAAACCTTATAAAGCAAGGATACGCAGTTTTGTTTATGCTAGCACTTAGAAAGTTATTTAAGCAGTGATGGAGGAGGTAGGTGAAAGTGTGGAGTTACATTTCAACAAGGATTTTGAAATCTTTGGAACTTAAGGCTGTACAAAAATAATTGACCAAAAATGGAATAGCTGTGGCTATTTTTGATGGATATGCCAGCAGTTATATATTATGTCCTTTTTCATTTTTGTTTATTCAGCTTGACGGATGATATAAAAAAGGTGCTTTTGGTTAAGCAGTTTAATATCTTACATTTATATACTACCTTTCAACCCAAAGGATTAATAAGCTATGTTTATACAGTTTTATAAACGTTATATGCAATTGGCCCTTTTCTTCACTGGGAATGGTAAAAAGTCATCTGTGGCAGGAATTTGCCCCCCCTTGAAGGAGATAGGGAATTCAGACCAAGTTCATTAAGGTAGATTCAGCTGATGCAGAATGTACTAAAATCATACCTATTGGGTAACTCCCACTTGTCTGATAAGTTATGGGAAAGAATTCCACTGAGAACATTGATCAATCTGCTACCTAATTAAGTAATATACTGTTTAGACAGTTTATTTTGAGTTGCCTCTTGTTGCTAGTGTGTGAGAAGGGTTTCTAGAAGTTTTGGCATTTACCATGTAAAACTACTAACTCATTTCCCTCAACTTGATAAAAAGAAGTAACAATAAATACTTCATCAACTATTTGCTTAAACTTTTCAAAGGTATTTTTTTTGAGACTCACTTTTCCTATATTAGAATGGAGAACAATGGTACATCTGTTTGTATGTGCATCAATACAAGGGATAATTGATAAATATGTAATGATATTTTAATTTATATATATGTTCTCTACATTGAATATTATCTTAAATGGTAAATAATGCCTTGATTATAGCCACTAGAGTTAAGTCAAATGGAAACTATTATTGGATTTCATTTTGAAGAGTAATGCTCTTATAATAGTTTCAGGTGCTTTTTCTTGACAACTAAAAACAAACAAAGTGCAGCTGATTAGCTATAAGAATGAAAATAAAGTTATAATTCATAAATGATAAGGTAGCATTTGATGTTTAATTTGAAGTCTGTCTTTCTCTCTCTCTTGCTCTTTCTCCCCATCTTTCTTTCTCTCTCTGTCTCTCTTACACACACACACCCCTAATTGAAGGAATCTTAAATCAAGATTCAAGAGACCCATGAATTTGCCTCGATTTTTGTCACTCATTAACTTGCTGGTGAATGTCTCTCTAGCCTCAGTTTCTTAGTTTGTATTACTTCCTATGGAATTCATGGAAAAGAAAGTCTATATATTATAATAATAGTATGTTAAATGTATTAATCTTTAAAGAATTTGCTTGTCTTTTCAAAACCTCATGTATCACTATGTTAAAAAAAAAATAACCAAATTCTTCTAAGTCCTAAAATGGCCTTTAGTAGTATAAACTTTATCACTGCATTAAGCTTTTTAGGCTGCCATATTATCCCTTACTGTATGAAATCCATCATGAATAGATTTGTGAAGCTTAAAGGATGTCCAGTGTCCAATTAAGAGCTTTAAATTTCTGGTTTATTCAGTTCCTATTTATGATAAGTTGAATTGAAGATGATGCCAAATTCAATGTTTTATAAGCATCAGAAAACATTTGATTAATATCTATATTTTGGAAGGACAAGACTAAGGTCTACTTTGAAATATATCTAGAATATAGCCATATACTCTCTCAAGCTTTTATTTACTCAAATTTATGAAAATAACTGGGTTGTATTTGGAATATACCATTATGTTTAATGTATAACAATATCTTTTCCCTCATTTTTATTATTTTATTTCTCAGTAACTAGCAACATGACTAAACTATAAGATTCGAACGCTCAGATTTTAAATCAAGGGGTTAGAGCAGTATTTACAAAGAATTACAGAAGCTAAGTATCATAGTCTAGAGAAAAAGAAAATCCATGTGCACTGTTTCATTAGACTGTGATAGGTATAATTTGAGATGAGATGTGTATTTATCTTGTTGTCCTAAATGTACAACAATCTCATGGCTTGTTTACACTGCTTAATAATAATCAACTCCACTTTCTTTGTAGCCTGTTAAATTTCTCAGAGAATTGCTTGCATAAGGAACTCCCCCACATTAAATTGCTATGCATTTGAAAATGGATTAATCCTGTGTGTGTGGAAAGAGTTGATCCTGCAGGCTAGGTTTTGCAGGATAATAAAAACCAAAAAGAAAATGCATTTTGACAAAATTGATTGTGCTAATACAATTTCTCAATCAACTCTCTGCATGCTATCTTTTACTAAGTGCCCTGGGTTGCGAATAATTGGTCCAATAAAGGCATTTCATTCTAATATCCATCTTACTGGGAATACCTGTGTTTTTGAAAATGAATATTTCCATAATTTATAAACTAAACAATTTATTGAGCCCTTGATCAGAGGACTGTATTGCATATTAAGCAGAAAACAAAGGGAATAGGAAACAGAGACTCTGCTTGTACTATCCCATCTAACTTTATTCTGCTCCATGGTAAATCTAGCTAGTGTATGTAAATCATTATGTTTTCCTTAGAGGTCAGGGCCTACATCATTTTTGTATCTCCCCATCCAAATATCATACTTTGTGTAGAGCAAGTGGTAAATAAATGTTTGGAACATATAACACTTAGACGACTTAGTCTGATAGGAGCAAGACACTTTGTAAAATGAATGATAAAGAATATATTTGCCCTTGATTTTTAGATTTATACAGAAAAACACATTGATATGGCACCTAATCTCTCAAATTGATAGATTTATAGAATTATTTTCTCATATCTATAAAGAAAACCAAAGTATCTTTGGCTGAAATTCAAAATCCTCCAGAATAATTTGCCACTGACTGACTTTTACTCTCAACTCCATGCCTTCTTCCTCCATACGAAACAGTCTAGCCATGTTGAATTATGTTTGAAAGATTGTACACCCTGGTTTGCCCAGTTTGGACATGGCTTATAACTGCTCTCTTAGCACAGTATTAAAACCACTGCTCTCATTTTTATAAGTGTATTTGTTTGGATCAGGTATATGGTTTTCCTAATTCATATACTCATTGAATGGGTATCTGTTTTTTCATGTTTCTGTAAATTTTGAAAAATTATTGTTAAAGCTTCTATGTGTGACAAATATTTGGGTATGTGTTAAACCTTTAGGTCTTCACATGTGCAACCTAAAGGTTGAGCTGGCTTAAAGTTTCTGGGAGCATTATGTTTCCCAAAAGCTGTCTAAAACTAGATGAATCGTGGAAGCCTGGTTGGTTTAGATGTTCCCTAGAGCACTTCTGTTGATTCCATTGGGGAAGTTTCAACACTGTGCTTTTTTGGGGGACAATGCTAGAAACATTCTGGATCTAACTTAGTTGTTAATTTAGGACTATAGTGGACCCCTTCTCAGGCTGTTCCATTAAGATCCAAAACCATGGAAGCATCATACCAATTTTTCAAAGTACACCCCATCTGATAAATGTGTTTAGTGGTTCAGGGATTCCCTGATTTATCATACTAGTATTTCCAGAATAATTCCAGTCTCTTCAGAGGGAGCTAACTTTAAACCAGGAAGTATTGAGGGACCAGGATATACTTTGGAAAATTAGTCACTTTGATAAAGATTATGCTAGTTTCTGTTTATTTCCTCAGATACAATTCTGGCACCCAATAGGAACATATCTGGAATCTGCCTGATTGAATTACTTTGATTTATGTAAGTGTGGATGTGCACAGATTTAGTGAGCTGGTCTCCATGGCACTTCCTTCATCTGTGGTTTTCTGTGCATTTGTCTCTCATCCCCTGCCTTTGGCTTTTAGCTCTGCAGTCTGATAATAAACATTTATTTTCTCCTTTGGCTCAGGACATGCAACTTCTGTCACAGTTAATATAAGGCAGTGGCATCTGCTAAAACAGCAGTGCTGCTCTGAAAGCTTGCAGTTCAAACACAGTTACAATTCTTTTTCGCTGCCTTTATTTTTAGTCATAAGAGTACAGGAGGAGGGCAAAGTTCACAGTTCTTAAGACGTCAAAGAAATAATTCCTTCTGCCTCTGTCTGTAGAGCCAAGGGAGCTGGATGAAACCTTGGATAGTTTCATAGGAGCCAAGGGTACCTATGGCTACGAGAAGAGCCTGCCCTGTGACTTATAATAGGAATGTGAAGAAGACTGAAAAATACTGCTAATGATTAGTAAAAGTCAGTGGGACTATTTTTCTAAATTGTGACCCAGGGCACGTGTGAGCATGTGTGTATATGTGATCATAGACTGTCCCCTAAACAATGTTTCTCAACGTATTTTCTAGGCCCAAGAAGAATAATTAAATATTCATATTAAGTAAGGTATGGGAAATTATTTTAAAAGTTTAACCTTTCATCTTCAAACCCATGATGTTTCTATACCTAAAGGTCTATGTGCGTTTCTAATTCACTGCACTTTAAGAGAAAAAATAGCTGAAATAGAAAAGATTCATATAGAAAGAATGTAAATAATCTGAGAGATACAAAAACCCAAATGAAAGTAAAATTGGATGAAAGTTGTTATTTATAAAATTATGAAGTCCATTTCTATCAAACCCGCAAATAACAGAATTAACTGGATGTTGCTTTTAATAGTGCTATTTTTGGATGAAGATACTATTTTCAACACTGTTGGCAGAGTTAGGAAATGTATGAGCAATATTCAGGTATCCAGAGTTTAGCATTAGTAGAAAGCCATTACTACCCTTAAACCTAAGAGGGCAAGGAGGGAAGTCATGTTACTGGGATATAGGACGACCTGGAGCTACAAAGGGAAGAGCCACCAACAGGAGCCTGAGAAGTCAAGGGACACGCCACCTGCCACAACCACAATACTAAATTAAAGATGGAGAGGAAAAAGTACCCAGAATTATCTCTTTCCATTTTTAGATTTCTTGCTGGTTTCTCTCATTAATTCAAACCCATTAAAGAAAGCCAAGGATCCTACATAATCAAGCACTTGGGGATCAACCCTCCTGGTGTATTGTATAGAACAGAACTGAGAAGACTGAAAGTTGTTCTAGTGAGGAAAAGGGAGCCAAGCAATTAGAAAATATACAGCACAAATGGAGACACTGATGTTATTATTTAGGTGTTACTATGTTTCCCATGATACAGTTACAGAACCTGAGTGTAGGATTGTTTAGCCAGTTTGCCCTAGGTCACAGATCTAGTAGAACTTGGACCACTTCCTCACATTTGTGTTTCTTACTCAATAGCCAATGCTAATTATTGTGTCACATTGCCACTTTAGTATTTTTATATTTTTGCAGTTGATTGCAACTGGCAAAAATAAATATTTAAACAACATACACATAATAAAAATCAAACTTATTGATAATAAACTAAAGCTAAAGCAAAATATAAGAAAATAAAAAAACTAGGTATTATATGGAGACAGCATAGGGAAAGTCAGTATATATTTATTCTTTTCCATTTTTTGCTTCGATTGCATTACTTCTTATATTCTCAGCAAAAGCTCGAAATTCCTGTCACATCATCTTAAATTAGCTTTTGCAGGCCAAGGGCCTGAAGCACAAATGTTTCTGCAAATTGGATAGAAAAAGTATTGCAATGGACCAAAGGCTTCAACATCAGCTTGGAGTTATAGCTTGAACCCTAGTCGAAAATACAGTTTGGGATGTGTGAGTGTGAGGGAAAGTAGTTAAAACTGCTTCCTCCTTTATACTTAAAATATGAAATATAAACCAGGAAAGAAATGCTTCCAGTATTACATTATACTTTTTTTTTATATTCTATTCTATGCTGACAATATCATGTAAATGGGCTGTAGTGAAATGTAGCAAATGAGATGTTCTCAAATCAAAGTGAGAAGACTGTATGATCTTGACTTCAAAATTTAAACTTTTACATGTATTTATTTCTATGTATAAGTGTTTTGCATAAAATGTCAAAGTTGTCAATTCCGCCATTTTATAAAATAAAAAAAAATTTGATTATTTTAACTGTTGGTATAATGTAACATCATGACAAACCCTAGTCCAGCATTGAGTTTATTTTAAGTTTTTTCTCAATATTCAGTGTCAAATAGTGGAGGCCTAAAATGATGACAGGGATCCTCACTGAGCATTGAACAGGGAGTTTCATTAGGGCCTGAGGTGATAAAACAGGAAGGATGGGGCTATCTACATGGGCAGCTTTTCCATAGTATGTTACTTAGTATCAGGATTCATCAAGCACAAGAAATAGGAAATGCATTACCAAACGAAGGAGAACGAATTAGCAGGTATGAACGAATCACTAATGTTTGAAAGGAATGAAATATCATAATTAATGGAAAAATGATTTTTTAAAAAAATATTAAGTATAAGGAATGTGACATGACAGATGAAGACAAAGAAGTCAATTGTCATATGGGAAGGAATGTGCTCCAATCAGAAGGACTGGCACGAGAAGGCACAGGTTTGGATGGAGATAATGGAGGTTACCTGTGGGACTCCTGTAGAGATATTAGTAATAAGGACCAGTGGTTTTGGTTAAGTGCAGACAAGGGATAGTGAGAGAACATAGAGGCTTCCAAGTTAAACCAAGAAATCAAAAAAGGCAAATGTGGACTCTGGACATTTGGAGAATGGCTGTAAAGGGACTAGTCAATATCATCTCCTCCTTGGTATTCTATCTCTTGGAAATTAACTTAGTCTTGAAAGATAAATGAAATTCCACAAATTAATATTTAAAAAATTAATAAATAGCATTTAACCTCCCAGTTCTTAAGATTTTTACTACTATATAGGTATCTATACAGGTATCTACATGAGAAAAAAAATAGGTCTCTAATGTTGCTTTATATATATACGTCTGTTTCAATGCATATTTCAAATGCTTCATTTTATTATACTTTCAGTTCTGAGGTGCATGTGCAGAGTGTGCAGGTTTGTTACATAGGTATACACATGCCATGGTGGTTTGCTGCACCTATCAACCTGTCATCTACATTAGGTGTTTCTCCTAATGCTCTCCCTCCCCTAGCCCCCAACCCCCGACAGGCCCCAGTGTGTGATGTTCCCCTCTGTGTGTCCCTGTGTTCTCGTTGTTCGATTCCTACTTATGAGTGAGACTATGTGGTGTTTGGCTTTCTGTTCCTGTGTTAGTTTGCTGAGAATGATGGTTTCCAGTTTCATCCATGCCCCTGCAAAGGACATGAACTCATCCTTTTTTATGACTGCATAGTATTCCATGGTGTATATGTGCCACGTTTTCTTTATCCAGTCTGTCATTGATGGCATTTGGGTTGGTTCCAAGTCTTTGCTATTGTAAACAGTACCGCAATAAACATAAGTGTGCGTGTGTCTTTATAGCAGAATGATTTATAATCCTTTGGGTATATACCCAGTAATGGGATTGCAGGGTCAAATATTTCTAGTTCTGGATCCTTGAGGAATCACCACACTGTCTTCCACAATGGTTAAACTAATTTACACTCCCATCAACAGTGTAAAAGTGTTCCTATTTCTCCACATATGTTTGATTATTGTACCTGAAAGTGATGGGGAGAATGGAACCAAGTTGGAAAACACTCTTCAGGATATTATCCAGGAGAACTTCCCCAACCTAGCAAGACAGGCCAACATTCAAATTCAGGAAATACAGAGAACACCACAAAGATACTCCTTGAGAAGAGCAACCCCAAGACATATAGTCGTCAGATTCACCAAGGTTGAAATGAAGAAAAAAATGTTAAGGGCAGCCAGAGAGAAAGGTCGGGTTACCCACAAAGGGAAGCCGATCAGACTAACAGCAGATCTCTCGGCAGAAACCCTACAATCCAGAAGAGAGTGGAAGCTAATATTCAACATTTTTAAAAGAATTTTCAACTCAGAATTTCATATCCAGCCAAACTAAGCTTCCTAAGCAAAGGAGAAATAAGATCCTTTACAGACAAGCAAATGCTGAGAGATTTTGTCATCACCAAGCCTGGCTTACAAGAGTTCCTGAAAGAAGCCCTAAACATGCAAAGGAACCACCGGTACCAGGCAAGCGGGAAAGTGAGGCGGCCCTGGGAGACACAGACGTAGGGGGCTTCACATGCTTTTCTTTTGGGAACCACATCAGTTATTCACAGAGAAGACCAGGGGGAACACTGAGAAAACTCATCCAGTGGGGCTGGCTGGGGGATAGCAGCAGCCACTACCAGAATTCAACCAAATTCACCTTCTTTATCTCCCTCAAAGAATAAAGGCTTAATCTAAAGGGGAAGGAAAACAAAAATTGTGGCCAGAGAGAATTGATGGAAACCAACTCCAGCCAGGGGAAGGGAACGGAAAAAAGGAAAGAAAAAAAAAAACCCCACAAAATCAGTTCTATACCTGGTGGAAGATCAGGAATACATATTGGCCAGAAGTCCAGGAAGGGCAGAAATACTTCTGAATAACAAGCCTCTGAGGACCAAGTACACAGATGCCTGCCTAAGACTTGGGCTTAATGAAAATTATAGAAAACATTTTCTCCTACTTCCTTACCCAATCAGCCCCACCACACTAACCAGTATTGAGTAAAAATAATAGTCTAAACATCTGATAGAGCTGAAAAGGACAGATTATCTCTGGGCACTAACTCAAAGGGAAGATTAAAAGCCAAGAGAAGAGGCTCATTGCCAAGCCAGGAGTGGACACTGACGGGAAAAAAACATCCTTTGGCTAATTAGTCCACACACTAAGCAGAAGATATCACTTGAGAAATTTGAAGCTTATGGCAAACTGAGGCTAACCATAGCAACAATAATTTTTCAATTCTTGAATTAATAAAAACTCCCACACTACAGATCTAGTAGAAGGATGTTTATCTCCAAGATTATTTACTTTAGTGTCTCTGTTCTATATAACATATTAGGCTTTTAACAAAAAAATTTGAAAACATACCAAAAAGGCAACAAAACACAGAAAAGACAAAACAATCGCCCAAACAAGATTTATGTATGTCATAGACATTGGAAGTGTCATACCATCAGACAGAAACTTTAATTATGATTAATATATTAAAGTCTCTAATGAAAAAGGTAGACAACATGGAAGCTCATACAGGTAATTTAAACAGAGCAATTGGAAATTTTTAAAAAGAACCAAATAAAAATATAGGCGGTCTCCAGCTTACAAGGATTTGACTTAAGATTTTTGACTGTATAATGGGTTTATCAGGATATAGCCCCACAGTAAGTTGAGGAAAATCTGGAAATATGATGATTCAACTTATAACTTTTTGACTTTATGATAGGTTTATCAGAGTATTAAATGCCTTACAACATGGTATTTTCAACTTATAATGGCTTTTTTAGTATGTAACCCCATTGTAAATCAAGGAGCATCTATACTAGATTTCAAAATCAAAGTAAGAGAAGTAAAGAATGCTTGAAACAGGCTCATGAGGAGACTTGACAGAGCTGAGGAAAAAAAAAATCACTAAACTTGAGGACAGGTTAATAGAAATTAACCAAACTGAAATGTGTGTGTGTGTCTGAGAGAGAGTGGGAGAGAGAGTTTGAGAAACAGAGTTTGACAGGAATGAAATATCTATATCTGTGATAATACATAACCATATAATGTGTAATTGAGTTATTGAAATATGAGTAATTGGAATGCCAAAAGGGAAACAAGAATAGGAAGAAGAAATACTTGAAGAAATAGTGATTGAGAATGGTCTAAACATACAAGTTAAAAGACAGAATTCATTAAATTGGATAAAAATGTAAGATGCATCTATGTGCTATCTACAAAAAATACACTTTAAATATAAACAAATATTTGTGTTAAAGAGAAAACTGTTGAGAAAGGTATACCATACAAACACCAATCAAAATAGAACTATAGTAGCTATCATAATTTCAAAGTAGTAGTTTTAAGAATAGGAATATTATCAAGTTATGATAAAGATGGACACTGTGCAAAAGGAAGTGGTCAGTTCTCCAAAGAGACATAAGAGTCATGTATCTTAACAACAGGGCTTCAAAATACATGGAGAAAAATATACAAAGAAAAATACAAAATAGATATAGAAAAACATAAAATAGAAATAGGCAGATTCACTACTACAGTTTCAGACTCTAACCTCCTATCTTAGTAATTGATAGAACAAGTAGACAGAACATTGATAAACACATAAATGACCTGAACAAAACTATCAATCCACTTACTGTAATTGATCAGGCTTGTCTTGAACTCCTGACCTCATGATTCACTTGCCTCGGCCTCCCAAATTCTGGGATTACAGGCATGAGCCAATAAATGTATAATTTTTATCAAGGACTTTTTTTTGCAGGTGCAACTTTGTGAAAATATTGATTATTTCCATCCTCATAAATATAACAAAAATGTGGATTATTTAGAATAAGTAGTAGAATAAGTAGAATTTAGAATAAGTAGGAGAATTAAAAGTGTGTTCAGCAACAAAATTTGCAAAAAACATTTTTGGATTTAAATTATTTTTGTTGCTATGTAAACTATACTATTCATTTTATATGAGCTATCTATTGTATAATTTGTTCTTTATACTCTTAAGCTATCAACCTGGTCTCCAAAGGCAAATAAATTTTTAAAATTTTTGGCCTAGTTAATAAAGTTACATGTAATATATAATAATCCAAAATAAATGGAATAAAATATTGGTTGTTATAGACAGGCAGTCCTCACTTTATATGGTCTGACATTCATGTATTTTTTCATGAATTTTTGTTATCACAGTTTTATTAAAAAGTATTGGTCCCCGAACAACCAGTTTAAATTTCAGTTACCACAGTATATTAACTGTGAGTAACTGCATAAAGTATAGACTTTGCTGCTGGCTTTTCAGCAAATCACTGATTCAGCAAATTACTAGATAAGTAATCAGTGACCAAGCATATCATTTATTTCAAAGTTTATGGTGACTGTTCCCTGTACATCTGTCAGTTTATACAGCCAGTGATGGACTCGTGACATTTTACAAAAATTAATAGTCAAAAGAGGGAATTAGCCAAGAAGAATAGCCTAGAAATGGAAAGTGATAATGCTGGATGTAAACTTGGAAAGTGGTTGGAATGAAAGAGGATGTAAATACCCCAGAGCAACTGACATTGGCAAAACTTTTACATTAAAGGGACTCTTGGAGATATCTCACAACATTGAATGTGCAAAGGATAAAATGGTGGAAACTGATCCAAACTTAGAAAGAAAATGACAATTCAGCAAGGTGTAGGAAGGAGGTTCACTCTGTGTCCTATGTTATATGTGAAGGAAAGCATTCTTCAAGCTACTCTTCGTACATTTGCTTTCAGCAAAAATACGAAACATTTCAAATCTTAAAGCCCCTAATATTTAAATTTCAGTGTGCTTAGAAAATATTAGTTTTACTATTTTTAAATTCTCCTACACATTTATGACAAAAATAAGGGGGGTTTGTAACATTTTGACAAAAAATTTCAAAGATATCTCTTTTAATTTTCTCCATAGATTATCATTTTCTCTGTTTTAGCTAAAACAGTCATTTTATGATGCTGCACTACAATGCAAAGCAAGAACTATCTGTATATATACTATCTGTATATATCTGTATATATACATTATAATTTATATTAGATATTGCATATGATATGGTTTGGCTGTGTCCCCACCCAAATCTCACCTTGAATTGTAGTTCCCATAATCCCCACATGTCCTGGGAGAGACCCAGTGGTAACTGAACCTTGGGGGTGGGTTTTCCATGCTGTTCTTATGATAGTAAATAAGTCTCACAATATTGGATGGTTTTATAAAGGGCAGTTCCCCTGCACATGCTCTCTTGCCTGCCACCATTTAAGACGTGCCTTTGTTCCTCCTTCTCCTTCTGCCATAATTGTGAAGCCTTCCCAGCCATGTGGAACTGTGAGTCTATTAAACCTTTTTTTCTTTATAAATTACCCAATATCTAGTATTTCTTCATAGCAGTATGAAAATGGGCTAATACAGTAAATTGGTACCAGTAGAGTGGGATAATGCTACTAAGATACCCAAAAATGTGGAAGTGACTTTGGAACTGGGTAACAGAGGTTGAAACAGTTTGGAGGGCTCAGAAGAAGACAGAGAGATATGGCAAAGTTTGGAGCTTCCTAGAGACCAAAATGTCCAGGCTGAGTGGTCTCAGATAGAGATGAGGAATTTATTGGGAACTGAAGAAAACGTGATTCTTGCTATGCTTTAACCAAGAGACTGGCAGCATTCAGCATTAAGACTGCCTTAAAGATCTGTGGAACTTTGAACTTGAGAGAGATGATTTAGGGTAGCTGGTGGAAGAAATTTTTAAGCAGCAAAGCATTCAAGAGATGACTTGGGTGCTCTTAAAATCACTCAGTTTTATTCATTCACAAAGATATGGTTTGGAATAGGAACTTGTGTTTAAAAGGGAAGCAGAGCAGAAATGCTTGGAAAATTTGCATCCTGACAAAGCAATAGAAAAGAAAAACCCATTTTCTGAGGAGAAATTCAAGCCTGCTGTAGAAATTTACTTAAGTAATGAGGAACCAAGTGTTAATCACCAAAACAACGGTGAAAATGTCTCCAGGCCATGTCAGAGGTCTTCATGGCAGCCTCTCCCATCACAAGCCAGGAGGCCTAGGAGAAAAATGTGGTTTCATAGGCCAGGCTCAGGGCCTTGCTGCTTTGTGCAGTCTTGGGACTTGGTGCCCTGTGTCCCAGCCATGTCTAAAATGGGCCAACATACAGCTCAGGCCATTGCTTCAGAGGGTGCAAGCCCCAAGCCTTGGCAGCTTACACGTGGTGTTGAGCCTGAGGGTGCACAGAAGTCAAGAATTGAGGTTTGGGAACCTCCACCTAGATTTCAGAGGATGTATGGAAACACCTGGATATCCAGGCCAAAGTTTGCTCCAGGGGTGGGGCCCTCATGGAGAACCTTTGCTAGAGCAGTGTGGAAGGGAAATATGGGATGGGAGTCCCCATACAGAGTCCCTACTAGGGCACTGCCTAGTGGGGCTGTGAGATGAGGGCCACTGTCTTCCAGACCCCAGAATCGTAGGTCCACTGACAGCTTGCCCTGTATGCCTGGAAAAGCCTCAGATACTCAACACCAGCCCATGAAAGTAGCCAGGAAATGGGGTTGTACCCTGCAAAGCGACACTGGCAGAGCTGCCCAGGACTATGGAAACCCACCTGTTGCATCAGTGTAACCTGGATGTGAGACATGAAGTCAAAGGAAATCATTTTGGAACTTTAAGATTTGACTGCCCCACTAGATTTCAGACTTGCATGGGACCTGAAGCCCCTTGGTTTTGGCCAGTTTATTTTATTTGGAATTGGTGTATTTACCCAATGCCTGTACCCCTATTGTATTTAGGAAGTAATTTACTTGCTTTTGATTTTACAGGCTCATAGGCAGAAGGGACTTGCCTTGTCTAAGATGAACTGTGGACTTTTGAGTTAATGCTGAAATGAGATAAGACTTTGGGGAACTGTTGGAAGGGCATGATTTTATTTTGAAATGCGAGGACATGAGATTTGGGAGGGTCTGGGGTGGAATGATACAGTTTGGCTGTGTCCCTACCAAAGTCTCATCTTGAATTGTAGCTCCTATAATCCCTGTGTGTTGTGGGAGGGACCCAGTGGGACATAATTGGGCCATGGGTGCAGGTTTTTCTGTGCTGTTCTCATGACAGTGAATAATTCTTATGAGATCTGATGGTTTTATAAAGGACAGTTCCCCTGCACATGCTCTCTTGCCTGCCGTCATGTAAGATGTGCCTTTGTTCCTCCTTTGCCTTTCACCATGATTGAGAGACCTCACCAGCCATGTCTAACTGTGAGTCCATTAAACCTCTTTTTTAAAATAAATTACCCAGTCTTGGATATTTCTTCACAGCAATATGAAAATGGACAAATACAGCATATATATACTACATATAAATATTAATGTGATCTTAGGTTTTGGAGGGATTCTTCTCATACAAATAAGAACAAATCAGTACGTAAATATTTATTACCAAATATTTATAAACATTATTTCAAAAGGCTTCAGCATAATATATTGGAAAAAAGCATAAAATGGAAAAATTTCTCAAATCATATGCCATGGGTTAATATACTTAATGAGCGGTGAGAAACCAATGAGATATATAAAACAACCAAGCAGAAAAATGAGCAAAAGCACACAACTAGGATAACTCACAAAAAATGAAAAATTAATGGTCAATGAAGTTATATAAACTGTGTTTAGTTACCTAAGGCATGCATATTTTTAAAAGGATAAAATAGTGCTATGAAGCAGTATTTATCATATCTGGATATGTATCAGAAACAGCTATGAAAATCATTAGATATATATTTAGGCCACACCCTCACAGATTCTGATAAGAATAGGAATAATAATGTCCCGTCTAAAAAGCAATATGTTTTATTTTTATATTTTGCTTTTAGGGTAAGAGACATGCCAAAATTATGAGGCTGGTAAACTGATAGATCTGACTTAAACCAGGGCTCTATGTCCTAAAAGACTGTACTATTTCTATCATATCTATTAGTAAAAGAAATATCTGTGCTATTTCTGCATATTTTCATGGCATGAAGATGGAAAAGTACAATATTTATGACTAATGATTTTCCCTCTTGCAATCCATTCTGTACAATTGGATTTAGAGTAAGTGGCAATAATCTGCTTTTATTCTACTATTTTTCAAAATTAAAAAAATTATTTTGTGATACTGTCAACAAATCCTTTCTCTAGTCTCTTTTTTTTCCCTCAGGAAAGCTTGGAATTGCTCCTATTGCCAATTTCCTTCACTACTTTTCAAAGTCAATTTCATGCTCTCTTTTATGAAAATTAAACAGTGTCACCGAGAAATGTGTGACACATGAACCTGGTCTTAACTCTCGTAGTGAATGCTAAAAAACAAACCATGAAAGAACAAAGAACCAAGGCTACCTGTTTGTAACTTTTGAGTCAGTTTGAAAGATTTCAAATTAAAGGCTTAGAAAGTGATTTATCCATGTTGATTGATCCAGTAAATGCTGACTAAGCTTCAGAGAAATACTTTTATTATTATTTTTAAGTCTGCTCCTCCACAGTCTAGAGTCTGTCTTGGATGTTAAATTGCAGACAAAATATTTTGCTCTATTCATTTTTATGTTTAATCTTAACTGAATTGATATGGACAGTAGAAGGTTTTCTGCTTGCATTCTCAATTCTTCAGAAAGATCAACATTTCTTTAAAAAAAATCCATGCTGCCTATGAAATATTCTTGCTAAAACTTCAAACTCTGAGGCTATCAGTGTTTTGGAATTAACTACAAAGAGTACAAAAAGAACAGGGTGCAGAGGGGCCTGATGAAATACACCACTGTGAGGTAATCTGAAAAATATAGATTGTGGATAAAGCTCCATATCCACTGGGAGTGGTTTCTGGAACAAATACATTTCAAAAAAAAAATGATAGAAGAGAAGCCTATAGATTAAGAGACGTATTAGCCAATGGCAATGTATTAACCTTATTTGAATTTCAATTCAAACAAGCTATCATAAAAAGCTTAATGGGAAAGCATGAAAACTAAGTTTATATTTTATGGTATTAAAAGAATATTCTTTAGGTATTATAAGAGTATTGTCATTACGTTAAAAGGGACTCCATTCTTGAGAGATACATGAAAAATATTTATAGAAAAATTATGGGATATCATCAAGTTCTGAGATTTGCTTTAAAGTATTCAAGGGGTCTGAGTCAAAGATGATGGTATAAATGAATCAAGGTGGATGGTGAATTAAAAATTAATGAGGATTAATTGGACTGGTCTCTACTTTTGTGTGTATTTGAATATTTATACCTAAAATAATCAGCAGGAATGATATCAGCTATTTGATTTCTCTTCCAATAATTTTGTGTTTTCAGTTCTCTTTCTTGATCTACATGTTCTACTTTCAAATATTTTAAAATATTTAAAATGTGCTTAATTGTGACTTTGAGCAAATAACAGCCCTGTGCCTCCACGTTTCCTTCATTGTAAAATGGAGATAATAATAGACTTCCTTAAAATATTGCTATGACTATTAAATGATACAGAACATATAAACTGCTTAGAACAGTAAATGCTAGCTCTTATTTTTAATATTATATTGCATGAAGTGGTTACCTAATTTAATTTTATATATTTGAGGACAGATTTGTAGCAATTTTTGTTTGTTCCATTTTGTCTTTTTGAATGACAAGTAAAAGGAAGTGAGGGTTATTTATTGTAATAAACAGATGTTGTAGAGGTTATGATAAAAACATTCACCAAAATCCCACAAATCGCCGCTAAAGAAATTACTCATGTAACCAAATCCCACCTGTTCCCCAAAAACCTATAGAAATAAAAAATTTTAAAAGTTCACCTATATGAAAGAATATTGAAAGAATGGAGATAGCCATTGTGACAGGTAATTTTATGTGTCAATTTGATTGGCCTAAGGGATGCCCAGATAGCTGGTAAAACATTGTATCTGAGGGTATCTGTGAGGGCGTTTCTAAAGAGATTAGGATTTGAATCTGTAGACTGAATAAAGAATATGGTCTTCACCAATGCAGTGGGCATCACCCAATCCACTGAAGGCCCACATAAAACAAAAAAAGCTGGAGGAAGGGTGAATTTGCAATCTCGGAGATGGTGCATCCATTTTTCTCCTGCCCTTGGACATCTGCCCTGGTTCTCAGGCCTTTGGACTCAGATTGAATTACATCACCAGCTTTCCTGTTTCTCCAGCTTGCAGACAGCAGATCATGAGACTTAGCCTCCGTAGGCACATGGACCAATTCCTGTAACCTCTCTCTGTCTCAATCTCTGCCTCTGTTCCTCTGGGTAACCCTAATACCAATCTTCTCCATTGCTCTTGAAAATGGAATGATGATTTGCACATGAATATCCCATACATACAATTGTTAGTCATCAAAACAAATAACAGAATTTTTATCTATGGCAATGAGATAGGAGGTAAAATGCCAATATAAAGATAAAGAAGTTGTGAAGATAATTCCTGGAGAGACTTTAAAGCACTGTGATTTAAAGACCTTACATTTTTGTTGTTGTTTTAACTTTTAAGTTCAGGGGTACAGGTGCAGGTATTTTGCATAGGTAAACTTGTTTCATGGGTGTTTGTTGTACTGATTATTTCATCACCCAGGTATTAAGCCTAGTAACCGTTAGTTATTTTTCCTGATCCTCTCTCTCCTCCCTCTCAACTACCCTCTGAAAGGCCCCAGTGTGTGTTGTTCCCCTCTATGTGTCTATGTGTTCTCATCGTTTAGATCCCACTTATAAGTGAGATCATGCAGTGTTTGGTTTTCTGTTTCTGTGTTAGTTTGCTGAGGATAATGGCTTCCAACTCCATCCATGTCCCTGCAAAAGACATGATCTTGCTCCTTTTATGGCTGTATGGTATTCCATGGTTTAAATGTACCACACTTTCTTTATCTAGTCTATCACTGATGGGCATTTAGGTTGATTCCATATCTTTGCTATTGTCAATAGTGCTGCAATGAACATATGCATGCATATGTCTTTATAATGGAATGATTTATATTTATTTGGGTATATACCCAGAAATGGAATTCCTGGTTAGAATGGTATTTCTGTCTTTAGGTCTTTCAGGAATCACAGTGACTGAACTAATTTACAGTTCCACCAACAGTGTATATGTGATCATGTCCTTTGCAGGGACATGGATGAAGCTGGAGGCCATTATCCTTAGCAAAATAATACAGGAACAGAAAGCCAAATACCACATATTCTCACTTATAAGTGATGAGAACACATGGACACATAGGGGGAACAACACACACTTGGGTCTTTCAGAACGTAGAGGGTGGGAGGAGGGAGAGGTCAGGAAAAAAATAACTAATGGGTACTAGGCTTAATACCTGCATGATGAAATAATTTGTACATTATCTGTGTTACAAACCTGCACTTGTACCCCCAAACTTAAATTAACATTTTAAAAAAGATTTATTTTTATACTTTCTCTTGAGTTTTATAATTTTCACTCTTTTATTTTGTTCCATGATTCATTTTGAGTTATTTTTGTAGATGAAGTGAAAAAAAGAGTTCAACCTCAGTCTTTTTAAATGTAGATACTCAGTTTTAAAACCGTTTGCTCAAAAGACTGTTTTTTCTCTCTTTTCTTTTCTTGAAACCTTTGTCAAAAATCAGTTGACCGTAATATAAGAGTTTATATCTAAATTCACAATTTATTTCATTGATTCTTTTTCATTGACTTATATGCCTATCCTTATGCAAATCATACTGTCTTACTATAGCTTTGTGTTTGGAGTATATTTTGAGGTAAAATATGTGAGTTCTCCAACTTAGTTCTGATTTTTGGGATGATTTTGGCTATTCTAGGTTTCTTATATTTCCATATAAACTTAAAATAAGCTTGTTAATTTCTACAAGAAAAAGCAGTTGTGATTTTCATAGACATTGTGTAAAAGCTATTGATCCTTTTAGAAAGTATTATCCTTTTCATGATATTAAGTTTTTCAATCCATAAACATGGTAGGGTGGTTTCTATTCATTTTAATTTCTTTGATTGCTTTAATTCTTTAATTTCTTTCAGCATGTTTTATAGTTTTTAAGTATAAATTTCACCCATCTTTTGAGAAATGTCTGTTCATATCCTTGGCCCACTTTTTGATGGGGTTGTTTTTTTCTTGTAAATGTGTTTAAGTCCCTTGTAAATTCTGGATATTAGACTTTGTCAGATGGGTAAATTGCAAAAAATTTATCCCATTCTGTAGGTTGCCTGTTCACTCTGATGATAGTTTCTTTCGCTGTGCAAAAACTCTTTAATTAGATCCCATTTGTCAATTTTGGCTTTTGTTGCAATTGCTTTTGGTGTTTTTGTCATGAAGTCTTTGTCCTTAATGGTATGGCCTAGGTTTTCTTTTAGGGTTTTAATGGTTTTGGGTTTTACATTTAAGTCGTTAATCCATCTTGAGTTAATTTTTATATAACCTATAAGAAAGCAGTCCAGTTTCAGTTTCCTGCAAATGGCTAGCCAGTTTTCCCAGCACCATTTACTGAATAGGAGATCATTTCCCCGCATTGCTTGTTTTTGTCAGGTTTGTCGAAGATCAGATGGTTTTAGATGTGTGGGGTTATTTCTGAGGTCTCTGTTCTGCTCCATTGGTCTATATGTTGGTTTGGTACCAGTACCAGTGTACCAGTACCATGCTGTTTTGGTTACTGTAGCCTTGTAGTATAGTTTGAAGTTAGGTAGTGTGATGCCTCCAGCTTTATTCTTTTTTTCTTTTATTCTTTTATTCTTTTTGCTTAGGATTGTCTTGGCTATACGGAATCTTCTTTGTTTCCTTATGAAATTTAAAATAGTTTTTTTCTAATTCTGTGAATAATGTCAATGGTAGTTTGATGGAAATAGCATGAATCTATAAATTACTTTGTGCAGTATGGCCATTTTCACTATATTGATTCTTCCTATCCATGAGAATGGAATGTTTTTCCATTTGTTTGTGTCTTCTCTTATTTCCTTGAGAAGTGGTTTGTTCTTCCTCTTGAAGCAGTCCTTCACATCCCTTGTTAGCTGTATTCCTATGTATTTTATTCTTTTGTAGCAATTGTGAATTGGAGTTCATTCATGATTTGACTCTCTGCTTGCCTATTGTTGTTGTAAAGGTTGCTTGTGGTGTTTGCACATTCATTTTATATCCTGAGACATTATTGAAGTTGCTTATCAGTTCAAGAAGTTTTTGGGCTGAGATGATGGAGCTTTCTAAATATAAAATCATGTCATCTGCATACAGACAACTTGAATTCCTCTCTTTCTATTTGAATACCCATTATTTCTTTTACTTGCCTCATTGCCCTGGCCAGAACTTCCAATACTATGTTGAATAGGAATGGTGACAGAGGACATCCTTGTCTTGGACTGGTTTTCAAAAAGAATACTTCTGGCTTTTGCCCATTAAATATGATATTGGCTGTGGGTTTGTCATAAATAGCTCTTATTATTTTGAGATATGTTCCATCAATACCTAGTTTATTGAGAGTTTCTAACATGAAGGGATGTTGAATTTTATCAAAGCCCTTGTCTGCATCTATTGAGATAATCATGTGGTTTTTGTCTTTGGTTTTGTTTATGTGATGGATTATGTTTATTGATTTGCATGTGTTGAACCAGCCTTGCATCCAGGGATGAAGCCAACTTTATCGTGGTGGATAAGTTTTTTGATGTGTGCTGGATGCAGTTTGCCAGTATATTATTGAGGATTTTTACAATGATAGTCATCAGGGATATTGGCTTAAAGTTTTCTTTTTTTGTTTAGTCTCTTCCCTGTTTTGGTAGCAAGATGATGGTGGCTTCATAAAATGAGTTGAAGAGGAGTCCCTCCTTTTCAATTATTTGGAATAGTTTCAGAGGGAATGATACCAGCTTCTCTTTGTATTTCTTGTAGAATTCAACTGTGAATCTGTCTAGTTCTGCAGTTTTTTGTTTTTTTTTTTTTTTTGGTTGGTTGGTAGGCTATTAATTACTGCCTCAATATCAGAGCTTGTTATTGATCTATTCAGGGATTCAACTTCTTCCTGGTTTAGACTTGGTAGGGTGTATGCATCGAGGAATTTATTCATTTCTTCTAGATTTTCTAGTTTATTTGCATAGAGGTGTTTACAGTTTATAGTTGATGGTAGTTTATATTTCTGTAGGGTCAGTGGTGATATCCCCTTTATCTTTTTTTATTGTGTCTGTTTGATTCTTCTCTCTCTTCTTCTTTATTAGTCTAGCTAATGGTCTATTTTGTTAACTTTTTGAAAAAAAAACAAGCTCCTGGATTCATTGATTTTTGGGAGGGTTTTTGTGTCTCTACCTCCTTCAGTTATGCTCTGATATTAGTCATTTCTTACCTTCTGCTAGTTTTTGTATTAGTTTGCTCTTGCCTCTCTAGCTCTTTTAATTGTTATGTTAGGGTGTTGATTTCAGATCTCTCTAGCTTTATGATGTGGGCATTTAGTGCTATAAATTTCTCTCTTAACACTGCTTTAGCTGTGTCCCAGAGATTCTGGTACATTGTCTCTTTATTCTCACAGGTTTCAAGGAATTTCTTGATTTCTGCCTTCATTTAATTATTTACCCAGGAGTAATTCAGGAGCAGCTTGTTTAATTTCCATGAAATTGTGTGGTTTTGAGTAAGTTTCTTAGTCCTGAGTTCTAATTTGATTGCACTGAGGTCTGAGACACTGTTTGTTGTGATTTCCATTTTTTGCATTTGCTGAGGAGTGTTTTACTTCCAAATATGTGGTCGATTTTAGATTTAAGTGCCATGTGGCACTGAGAAGAATGTATATTCTGTTGATTTGGGGTAGACAGTTCTGTAGACATCTACTAGGTCTACTTGATCCAGAGCTGAGTTCAAGTCCTGAATATCCTTGTTAATTTTCTATCTTGTTGATCTGTCTAATACTGATAGTGGGGTGTTAAATTCTCTTACAATTATTGTGTGGGAGTCTAAGTTTCTTTGTAGGTCTCTAAGAAGTTGTTTTAGGAATCTGGGTGCTCCTGTATTGGTTGCATATATATTTAGGAGAGTTAGCTCTTCTTGTTGAATTGTTCCTTTTACCATTATGTAATGTCCTTCTTTGTCTTTTTTGATCTTTGTTGGCTTAAAGTCTGTTTTGTCAGAGACTAGGATTGACACCTCTGCTTTTCTTTTTCTTTTGCTTTCCATTTGCTTGGTAACTTTTCCTCCATCCCTTTATTTTGATCCTTTGTGTGTTCTTGCACATAAGATGGATCTCCTGAATACAGCATACCAATGGGTCTTGACTCCTTATCCAATTTGCCAGTCTGTATCTTTCAATTGGGGCATTTAGGACATTTACATTAAGGTTAGTATTGTTATGTGTGAATTTGACCCTGTCATCATGATGCTATTTGGTTATTTTGCACACTAGTTGATGCAGTTTCTTCATAGTGTCATTGGTCTTTATATTTTGGTGTGTTTTTGCAGTGGCTCATACTGTTTTTTCCTTTCCATATTTAGTACTTCTTTCAGGAGCTCTTGCAGGGCAGACCTGATAGTAATGAAATCTCTGAACATTTGCTTCTCTGGAAAGCATTTTATTTCTCCTTTGCTTAAGAAGCTTAGGTTGGCTAGATATGAAATTCTTGGTTGAAAATTCTTGTCTTGTTCAAGGACAAAAAACCAAACACCGCGTGTTCTCACTCATAGGTGGGAATTGAACGATGAGAACACATGGACACAGGAAGGGGAACTTGACACACTGGGGCCTGTTGTGGGGTGGGGGGAAAGGGGGAGGGATAGCATTAGGAGATACACCTAGTGTTAAATGACGAGTTAATGGGTGCAGCACACCAACATGGCACATGTATACATATGTAACAAACCTGCACGTTGTGCACATGTACCCTAAAACTTAAAGTATAATTAAAAAAAAAAAAAGAAAATTCTTGTCTTTAAGAATGTTGAATATTGGCATCCAGTCTCTTCTGGCTTGTAGTGTTTCTGCTGAGAGGTCTGCTGTTAGTCTGATGGGCCTCCCTTTGAAGGTGACTTGGACTTTCTCTCTGCTCCCCTTAATGTTTTTTTTCCTTCATTTCGACCTTGGAGAATCTGATGATTATGTGTCATGGAGTTGAACTTCTTGTGGAGTATCTTAATGGTGTTCTCTGTATTTCCTGAATTTGCATGTTGGCCTGTCTTGCTGCATTAGGGAAGTTCTCCTAGATAATATCCTGAAGTGTGTTTTTTTGGCTTCTTTCCATTCTCCCTGTCTCCTTCTGGCATTCTAATCCATCACAGGCTTGGTCTTTTCATTGAGTCCTATATTTCTTGAAGGCTTTGTTCATTCCTTTACATTGTTTTTTTTTTCCTCTATTCTTGTCTGCATATCTTATTTCAGTAAGATGGTGGTCAAACTCTGATATTCTTTCTTCTGCTTCGTCGATTTGGCTGTCGATACCCATGTATGCTTCACAAAGTTACCTTGCTGTGTTTTTCGGCTCCATCAGGTCATTTACTTTCCTCTCTAAACTGGTTATTCTAGTCAGCAATTCCCCTAACCTTTCATCAAGGATTTTAGCTTCTTTGCATTGGGTTAGAACATGCTCCTTTAGCTCATAATAGTTTTTTAATACCTATCTTCTGAAGCTTACTTCTGTCAGTTTGTCCATCTGATCCTCTGTCCAGCTCTGCGCCCTTGATGGAGAGACATTGCAATCATTTGGAGGAGAAGAGGCACTCTGGCCTTTTGAGTTTTCAGCATGTTTTCTTTGATTCTTTCTCATCTTCATGAGTTTGTCTAGTTTCAGTCTTTGAGGCTGCTGACCCTTGGATGGGGGTTTTGTGGGGGCCTTGTTGTTGTTGTTGTTGTTGATGCTGTTGTTATCACTTCCTTTGTTTTTCTTTCAAACACTCAGTCCCTCTTCTGTAGGGCTGCTTCAGTTTGTTGGGAGTTCACTTCAGGGCCTATTCATCTGATTCGCTCCCATGCCTGGAAATGTCATTCAAGGAGGCTGGAGAGCAGCAAAAATGGGTGCCTGCTCCTTCTTCTGGGATCTCTGACCTCGAGGACCACCAATCTGATGCCAGTAGGTCACTCCTGTATAGGGTGTCTGACAACTCCTGTTGGAGATTCTCACCCAGTTGGGTGGCATGGGGAGCCAGACCCATTTAACAAAGCACTTTGTCCTTTGGCGAAGAGGGTGTGTTTTGCTGGGGGGAAACCCACTCATCTGGGCTGCCCAGGTTCCTGAGAACTACCAGGAGGAGTGGCTAAGTCTGCTGGTCCACCCATTCTAGATTTTAATGACTTGAGTCTAATTTCTTTTTGTCTCACTCAGTTTAAGCTCAAGGTTTCTCAGTTTTGCTGATCTTTTCAAAAATGAACATTTAGTTTTATTAATTTCTCTATTGTTTTTCCATTTAATTTGTTTTATCTCATTTTTATAATTTTCTTTATTCTTTTTTTAAGTTTACTCTGTTCTTCTTTTTACAGTTTCTTAAGGTGGAGAGTTATGATACAGACTTTACATCTCTTTACATTCCTCTTCTTCTTTTTAAATGTAGTTATTTGTCACCATAAATTTTCCTCTAAATAATATTTCAAATGTACTCCATAAGCTTGGGGATGTTGTATTTTTTTCATCTATCTAAAAGTATTTTCTAACTTTCCTTGGCATTTCTTCTTTATTCATTGATTATTATTAGTTTATTGCTTAATTTCTTAATATTTGTGAATTTTCTGAATTTTATTTAATGAGTTATAATTTTATTTCATTGTGGTCAGAAAACACTACTACTGCCCCTCCTCTTAATTGCCTACTATCACAATTTCCATTGTTTTAAAAAGTACCCTCAAGTTTGGACTTCCATACACTCTGTTACACATAGTTATCTCTCTTGGGGAGAGCTGCACTGTTCACTGTTCTCTGTTCTTACTGTCTCTTCCTTCTGAGCTAAACATTTTTACCCCTGTTCTACAGCTGGAGGCAGGGAGAGTGGCCTGTGTCTCTCAGAGTAATACCTCTTCTTCATGATCAGGGCACTGGGCTGGGCTGGTAGCCTCTGGTCCTCTTGGCTTCTCTCTTCCAACATGGCATCTCCTTCCTATGACTGCACTTGGGCAAGTTTCATCCAGAGCCCATTATCCTCAACCTTCTGCTCAGGAAGTAGAGCCTCCACTGTATGAATGAAGGGTGAGTTGAAGAACGGAGGCTCAAAATTCTCAGAAACTCTTTCCTGGAATACAGTTTCTGCAACATGGAGCTAAGAAAGGAAAGAAATGCTGGTGTATTCCCTTCCCAAGAAGACAAGGCCATCTTTGTTTTATATCTAGAGGAAGAGGGAGCCCTGTGTTCTTAGCTGTACTTAACTAAAGTACAACTTTCCTTTTACTTAATTTTTTTGTTGATACATATTAGATGTACATATTTTGGAGGTACATGTGATAATTTGACACATTCATATAATCAAATCAGAGTAACTGGAGTATCTATCACCTTAAATATTTTTCTTTACGCTAAGAACATTCTAATTATTCCATCTAGCTATTTTAAAATGTACAATCGATTAATGTTTACTATAGTCACCCTACTGATCTATCAACACCAGGTCTTATTTCTTTTATCTAAATGTATATTTGTACCCATTAATCAACTACTTTCATAATGTTAACCTTGGAGAAGGAAGAGAAACGGTGATGGTTCAAATGTCACTGACTCTTGCTCTTTTATCAACATTGAGAAGTTGTTTTTTGAATAAATGTGTCTTTAATTGTTGGATGTTGTTAGGGCAATTTCTAGAGATTGTAAACTGTTATTTTTTAAAGAATTGTTCACCAGTTATGTTGTTTCGTTGCAGAGATGGTCCATGAAGATCTTCACACTGCCATTCTAGAATGCAACTCTGTATTCTCACTTTGCCTCATTGCATAATCATCTGTATCTATGTTGATATGCACATAGTCAATTATTCTAGTATATGTATATTGTTTTATTCTTATGTAACGCTTCTAGTTTGCTTTTTCATATTTACAAGGCCAAGAATGGCCATTAAGACTCAAGGCTTGTCTTATCTTATAGTAGGCACTTACTTATAATATATAAATAAAATAACTACCAGTGCTTGTATCTACGTTAAGCACTTTTAATATGACATTTCATTTAATCCTATAGCAGACTATGAATTAAAAATTTTGATCCTGATTTTACACAGAAAAATTTAGGTACGAGAGATTAAATAGCCTCTCAGGATTGAAACCAGACTCATTTTTCTTTAGAGTACATAACCACTCATCTGGTTATAATCAGATCTTAAATAAAACATTATCTGATTATAACCAAATAGGATGTTTTCTCTTTGTTTCAAATGTTGTAAGCTAAATATAGCTGTTTTCAGGGACACAGAAACATCATAGGGAATAGTGGGAAAACTGTTCTCACTTTCTCTCTCTTTCTCTGCATAACCTCCCACCACAACTTTCTCTGTCCTTTACTGATCCATTTCTCCTTTTTTATTACCCCCAAACATGGACTTTTGAATAGCTAATACATTTCACCAATGGTTATGTAATATTTTGAACAAGACATTTTGGATTCTTCTATAAAAATTATTCATTGCTTTTACTGCTAGCAATTTAAATACTTTGACTCTATCCCAATTTGAAGAAAATACTTTTGCTGTGTTTTAAGACACAGGATACTATTATGAGTAATTTGTCTACGGGTTCAGATCTTCATAGCCATTTGCTCAGCTCACAGACTAACAGACTAATGCTCATCCACGTCACCTTTTAAGTATGTTTAGAAGACTGACAACAGATGTTAAAATAGGATACACAAAAATTACATTAAGTATCAAAGCTATCTTATTCAATTCAGTTGTAATCTTGGTCAAAGATTTTTGAAGTTTGTTTATTTATTTTTAGGAATCCTATTAAAGACATTGATGTTACATGATTTTTTTTTTCTGTTTTTAGAAAGTCCGCAGCAATACTGTTCCTTGGGATGTCTCCTCAGAGCCCAGCTGATCTTTACACATTTTCATGAGCTAGAAAGAAAAAAAGACTGATAGAAAAATAGTGATGCACTTATAGGCTCTGATCAAAAGGGAATTTAAGCAAATATTGTGTAGGTATGGCAAACATAGAACACCAAATCTCTGTCTTCTTGGTTTCTGTTCTCAAAAGCCATTTCCTTTTTCTTCAACATGCCCAGTGTTTTTCTATGACAATCACAAGTGGCCAGGTATACTTTCAAGATATTTTATACAAGGGTATTGAAAATATTTAGATACACATAATTGCTTCCTTGAGAATAGGTTAGTTTGAGCAGAGTGTTAAATTGTAGGCCCTGGCCAAGAAGTGGTGATGAAATTTTAGTTGAAGGATAGAGGTAGTTTGTTGAATTAAAAACCAATTTGGTTTCCAAGTTAACTTTTTTCTTATGGGCTATACATAATCATATAATTAAATACAGATTGTATATATATCAAGAAAATATAAGGCATATATTTTCTGCCTTAGAAAAATCAAGAAATAAGGAATATAAAGAGTGAAATAAGACTTAATTCCTCTTACATAATAGGGCAGGTTAATTAAATGATCATGAAAACGAGTAAGAAGCAGCCCTGACATTAGTGAATTTCTTTTAAGGCAAGAAGCTGAAATAAGCGTGATGGGACTTTTAAAACACAAAGAACCAGTGACTACCTGTGGCCAGGCATATATTTTTCCAGAAATAGAAAAGAAACAAAAGTTCAGTTAAGAGATGATTTATATGTGACAAGAGAATTTACTGTCAAAGATATCAATTTATTCTTAAATTTTATGCTTTTTCTGCTCTTGCTTTAAAAGACATCTTAAGCTTTCTTAAAGGTCATTACAAGTATCTGATAAATATTTAAGCTACCAACTTAACAAGAAGTTGTGTTTTAAAGAGAAAAGCATCTGGAAGGGAATTGTTTATTATTTCTCATATTTCCAGTGGCCTATGTCTAGGAAAACCCCCTGCAGTGGAGAAATTCGGATTTTAGTTGGTAGCTTCCAGTACTGCATGCTCAGTACTTAGGAGGAAAATGATTAGTATCAGTGGAGTTAGTTCTACATTTCCAAACATGTTAAGTGACAATCAACATCAAAATTTCCTTTCAAAGAAAGCATCTTTTTTTTTTTTTTTCTGTTCTTTGGAAGAAAAGAGATAGAGAACAAGAGCCTGTTCTTTGAAATGCAATCTCATTGCCCAAAAGGCAGTGTGTTTGAAATCACAGCTATGGCAAGTATTAAGCTCATCTGCCTGTAAAGCACAAGCACAGCTGTTTCCCTAGGGTGCATTGTTAGACTTTTTGATCTTCAAAGAACCAACAGAGCTAAGATACATGTAACCCTTTTTGTAACAGCTCCTCTTAGTGCTTAATCCCTCTGCACAGTCCCTCTCTCCTGCTAGGCAATTAGAATGGTCTGGAGCTTTTCAAAGCAATGGTACAGGTTGTCTTACCTTGATGTCCTGATTGCCCAAGACTCAAAGGGAAATTCTTCTAAAGGGGTTAAAATGCAGTGATCTCTTGCAAAGTCATGGTATAGCCTAAAATCCAGCCTCCTGCAGGGAAGACAAAGGAAAGAAAGCAGGGTAGACAATTCAACAAAATGATGTAGTCAATTCAACGAATACTTCTGTTGTCTCCTGCTTATAATAGCCTAGTGTATTTGCGGCACTGTTCTCTGTGCTTTCTATACTTTATTTTATTTAATCTTTATAATGAACCAGTGATGAGCATATTTGTTGGTTTCCCAAGAAAAGCATGCAGTGTTCCTCTTGGACCATTTCCCAATCCTCTCTTCAGTCATTTGCTAAAAATGAGTTAAGACCAAGATCTAGTTGCCTCACCTCAAAAAGGAGGTATCCATATCTGGATCCCTCAAACTTCAGGTTTCATATTGGACTTTAGTCCTAAAGTATAATAATTTGCACAAAACACAGAAATAGTAACAGCTAGAAATGTTCTTCACTCACTCTCATTTGGTAACCAGACTTTGAACAGTGGCATGAGGTGGTTACACTCTAAGCTTTGGGATTAATGGCCCTATCACTCTCACTCCTTTTCCTTTGTCACTAAGAGGTATCATTTTATATTTTATTTTTTCACAATTGTATTCATGTTTTCATACTGCTATAAAGAAATACCCCAAACTGGGTAATTCATAAAGAAAGAGAGGTTTATTGGACTTACAGTTCCACATGGCTGGGGAGGCCTCACAATCGTGACAGAAGGTGAAGGAGGAGCAAAGTCACGTCTTCATGGTGGCAGGCAAGAGAGCATGTGCAGGGAAACTGACCTTTATAAAACAATGAGATCTCATGAGACTTATTCACTACCACCAAAATAGCATGGGAAAAATAACACTCCCATGATTCAGTTACCTCCCACTGGGTCCCTCCCACAACCTGTGGGGATTATGGGAGCAGTTCAAGATGAGATTTGGGTGAAGACACAGCCAAACCATATCACCATCAAAATGCTAAATTGAAATAAAATTCAGACTTTGGTGCAGACATAAATGGAACAGGCTTACCTACTTTGATTTGAGGTCGAAAGGAAAAAGAGGAAACAGCAAAGTTTTCCAGACTTTGTTACACACTTCTGCACTAGAGTTTGAGCTTAGAAAACCCTGCCTGCTCCATGCTAGCTTCAAGGACTTCTTGGGCAGAGGTGACTATGGTAAGGCAAAATTGGGGCATGTGGCTTTGGTCAAATGTCAGAATGCCATCTTAATTGCCCTACAGCGCATAAAATCTCAACAGAATTGCTATTTCAGTTTTACAAATGAGGTAACTCAACAGTAGGGAGTTTAAATAATTTGCCCAAGCTCATAGAGGGCTAATACGTAGCAGAAGCTGACTTGGAACCCAGGGTCACCTAATTCCAGAGTTTTACTCTTAACAACCATCTTACACTAAAACAGTTTTTAAGAATAAAGTAGCAATCCAGACCATGTACAAACACCAAGTGAATGGGGTGGTGGACTGTGCTAGCAGAATTGAGATGAAGTAGCTATTGCAGTGGACCATGAGTCTTCATAAGGATCTCCTGATCCATAATGAAGCACAAATACTGAAAAGCAAGGAACTTTAAGCAGGACACAGAAACAGGAAAGGGAAAGTCCAGCCCAGTTCAATATGGCATGCTTTCAGTGGGCTGTTTGTAACCTGATACATTTATGTTGGTGTCCAGGAAGAATGCCCAATGAAATAAACCTGAAGATAGCCAGAAGCTCGGAGTCTCACTCCCAGCTCTGCTATGGTACCCCTCTTCTTGTATTCCCTCTTATTGACCCCACCCAGGCATTAACTCATTTAGAGAGCTCAATGTTTATTTTCACTTTACTTCTTCAACCACACACACACACACACAAATAAAAATAAAATAAAAATAGGCCTGGGAAATTCAAATATAGTTTAAAAAACCATGAAACAGAAGATGAAAATTTTGAAAATTCTAACATTGTATTTCATGCACCAAAATTGCCACTCCAGTTATAGAGTATTATCTCCTAATCAAAATTCTCCCTTTTTAGTTTAGTTAACAAGCTGGGAGTGTTCTTTCTTAATATTTGATTTTTAAAGTAAAATGTTATTGAACTAAATAAAAGCCTAAATGATGTAAATCATGTGAACATGATTGAGACTTATATGAATTTGAATACATGTAATGGAAGATCATGTATGATGTGTGTATTTTTATATTTGACACAAATTTCCTGAAGCTCTTTAAATAACATTATCTTAAGATAGACCATAATGACATAACTTTTTTTATTTTTTGGTAAATATGAAATATCTGAAGTGTCCCCTGGGAGGCATGGGTTTGAAATTTACAAAGTTTTTCTGTTTAACATTTCTTTATTATGTTTCTCACATAATGTATGTTATTTTTCTATTTAAAGAACTAAACACAATTAGGAAATAAATTCAAAGACAAAGATTCTAGTTTTTTACTATGAATAATTGGACAATCTTTTTCATTAAAAAAAAACTTTTTGAAAAGAGCCAATTGAGTATTTCAGGGCATTTCCCATAACACTTCCTGCCCACGAGAAAATTTTTCTTTTCTTCCCTAGTACATCTTATTTGTCTTGGTGGAGAAAAGCCTGATGGTAATAATAATGAAGCTGTATTTTAGGAACAATGGAATGGGATTCAAATTTTGGGTTGCCATTGGATTTAAGATGTATATGTGTCTTTCTGGTAGGCAGGGAGTTCTAAACTCGAAATGCAATTGATTTGTGCTATGAGACTTTTTCACTTGAGAAAAGTGTGCAGATTTCATTCTGCTTCCTCTAGAGCTGTATTTGATGTGCTCATGTCAGTTTGTAAGTAGAGAAACAGCAGAGTATATAAGTTTTTATATACTACGGATGGATTTGGAATACACTGGAGGATTTGGAATACTTTTTAAGCAGAGGGCACGTTTTTTCAGATAAAGGCTCCAAAAATCAAATTTTATATAAAATCTATCAAAAAATATATTTTGGCTAAAATTAACTGGAGTCCAGATTCCTGCCCTTTCAGAGTCATGTGATGGGACTGGAACACTAAGAAGCTCATGGAACTTTACGGCTTTGCCTGAAAACTGTTTGAAAACCTCTGCTTTTGACTACTTATTAGAATATGTGAAACTCTGGGATTAAAAAAAAAAGTTTCTCAAAGTGGAGGAATTAAAGTATTCAAGGAAGGAAAAGAGAGCACAGCATGGTCCTTTTTGTAGAAAAGCATCTTTTCAAAATCTATTTGGAGCTCATTGCATTTGACAATGTTAAAATGATATATTTGTTCCTAGCCCAGTATTTCAAATACCCAAATGTCTGAGGAAACAAAAACATGACTGAAATGAATCTATTAAGAGCCTTAAGTTCTTCTGAGATGTAAAGAGTAAACCACCAATTTCACCTTAGGACTGTGATCATATGGTTTATGATGCCCCTGAAAACTTTTAGTCCTTGAGTCAGGAAAACTTTGACATCATCTGCTAGAAAATAACCTAGTGGAAAACACAAAGAGAATTAAGGTTCAATAATGACATATTCTTAATTTTGGAAGGCAATGCCTGTTTCAAATAGTTGATCATGTGGTCAGACTCCTTGTCCCATTTTTGGTTCAGAAATATCGTATCCATAATTACGTGGGGTGTGCATGTGAATAACAAATACATAGAAGACTAATGGCAATCAAAGCTTGTAGAAGATTTAATTTAACAACAGTCCACAATTTTAGTCTAATATGGCTCTCTAAGGACAATGTTTATAAATTTTAACAATAAGATAAAAAGTAAAATAAACCTAACTGTATAAGGATGAAATTGGAAACCATCATTCTCAGTAAACTATCGCAAGAACAAAAAACCAAACACCGCATATTCTCACTCATAGGTGGGAATTCAACAATGAGATCACATGGACACAGGAAGGGGAATATCACACTCTGGGGACTGTGGTGGGGAGGGGGGAGGGGGGAGGGATAGCATTGGGAGATATACCTAATGCAAGATGACGAGTTAGTGGGTGCAGCGCACCAGCATGGCACAGGTATACATATGTAACTAACCTGCACAATGTGCACATGTACCCTAAAACTTAAAGTATAATTAAAAAAAAAAAAAAGAAAATATAAAAACTCTAACAGTCAAAAAAAAATTGATCATATAAACTTATTAGATAATTATTTCAATTTATTCCGAAATAACTATTTTGACCATATATCCCTGATGATATATCTCTTAAGGGAAAAAATATAACCACAAAGAAATATTTGGCTTATCTCAGTATTTCTTCTAAATAAGAATTTTTTCTTTTTTTTTGAGACAGAGTCTCTCGCTCTTGTCACCCAGGCTGGAGTGCAGTGGCACGATCTCAGCTCACTGCAAGCTCTGCCTCCTGGGTTCACTCCATTCTCTGGCCTCAGCCTCATGAGTAGCTGGGACCACAGGCACCCGCCACCATGCCCTGCTAATTTTTTGTATTTTTAGTAGAGACGGGGTTTCACCACGTTACCCAGGATGGTCTCGATCTCCTGACTTCGTGATCCTCCCATCTTGGCCTCCCAAAGTGCTGGGATTACAGGCGTGAGCCACTGCCCCCGGCAATATTGGTATTATTATTTTGACGTAGATAAAACAAATAAGCAATTGTGTTAATGTCTTGAGAATCATTTTTGTTTAAGATAATCAAGTAATTCAAATATGAACCTATTATTTAAATTTGAATATAAAATATATTGTTCTTTATTTCACTCTAAAAACATATATTTTCTGTTCTGTACATTGAGAAACCTTAGAACCAACAGTACTCCAGTAAAAATGAGCATTCCTACAACCAGACTACAGTCTATAAACATGATTTCTTACTGAAATGAATCAGGACTCTTTGAGAAAATGCTGATTCTGGTTTAGGGTGATAAATATGCAAGCTGAACCTGGGATACGGTCATGTATCACTTAATGTTGGGGATGCATTCTGAGAAAAGCACTGTTAGGCAATTTCATCATGTGGGAACATCACACAGTGTACTTATGTAAACCTAGATGGTATAGACTGCTACACACCAATGCTTTATCGTGTAACCTATAGCTCCTGTGCTACCAATCTGCACAGAATGTTACTGGACTGAATAATGTAGGCAATCGTAATACAATGGTAAATACACGTGTATGTAAACATAGCTAAACATAGAAAAAGTACAATAAAATTACCTTATAATCTTATGTGACCACTATCATATGCGGTTCACAGTTGACTAAAATGTCATTATTGGCACATGACTGCATTTTGTCATATCAAAAAATGGAAAAGCAAGTTAAAAAAGCTATCGTGGCCAGGCACAGTGGCTCACACCTGTAATCCCAGTAGTTTGCGAGGCAGAGGCAGGCAGGTTGGGAGTTTAAAACCAGCCTGGCCAACATGGTAAATCTCCATCTCTACTAAAAATACAAAAAATAGACGGGTGTGGTGGCGGGTGCCTGTAATCCCAGCAACTCAGGAGGCTGAGGCAAGAGAATCGCTTGAACCCGGGAGGCAGAGTTTTCAGTGAGCCAAGATCACACCACTGCACTCCAGCCTGAGCAACAGAGCAAGACTCTGTCTCAAAAAAAAAAAAAGAAAGAAAGAAAGAAAGAAAGAAAGAAAGAAAGAAAGAAAGAAAAAAGCTATCTCAGTTCTCAGTTGTCTCACAAGGACAAAAAAAAAATTCTACCTGAAGAGACCTCCAGTAGCAGTTCAAAGATTTGACTGAGCATGACAAAGAATAATGACTATTAATTAAAACAGCTTATAAATATGAATTTTTGTAAGTCCATTAATATAAAACAAACTACAAATTTACTGCTTATCTTTGGAGCAATATCCACTTATTTTTGAAACATGATAAAGGGAAGAAGCAAAGAATTTACCTGCTTTTCCTATACAGATTGCACTTCAAGATAACCAAATAGTTGATGAGAAAAACTTTTTTCCTTACAAAAACATTTCGGAGTTTAAATAAAAAAGGGAACTTTATGGTTGGAAAGTTACCATTTTTAAAGTTCTGATAAAATAATGGCTCTAGGAAACCATTAGTTTCTGAAACTAATGGGTAGAATACTGATGATGACTTTGTAGTAAATGCATTAGGCTGACATCACTGAAGCCTACCTATTAATCTTAGCATTACTAAGTGAAATAATCAGACATTTCATGTTTCCTGATGTAGTGCAATAACAAACAAGCACAAAAAATCCATAGGATATGATCGTCATTGAATCTGAATTAGTCAGTCCTCCAGTTTTAGAAATGATTGAGGAACATGTTAAAAACACAACCCATATACAACCTGCCAAACCAATAATGTGGAAACTACAGAATGAATAATTTAGTTTATTTGACAAATAGATCACATAAAAATGGGGAAATTAAAATATACCTTAAAAGTTACCAATAGAGCAATGAGGGACATTTATATAAATTTAAAAAATACAAGGCAATACTATAAATTTTATGAATTTCTATGTACATAGTATCAAAGTCATTGAATCAAACATATTTATTGCTTTTCCCCTCATCTTTGCTCTCAAATTCTCCTCTTCTGTTTGAATTAGATTCTTAAGTAAATCATTTAGTAATATTCCTTTAGCACAAGAGTTTGAGAGTTACTGAACTGTCAGTTTCTCAATGTTGAAAATTATCTTTATTTTACCCTAATTATTGAATGATATTTTAGCTGGGTATAGAATTTTAGGGTGAAAGTTTTTTCCTGTCAGAATGTGAAGGTAAAAATTTTATTGTTTTCTAGGATCTGTTATAGAATGCTGTCATCAGTCTAATTAGTGATTCCTTTGAAGGTCAACCACCTTTTCCTTCTGTTTACTTTCACTATGTTTTTCATGCTCTATTTCATGTTCATTGGGCTGTTTCTAAATGTGATTTAATTTTATTTACATTACTCTGGAGTCAGCTTCCTCCATTGATCCTTTGACCATTTATACTTTGTGGGTGACTGTCTTTCAAACTATGACCCCAATCCATTGAAAAATTTTCCTCAGCTGGTAGACAGAACTATCTGATTTCCAATTATAGGACAAAGAGTTCTTTGTGAAATCTGGATTTGTGGTGATTGATCAGGTTCAGCTATGCTTCTGGACCAAATGTTCTTATTTCTAGAAGGCATTTGAAGCCTTATTCCTAGCTATTAAGGCTTGTGTGATTTTGATGCTTTCCTGAATGTTTGGACCTAAGCTCGCTCTCTTCTGATACATTCTCTCCCCCTTTATAAGTAATTGAAACTTTCTCCTTCAAAGTTTTCAACCTGAGTAGTAATTTTGAATACATTTTATCCAGAATTTCTAAGTGTTTGTAGAAGAGAGATTAGAATGGCTCTGTCATGTCATCACAGCCTGCCATATTAACTGGAAATACCTGAACATCATTTCCGTTTATTTTTAGTTATGGAAATATGAAAATTTTGCTGACCAACAATATCATTCCCACTTTCTAGATGCTTGATATGTAATTGGAGATATACAGAAACTCATAGAACATAAACAGAAAAATGTTATTATGCAGTATTGCATAACAGTTTAAGCAGTATAGACTAATGATTAAAGGCCTCAGACAGGATGATGCCAGAGTGCCAAAATTTGAATCAAAGCTCCAGCATTTGACTGTGTAAATTTGAGCTAGACTTTTAATATCTCTATGCCTTAATTTTCCTTGTTTGTAAAATTTGGGATAATTTTACATATTCCATAGCCACTGGTAAATCAGTTAGTGCTGACTCCTGTTCTATTCTCTATATCTATGAGATCAATTTTATTAGATTCCACATGTAAGTGAGATCATGTGGTATTTGTCTTTCTGTGCCTGGCTTTTTTCACTTAACAAAATGTCCTCCAGGTTCATCCATGTTGTCACAAATAACAGGACTTTTTTCATTTTTATGGCTTACTAGTATTCAGTTGTGTATACATACCATATTTTCTTTATCCATTAATTTATTCTTGTATACAGGTTGATTCCATAACCCTAGCTATTGTGAATAGTGCTGGAATAAACATGGGAATGCAGATCTCTTTTCTGCATACTGGTTTAATTTTCTGTAAATAAATACCCAGTAGTGGAATTGCTAAAACACATGGTAGTTCTGTTTTTAATTGTTTGAGGAGCCTCCGTGCTGTTTTTCTTAATGACTGACTAATTTACATTCCCACCAATAGAGTGCAAGGATTCCCCTTTCTCCACATCCTTGCCAGCACCTGTTATCTTTTGTCTATTTGGTAATAGCCATTCTAACTGTAGTGAGGTGATAAGTTATTGTGATTTTGACTTGCATTTCCCTGGTGATTAGTGATGTTGATCATTTTTTTTCACATACCTGTTGGCCGTTTTGTATGTCTTCTTTTGAGAAGTATCTATTCAGGTCTTCTGTTCATTTTAAAATTAGGTTATTTGCTTTTTTTCCTTTCGAGTTGTTTGACTTCTCTATGTATTTTGAATATTAACTCTTTATCAGTGCATACTTTGCACATGTGCTCTTCCAATCTATAGGTTGTCTATTCACTCTGTTGATTTTGTTTCTTCGCTGTACAGAAGCTTTTTAGTTTGATGTAATCTCATTTGTTTATTTTTGCTTTTGTTGCTTGTGCTTTTGAGGTCTTATCTTTCAAAAATCCCTGCCATACCAATGCCATGGAAAATTTCCCCTAGATTTTCTTCTAGTAGATTCATAGTTTCAGGTGTTTAATCCACTTTGAGTTAATTTTTTATGTAGTGAGAAAGATTCTTTTTGCAGTTTTCCCAGCACCACTTACTAAAGAGACCTCTTTTTCCATTATGAATTCTCAACACCTTGTCAAAAATCAGTTGGCCATAAATGAGTGGATATTTTTCTGGGCACTCTATTCTATTCATTGGTCTATATGTCTGTTTTTATGCTGGTACCATGCTATTTTCATTACTTTTGCTTTGTAATAGATTTTGAAGTCAGCTGGTGTAATGCCTTAAGCTTTGTTCTTTGTGTTCAGGATTGCTTTCCCTTTTCAGGGTCTTTTGTGGTTCCATATAAATTTTAGGAATCCGTTTTCTATTTCTGTGTCATTGATATTTTGATAGGGATTGCCTTAAATCTCTAGATCACTTTGGGTAGTATGAACATTTTAACAATATCTTTTCTTCAAATACATGAAGACTGTATATCTTTTCATTTCTGTCTTATTCAATTTCTTACATCAATGTTGTATAGTTTTCAGTATAGAGATCTTTCATTTCCTTAGTTAAACATATTCCAAGTACATTTTTAAAACTTGTTTTATTGTGCCTTGCTTTATTGCACTTTGCAGATATTACATTTTTTATAAATTGAAGGTTTGTGGAAACCCCACATTAAGAAATTCTTTTGATGCTATTCTTCCAAGAGCATTGGCTCACTTAGGTCTGTATGTCACATTTTGGTAATTATCTTAATATTTTAAACTTTTATTAATATTAATATTATTATATCTCTTATGCTTTCTAGTCAGTGATTTTTGATATTACTATTGAAATTGTTCTGAGGTACCACAAACTGTGCCCATGCAAGAGGGTGAACTTAACCAATAAATGTTTTGTGTATTCTGTCTGCTCCACTAACAATCTGTTCCACCATCTCTCTCCCTCTCCCTCTCTTCAGATGTCCCTATTCCCTGAGACACAACAAATATTAAAATTAGGCCAAATAATAACCCTAAACAGAGCCACACATCTCCCACTTTAGATCGAAAGGTAATATGATCATGCTTAGCGAGGAGGGCATGACAAAAGCTGAGATAAGCCAAAAGTTAGGTTCTAGTACCAAAAAGTTAGCCAAGTTGTGAATCCAAAGGAAGTGTTCTTGGAGAAAATTAAAAGTGCTACTCCAGTGAACACACAAATGGTGAGAAAATGAAACAGGTTTATTGCTCATATGGAGAAAGCTTTAATAGTCTAAATAGATGATCAAACCAACCACACCATCCCCTTAAGACAAAGTGTAATCCAGAGCAATGTCCTAATGAGAGGTGAAGCCAGCTGGACTTCCTGGGTCGAGTGGGGACTTGGAGAACTTTTCTGTCTAGCTAGAGGATTGTAAATGCACCAATCAGTGCTCTGTGTCTAGCTAAAGGATTGTAAAAGCATAGCACTCTGTAAAAACGCACCATCAGCGCTCTGGGTCTAGCTAAAGGATTGTAAACACACCAATCAGCACTCTGTAAAAATGCACCAAATCAGCACTCTGTGTCTAGCTAAAGGATTGTAAACGCACCAATCAGCACTCTGTGAAATGGACCAATCAGCCCCCTGTAAAATGGATCAATCAGCGCTCTGTAAAATAGACCAATCAGCAGGACATGGGAAGGGACAAATAAGGGAATAAAAGCTGGCCACCCCAGCCAGCAGCAGCAACCCACTCGGGACCCCTTCCACACTGTGGAAGCTTTGCTCTTCACAATAAATCTTGCTGCTGCTCACTCTTGGGTCTGCACCACCTTTAAGAGCTGTAACACTCGCTGCAAAGGTCCGCAGCTTCATTCTTGAAGTCAGCAAGACCATGAACCCACTGGAAGGAAGAAACTCTGGACACATCTGAAGGAACAAACTCAGGACATGCCATCTTTAAGAGCTGTAACACTCACCCCGAAGGTCCGCGGCTTCATTCTTGAAGTCAGTGAGACCAAGAACCAACCAGAAGGAACCAATTCCAGACACACTAACTCTCTTCAATTCTATGAACGTGAGCAAGCAGTGGGAGAAAAGTTAACTAACAGAAGTTGGTTTATGAGGCTAAGGTAAAAAGCTATCTTTATAACATAAAATTACAAAGTGAAATAACAAGTGGTGATGAAGAAGTGTTCTTTCTGCAGAAAGAACATACATTAATTTAACATACATTAATTTAAAAATACTTTATTGATTAAAAAAAATACCATCATGTAAGCTTTCAGTGAGTTGTTATCTTTTTTTTCTGGTGGAGGGTCTTGCCTTGATGTTGATGGCTGCTGATGGATCAGGGTGATGGCTCATAAACGGTGGGGTAGCTGTGAACATTTTCAAAAATAACAATGAAGATTACCACATCAATGTACTCTTCCTTTCAAAAAATAATTATCTGAAGAATGCAATGCTATTTGGTAGCATTTTCCCCATAATAGAACTTTTTTTCAAATTTGGAGTCAGTCCTCTTAAAACCTGCTACTGCCTTTATTAACTATTTTTATAATATTTTATATCTTTTTTTTTTTCTTTTTTTTTTTTTGAGACGGAATCTCGCTCTGTCGCCCAGGCTGGAGTGCAGTGGCGGGATCTCGGATCACTGCAAGCTCCGCCTCCCGGGTTCACGCCATTCTCCTGCCTCAGCCTCCCAAGTAGCTGGGACTACAGGCGCCCGCCACTACGCCCGGCTAATTTTTTTTGTATTTTTAGTAGAGACGGGGTTTCACCGTTTTAGCCGGGATGGTCTCGATCTCCTGACCTCGTGATCCGCCCGCCTCGGCCTCCCAAAGTGCTGGGATTACAGGCGTGAGCCACAGCGCCCGGCCCCAATATTTTATATCTTTTAAAAATCATTTCAACAATGTTCACAACACCTTTACTAGGAATGGTTTCTATCTAAAGAAACCATATTCCTTCATCATCCATAAGCAACTCCTCATCCATTCATATTTGACCATGAGATTGCAGCAATTTAGTCACATTTTCAAACTTCACTTCTAGTTCTAGTTCTCTTGCTGTTTCCCCCACATCTGCAGTTACTCTTTCCACTGAAGTCTGATACTCTCAAAGTCATCATGAGAGTTGGAATAACTTCTTCCAAACTCCTGTTAATGTTGATATTTTGACCTCTTCCCATGAATAATGAATGTTCTTAATGGCATGTGGAATACTGAATTCTTCTCAGAAGGTTCTCAATTTATTTTGCCCAGATCCATCATAGGGATCACTACCTATGGCAGCTATAGCCTTATGAAATGTTTTTCTTAAACAATAACACTTGATTTAAAAAATTTTATTTGTATATGTGTATGGGTTACAAGTGTAATTTTGTTATGTGACTAGATAGCATCTTGGTGAAGTCAGGGCTTTTGGGATATCCATTACTCAAATAATGTATATTGTACTTATTAAAGAATTTTTCATCATCAGCTCCCTAGCCCTGCAAACCTTCCAATTTTCAACTATTTTACATCCATGCAATATTTAGCTCCCACTTATAAGTGAGAATATGCAGTATTCGTCTTTCTGTGACTGACTTGTTTCACTTAAGATAATGGCCTCCAATTTAACCCATGTTGCTGCAAAAGACTTGAAACTTGAAATTACTCGATAATGCTTGGGCTACAGAAAGGATATTGTATTAGCAAGCATGAAAACATTAGTTTCCTTGTGTTCTTTCTACACCCAGTTTTTTGAGAGTTTTAATTACAAAAGAATGGTGAATTTTATCAAATGCTTTTTTACCATCAATTGAAATGATCATATGGTTTTAGTTCTTCATTCTGTAGATATGATGTATCACATTGATTGATTTGCTTATGTTGAACCCTCCTTGCATCCCAAGGATAAATCCTACTTGGTCATGATAAATGATATTTTCAATGTATTGTTGAATTTGATTTACTAGTATTTTGTTGAGGATTTTTGCATCAATATTCATCAGAGATATTGGTCACTAGTTTTCGTTTTGTGATTTGTCTTAATCTGGTTTTGGTACAGGGTACTACTGGCCTTGTAGAATAAGTTTGGAAGTGTTACCTCCTCCTTTTGAAATAAGTTTGAGTAGCATTGGTATTCATTCTTCTTTAAATGTTTGATAGAATTCAACAGTAGAGCCATCAGGTCCCAGGCTTTTCTTGACTGAGAGACTCTTTATTATGGGTTTAATATTGTTACTTTTTATGGTCTATTCAGGTTTGATTTCTTCATGGTTCCATTTTCATAGGTGTATGTGTCTAGGAATTGTCCCTTTCTTCTAGATTTTTCAATTTGTTGTCATGTAGTTGTTCAGAGTAGCCACTAAGGACCTTAGTTATCTAAGCATTTCTGCAGTTATCAGTTGTAATGTTTCCTTTTTTATCTTTGATTTTATTGATTGGATTTTTTCCCCTTTATTCTTAGTTAGCCAGGCTAAAGGTTTGTCCATTTGTTCAACCTTTAAAAAAAAAAAAACAACACTTTTTGCTTCCTTGATCTTTTGTATTTTTTATCTTCACTTTCATTTATTTCTGCCCTGACCTTTATTATTATTTTCCTACTAATTTTGGGTTTGGTTTGCTCCTGCTTTTCTAGTTCTTTAAGATGCATCATTAGAGTATTTGAAGTTTTTCTTCTTTTCTGATGTAGCACTTATGGCTATAAGCTTCCTTCTTAGTACTGCTTTTGCTATATACCAGAGGTTTTGATATGTTGTGTTTCCATTATATTTCCAGAAATTTTTCAATTTCCTTCTTCATTTCCTCATTGACTTACTGGTCATTCAGGAGCATATTGTTTAATTTCCATATATTTGTATAGTTTCTAAAATTCCTCTTGTTATTGATTTGTAGTTTTGTCCCATTGTATCAGAAAAGAAGCTTGATATTATTTCAATTTTTTGAATGATTCAAAACTTCTTTTGTGACCTAACATATGGTCTATCCTTGAGAATGATCTCTGTGCTGAGGAAAATAATGTGTATTCTGCATCCATTGGATGAAATGTTCTGTAAATACTTATTAGATCCATTTGGTCTATCGTTCAGATTAAGTCCGATGCTTCTTTATTGATATTCTGTCTGGAAGATCTGTCCAAGGCTGAAAGTGAGGTGTTGAAGTCTTCAGCTATGATTGCATTGGAATCTCCTCTCTAACTCTTATAATATTTGCTTTGTACATCTGAGTGCTCCAATGCTGGGTGTATATACATTTAAAATAGTTATATCTCCTTGTTGAATTGACCCCTCTATTATTATATAGTGACTTTCTTTGTCTTTTCGTAAGTTTTTGTCTAGAAGTCTATTTTGTCTGATAGAAGTTGAGCTACTCCTACTCTTTTTTGGCATGGATTATCTTTTTCCAACCCTTTATTTTCAGTCTATTTATGTCTTTAGAGGAAAAAAATGTTTCTTGTAGACAACAGATTAATGCATCTTGCTTTTTTTAAACATTTAGCCCCTCTATGTCTTTTGACTGGCGAGTTTAATCCAATAAATTTGAGTTCACATTCAATGTTATTATTAATAAGTAAGAACTTATTTCTGCCATTTTGCTATATGTTTTCTGGTTGTTTTGTGGTCTTCTCTTCCTTCTTTCTTTCCTTCCTGTCTTCTTTTATTGAAGGTGATTTTCTCTGGTGATATGATTTAGTTTCTTGTTTTTGATTTTTTATTTATCCATTGTATATTTTTTGGTTTGAAATTACCATGAGGCTTGCAAATGCTATCTTATAACCTATTATTTTAAGCTGATAACAACTTAACACTCCGCATAAACAAACAAGCAAAAAGAAAACAAATAAAAATTCTAGCTTTAACTTTGTTTCACCGCTTTTTAACTTTTTGTTGCATCTATATCTTATTGTACTGTCCATGTTTTGAAAAGTTGTTGTAGTTATTATATTCAATCAGTACATTGTTTATTTTTTCCTACTTAGGACAAGAGTAGTTCACATGCCACAGTTACAGTGTTATAATATTCTGTGTTTTTCTGTGTGCTTACTATGACTAGTGAGTTTTGGACCTTCAGGTGATTGTTTATTTCCCCTTAAGGCCCTTTTCCTTCTGATTAAATTACTCCCTTTATCATTTCTTGTAGGACAAGTCTGTTGATGATGAAATCCTTCAGCTTTTGTTTCTCTGGGAAAGTTTTTATTTCTCCTTGAAGTTTAAAGGATATTTTCACTGGATATAATATTCTAGAGTATTTTGTTTTGTTTTGTTTTGTTTCCTTAAGCACTTTACCTATGTCGTGTCTTCCCTCCTGGCCTGTAAGATTTCCACTGAAAAGTCTGTTGCCAGACATATTGGAGCTCCATTTTATTTTCTTTATTTATTTTCTTGCTGTTTTTGGAATCATTTTTTAATCCTTAATCTTTGGGGGTTTGATTATTAAATGCCTTGTGTAGTCTTTTTTGGATCAATTCTGCTTGGCATTCTACAACCTTGTATTTGGATATTGATATCTTTCTCTAGCTTTGGGAAGTTCTCTGTTATTATCCCTTTGAATAAATTTTCTTCCTCTGTCTCTGTCCCTACCTCCTCTTTAAGGAGCAATAACTCTTAGATTTGCTGTTTTGAGGCCATTTTGTAGATCCTGTTGGTATGCTTTATTGCTTTTTATTATTTATTCTTTAATCTCCTCTGACTGTGTATTTTCAAATAGCCTGACTTCAAGCTTTCTAATTCTGCTTGATCAATCCTGCTATTGAAGACACTGATGCATTCTTCAGTATGCCAATTACATTTTTCAGTTCCAGAATATTTACTTGATTCTTTCAAATTATTTCAATTTGTTTGTAAAATTTATCTGATAGAATTCTGATTTCCTTCTCTGTGTTGTCCTGAATTTCTTTGAGTTTCCTCAATACAGATACTTTGACTTGTCTGTCTGAAAGGTCACATATCTCTTTTTCTCCTGGATTGGCTCCTGGTTCTTTATTTCCTTTATTTGGTGGGTTCGTGTTTTCATGGATTGTCTTGATGCTTGTCTGTATTTGGGCATTGAAAAGTTAGGTATTTATTGTAGTCTTTGCAGTCTGGGCTTGTTTGTACCCATCCTTCTTGGGAAGGCTTTCCAGATATTCAAGAGGACCCCAAAACCCATAACCTTAATCTATTGATAAGAAAACCATTAAATACACTCAGATTAGGGAACATACTGTAAGATACCTGACCAATACTCCTCAAGACTGCCAAGATCATAAAAAACAAGTAAAGACTGATAAAAATATCACAGGCCATGGGAAAATGGAGAAACATGAAAACTAAAAATAATGTGGTACCCTGGATTAGATCCTGGAACAGAAAGAGGGTATATTAACTAATGGTAAAACTGATGAAACATAAATAGGCTGGAATTCAGTTAATAGTAACACACCAATATCAATTTCTTAGTTTTGACAAATATAACAAAATAAGGTAAGATACTAACAATAAGGGAATTAGATAAGGCATATGCAAGATTTCTTCATATTATATTTGTAACTATTTTGTAAATCCAAAACTATTCTAAAAGACACTTCATTTAAAACATAAAACAATTTTTTTAAAATAAATTGTTTTAAACATAGGTAAACAACATCCCATTACTGTAAATTGAATTAACAGTATTTTATACTTGAAGCAAACATGAAAAAAGAAGAATGTTGTCTTATTTTGACTGAGCATATATTATCTAGTTAGTCTTACATATTTAAGTAATTAATCCTCAAAAAAGTACAGTCACTGGGCTGTTTAACAACATAACACAGAGATTTCATAATTTTGTTCCATGTGGAATATATTTTAAGCTTGGTTTCAGTTAGGAAATTACTTTTTATTACAGCAGGTTAGGGGCTGTTAAACTATTGTCATTGCCACAGTGTTGGGCAGATCCTAGAGAATAATCAAACAAATAGCCCTTGGATGCTGACCATAGAGCAGAGTGCCACATTGCATGAACAGACGCCTTTTTTTTTTTTTTGATTAAAGCAGGCAGCTGGCATTCTACAGGGTACGTTGGGGAGAAACAATCTTCTTAGTAGTCATGTAGAAAGCCGCATTTAAAATCTAAAGTGTGAATAACTGTTGATACAGAGAGCAAGAATTCTGATGAGAAATGCTAATTCAGCACTTCTTGCCAGGTTTGCAACAGTATGAGACAGAAGGAAGAAAATCTGCAAAGCCTGATTGAAAAAGTGGAAGGAACAGAGAAAATTACATGAGTAATCTCAGCTTCAGGTTTCTATCAGTTTCTTGGAAAAATACTAAATTCAAAATGAGTACCTAAACTTTAATTTGTGTATGAATATTTGTGTTTAGCTATGATGAGCTTTATGTTGTTCCCATTCTCTTGCCTTTTAAACATTCTCAATTGAATAATAAGATCAAGTGTAACTATTGATAGATATTTTGTTGTTGTTGTTCGTGGACATATCACAGCACCTAGAACAATGTCTGGCACAAAACAAATGCTAAGTAAATATTTGGTGAAGAGCAAAATGAATGATATCTCCTACTGGTGCCACGGGCCACTGATGTCTCTCAGTGAGGGCAGGGAGTCTTAGAGGCAGCAGAGAAGGAAAGTGTGTCTCTAGCCAATTTTTATTATTGGAACATCTGATAATTCCCTCTTGCTGGGCCACTAGGCTTTCCTGTTGTTGTCAGCAGAGCCCCTGTTTTATCTAGAGGAAGAATGACCTACTGGGCCAATGTTTTAGTCAGTTTCAGCTGCTATAACAAAATACAATAGACTGTGTAGTTTAAACAACCGACATTTATTTTCTTCCAGCTCAAGATTCTGGAGGTCTGAAGTCAGGATGCCAGCACCACGGTCAGGTTCTGCTCAGGGCTGTTTTCCTGGCTCACATGTGATTGCCCTCTCAGTGTGTTTTCAAATGGCCTTTCCACAGGGCATGAAAATGAAGAGGGAGGGTGTGGGAGGGAGAGAGAGAGAGAAAAGAATGAAGAGGGGTGGGGTGAGGGGAGAGGGGAGAGGGAGGGAGACAGAGAGGGAGAGAAGAGAGTGTCCAATCTGTCTTTCTCCTCTTAGAACTATTTCCATCATGAGGGTTCTGCCCTGTGACTTCATTTAAACCTCTCAAAGGCCCTACTTCCAAATACCATCACACTGGAGGTTAGGGCTCCAATATATGAATTTTGGAGAATACAAACATTCATTCCATAATAGCCACCTTCTGTTGCCAGCTTGAGCAGCTTGAGTGTCTAGAGATGCTGGGCCTGGGTCACCTTTCTTTGGGTGGGAGGTCCTATGAAGCTTTGATACTATATCATTCCTTTAGTCCTTGGGTCTTTAATCGGTTTGCCTTCCTCTTCCCATTTTTTTCAGTGTTCTCTTTTGATTGCCTCTTGCATTATTTCCAGAATTTTTAGTTGTACTTAACAAGAATGAGCAGGGAGAAATGAGTCTATGCTGACTTGTTCTCACCAGAAAGTGCATTTAATTTTGAAGTCCACAGAAAGCTCAGCTAAATCTCAATGTCTTATTGCCATAAGCTTCCCACAGTTATTCAACAACTTCAAGTCCAGTGGTTTTCCTGCTGTGATGTCAATAGCCAGAACGAACTACCCTCACCTAGGGAGTCCCTGAGCTAAGTATTCTGTTAATAAAACCAATTTATAAGTTCTGTTCTTAAGCTATTTGATTACTGTGAGAGTGAACTCACTATATCAGAGAACAAAAAGTGGAAAATTGCTTTAAAGGGTTAATATTGGTCATTTTAATCTCATTGGCATAAAAATGTGTTCTGAGTTGTCTTATGGAATTTTCCTCTCTCTCCTTGCCAGGCCTGAGTCTCTTAATTTTGATTTCTTTTAGTTTTATTCAGAGAATTAAGCTATCATTTGTGTTTGTATAAAAATGTTTTAACTGAGCTTATTATGCTTGAAAAGAAGTGACAATAACTATTTTGACTTATTACTTTCTGTCTGGTTAGGATAATCAAACATTCAGCAAGGAAGAATCAAAGCACCGTAGGTGGTATAAATAAGCATGAGAAAGAGCTTCCGAAAAATCTCTTCCAAATAGAGAACACATCCAGCTCCCTTCTCTCCCCTCTTCCCACCACCCACATTCTCCCCCTACTTTTAGACTATTCCTGAACCAGGAAGTAAAAGTTGTGAGTGGGAAGGGGTGGGGAGTGTGTATGTGTAACCAACAAGGGAATTTATTCTTTTGATGAATCATGATTGTACTATAATCACATATTCCCACATGCAGTCCTGAATTCCTGTGCCAGCATTCAACTCCCTTTGCAAAGCTGGCACCTTCTATTTCCTTCACCAGCATTTCAAGCAAAATGATGTATCAGAAAATTAGAGCTATAAAGAGCCCTTAGATGCTCAAATTCCAGTGTCTCACTTACTGAAGAGAAATGGAGGACCTGGAACATTGTGGAAATCATTCAATTTCATATGCTTCTTATAGGCAGAGCTAGAGTTAGAAGCCCTATATTCTGGCTCCTGGGCCAGTGCTCTTTCTATGATATGAGGATGTCTCAGTTGTAGCCACTATAGCTCTCATGCTTTAACAAATATATTCAGTAAAGCTAGGAGTAGGTGAGAGGCTACCTCACTCCTGCGTAGGAATATAAAAATGTCAAAAAAATAAAAAGACAAACAAGTGATGACTGTAGCTGTAAAAACACAACTTGAAACGTACACTCAATGCTATGATTCCTATGACTGGTACTCTGTGTATTCCCACATCTCTTTCATCTTTACTTCTTCCTTTTCTTTTCCTTTTTCTTTTTCTTTTTTTTTTTTTTTTTGACGGAGTCTTGTTCTGTTGCCCAGACTGGAGTGCAGTGGCGTAATCTTGGCTCACTGCAAGCTCTGCCTCCCGGGTTCATGCCATTCTCCTGCTTCAGCCTCCCAAGTAGCTGGGACCACAGGCTCCCGCCACCATGCCTGGCTAATTTTTTGTAGTTTTAGTAGAGACGGGGTTTCACCCTGTTAGCCAGGATGGTCTCGATCTCCTGACCTTGTGATCTGCCCGCCTCAGCCTCCCAAAGTGCTGGGATTACAGGCTCTTCTTTTTTTTTTATTTTTTGCTTATAATGATAGGGACATTATAGGAGCTACAGGGGTATTTTTGTTTTAATATTAAAAGTATTTCTACTGGAATAGGACAAAATGTCTCACAGCCAAAGCCCAGGGACTTAAGGGAAAAGTCTAATAGCCAGACCAAGCAGAAGGTTCCCATTTCCCCATATGCCCAACTTTAACAGAGGCCCTAGCATGTAGGAAATATATGAATCTTTGAATGATATTTCCTGTGATAAAGGCCTGTTTTATTCCAGGTTTTATATATTAGAACAAAGAAATTGATGCAGATATTATTAGAGTGTTTAGCAATAATATGGAAAGAAGTCACAAAGTCTGTTAAGTTAGCCATACATCAGAGCAGGATCAGAACCTGATATCTGAAGAGTGGGAATCCCACCTCTGAAACCAGTTGTACCTGGGAGAGAAACAATATTATTAATTGGAAAATATTCCCTATAATGCTAGGATTAAATAAAAATGGATAAAATAAAAATGTACAAGACCAAACACTTCTTCATTTCTATATGGACCTGAATATCATCCTGTCTGGATGAAAAAGAGTAATCATAGTAGAGTAGGTACATTCATGGCAAATTAAGCAAGATTTGATTTCTAGCCATGGTGAGTTTGCAGACTAATTGCTCTAACATGTGAGGTAAATGAGGAGCTTACACAGAAACACAGGCAGGTTTTGAAAGCATATCAGAGATCAAGGTGGTTTGAAATAAATTGGGAAACTGTAAAGTTAATTCTGCTGATAAGGGGGATTTTCTCAGAGAGACAGAAAAGCTGAGGAAATAGAAATAAATTATTTTTAAGTGCTGTCTAATTATATAGCTATGGAAAAAATTGTAAAGCTGTTGGAAAAAGTTGAAAAAAATTAATAAGATTAGAATAAGCATGTTTGAATATCTGAAAGATGATCATGTGGCATTGGGGTTAGACATCTAGAGGATGTCACTGAAAGAACTAGGACCAGTGGGGAAAGTTACATGAAAACATATTTATGTGAACATGAGGAGAAAGTTTCCAAGAGCAAAAAGTGTTCAAAATAGTAATAGCTTTAGAAATGAGTAGTTTACTCTTATCATTGGTGGTGTTCAAATACAGGCTTAATGTCATAATGAAAGCAGCATAAGGATGTATTAGTCCGTTTGCATTGCTATAAAGCAATACCTAAGACTGGGTAATTTTATAAAGAAAAGAGGTTTGTTTGACTCACGGCTCTGCAGGCTGTACAAGAAGCATGGCACCAGCATCTGCTGTGCTTCTGGTGAGGGCTTCAGGAAGCTTTCACTTACAACGGAAGGCAGGTGGAGGCCGTGTGTCACATGGTGAGAGAGGGAGCAAGACAGAGAGGAGGAGATGCCAGGGTCTTTTTAACAATCAGATCCCATAGTAACTAATAGAGCGAGAACTCACTCATTACTGCCAGGATGGCACCAAGCCCTTCACGAGGAATCCACACCCATCACCCAAATAACTCCCAATAGATCCCACCTCCAACACTGGGGAATCACATTTCAACATGAGATTTTTGGAGGGGACAGATATCCAAACTGTATCAAAGGAGAATCCAAGAGTCTAACAGATTCATAACTATAAAGTTCTTAATAAACCCTCACACAACAAAACTCAGTCTGCTATGACTTTGTGGAACTCTTAAGATTACTCTGGCTAGTTGAGCATTAGGAAAAGAGCAAGACCCTGGTTGGCCCTTTCAACCTCCATTCCAGAAACAGTAACTCAGTATCTTTAGGAACTATGTGCAGATTTTGACATCAGTGTTTCACATCAACCTGACTGTCTTAATTTCTTAGATTTAGTAAATGTCTGTATTCCCTCAGGAGAGCTACATCTAAGTGTGTGTGTTTATATAAATACACACATAATTATATTTATATATTGTTCACAATGGAAAACATAAATGGAATCCTTGCTAGTGGATATAACAAATAAATACCTGTTACATAAATCAGGTTCTTGGTAGGAAACATAACTCCCTCCAGATGGTTCAAATTAAGAGACTTTAATGAAGGGACTGCTTACAGAATTGTGGGTTGCATTAAGGTAACCAGGGAAAATTCTGAGGCCAGCAGTAGCTGGAAGCTCTTGTTGTTTCTAAGGATGAAGGGATCAGTGAGAGATCAATATTCCAGGAGCCCATGAAATCCTGAGGAGCTGTGGACTCCTCTGTGGACAGGGAAGTTGACAGCTACTGCCCTGCTTCACCAGGAATGAAGCAACAAGAACTGCTTTGCTTATTTGCTGTCCCCTCCTACTCTGTGATCTTCCAATGCCACTCTGTGGTCAATTTCTACCAGATGTCAGCCCAGCAAAGGGAGCCCTGCTAAAGCAAGGCTGGAAATGACAGAGAATGAATCTGGATGATCAAAGGTCAAATGAAGAGCAGCCAGCAAGCCAATAAGAGACAACAGCTAAAATGTGGCCCTCAGCCGTGACATATATTGCTAGATATTGATTAGATGTGTTTTTTTATTCTTGTTATTGTTTGTAATTTTTATTTCGTTCTTGTTGCTGTTTTCATAAGGCCTTTCAAGACAGGTTTGCGATGGTGACTTCTTTTATATCTAGTAGCTCATTTCATGGAAGCACAAACCATATTCAGCTCCAGTTTTATCCTACATTGTCTTTCCTTTTGTTTTGTCAAAGTAAGATAATATTTCTCAACATTTCTCCTTACATTTGCCCCAAATGCTGCAAATCTGGTGACATTCTCTTTATCAGATACTTGTATTGTTTATATTACTAATCTAATGATTGACCAATATGACTGCTGAACAAGTGATATAAAGTAATGATAAATTGTAGTAGCTACAATCTGTCTGTCATGCCAGCTGTTTAAACCAATGGAGTAATTACTAAAACATTGGGTGATATTCATGGACATAAGAAACTCAGTAATTTCAAGAATTGATCATTTTTGAAAGCATATCAAATATTATATCTTAAGTCTTTGATGGTGACTTTTGCAAAACTGAATATTTGGAAAAAATACATATTCACTTCTTTTGAAGTTTCTCTTACACTGATTTCCCGAGATACTTTATATTTCGACCTAGAAATGTCTTTAGTTTTCTCTCTCTGCTTCCCTTTATTTAGTGCCCCCTAGTTTTCTCTTGTCTCTTCAGTCCTAAATTCATCATCTAAACATTATTTCATAGTATTAATATTTTAGACTTACAAGGCTTCTATAACACTGTAAATGTGTTATTTAAAATAAGATGAATGTCATAGATTGGAGAATAGAAAGTAGAATTGTGGAGAGGGAAAAAAAGATCATGTATTTCTAGAGTTTCCCAAAAATTGCCACACAAAAGTTAAGAGATAGTTTGCCCAGAACTTCATTTGGTCTCACATTACTGAGGTCTAAATCTGGCAAGAACACATATTGAATTACATAGAAAAAAACAATATGGGCCAGGCATGGTGGTTCACACCTGTAATCCCAGCACTTTGGGAGGCCGAGGCAGGTGGATCACCTGAGGTCAGGAGTTTGAGACCAGCCTGGCCAACGTGGCAAAATGCCGTCTCTACTAAAAATACAAAAATTAGCAAGGCGTGGTGGTGGGTGCCTGTAATCCCAGCTACTTGGGAGGCTGAGGAAGGAGAATCGCTTGAACCTGGGAGGCGGAGGTTGCAGTGAGCTGAGATCACACAACTGCGCTACAGCCTGGGCGAAAGAGGGAAACTCCATCTCAAAAAAAAAAAGAAAGAAAAACAATATTTTCTTTAATGCTTCAAGATACAGGTTTACATTAATTGAGTGAAAGAACATATATATTTATGTATCGATGATATCGATACATAAATATATATTTAACTCAGTTTTGTTATAACAAAATGGAACAAAATATTTGTTATAGATATAAAAAAAGGTAATGAAAACTAAAATGAGTTCATGATCCTTAGCAAGAGTTTCAGAAAGAGAGGTACCTAGATAATTTAGGTTTTGTTAATATTTTCCCTTTATTTTTCTTTATAGTACTTGGTATTACTGAATATAAACCCAGGACATCCATGATATGGAAATAATATTAGAATTCACAGTAAAAGCAATAGGATAGGTAGCAAGAAAGATTCCTTTAGGAAAAGATGAGCACTATGTAAAGGACTAGAGGAAAGAACCAAGATAGGAAGGTCTTGGTTTTCAGACACCTAAGCTTCTATTAGTGGAAGTTAGGACTGCCACTATACTGCTTCAATGGTGATTTACCTGGACCTAATTTGTCTCAATTATTGTGGGAACTTGTGATGTTTTTCTGACATTTCACAGTCATTAAAGAAGAGGGTTGTGTAAAACAGCGTTAGAGAGGATGGTCTCTTTTAATGTCAATTACTACCAGCTTTTATTTCATTTCTGTTTCCTCTCCAACCCTGTACGCTCTACTAAAATTAAAAAACAAAGAATCAATTCCTCATTTCAAAGGAGGAAGAGGATATTTTTCAGAGGACATATAATAAGGCCACTAAATCTCAGCTCATTTGGACCAGCCCATGGTGTTCTGGAAATTTAACAATCTTACATAAAGTCGCTTTTGGTGAGAAAATACAATGTTTTATCAATTCTAATAATTTATTAATTATTCATATTTAACATTTTTACTTTAGAAAATGAGGTTACAACTTATTGAAAGTATTTAAAAATATCCGTAGGTCTACCATTGATACAGTTTTCATTTTCTTAAACCTTCAAACTTGTGTTTGTTTGTTTTTGTCTTGGTGGCATGGCTTGACAACTATATCTAGTCAACATACAAACCAATAAGTTGTGACCCATTTGAGCGTAGAATATAGGTCTTGTTTGTTGTTTGAAAATTGTCCATTGATACCTTCAAGTAAGAGCAGAAAAGATCTTAAACATAAAATTGTATATAATGGGGGCCAATAGGTTGGTTGAAAATGTTGTAAATAATATAAAGCATTTTAAAAATAAATACTACATTGTGCAGGCTCTGGTTAGCACATAAGTTGATGTTGCATGAAATAGGAAGATATTGGTGACACTGAGGTCACAATAGAAAAAGCAGTACTCATCTTGCTTTCTACCATATACAACCACAAATTTTTACTATTTTAAGATATTGGATAACTAGCAACACATGTCTATGGTCCTTAAGAAAGGAGAAAAAAAGAGGTATCAAAGATATGATTTCAGAAAAATAAGTCAGTGAGACTTTTCAAAGCTCATTACTGTAAAAGAGGCAGCTATGCAGAAAAATAGTTCTAAAAGTCTGCCCGGGGTCCCCTTGAGTCTGTTGCTGAATAATAAATTGTCTTTATATAGGGTGAAAGTTCATGAATCTAGGCAAAAAATAAAATAACACAGAGAAACTTAAAGATTGTCAATTTCTGAAGCTTACGTAAGACTGGGATACATTCAAGTTTATCCAGAGTGGAAAATCCCCTTAGAATACCAGGGCATTTAATAAAAATCCCAGAAGAGTAAAATCTTAGAGTATGGCTAAAATAGCCCTGTAATAAAAGCTCCTAGAGACCTTACCAAACAAATCTTAAAAATACCAAGTTAATTTGCAAGTAACATAATTGCCAGGCAAAATGAAATTTCATACACTATAAAGAAAACAGTAAAATCAAGTTGTGTAGTAAGAGAGCATCTACAAAGTCAAACATCCAATTAAAAAAAAATCACCAGACACATAAACAAACAGGAAAATGTGACCCATAACCAGAAGAAAATTCAGTCAATGAAAATAGACTTAGAATGGACAGAAATAAAGCAAATAAAGAAATAAAGCAATTAGCAGAAAGGAACTTGAAATAAATGTGATTAAAACTTAAGACATGAACATACAAAGATAAATAGAAGATGTAAAAAGAGGCATGCACTACTTCTGGTGATCAAAAATATAGCATTTAATGTAAAGAAATCTGCATGAGAAAACATCAGTAAATCCGAAAACACAGCAATAGAAACTACCACAATGAAGCTGTGAGAGTAAAAATAAAGTGGAAAAAAAGCTGAACAGAGACTCAATTATCAATGGGAAAATAGCAGCCAACAAAGAAGTTGGAATTGGAAAGATGAAGGAAAATTATTTGAAGAATTAATGACTAGGACTTTCCCAAATATGATGGAAACTCTAAACACAGAGATCCAAGAACATGGAAGAAACTCCAGCAGAATAGACACAAAATTGCACTATGACAAACTATAATAAAATTCCTGAAAATAAATGATAAAGAAGTATTAAACGCTGCCAGAGAAAAAGAGACAAAGAATTGCCACACATTTCCCATCAGAAATCCAAGCCATTAGACAATGGAACAACATCTTTAAAAAGATCCAAGAAACAACAAAAAACAAAAAATCCTGTCAACTGAAAATGCTACAGGAAGAGAAAATATCCTTCAAAAAAAAAAAAAGATACTTTGTCAGACACAGAAAACCTGAGAGAAATTTTTGTCAGGAAACATCACGGCCCACTTAAAAATTACTCAAAAGATGTAAATATGCCTGAAGTGTTGTTTGGTTTTGCTTTTTGCTTTGTTTTTTGTTTTCAGGAAGAAAATGTGGTTCCCAGAAAAGTATGAAAGATTCATGGGGATCATGGAAAAATTACAAGTTTTAGAAAGGATCTTTTAGCCAGATGACCTGCAGCACATACAAGAGAATGTGTCATTATCAGTAGCCAGTAGAAACTTAGAAACTGCGAAGACAGTCCAAATGACTTCCTTCCTTTCTCTATTGGTTTATGATAGAGACAAAATAACATCCACCAGCATATCGTATTTCTAAACTCACCCAAACAAGTTCCCTTGTGACACCCATGGTAAAGACGGAAACATGTATGTATGATTACTATACACTTGAGTGTATTCTTAGTCAATTAACGATTGTACTCTAAAAGTATTAGTAACAGAAAAGCAGAAAAAATTAATAAACAGGATTTTTTGATAAGCATTTTCAATTATTGAGAGGAAAGTTTGTCTTAGAAGCTGATATTCTTTTATAATAGAAAAATATTTTGTTTCTAATTAAGATAAATTTTATGCAGAGTAATATGAAAAAATCATTGATTAAAGTACACAAACTCTGCCTTTCAGTAACTTATGACTTTCCTTATGTTAGTCTATTTCCCTGTGATTTTATAGTTTTTTTTTGGAGGGTGGGGATATGTGTAGTATTTGGATTTTAAAAATCTCTAGACATTTTTACAGTTTCAATAATCTTTCTCTAAATTTCCATATAGTCACAAATCTCTTTTGTCATTCAGCTACTTTTAAGTGGCAGGGTAAGACCGCAGTTAATCCCAGGAACCACATTCTCACAGTAAATCCATGGAACACTGAAGACGTAGTTTAAATTTGAAACTCCATTTAGTGTTTTATAATAACTTGTTTTTGCTAGATTTTTCCGAAGTGGTTAATAAACCTATTATAAACTCTGGGTAAGGCAAATCCTTTAATTAAACACGCTGAAACTGCCTAGGTACATACTGGATAAAAAATTAGAAGGCTTTTAAATATTTAAGAGGGAAGAATATAAATTGGTAAGAGAATATTATTAGAGAAGACAGGTTGCAGAAAGAATAGTCAAACAGAGATTAATTATTTCTCTTTCCTCCCCCAAAATAGTAGACATGATTACAAGTTGATGAAGTTCAAGGTATTATAATTGCTTCATCTTTGTCTAAGTTTTACTCCTCTTTCTTCAAGAACTTATTGATTTATAGAATATTTATTAGTGAAATATTAAAGGTGGGAGGTCTAGTATCTCTCTCTCTCTCACACACATACACACACACACACACAAACACACACACAGCCCACAAGTGCTGCTGTTTCCCAAAGAAGCCTAAGTATGTAGGCAAGAGCTGAAACCAAGCAAATTGTGAGTATTCCAATGGAGACTTCTAGAGGTGGTGAGGATTACACTGCTTCCATGACATATGGGGCCAAATATTTGAGGGTTATAAATATCCTTATTAGTCTCCATATATTAATGATTCTTAAATAGTAGTTTTATTAAATGAGCCAAATTTGAATTTTATTCATATTTATCCTCAATATTACTTAAACACTTAAAAAATATTGTTCAAGTAAAAATTTATCCTGGAACTTTTCTTGATTGGGCAGTTAGATAATACTTTCTCTTGCCATCTGATTTCACCTAGGGCTTCACTGTCACCTCAAAACAATAACGTTTCAGTCTCTGACTGCTCATTCATGCATAAGAAACAGAAAGAATCTTGTTTCATGACTTGTAATATAAAACTAAAGTTGTTCCTTTAAGAAAGAATTTTTTGAATCTATTAAGAGGCCCCAGGAGAAATGGAGGCACTCGGAAGTCTGGCTGTGGAGGAAGAAGTAAGAATATTAACTTCCATAGTTCAATTACTATCTATATCTTGGTGATGGTCAAATTTGTATCTCAAATCTAGATCACTCCCCTGAGATTTGGACCAACATGTCCCATTGCCTATTTTTATTTCTGCCCAGATGCTTCACAGGCAACTACATTGAACTGTGCAAAACTGGAACTTGTTTCCTCCTCTAAACCTTCTCTTCATCTTGGGTTTTCTATCTCTATGATAGTCTCCAAAGGAAAAAGTGGCTAAGATGAGGTGGGAAATGCTGGCACAGGCTGTGTTGGTAAGATAGGAGGAATAGTGTGATCTCACATGGGCATGGTAGATCTTTCCATGAAAAGGCACGGGTCATTTTCTTACATCTGTTAAAAAAAGTTATGAAATATTTCAAAGATATTTGCTTTGTTTTTGGTATTATCAAGTATTTTATGTATTATCAAGCATTTTCTCAAGCTTATTTTATATATTATCAAGTATTATGTCTCACAATTCCAAAAGTCATACATATTTCCCCCATTCTAGCATTTGCAATCGTATATGGCAATATTGGAAGTGTAGTATAACACAGGATACAGAATTTAGAAAGACTCCAGGGGCATGGGCTAACATGTTGGAGATGGCACCACTGCTTGCTAGATTCTCCAAAACAGAAACTCTTTTCCTGGATTACTTATTCTCCCTGCTTCTGACCTCCAAGCAATCATCACCTACATTTGATTATACCTTTCATGTATTTACAAGAGTGTGGTGGGGTTCTATTCACTGAAACCTACTCTTTTTTTTTCTGCTCCAAGTTTCTCAGTCATGTGAGCATGCACAGAAGAAGCAGTAGTCAATAAGAAACAAGATATTTTATGTGGTTTTTAGTGATGTTCACCCCAAATGTATAGCTTTTCACTCTCCAGCCCCATGGCTTCCATATCATACTTTGAAGTTAAGTCTGTCTTTGGACAACAAAATGTGAAGAGACGTGACATGTATCATTTCCAGATGGATCCTTTAAAGGCCAAGGAGGGCATTCATCATGTCCCCTCTCACTTCTGTAGTGATCTGAGAACTGGGAAGCATATGCTAGTATGAAGCTTTACTATGTCAGCTCCCTGAGCAATTGTGATGAGCGGCAACCCCCATCAGCCCACACTGAACACAAACCAGGAATAAGAAATAACATTTTGATATGTTAAGCTTCCCACGTTTTGGGTTTGTTCATCTTGACAATATAAACCAGTCCATCCTGACTGATGCTTATTATTTAAATAATAGTTGAGCAACAACCTAATATTTATCTTTCTCCTATCCTCCATGGAGTGTTTCTCAGAAGACAATAGATTGAAGAATTTGAAGAATAGTAGCTTAAGTGAAGTCTCTCATTTCTTTGACCATTAAGTGTAAAATGCCTGAGACTACAGAGGAAACTGCAAACATGTCCTTCTTCACATGAAAGCAGGAAGGAGAAGAAATGAGAGCCAAGTGAAGGAGAAAGCCCCTTTTGAAACAATCAGATCTCATGAGAACTAACTCACTATCACAAGAAAAAGATGGGGTAAAATGCTCCCATGATTTAATTATCTCCACCTGGTTCCTCCCACAACATGTGGGGATTACGGGAACTATAATCCAAGATGAAATTTAGTTGGGGACACAAAGCCAAGCCATGTCAATTTTCTTCATCCTTTTAGGAAAGGTAGATACTTAGAAACAGGATAGTTGCTCCTCCTTAGCAAATCTTCCCCTCTAATTGTTGACATTTCTTACCTTAGTTTCACTAAAGAAACTGAGGTCATCATGACCCCCACCCCCCACAACTCTTAAGAGGGCTCCCTGACTCCAGCCATAGTCGTCTTCTGTCAGTTTTTTATATTGCAACCCAAGTGATGTTTCTCTAAAAACACGTCTAAGCCTTCAGGATCCTTTTAAGAATCCTTCAATGTTTTCTCATTGCCCTAAGATAAGGTACAAAATTCCCTGTTAGGACCTATATGATTTTGCAATGTCTGGTTCTTCCTCTATTCTTGCCTTATCCTGCACCACTACTCATGATTTATTACTACCACCCTGAACTTCTTTCAGTTGTTCAAAAGCAGTATGTTCCTTATTGCCTCTAGGCAATTGCACTTACCCTTCCCCTTTACGGAATGATCTTCCTTTTCTTCACTGACTAGTACCTACCAGTGCTTCAGGTTTTAAACTTAAGTGCCCTTTCCACTGGAAAATGTTGATGAGCTGCTCTTTGCAGAAATTATGGCAAAAGCAATCCTGGAACCATCTTGTACTTGGAAGGTTTTATTTCTCCCATCCTGACTTCTCTCCTATAAAAACTTGGAGATGTGAAGAACCAAAGGCAAGGGATGCTCTAGAATTTAGAGAGAAACTTGGATTCATCTTTCCTAATACTATATATTAGTAGGATTGCAAATGTCACCTGAGGGTATTTACCTATAGAAATAAAGATCATGAAGGCTCACTTCAATTTTGTAATTGAAGGTCTTGGCCTGATTGGGTTCACAAAAAGGCCCATGCCCAGGATTCCATCCACATAGAGAATTATGACTAAGGTCTTGTAATAATAAACAATGAATGTTATTTTCGGACATTATTTTAGTCTTAAAGAAATGTTTGGTTGCCTTAATCTATTCCTCTCTCCCAACTCCATTTAACTTATGTCTTCATTTTTTTAATTCATTGATTTTTTTCTCTTTCACCCATGAGTACACTTATCATAATTGAATCATTTAGTTTGTTACTGTTCAAGTTATTCTCCCATCTCCTTCCTCTTGTTACTACACCTATTGATAGAATAAACTATACCAGTTATCCTCACTCGTTCAACCTGGAGTCAATGATTGGATTTGAATGATTTGACTCTACCTTAGTTTGTTATTCCAACTGACTCTCAGTGGTCAGGAAATTCCGTTATCCCAAGAGAGTAGCTTGCACTCCCTTCTATGATTTCTCTGCAGTACAGTTATATGTCATTTAATAATGATAATACATTCTAAGAAATTGTACTGTGGTGTGAACATCATAGAGTACACTCACACAAACCCAGATGGTTTAGCCTACTACATACCTAGGTTAGATGATAGAGCCTAATGCTTCTATGCTGCAAACCTGTTTAGCATGTTAGTGTAGGCCACACTGTAGCAACAGTGACATATCTAAGGTACAGTAAATGTAGGCCACACTCTAGCAACAGTGACATATCTAAGGTACAGTAAATGTAGGCAACACTGTAGCAACAGTGACATACCTAAACATATCTAAAGATAGGAAAGGTACAGTAAAAATGATGCAGAAAAGATAAAAAATAATATACCTGTACAGGGCATTTACCATGAATGCAGCTTGCAGGACTGTAAGTTGCTCTGGGTGAGTCAGTGAGTGAATGCGAAGGCCTATAATATTATTGTATTCTACTACAAACTTTATAAACACTGTGCACCTAGGCTACACTACATTTATTTGAAAATATTTTTTTCTTCAACAGTAAATTAACCTTTACTTAACATTTTAACTTTATAAACTTTTAAGTTTTTTAACTTTTTGACTCTTTTATAATAACAGCTTAAAACACAAACACATTGTATAGCTATACAAAAATGTTTTGTGCTTTTGTATCTCTATTCTGTAAGCTTTTATATTTTTAGATTTTTTTTACTTTTTAAACTTTTTTTGTTAAAAATTAAGACACAAACACGTTAGCCTAGGTCTACACAGGGTCAGGATCACCAATATCACTGTCTTCCACTTCCACATCCTGTCCCATTGGAGAGTTTTCAGGGGCAAAAACATGCATGGAGCTGTCATTTCCTGCGATAACAATGCCTTCTGGAATATCTCCCAAAGGACGTGCCTGAGGCTGTCTTACAGTTAGCATATATTTGGTATACTCTAAAATGAAATTAAAAAGTATAGTAAATACATAAACCAGTAACATAGTTGTTTATTTTATGTTTATGTTATTACCATTGCTGACCACAATGGACATACAACACTTTATGGTGCTATGGTTTTAAGGAATAGATGAGAGAGTTCTAATGCACTATGCTGGTGGTGAAATATCTTCCCAGGAATGATTGGATGATTGCAGATTACCAAGAAGGCTGGTGAATAGGTAATTATATTGCCTGTGAGGAACAGCAGACTTAGAGTGACCAGGTCACTGGTTATTCTAAAATGCCCTTACACCTCAGTGGTTGTATTCATGAGCTATTATATTTATGGATTTCCCAGACCACTGAAACCCAGAAATAAAAAAGGATCATTTGGAAATTCCAGAATAGTAGATTAGCCTCAGGGTAAAACCAAACAAACAAATTTTATTAGTCTGTTGTCACACTGCTGATAAAGACATACCCGAGACTGGGCAAGAAGAAGGTTTAATTGGACTTAACAGTTCCACGTGTCTGGGGAAGCCTCACAATCATAGTAGAAGGCAAGGAGGAGCAAGTCCCGTCTTATACGGATGACAGCAGGCAAAAAGAGAATGAGGAAGACACAAAAGTGGAAACTCCTGATAAAACCATGAGATCTCGTGAGACTTATTCACTACCATGAGAACAGTATGGGGGAAACTGCCCCTGTGATTCAATTGTCTCCCACAGGGTCCCTCCCACAACACGTGGAAATTATGGGAGTACAATTCAAGATGAGATTTGGGTGAGGACACAGCCAAACCATATTGCAAACAATAAAAAGGGTGCCAGTAGCCAGGGAAAAGAGACCTGTCTCAGCAAAAATACAACAATGGCACTTGCATGCAGGGTCAATACTTACAGCCAGACACTTATTCTATGGCAACTGCTTACAGATCAGGAAGGTATATGGGAACACAGAGAAAGTCATAACCTCTGCAGATATGCAGAACAGATTTAGGGAGATATGGGGAGAAGCTCAGCAAGAAATTTGAGAAGAGCTAGGGCTGGGTTCTTATGCCATACTCTACTTCCCATTCCCCACCGAAAGGCTATAGGAAAGGGTGAAGGGAGACTCATATAAGGCCTTACTGTATATTGGAGCTTCTACAGCTGTTGCTGGCTTTTTCATCTGGACTCACTTGCTGTTCTTTTGTTAGACTGTATAATCAATTTGGACTTTCTGAGTTCCTTAAATTCAGCTCCAGTGAGAGGACAGGGTGGTTGAATGAAATCATTATCACCCCCCTGATGGCTCCTTTTACATTTGACCAGAGGCATTGTTAAGAAATGAGTGTAACCCTAAAACTTGCTACAGCCATGCAATGGAAACAATCCTGCTTTCCAGGAGTAGAAAAATGAATTAGTTTCCATATAAAAGATTTAATGCAGGCAGAGATATTATGCAATGTGATTTCCCAGTTTAACGACCTTATCTGACTGAAACACTTTTAAAAAGTCACTAATATTTGGCACTTCACTGTGGACTGCCAAAACTAAACAGAGAAGTGCCCTCTGTTCCATATTGGCATATATCATAAAGGTGACTTAACAAGTGTGTCTGTTACAGGCATTTGGTATACAGCCTTGCATCAGCTTTCTCCTCAACCCCCACAATCCTTCACAAAGAGGATTAAGATAAGTTTGCCATTCCCTACTAAGGAACCCAGTGCAAAATCAAGGTCCTGAATCCTCAGCCAGCGATGTATCATCAGTGGTTAGGAAAACCCTAGCATAATATGAATTACTCATTGGAATCCAAACATGTTATTAAAAACATTATTGGTTTAAAAATTTTAACTATACACACAATGGAAAGATTGAATATTGAACCATCATATATACATCCTATAATATCAACATGCACATTTTTAATATTAACATTTATCAACATTCTGACATTTTTGTTTCATTTACACTTCCCATATTTTTTTTCCCCTGGCAGTATCTTGAAAGAATTTCAGATGAATATTCATGGTATTTTTAGAGTGGCTCCACTAAGGAAATAGCTTGCATTGCTTTGCATGTCATCTACAGGCAGTCAGCTAAAGATGGAGTAATATGAGGATAAAAATCCAAAACCTTCTTAACACTATACGGGCAGCAGCCCAAAGTGACTTTCTCCAGCTTATTTTGGTGAACTGTGGGACTCGGAGCCACCACCTAAAACAAAAGTGGGTAAATACCTGCTTGGGATCCATAGGTATTGGAGGCACCATATTCCAGGTTTAAGGGTTTTATGATAGTCACGTCACCAGACAAGTCACTTAAGTTCAAATGGGACTCAAAACAGAAACTCTTGAAAAGCTTTCAGGCATCAGTAAAACAAGACATGCCCTATACATTTGGAGTCAATGTTATAATTGCTGTCTGTGAATAGTTTTAAAGACGACTGTGCTCTTGCCAGTGAGATTCTGCCAATACCACATGCCCGTGAATTTTTGAATTGGAGGATTTCCACCCACTGATGACCAGTACACAGCCTTTGGACGATGGTGCTAACCTCTCCTGAAGTCATATACTAGTCTCACCAACGGAAAAGTCATGATTTCCTGACTTAAAATCCTCATCCGTAAGTGGGTCATCTCTGAACCAAAGTCCCATATGTTGAATTATGAGTTCCTAAAATGCTCAATTTAAAAATGATTTTCTACTAGGATCAAAGCCTGGCCTTATGTTAATTTTATAATTCTCTTACATTACAATAATGTGAAGACTTTCCTATTCTCACAGCTACAGGGATGAGATCCTGAATGTGACTGTGGTCATGGATGAGCAAAATCCTAGATTTTTATACAAAATTATCCAGAGTTGGATTCTAACTGCTCTTCCCAGTCTTATTTCTTGACTGCTATGGACTGAATTGTGTCCCCCAAAATTTATATGTTGAAGCCCTGAGCCCTAATTTTATGGTATTTGAAGACAGGGATTTTTTGAGATAATTAGGCTTATATGAGGTCATGAGGATGAGCCCCTTATAATGGGATTAGTATCCTTTTGTTCTCACTTATACATGAAAGCTAAATGATGAGAACTCATGGACCCATAGAGGGGAACAATACATACTGGGGCCTATCAGAGCATAGAGGCTGGGAGGAGAAAGAGGATCAGGAATAATAACTAATGGGCACTAGGCTTAATATATGGGCGATGAAATAATCTGTACAACGAACCTCCGTTTCACAAGTTTACCTATGTAACAAACCTGCACTTGTACCCCTGAATGTAAAATAAAAGTTAAAAAAAAAAGAGACCCTAGATAACTTGCCCTTCCTCTCTGCCACCTGAGGACATAGCAATAAGGAAGCTGTCTGCAAGCCAGGAAAAGATCCCTCACCATAACCTGACCATGCTGGTATCCTGATCTCGGACTTTAAGCCTCCAGAACCATGAGAAAATAAATGTCTGTTGTTTAACCCACCCAATCTATGATATTTTGTTTTGGCAGCCAGAGATGACTAATATCCTTGGCTTTTCTTCTCACATCATGCCTGAGAGCTCTTATGAGCTCCCTCTACATTCGAATACCTCTCTTACTCCATTTCTGCACATTCACATTTTAATGATTTTTTTAAACCCAGTGCAAATGTTACCTTATACTCTCTTCTCTGACCTCTTAAAGCACTTCGTATTTTCTTGTGACACATTTTTATTGTATTAAAGTTACTTATATTTATGACAAGCTTTCCATAATTATGCATCAGGAATTGCACTGCATGAGGTTAGGCTCTGAAGAAGAAACATCAAGTCAAAGTACCTGTCCCAAGGAGACCACGGCTTAGAAGAGAGGGTGGACAATTAACTAGGCTTAGTTATAGGGTATGGCTGGGGCTCTACTGGAGGAGATGCATCAAGGGTGGTAGGGGAGAGCAGAAGAGGGGTGGGTCCCACTATTGTCCATATTATTAAACGCCTTAGGAAGAAGTGATGCCCAAACACAAAGTGTAAGCATGTGTGGGAGTTTCAAGATAGCTGAGAGAGAAAGGTATGCCAGGTAGAATGTATCACATTTCCCCTCTCTGTTAGGAAACTGCAGGTGCCTTCAAGGCAGGAATGGTGCTGATCATTAACAGACTCAAAGTACTTTTATGCCTGGTATAAAGGACAGATTAAATCAATATGTAATGTCTGAAGGAGATTTTTAGAATAAGTATGGCCAGAATAGCATGTGGAATTTGGGTAACTGAAGGGCAATGGAATAAGAAGAGAGTAACATTCAATACTTTACACTGTTACTTAAGACTAGCCCTGTCATTATGAAAATTGGGGCATGGAGGAGGTTGCTTTTATTCAAGTCTGAATAGAAACACAGGAATACAGCATATTTTTTGTCTTTGCATTTAGAGTCTCTGAAAACTTAATACTGTTTCTACTATCATTAAGAACCCCATCCTGTTATGCAAAGAGGATACTACTGATGGATGACCTATAGTTTGCACAGGATGATAATGAGGTTTCTGAGCCACCCACAGTTCCTCATTTCCTCTGTTCAGTCAAAAGGTACACATTTGTAAGGCCATCACCCAGGGCCAAGAGTATGAGCTATCATGGAAAGAACTTTCACCTCATTAGCTGCAAATTCTAACCAGCTAAACTAATCAGCTTAGAAGAAAACTATCTTAATAGTTTATAAATCATCATTTAAAAAAAAAAAAAGAAAAAGTGGAACATAAGAATTTGGAGTTAGACTGCTTGAGTCCAGGTTTTAGCTCTGTTTCCTTTATATACTAGACGAATCCATTCATTCCTTCATACCCAAGTTTCCAGAAAGAGTTGTTTGCATTTGCAGTCTTCACTTTGTCACCTGTGGTTCACACAGAAATCCATCTGGTTGGCCATGGCATCATCATTCATACCTCCTCACTGGAAGGGCTATCACCAGAGTCTCCACTGTGTCCTTTATGTAGAGTAACTTACTTTTACTGTAATACCTGATCCCTTTGACCACTCCACCCTACTTAAAACTGTTCAGATTTGTTTTCTTGCTTGTTTTGCCTTTTTCACAGATTTCCCTCCCCCTCAGACTCCTTTGCATGTGCTTGCCCAGAGTATTGCCTTCAGTTATTTTTGGTTTTCGTTTTAATACTCTGTCTGATTAATTTAATCCTGTCTCCTTGGTTATGTAAATAGTGATGGATCCAAAATGTAATTTTAGTCTGGGCTTCTAGATTCATGTATTCAAATCCATTTGAATGTCCATCCCATTGAACACACATTTGAAGTTGAACTCCATCAACATTTCATGCTTAGTATCCACTTAATTGGTCAAGTCTGAAAACTAAGTTGTCCAGTGTTTTGTATTCACCTTAATATCTTCATCCCCTTTTTCTTCTTAGTGTATCCACTGCCCTTAATGGAGGCCTTGAATTGTTTCACTCTCCTACCTAATCTACACACCTCCAGGTCTGTCCCTTTGCTAAACTATTTTCACAAATGCTGCCAGGGATTTTTTTTTTCGTAAAAACAAATATAATAATATTTTCCTAGTAAAATGTCTCCATGGTTTCCCTTTGCCTTCAGGCTGCTATCTAACCTCCTCAGTGTAATATATAAAGATCTCTCATAATTTGGCTGCTCACATCTGTAGTTTCATTTGTTATCATTCTACTGTTGGATCCTGTATTCCAGCTATCCTGCATCAATGGTGAATTCTTAGTCCCATGATCATGTAGAAATCTGTTTGTTATGAAATACTGATGTTACTGCCTGGAATACCCTGTGCAATTCTTTACTTAATTAAGCCTCATTGGTCAGTAAAATTTAATTAACTTTTAGTAGTCCTTCCCAACACACACTGCTAAACTGCATCAGAGGCCTGCATTTTATATATTTTCATAACATTCTAGGCTTACGTTCTGGCTAACAACAATATTGTATTTGGAGAAGTTAGCTTCTCTCTCCACTGTACTGTGTCTCCTTGCTATTGGCACTGTGCATTAGTTTTCTTTCTCTTCTATCACACAACATTGTATCTGGCACAAAATAGGTATTCACAAAACGTCTTCCAAATAAACAGATCTGAGGTATATAGGTAGCTCTACCCTGTGTTAAAACTATATGAAATAACTACCTATATTACAGGTTCACCATTTATCAGGAATTATAACAATATCTACCTCACAGGGTTGTGATGATTAAAGGAAATGTTGCACATGAACAGATTTTGAAACTATGAAGTACTTTGTAAAAAATTTCAAACCAGAGCTCAATCCTCAGTTATTGTCCTCAGTCAATACAAGTGTGTTTACATTTCTCAAATGTTTGGATTTTATAAAATTTGCATACCATTCCAAGACAGACCCAGCCATCAGTTTTATATTCTGAAAACATGAATAAAAACAGAAGGCACTTAGCTGAGCCATTACGTTTGAGAATAGAAATGCAAGCAAAAGCATGATATATTAATCTGCTGATTTTAATGCCCAAGTAGGGATGTTATCTTAAACATATAAATACACGATTTAGATGTCTTCCTCTTGCATGTAAGTAGTAAAAATCACAACCCTGAAGAACAATTTTAGACAGCTTCTACTGATAAATTCACCTGTCTGTTTTTCATCAGACCACATAGCTCTAAGGAGGAAAATAAGGCCAATACACTGTATTTGAAAGCTTTCTCTACAGGATGACTCAGTCTTCTGATTATTGTTCATTCTATTTCTTTTGCTTATGGAGCCACTAGGAGGTCAATTTAAAGTTTTCAGGAAGTCAGTGTGCTCATCTCTTGATTTATTGCTTAAATAAATAGCAAAAGAGTTAAATGGTCATCCTGTCAGTGGTGCTACATTCAGAAAATGACCAAGCAGAAAACATTGTCACCCTTAGCACTGTATTGTTATAGAGATGGTATCTTCAAGGGAAAATATACTTCCTTTATTGATTAAAGTATGTTTCTGTAGCCTCAAAGTCAGGGAGTTACAGTTGGGAATATTAGATTCTTCACTCCTTCCCATGTGAAAGGGGATTTGTTAAGGCCCATCTGATCGCAGAAGATTTAAAGTCTCATTTCTAAGGGTCGGTCAACTCTGTGGTCCCTGCAGTATTCAGGAAATAATAGACTTTGACCTACAGTACCGTTTTTTTTTTCCTGGAGAAATATTAATTTTTTTACAGCAACAAATTTAATGACAAGGCCTATTTTGGAGCATGAAAAGTTAGATTTTATGAAAGGTTATAAGAGTGTGTCATGTGATTCATCTATCTGTTTATCTATGTATCTATTTGTCACTTAAAATATAGAACAGAAGAAATTATTGCCCCATCTTCCCCAACCTGAAGCACTATTGATTATTATAGTGCTCATTCGATATGCTAGAAAGGATTATTGACCAAATTCTTCCTGTCTCAATTCTTTTCCTTTTGTTGATTTCTCCTTATTCACAGCTTTAAGTGACATATGTAATACAAACATGCTACTATATCATTATTATTTCATTTTTATCTTTGAAGTTCCCAACTATTTTTAAAAAATTATTTCAAAAGGAAAGTTTACAATGATATCTGTGGTAGGAAAACTATTATCAGGTATCATATATAGAAGGTTACTGTGTAAACAAAGCATAATAAAAATATTTAATTCCAGGAGCAGGACCCAATGCTTGCTTTCCCCCTGATAAAAAGGAATACTAGCTGCTAAGCACACCAAACATAATTTTTGTCTTCATTTAATCAGAAATATTGAACTTAGTGTATGAGAAAGCTTTTGTACCCTGTGGTACCATGCTATTTAATGCTGTGTTCATTTATTGCTTAAAATTATTCAAGCATGACTGAGATGATTACACATTGCTTCAGCAAGAAATACTGTTGTTAACTGTTGTTACTGGAGTAACCAGAATCATGAATGAAACTATCTGTTATGGTTCATCTGGTACAAACCTACCTTTACCAAGACTGTAAGAGAAACTTTAGGATGGCTAATAGCAAATTCATATAGATAAATATTTATCATTCTCTCTCAACTGCCCCCTTCAAAGACTAAAGATTGTGACAGATGTTCAGACAACTTATGCCCATTAAGAAACTCCAATATTTTAGTTTTCTTCTGCTGATGCTTATATTCTGCTTGGAAATTTATTGATGTATAATATACACTTAGAAAAATATACAGACATTTTCTGTATAAAAATATACAGACATTACACTCCAAGCATCCACATAATTGGTGCTCAAATCAAGAAACAGTGTATTACCAACATTTCAGAATACCCTCTTATACTTCCTGTCACTACCTACCACCCTGACTTCTAATACTATGGAGGGGTTTTGACTTTTAAAAATAGTAACTTACCCACTCACTACATACATATATTTAAGTCAGCTTTATTGACTTATAATAATAAAATCAATTGTAATATGTTTTAGTGAGAATAACATTACTCTTTATTGAATACTAATACTGAGTATTCTTGTATATTTATTGAATATACTAGTATTTATTGAGTAATATTACTATTGGAGAATAATAATACTCTTTACTAAGTATAATGTTGAGTAATATACTTTACATCAAATAAAAGTCATTAACTTCAAGTGTAGATTCTCATAAATTTGTCAAAAATATGCATTTGTGCAATGACCATCTCAATCAACATATGGAACATTTCTGTTACTCCACAATATTATCTTGTCAACATTTACAATCGACTTCTCCCGCTACCACAAGCACAACCATTATTCTCTATTCCATCAGTGTAACTTAGCCAATTTTAGCATTTATATAAATTGAACCATGCATAAAAGTTTGTAGTCTTTTGTGTCAGCTGCTGCTGCTGCTGCTTCTATTATTATTATTATTATTATTATTTTTTTGTGAGACAGAATCTCGCCCTGTCACCCAAGCTGGAGTGCAATGGCGTGATCTCAGCTCACTGCAACCTCCGCCTCCTGGGTTCAAGCAATTCTCCTGCCTCAGCCTCCTGAGTAGCTGGGATTACAGGCACCCGCCACCATGCCTGGTTAATTTTTATTTTTTTTGTATTTTTAGTAGAGATGGGGTTTCACTATGTTGGCCAGGCTGGTCTCAAACTCCTGACCTCATGATCTGCCCACCTTGGCCTCCCAAAGTGCTGGGATTACAGGTGTGAGGCACTGTGTCCAGCTGTCAGCTTCTTTCACTTAGCATGACATTGGTGAGATTATATATGTTAGTGCATATGTCATTTCTTTGTTTTTTTTTTTAATTGTTGAGTAATATTCCATTGAATAGCAATACTACTATCTGCTTGTACATTCATTATTTAATGGACATTTAGCATTTTTGGCTTCTTGCTAAAAATATTTATGCACACGTTTTTATGTGGTCATATGTTTTTATTTCTCTAGCCATTTTTTTCTTTGGCATTTTTATTTAGTCTGATAATGTTGACTTTTAATTGGAGTTCTTAGAGTATTAACATAATTATTTATATAATTCTATTTAAAATGATTACCTACTATTTGTTTCTATTGGTTCAATCTATTTTTTGTTCTCCATCACCCACCTAACCCCCTGCTTTTGGGACCTCTTTGTACAGTACTATTTCTTATAACTACATTTTTCTTTATTATTCATATATGTTCCTCTTTTTTTTTCTTTTTTTTTTCAGTGGTTGCTTTACAAACATTTTCTGTAACTGTAAAATATAGGTATTTTCAGCTTTGTGGGCTACATCATTTCTTTTACAACCAGTAAGCTTTGCCTTTGTAGAACAAAAGCAGCTATAAACACATAAACAAATAGGTATGACCAAATTAGGGCCACAAGATTTGGCCAGATTTCGCTGTGGGATGTAGTTTGCTAATCCTTGCTCTAGAGTATAAAATATAAATTTTTAACTTATTGTAGTCTACATTCAAATATTATAGCACTTCCCACATAGTGTAAAAAATGTACACATTGTATAATAAATTTACTTCTCCATCCTCTCTTCAATGTTGTAATATACACTGTTTTTATTTGTTACAAATGCCATGTACATTAGTGTGTGTCATTAAAATGTGATCTGTTAAAGAGATTACATAATAAGAAAAATATTAAATATTAATGCACATATTTATAATTTTGGTTGTTCATCTGCTGCTGTCATTTTTAATGTAGATCGAAATTTGTTTCTGATGTCATTTTCTTTCTGGCTAAAGGATTTTTTTTTTTTAGTATCTCTTGTAATAACCTGCTAGTGTTAATTCTCATAGGATTTGTTTGTTGGAATATCTGTTTTTCACCTTAACTTTGAATAGATATTTTCATGAGATAGAAAATTCTAGGTTAACAATATTTTCATTTCAGTAAACTGAGAATACTGCTCTGTTGTCTTCTAGCCTTCATTATTTCTGAGAATTTTGCTGTGATTTTTATCTGCACATGTCTTTTCTCTTCAGATATTTCAATACTTTTCTCTGTCACTAGATTCAGACATTTGGTTAGGTTTTGCCTTCTTTTGTGTAAAAAAATAGTTTATTTTCTTACAGCCTATTGAGCTTTTGGATATCTGAGTTTAAAATTTTCATCAATTTTGGAAAATGCTGGCAGTTATATTTTAAAAGCATTTTAATACCCTCATCCTTTTTTTCATGGTACTCCAATTACATATATGTTGGTCTTTTGATATTATCCCATGGATCACTTGGGCTATGATTTTTTTTTCTTTCTTTGTTATTTTTGTTATGCTTCATCTAGGATATTTCTATGTTTTCATGTGCAATGACCTGTTCTGCTGTGGTATATAATCTGCTGTTAATTTCATTCCATGTATTTTTTATATATGTTTATTTCTAGAAGTTCAATTTGTGTTTTTTGGTCTTCATTTTTCTTTTTATTTCATTTGTGCTTTCCTTCAAATGCTTTAACATATGTATAGTTCTTCCTCTTCTAAATTTCTTGTGTCTTTTGTTATTTAGTCTGTTTCTGTTGATAGATTTTTCTTTAGATATGGTTAATTTTATCCAGCTTATTTGAATATCTGGTAGTTTTTGATTGGGTGTTGGATATTATAAGTTTTACATTTTTGAAAATTAAATATTTCTACAGTTTTCAGAATTTATTCTTGTGCACAATTAGTTTATTTTATATCAGGTACATCTTTTCATTTTGCTTTTAAGGTTTATTATGGTGGGTCTAAAAGAAACCTTTATTCTAAGGCTAATTTAGTCTCGCTACTAACCCAATGTTCTCTTAGGCAATCTATAAAAGCCCCATTCGTACTAATTCTCCTCTCTTTTGTGAACACAAATTATCCCCAAATCTGTCTGAGTTCTGGGAGTAGTTTGCCTATTGGTTTCTAGTGTTTCTTTTGCTGATGTTGGGGAGTTTTATCCAAGGCAGAAAGCTAGATCAACTGCAGGACTTACCTGGGACATTCTCCTTCTCTCTTAGATCATAATTTTTTTCTACCTCTTGAACAAAGTCTACAAATAATTGCTTCATATATCTGTACAGTTTTATAGTTTGTCATCAAAAGGTGGTCATTGGTGTTACCAGAAGCCCCATTAAACTATTGTGATGAGTGGTTGCAAATTTACACATTTACATGGTGAAAGTAATGTTGGTTTTGTCTGGTGATATACAGAGAACAAATTAGCCCAGAGTCGGTTGTTTTATCATAGCCAGATATAGGCAAGCTCCATGTATCTCCTTTTTAACGCTTGAGTGACTTCTCTCTAGGTATGCATTTAAAAAGGAGGTTGTGGAGGACTCTGAGTATATAAAAGGATGACATAAACTTCTAGATTTCATAATACCTTCCAAAAATATTTCCTCCAATGTTTAGTAACTAAGGATTTTTATCTACTTACTATATTGCGGCATCATCAATCCCCTTCTGACTGTATTAGTCTAGATGTTGTGAACTTTTCCACATCAACTCGTGTGAGCTTCGTAAGTATTCTTGTTGAATTGTGTTGTCCTTATTTACTTATTTCCTCTTCCTATTATAACCTCACAATCATTCTGGTTTTAGCCCCAAAATATTAGGCCTAATGGCAGTCTGTTTTCTGAAGAATTTGATGGGCTGTTTCTCTAGTCCAAAATGGCTATTATCTATGGGCACTTTAACTAAGGCATTAACTATAGCTACCTGGAACTAACAGTTTGCAGAGGTGTTTTCGGTATATTCTACAGTGCTAAACAAAGTCAAAGTTAATATCACCATGAAAATTTGTTGCAGTAATATTACTAGCAACATCAATGGCCACGTTTGGATAAGCATATTTTTCTATGATACATTGGAAATGGCCAAACATGTAACTAACAATATTATTTTCTTGAAGGTGTTGATAATTTATAAGATTACAGAATAATGAACTCGTAATTTTATTGGAAAGTCTGCATACTTTTAACCTTTCAAATATAATAAAATTTCAGCATGAGTAAGCAGTTATTTTTCAGTTAAATGATTATTCAATTCCCAAAGCTACAGTGTGCTATAGTAGGCATTACTGAGCAAATAAATCCATTTGTCTCCATAGTCTCTTTCAAAAATTGATTACAGGTTTTCACAAAGTTTCTAGCCAAAATATGGTTGTTTCAAATTTTCTCTTGCCTAAATTTAAGCAAATTTCCTCTTAGTGGTTTCTCAGTAGATATGGAGAAAAAGAAGTCATGGTTTTTTACATAAGAGAGTTAATACGTTTATTATTTCAATTTGCATAAAAGTATGCATACAATAATTTCCTTGGGATAAAAGAACTTAGTAAAATATTCTGAGGCATTCAAATTTTTAGTTATCGATATTATAAATAATTTAAAATAGCTCTTATAAAACAAAAATGCCATCTGAAAAGGAATATTTTAAACTGATCGAAAGATCATCAACTCAAACCTTGTCAAATGAGGTCATACATGGAAAATGCCAAATTCCAGTAAAATATTTCACTTGCCAAGAGGAAAACTCTCCAAGACAAAAGAAGAAAAATAAGATAGGCAGATTGATGAATATTTAGCATTCTTTTTGGTTTGTTTGTTTGTTTGTTTTGAGACAGGGTCTCTCTCACTCTGTCACCCAGGCTGGAGCGCAGTGGCACGATTATAGCTCACTGCAGCTTCATTCTCCCAAGCTCAAGTGATCCTCCCACCTCAGCCTCCCAAGTAGCTAGGACTACAGGCACAGACCACCATACCCAGTTGATTTTTTGTATTTTTTGTAGAGACAAGGTTTTGCCATGTTGCCCAGGTGGGTCTCAAATTCCTGAACTCAAGTGATCCACCTGCCTCAGTCTCCCAAAGTGCTGGGATTACAGAAGTGAGCCACTGTGCCCGGCCTGAATATTAAACATTCTTTAATAAAGCTTACTGTCCTGAGAGTTCATACATATACACACCATACTTACCGAAGGGCACAAAATCAGACACATGCCTTCACTCAAACAGCTTCCTACACTTATGCATAAAGAAAGTTACATCCAGTACTTTTTCTGGGGGCTAAATAAGTCAGTTTCTAACCTCTCCCTAAAGGTACTTTTTGTTCCTTTAAGGCAGGGATTATATAGAAAACTATCAGAAAAAAAGTCTAATTTTTACTCTACACAGTTTATGAAAGTCATGATTTTACCAAAATGACACCACACTTAGCTGTCAGCTTCTTTTCTTCCCTATCTCATAATCTATGCTTTGTCATTTATATTCTTATTATATATGTTATCTGCTTCCTCTACTTCCTCCTTTTTGCTGACATACCTACATGCTCTTATATAGATGTGTGAGTGTTGACCATTGTATTACTAGAGTGAAGTAAAATAAAGTAAATGTTTTTTTTTTTTATCTTTTTTGCTATGTTGCAAACCACGTGCAGACATTTCTTAAAGCAGAGTTTATTTGAAATTATCTGTAAATATTCTGTTAATATATACAGGTTCTGTGGCTACCTCTGAGAGGGATTCTTAAAAATTTTCTCATCTAATACATATTCATTACATAGAATTTTGAAAGTATAAAATTGTTTAAAGACTAAGCATAATCTATACTATCATGTAATAATGAATCTGTTAGTATTCAGATTCTCATAAGCTTTCTTTTTTATTTTATCTTAATCTGCCTATTCACAAAGATACACATATTTTAAAATTTGAATTATTTTAGATACAATTTGGTATTATTCTACTATAATAAATATTGTGCCAATTTTCTCACATTAAAATTTAATTGCATTTGTTTCAATTTACCAGCGTTTTAATATAAGTATTTGAGCATAGAACACAAAACTAATTTTGGTGGGCAATAGAGTTACTGCTTATTGTAAAATATTTTTTAAATGCACTAAAAAAGGAGATTTCAATTTCCAGCAACATGGCTTATTAGATGTTCTGAAAACGCTCTTGTCATGTCATAAAACATCAGAAATGCCTAATTAAATGCTGTAAAATACACTTTTAAATGTATTGCTGGCCTGGCAAAAAAGATGGTCAATCTTTAAAGACCACGAGTAAAGTCCAGGCTGGTAAGTGAAGAGAAAAGTCGGGGCAGTATGGAATCATTTGCCACTGTCTCATAGTTGAAAATCTTAGGTTTTAATGGACCACAGGATATTTTAAAAACCTTCATTTATGTAGTAATAGGAAACCACGAGTAAAATTCTAAGCCCAAGAATGCTGTTCCTCAGTTAGATACTACATCCATTCCCATTATACATCTCTGGGTAGATTTAAAAAGGACATTAAAAAAGTCAAAAACCAAGAATACAAAACCAAGCAAGCAAACAAAATTTTTTCCTGATAATTTACAAGCAATAGTTGTTCTATATATTTTGAAGTTTGAAGGCCCAAACTGTTATAATTGTAAGCCCCCTCCCCCTGAAATAAATTCATTTTTAACAGGCAGTGGGTTTATAAAATCTCTGAGCACTGGCCAGAAACACATAAATCCTCACTCATGAAGCCAGAATACTGTGTGAGAGTGTTGTCAAAATGTTGAGAAAACAGAAGTGACTAGCTAGATTGTATATCTGGTGAAAGTACCTGTTAAAAAGAAAGAGGAAATAAAGATATTGTCAGATAAAATGGTACTTACTAACTACATGACTTTGGGCAAACTACTTCATCTTTCTAAACTTCAGTTTCAGCATCGGTGAAAACGAGCTAAGGATAGTGCCTCTCTCACAGGGTTCTGCTAAAGATTAATTGAGTCAACACATATGTAGCATCTGGAAGAGTTCATGGTAAGCAATAAAATGTTATCTGGTAATATTACAGTAAACATGCACTGCAACATTATTTCCCCGCCAATTGGCAGAGTTTCCTACTTCTTCTCTCCTTTCTTACACGGTTCATCTTTGTTTACATTTTTGGCCAGGATGATTACCTGAAGGATAACTTACACGTAATAAAATGTACCTGTTTTCAGTGCTCACCTGATGAATTTTGGTAATTGTTAGCAGTCATGTAGCTATTACCACACTAAAGATTAAAAAATAAGTCCCTTGTCCCCAAAAATCATCTTCATGTCCCTTTGTCATCAATATCCAAAATATAGAAGGAATTCATACAACTCAATAGTAAAAAACAAACAGCGAAACCAAATAACTCAATTTAAAAATGGGCAAAAGACCTGAATAGAAATTTTTCTAAACTGCCCAATAGGTAAATAAAAAGGTGTTCAACACCAATAATCATCAGGGAAATGCAGCTATAGTTTAAAAATAATGTATCACAGAAATTTCTTCAGAGAGTAATATATCTTAGTATTCTCACCACACAACAAAAACAAAAAGGTAACTGTGAGATAATGGATATGTTTATTAGCTTGATTGTGGTAATTTTTTCACAATGTGTAGATATATGAAACATCATGTTCTACACCTTAAATATATACAGTTTTTATTTGTCAATTTTACCTTAATGAAACTGAGGAATAAAAAACCTTTCCCCAATTGAATTACCCTGGTAACTTTGTTGAAAATAAATTAAACATACAGATGTGCATCTGTTATAGACTACATGTCATACACACACATATATATACAATTTCCATGCCAACATTATATATATAATATTATATGTTATATGACACATATGTAATGAATATATGATATATAATTTTATGTTATATGATACATAGTATGACATGTAACTTAATATGTTATATGATACATATATAATAAATATATGATATATATTTTCATGCTTACATGAACACAACTTTTTTTTAATTACTTTTGCTTTAGAGTAAATCCTGAAATCAGGTAAAGAATGTCATTTGGTCCCACCTTTATTTTTCATTATTAATTTTCCTATTAAAAGTCCTTTGTCTTTTCATATAATTATCACATCAATTTTAATGGGGTAAAATGTGATGTTTTGATACATGTATACAATGTATAATGACCAAATCAGGGTAATTAGCATATCCACCACTTTAAACATTTATCATTTCTTAGTGTTAGGAACATTTGAAATCCTCTCTTCTAGTTATTTGAAAATATATGGTAAATTATTATTAACTTCAGTTACCATTCAGCACTACAGAACACTAGAACATATTTCTCCTATCTAGCTGTAATTTTGTATTCATTAAGCAACTGTTCCCTAACCCCTCTACCCTTCCCATCCTCTAACAACCACTGTTGTACTTACTACTATGGAATCAATTTTTTTATCTTCCAGAGATGAGTGAGAACATGTGGTATTTATCTTTCTGTGCCTGGCTCACTTCTCATAACATAATGTCTTCCAGGCTCATCTACGTTGCTGCAAATGACAGGATTTTATTTTATTTATTTTTGGTTAACTACTATTCCATTGTGTGTATATAGCATATTTTCTTTACCTATCTGTTGAAGGACACTTAAGTTGGTTTCATATCTTGATTATTGTGAATAGTGCTGCAATAAACACAGGAGTGTGGACATCTTACTGGCATACTGATTTCTTTTCCTTTGGATATATACCTAGTAGTGGAGTAGCTAGGTCACATGGTACTAATATTTTAATTTTTTTAGTAGCTTTCGTGATGTTTTCTTTAATGGCTATAGTAATTTACATTCCCAGCAATGTGTAAGAGTTTTCTTTTCTCTGCTTCTTCACCAGCATTGGCTATATATTTTTGTCTTTTTGATAATAGCTATTCTAATAGGTATGAGATATTATCTCATCTTGGTTTTGATTTGCATTTTCCCAATCACTATTAATGTTGAGCATTTTTTCATATACTTGGCCATGTGTATGCCTTTTTTAAAGGAATGTCTGTTCAGATAATTTTCCCATTTTTAAATTGGGTTATTTCTTTTCTTTCTGTTGAATTGAGTTTCTTATATATTATGAATATTAATCCCTTGGCAGATGAATAGTTTGCAAATATTTTACCCATTCTTTAGGTTGTCTCTTTATTCTGTTGATTGCTTCCTTTGCCATACAGGAGCTCTTTAGTTTGGTATAGTTCAGTTTGTCTATTTTTGCTTTGCTTGCCTATGCTCTTGAGACCTTATCCATAAAATTTGCTCAGAACAATGTCCTGAAGTGTTTTCTCTGTGTTTATTCCTACTGGCAGTTTCATAGTTTTGGGGGTTACATTTAATTTTTTAATCCATTTTGAGTCAATGTTTGTATATGGCAAAAGATAGGGGTCTAGTTTCATTCTTATGCATATGAATATCCAGTTTTTCCAGCACTATTTATTGAAGAGGTTTTCCTTTCACCAATGTATATTCTTGACACCTTTGTTGCAAATCAGTTGACTGTAAATATGTGGATTTATTTCTGGGTTCTCTACTCTGTTCCATTGTTCTGCGTGTTTTTATGCCAGTACAATTACTTTGTAGTACATTTTGAAGTCAGGTAGTATAATGCCTCCAGCTTTGATATTTTTTTCTCATAATAGCGTTGTCTATATGGGATCTTTTATGGCTCCACATAAATTTTCGAATTGTTTTTTCTATGTCTGTGAAGAATCTATCTAGATAGTGATTTCATTAAATGGGTAGAATTGCTTAGGGTGGTGTGGTCCTTTAAATAGTATTAATTCTAATCAATAAACATGAGATGTCTTTACATTTATTTGTGTTGTCTTCAATATGTCCTATCAGCGTTTTATAGTTTTTACTGTAAGGTATTTCATCTCCTTGGTTCAATTTATTCCTAAATATTTAATTTTTTGTAGTTATTGAAATTGGATGGCTTTCTTGAATTCTTTTTTTGCAAGTTTGTTACTGGTGTATACAAATGCTACTGATTTTTGTATGTTAATTTTGTATCCAGAATTTTACTGAATTCATTTATCCATTCTGAGAGGTGTTTTTGGTGTAATCTTTAGGGGTTCATGTCATCTGCAAACAGGAAAAATCTGACTTTCTCCTTTCCAACGTGGTTGACCTTTCTTTCTATTGCTGAAATGCTCTGGCAAGGATGTCTAGTACTATGACAAATAAGAGTGGTGAAAGTGGGCATCCTTGTCTTGTTCCAGTTCTTAAAGAAAAAGCTTTTCCTCATTCAGTACGATGTTAGCTGTGGGTTTGCCATGTGTGGGACTTTATTGTGGTCAGGTGCACTCCTCTGTATTAATTTGCTGAGAGTTTTTATTATGAAGAGATGTTGAATTTTATCAAATAGTTTTTATATGTCCATTGAGATAATCATATGGTTTTTGACTTTCACTCTGTTGATGTGATGTATCACACTTATTGATTTGCATATTTTGAACCATCCTTATATTTCCGAATAAATACCACTTGGCAATAATATATAATCTTTTTGATATGCTGTTGGAATTTATTTGCTAGTGAGAATTGAGAATTGTTAAAAATCTATGTTCCTTAGGGATGTAGTTTTCTTTTTTGTTGTGTCCTTGTCTGGTTTTGGTGGAAGGGTAATGCCGGCCTTGTAGAATGAATTTGGAAATTTTTCTTGCCCTTCAATTTTTTGGAATAACTTGAGAAGAATTGGTGTCAGTTTTTAGAAGGCTGGTAATATGCAGCAACGAAGCCATCTAGTCCTGGGTTTCCTTTGCTGGGAGACTTTTTATTAAAGATTAAATATCGTTAATCATTATTGGCTTCTTCAGGTTTTGTATTTCTTCCTCTTTCAATCGCGTTAGGTTGTATGTGTCCAGGAATTTTTCCATTTCCTCTAGATTTTCCAATGTGTTGGGACACAGTTGTTCATAATCATCTCCAATGACCCTTTGTGTTTCTGAGATATCAGGTAATGTCTCATTTTTGGGGGGGATTTTATTTATTTGGGTCTTTCTCTCTGTCTTTTTTTAGTTTTGTTAATGATTATTGATTTTATTTATTTTTTTTAAAAAACCAAGTTTTCATTTTATTGATATTATTACTGCTTTAGTCTCAATTTCATTTATTTCAGCTCTGATCTTCATTATATTGTTCATTTGATTAATTTTGATTTGTTTTTTTTTCTCCCTTTTGTATTTTCATGATGTTCACCATTAGGTTGTTCATTTGAAATCTTTCTTATTTGATGTAGGCATTTATTGCTATAAAATTGTGTCCTAGTATTGCTTTTGCTCTCTCCTATATGATTTGGTATGTTGTATTTACATTTTCATTTGTTTCAATAACATTTTTAATTTTCTAAAACTGCCTCATTGCTCAGGAGGATGTTGTTTAATTTTCATGTATTTTTGCAGTGTCCAAATTTCACCTTGTTCTTAATTTCTAGCGTCATTTTACTGTGGTCAGAAAAGATACTTGATGTGATTTTGACTTTAAAAATTTGTTGAGACTTTTTTTTGTTTAATATATGGTCTATAATAGAGAATGTTCTATCTATGTGCTGATGAAAAGAATGTGTATTCTTCTTTTGTTAAATGAAATGTTCTGTAAATGTCCTTTGGGTTCATTTCATCTAGAATGCAGTTGAAATTCAATGTTTCTTTGTTGACTTTATACCTGGATAATCTGTCCAATGCTAAGAGTGAGTTGTTGAAGTTCTCAGTTATTATTGTAGTGGAATCTATTTCTCCCTTTAGATATAGTAATATTTGCCTTATATATCTGGATGCTTGGGTGGTGGATGCATACATATTTACAATTCTTATATTCTCTGGCTGGATTGATCCCTTTATCATTATATGATGTACTTATTTGTCTCTTTTTACAGTTTTTGGATTATAGTCTATTTTATCTAAGTATAGCTTCTCATGTACATTTCTGTTTTCCATTTGTGTGGAATATCTTTTTCAAACCCTCTACTTTCAGTCTACTTTTATTTAATGTAAAAAAAGTTTTTAATACAGGGTCAAGCTTGGTCACCCAGGTTAGAGTGCAGTGAAGTGATCATAATTCATTGTAACCTTAAACTGTTGGGCTCAGGCAATCTCCCCACGTCAGCTTCCTAAGTATTTAGGAATACAGGCACCTTCCACCACCTGGCTAATTTTATTTATTCATTTGTAGACACAGAGTCTTGCTATGTTGCCCAGGTTGGTCTTAAACTTGTGGTCTCAAATGATCCTCTTACTTCAGCCTCTCAAAGTGCTAGGAACAGACATGCACCACCATGCCTGGCCCTATGTGTGTTTTCATAGGTGAAGTGATTTTCTTGTGGAAGCATATAATTGTGTCTTGTTGTCTTATCCATTCAGCCAGTCTATATTTTTAATTGGAAATGTAATCCATTTACAAAGTTATTATTAATAGGTGAGGAATTACTCCTGTCATTTTCTAATCATTTTCTGGTTGCTTTGTATTTCCTTTGTTCCCTTCTTCCTCTATTATTTTTATTTGTGGCTTGGTAGTTTTCCACAGTGATAAGCTTTGACTCCTTTCTCTTTCTCATTGTATAGCTGCTCTATCAATGAGTTTTATACTTTTGTGTGTTTTCATGGTGCTAGTTATCATCTTTTCACTTCCACACGTGCAACTTCCTTAAGCATTTCTTGCAAAGTCAATCTAGTAGTAATGATGAATTCCCTCAGTGTTTGCTTGTCTGGGAAAGACTTTATTTCGCCTTCAGTTGTGAAGGATAGCTTTGCTGGGTATAGTATTCTTGCCAGCAGGTTTTTTTTTTCTTTCTTTCTTTCTTTCAGCACTTTGAATATATCATCTCAAGGTCTCCTGGCTTGTGAGGTTTCTGCTGAGACATATGCTGTTAGTCTAATGGAGTTTCTCTTATATGTGACTTGATGTTTTTCTCTTGCTGCTTTTAGAATTCACTCTTTGTATTTGAATTTTGACAATTTGATTATAATGTGCCTTGAAGAGGACCTTTTTTGGTTAAATTAATTTGGTAACCTTTGAGCTTCCTGAATCTAGATTCCATATGTCTCCAAGACTACAAAAGTTTTTAGCTGCTTTGTTATTTAATAGGTTTTCTATGCCTTTCTCATCTCTTCTCCATCTTAAAATCCTGTGATACAATTATTTGTTCACTTAATGTGTCCTATAAGTTCTGTAGGGTTTTCTTTTTTCTTATGTATGTATGTGTGCATGTATGTATATATTTTTGTCTGTTTTATTCCTTCTAGTTCAGAAACTTTATTTTGCTTGATCAAATCTATTGTTGAAGCTCTTGATTGTATTTTTTATTTCATTCCTTGAATTCTTCTGCTCCAAGATTTCTGTTTTTTAATATCTATCTGTGTTGAATTTCTCACTTAGATTATAAATTGTTTTCCTGATTTCTTAAATTGTCTATCTGTATTCTCTTGTGTCATGCTGAATTTCTTTAAGATAATTATTTTTAATTCCTTTTCAGTAGTCAGTGAATTTCCTTTTCTTTGTGGTCTTTTATGGGAAAATGGTTGTGTTCCTTTGGAGGTGTAATGTTTCCCTGCTTTTTCTTGTTTCTTGTGTCCTTTTGTTGATATTTGCACATCTGTGGGAACACTTGCCTCTTCCAATTTTATGGACTAGCTTTCGTAGGGAAAGATTTTTCCCTCTAGATGTGTCCTATAGTGTTTGCGTAGTGTGCTTTGGTTTTGGTTCTGAGTGGGCACAATAATGAGTCTCTGTGTAATTTTTTTTGGCTATTATTAACATCAATCATATCTGCAATGCCTCAATGGCCTAGACTGTGGGTGTTTGTGGAGGCAATGGTTCAGTTTTGCTTGGGTCAGAGGACTGGTGGACAGGCTAGTCCTCAGTGCCTAAGGGAGACACTTTCATGAAGAATTCCAATATTTACTTTTAAACACTTGAGTTAAAGTGTAGTTATTTATTTGTTGTTTTGCTCCTTCCTTTTGGATAAGACAAACATTGGGTACCTCTAATCACTCATCTTGATGATGTGTCTCCCATTTTATCAATTTTTTCAAAAAAGTTTGTCATTTTATTTGAGATTACATTGATTCTGCATACCAATTTGAGAAGATTTTCCATCTTCAAAGCATTAAATCTTCACATCTATGGACATGGTATATGTATCCATTTATTATTGCTTTCTTTAAATTAATTTTAACCTTTGTTTTAGATTCAGGGATACATATGCATGTTTGTTACATAGGTATATTGTGCAATGTGAAGAGTGGGGTATTAATTATTCCATCAACAAGATGGTGAGTGTAATACCCAACTGGTAGTTTTTCAGCCCTTGCCTGCTTTTCTTTCCCTGCCTCTAGTAGTCCCTAATGTCTATTGCTCCCATCTTTATGTCAATGTGTTCCCAATGTTTAGCTTCCACTTATAAGTGAGAACATGTGTATTTGGTTTTCTATTTCTCCACTAATTTGCTTAATATAACGGCCTCCAACTGCATCGTTTTTATTTCTCTTTGCAAAGTTTTGTTGTTTTCATTATAAGGTTTTGCACATAGATTATAAAATTTATTTCCAGGTATTTTAAAATTATGCAATTCAAAATGGTTATTTTCTTTTAATTTTGAAATAATTTTAGATTTAAAGAGAAGTTGCAATAATAGTACAAAGATTACGTACATTCTTCACTTGGCTTCTTTAATGCTAATGTCTTGTATTAGTATAAAGTAATGAAACTAATAAATTAAAATTTATATAATGCTATTAACTTCTCTACAGATGTAATTTGAATTGCATCAGTTTTTGCATTAATGCCCTTTTTCTGTTCCAGGATCCAATCTAGTATTCCAAACTGCATTTACTTATCATGCTTCCTTACAGTCTTCTAATCTGTGACAATTCCTTAGTTATCTTTTGTCTTTCATGATCTTGACTCTTGGAGTACTAGTTAGTCATTTAGTAAACTGTTCTTCAATTGAAGTAATTTTAATATTTTCTCTTTCTGTTTCTGTCCATTTTTTGGCATAAAAAAGTTACGCTTTTCATAATGATTTATACTAGGCGTATAGGAGGACAATATATCTTATTTTTGGTAGCACTGGTCATTGATCATGTGATTAAGATAGTGAATTCTAATTTGTGTGTTGCAAATTTGCTATTTTTTTCCTTTAAAATTGATGAATATATTAGCAAATATACTGTGAGACTATTCAAATATTTGATTTCTTCTTAAACCTTTGTCTATTAATTTTAAAAATCATTAGACTATGTTTCCAGCAACAATGTTATTGTGATGGTCTAATGGTCATTTTTTATTTTCCTAATTTCTTCTACATTGATTGATAGGAATTTTCTATAAGGAACAGCTGTCCCTTCTCCTCAGTTTAAAATATTCTATCATTTATTTATTTACATTTATTTATATCATTAAAAACTCATTTATATTTAGTTTATCATTTTAGTAAAATAATATACCACTTCCCATGTAATATAAGGATTTTACAGGATTATACTCCTAATTGCTCCCTCTCAATTGTGCTTTCGCTATGTAATATTGTACTTTTACGTGTACTATGAACACACAGAATGTTACTGCTATTCTTGCTTTAGGCAGTCAGTTATCTTATAAATTTTTTAAAATAGAAAAACATTATTATATGTATTCAATTATAGTGCTTTCGCTATGTAATATTGTACTTTTACGTGTACTATGAACACACAGAATATTACTGCTGTTCTTGCTTTAGGCAATCAGTTATCTTATAAATTTTTTAAAATAGCAAAACATTATTATATGTATTCAATTATAGTGCATCTCAATTATTTGTTCAGATCTAAGTTTGCATCTGAAGAATTTCCTTTAACAAGTTCTATAGTATAGAATTTTTTCCAATAAATTCAGTTTTTGTTTTGCTAAAAGGGTCTATATGCTGCCTTAATTGGAAAGATATCTTCACTGGGTAGAGAGAATTCAGGGTTGCCACCTGGCTTTCTTTTCCACTTGCTTTTTTCACTTTAACTATATAATTCCAGTGTCTAGCCTTTTTGCATGCCATCCCATGAGAAGGGCGCTGTTATTCTTATCTTTGTTACAATGTTTGTGATGTATCTTTTTTCTCTGGATGTCTTTCAAATGTTCTCATTTTCAGCTGTTTATATATGATATGCCTAAGGGTTTTTTCTTTAAATCTTAGTATCCCCTCACCTTATTGGATGTTTGGTTTGCTGTATGTCATTATCTCTCTTTTTTTTTTTTTTTGCTTGTTTCAGTAGGTTTTGGGGGAATAGGTGGTGTTTTGTTAAATGGATAAGCTGTTTAGTGGTGATTTCTGAGATTTTGGTGCAACCATCACCCGAGCAGTGTACAGTGCACCCAATGGGTAGTCATTTAATCCTCACCTCCCTCCCACCCTTCCTTGTGAGTCCCCAAAGTCCATTGTATCATTTTCCTGCCTTTGCATCCTAATACTGTAGCTTCCACTTACAAGTGATAAAATATGATGTTTAGTTTTTCATTCCTGAGTTACTTCGCTTAGAATAATGATCTCCACCTCCATCCAGGTTGATACAAATGCCATTATTTCCTTTATTTTTATGGCTGAGCAGTATTTCATGGTGTGTGTATATATATATATATTTATATGGTTATATGTGTATATATAACCATAAAGAAACTATACCTACACACATAAATAACATATATGAGAAACCACATATATATATATATATGTAACATATATATATATGTTACATATATTGGCATGGATGTGGTAAAAGGAAACACTTTTATACGGCTGATGGGAATGTGAACAAGTACAAATCACTATGGAAAACACTATGAAGATTACTTAAAGAACTAAAATTGGAGCTACCATTTGATCCAGCAATCTCACATTTACTTTATGGTTATATATATATATCCATATTTATATATTTATATAAATATAAATTTATATATATACATTTTATATATATACATACAATTATATATATACATTTTATATATACACATATATAAAACCACATTTTATTTACAGGTAGATATATATGTCTCCCTCCACATTTTCTTTATCCACTGGTTGATTGATGGGCATTTGGGCTGGTTCCTTGTTTTTGTGACTGCAAATTGTGCTGCTATAAACACATGTGGGCAAGTGTCTTTTCATATAATGACTTCTTTTCCTCTGGGTATATACCCAGTAGTGGGATTACTGGATCAAATGGTAGCTCTAATTTGAGTTCTTTAAGAAATCTCCATAGTGTTTTCCATAGTAGTTGTACTAGTTGACATTCCCACCAGCAGTGTAAAAGTGTTCACTTTTCACCACATCCATGCCAACATACATTATTTTTTTATTTTTTATTTGTGACCATTCTCGCAGTGGTAAGGTGGTATTGCATTGTGGTTTTAATTTGCAACTCCCTGATAATTAGTGATGTTGACCATATTTCCATGTTTGCCAGCCATTTGTTTATCTTGTTTGAGAATTGTATATTTGTGTCCTTAGCCTACTTTATGACGAGACTGTTTTTGTTTTGCTGATTTGAGTTCCTTGAGTTGAGTATATATACATTTCCATATATGTGTGTATATATATATACACACACACAACTACACATGCACACGTTTATATATATATACCTTATATATACATTTCATATATATATATACACACCATATATATATAAATATACACACACACACACATTTCCTTCGTGTGTGTGTGTGTGTGAAGGAAAAGAGAAAGAGAACAAGATTTAAAAAAAAAGTATTTGAAGAATTAATGGCTGGCAGAAAAAAAAAAGGTAGATGGAAGGCAGGACTAACTTGCAGCTCCTACTCAAATGGACCAAGCAGCATGTGGAAATTCACACTGTGAACTTTTGCTACAAGAACTACTGCAGTAACATGCTGCAAACTCCATGAGACAGTCAAAAACCTGGGAATGCCCAAAGTGTGAGAGAGGGAAAGTCTGCCTCCAAACACACATCCTCAATGAGGAACCTGAAAATCCAGATCACAGGAGGATTTAACCTTACCTAGAGCTGAAATGAATTTAGAAAGCTGAGTGAAATATAAAAGTAGAAGAAACAGCTGAAAGGGCCTGATAGGCACTCCCAGTCCCCAGGAAACCCAGGGAAGCCATTTCTGACATTACTTGCACAGGGGTCCTTGGGGAGGGCTGCCCCCGAGTTGGGGAAGGACCAAAGGGAGAAGGAAACTTCCAGCTGAACTTTGTAATAATTTCATCAGAGCATGAATTTTTCTGGGCAGAATCAGGGCGTTGGGGGTGGAAAACAGGAAGTGCAGATACATGCACAGAAGCCACAGCAGGCAGGGAGGGACAGGATCTGAAAACCCTGCTTACTTTCTCAGTGATGAGGCTTGTAGCCTGGGGCAAGATCTCAGCCCTGCTTACCAGCTGCATGAATATAAACTCTGTGCTGTTAGTGGGACACGGTGGGAGTGAGACTGGCCTTGCTGGCTGCGTTGTGAGCTGAGTGAGGCCTTTCACTGCTGACTTTCTCCTACTTTGCTGGTGATCTGTATGACACAGCAGAGGCAACCATAATCCCCCTGGGAACATGACTCCATTGGCCTGAGACTCACACTCCCAATCCCCACAGTTGCTTCAGCAACCCCACCCAAGGACACTATGACCTCTGACATGCCTAATTCTGCCCGCACCAGATGACCTTTCTCTACCTGCCGTGGTAGCCAAAGACAAAAGACATAAACTCTTAGCAGCTCTGTGTCCCCACCCATCACCTGAGAAACCCGAATATTTATCCAGGTGATCTATGGCAAGGCTGTGTCCACCCCATACTAACACAGCTGATGCTCTCCTGAAAACATCACAGCCTGGCTGCAGGCCAATCAACTCAAGCCATTACAGCGACTCATAATAGAACAACCCTGCTCCGAGACAGGAGAAAACAATAGTTAATTCCACCACTTGTAACGTCCTGTCTAGCCAGAGGTGCTGAGTCTGTCTACATGACAACTTCACTGCTAGCACAACCAGAATTCTGGAAAATCAGGGCACTAAACAAAACTACAATCAAGGACCCTCACAGAGTCCACTTCATTCCCCTTCTGCCTCTATTGGAGCAGGTGCTGGTATCCACAGCTAAAAAACCTGAAGACAGTTCACATCACAGGATGCATTGCAGACATTCCCCATTATCAGTCCAAAGCCTGGTAGTTCTGGTGGGTGGCTAGACCCAAAAGAGCAATAACCATTACTGCATTCTGGCTTTCAGGAAGCCCCATCCCTAGGAGAAGGGGTAGAGCACCATATAAAGGGATCACCCCGTGGGACAAAAGAATCTAAAGAGTAGCCCTTGAGCCCCAGATCTTTCCTTTGACATAGTCTACCCAAATGAGAAGGAACAAGAAAAACAATTCTGGTAATATGACAAAGCAAGGTTCTTTAACACCCCCAAAAGATTACAGCAGCTCACAAGCAATGGATCCAAACAAAGACGAAATCTCTGAATTGCCAGAGAAAAAATTAAGAGTCTATTATTAAGCTAATCAAGGAGGCATCAGAGAAAGGTGAAGTCCAACTTAAAGAAATTAAAAAATATATATACATAATATGAATAGAAAAATCCTCGTGAGATAGATAGCATAGATAAAAAATAATCAAAACTTCTGGAAATCAAGGACACACTTAGAGAAATGCAAAATTCACTGGAAAGTCTCAGCAATAGAATTGAACAAGTACCAGAAACAACTTCAGAGCTCGAAGACAAGGTTTTCAAATTAACCCAATCTGACAAAGACAAAAAAAAAATTTTTAAAAAACTGAACAAAGCCTCCAAGAAGTTTGGGATTATGTTAAATGACCAGACTTAAAAATAATTGGCATTCCTGAGGAAGAAGAGAAATCTGAAAGTTTGAAAACCATATTTGAGTGAATAATCAAGGAAATCTTCCCTGACATTGCTAGAGATCTAGACATCCAAATACAAGAAGCCCAAAGAACACCAGGGAGATTCATCACAAAAAGATAATCACCTAGGCACATAGTCATCAGGGTATTTAAAGTCAAGACAAAGGGGAGAATCTTAAGAGCTGTGAGGCAAAAGCATCAGGTAAACTGCAAAGGAAAACATATCAGATTAACAGCAGATTTCTCAGCAGAAACTATACAAGTTAGAAGGGACTGGGGTCCTATATTTAGCCTCCTTAAACAAAACAATTATCAGCCAAAAATTTTGTACCCAGCAAAACTAAGCTTCATAAATAAAGTAAATATAGAGGCTTTTTCAAACAAATAAATGCTGAGAGAATTTGCCACTACCACGCCAGCACTAGAAGAACAGCTAAAAGGAGCTCTAAATGTTGAAAGAAATTCTCAAAATGCACCAAAATAGAATCTCTTTAAAGCATAAATTTGACAGGACCTATAAAACAATAACACAATAAAAACAACCACAACAACAAGGTATTCAGGCAACAAATAGCACGATGAATAGAACAATACCTCACATCTTAATACTAATGTTGAAGTAAATGGCCTAAATGCTCCCCTTAAAAGATACAGAATGGCAGACTGGATAAGAATTCACTAACCAAGTGTCTGTTGTCTTCAAGGACTCACCTGACACATAAGGACTCACATAAAGTATATATATTTCCTTTGTGTGTGTGTGTGTGTGTGTGTGTGTGTGTGTGTGTGTGTGTATGTGTTTCAGCTCCTTTAGCAGTATTAAAAATTACTTTTACTCAATCACTGCTGGGCTGGTGATGGAAGATACAGGGACATGTTATTTAATGTTCTATTTAAGCTTCAGTCTTAGTCATATAGTGTGTCTTTGAGTCTCCCAGGTTAAAAACTGCACAGGTACTTCTATTACTACTGAAGCTGTTGTTCTGGGTCCAGTATTTATTTTCTCCCCTTTACAAGGAGTAGAATATGTCATTTTCTGTATTTTTTTCTCTTAGATGCAATGACTTTTCACTAGTGACCTATGGAAGACAGTTTTTGATGTTCTTTTTTTGGATATTAGGCTTTCTTTTCTTTTTTTTAAATTTATTTATTTATTATTATTATACTTTAAGTTTTAGGGTACATGTGCACAATGTGCAGGTTAGTTACATGTGTATACATGTGCCATGCTGGTGCGCTGCACCCACTAACTTGTCATCCAGCATTAGGTATATCTCCCAATGCTATCCCTCCCCCCTCCCCCCACCCCACAACAGTCCCCAGAGTGTGATGTTCCCCTTCCTGTGTCCATGTGTTCTCATTGTTCAGTTCCCACCTGTGAGTGAGAATATGCGGTGTCTGGTTTTTTGTTCTTGCGATAGTTTACTGAGAATGATGATTTCCAATTTCATCCATGTCCCTACAAAGGACATGAACTCATCATTTTTTATGGCTGCATAGTATTCCATGGTGTATATGTGCCACATTTTCCTAATCCAGTCTATCATTGTTGGACATTTGGGTTGGTTCCAAGTCTTTGCTATTGTGAATAATACCGCAATAAACATACGTGTGCATGTGTCTTTATAGCAGCATGATTTATAGTCTTTTGGGTATATACCCAGTAATGGGATGGCTGGGTCAAATGGTATTTCTAGTTCTAGATCCCTGAGCAATCGCCACACTGACTTCCACAATGGTTGAACTAGTTTACAGTCCCACCAACAGTGTAAAAGTGTTCCTATTTCTCCACATCCTCTCCAGCACCTGTTGTTTCCTGACTTTTTAATGATTGCCATTCTAACTGGTGTGAGATGGTATCTCATTGTGGTTTTGATTTGCATTTCTCTGATGGCCAGTGATGGTGAGCATTTTTTCATGTGTTTTTTGGCTGCATAAATGTCTTCTTTTGAGAAGTGTCTGTTTGACAAACCTGAGAAAAGCAAGCAATGGGGAAAGGATTCCCTATTTAATAAATGGTGCTGGGAAAACTGGCTAGCCATATGTAGAAAGCTGAAACTGGATCCCTTCCTTATACCTTATACTAAAATCAATTCAAGATGAATTAAAGACTTAAACGTTAGACCTAAAACCATAAAAACCCTAGAAGAAAACCTAGGCATTACCATTCAGGACATAGGCATGGGCAAGGACTTCATGTCTAAAACACCAAAAGCAATGGCAACAAAAGACAAAATTGACAAATGGGATCTAATTAAACTAAAGAGCTTCTGCACAGCAAAAGAAACTACCATCAGAGTGAACAGGCAACCTACAAAATGGGAGAAAATTTTCGCAATCTACTCATCTGACAAAGGGCTAATATCCAGAATCTACAATGAACTCAAACAAATTTATAAGAAAAAAACAAACAACCCCATCAAAAAGTGGGCGAAGGACATGAATAGGCTTTCATTTCATAGGAAAAATAGGTAAGTAGGGTCCAGTGATATTTCTTGCCCTTTATACAGTTGCTTCCTTCTTTCTCAGGGTTGAGCCAACAGGGAAACTCTCTCAGGAATCTTCCCAGTTGCTCCTGTGATCACATCCACAATTATGAGTGTCACCCAACCATGAGTTACCAAGAAGATGGCCAAGGGCTGGTTTTCTTTCCTCTCAACAAATACAGAATTATGTTTTCTAAGTAGAACTGGAAGGATTGCAAGTTTGGCAGATATGTGATATTTGATATTGAATAGGCTGAAAAGCATAGATTTGAAAAGTATTCTAAGGCTGTATGTCATAAAATAACAAAAATGTTGATGGAAATGTAATATGACAAAGAGCTGATACAAAATCGAGGACACTTATAATACTAAATGTTGGTAAGAATGTGGAGCAACAGGAACTCTCATTCATTGCTGGTGGAAACACAAAATAATACAGCCACGGTGGAAGAGAGTTTGGCCATTTCCTACAAAACTAAACACACTCTTGCCACATAATGTAACAGTTGTGTTCCTTGGTATTTACCCAAGGAGTTGAAAACTTAGGCCCACAGAAAAACCTTCTAGAAAAACATGGATGTTTCTAGAAGCTTTATTCATAACTGCCAAAACTTGCAATCAACCAAGATATCCTTCAGTGGGTAAATGGGTACAACCAGACAATTGAATATTATTCATTGCTAAAAAGAAATTAGCCATTAAGCCATAAACAGATACAAAGGGAGCTTAAATGTGTGCTACTAAGTGAAAGACGCCAAACTGAAAGGGCTACATATGGTATAATTCCAACCATATGATGTTCTGAAAAAGTCAAAACTATGGAGAGAGTAAAAAGTTCAGTGGTTGCTAGAAGTTAGGGGAGAGAAAGGGATGAATAAGCACACCACGGGATTTTTAGGGCAGTGAAAATACCTTGCACGACACTATAATGGTAGGTACATGCTATTATAAATTTGTTTGAGTTCATAGAATGTACAAAACTAAGTGAAGTTGCAACGTTAAGTGAATCTTAATGTAAACCACTGACTTTGGGTGATAATGATGGGTTGGTGTGGTTTCATTAATCGTAACAAATGTACCAGTAACTGTCCCAGTTGTAATCATCAGTTTTCAAATTCTTTTGGGCTGGTAAAAATTGTACATTCTGCGAATGGACAGACTAACAGAATACAGCAATATCACTGTGTGGTGTGGTGAGAAGAATCGTGATTACAAGCAAGAGTTATAGGCATAAATTATTAGAATGAAACAAAATAGACATCTACATTGAGAAATCTTCCTAGCAGTAAGGGGAGTGAACACACTACAAATCAAAATTCAAATACCTTGTAAACTGAAGCAAATTGCCTCTCCCTTTGTAACACTCTAGGCACCAGAAACAATAGCAGAAAGAAAAACATTAAAATATGCCTAGCATCTTTTCATCTCCATGTTATAAATACCTATGACTGAAAATCAGTATCATATCACATTAATTTACACTTACCTAGATCTAGTTGTCAATGCTTAAGATTTATCTTAGTCTGATAAATACTTCCTCTATTCTCAGAAAGACTCATTTTGCTAAAGATATTTCTCATTGGGCAATTTTTTTCCAATTTTTTTCTTCTTCAAATATCCTAAGTTCCCCCAATCTAAATTTTAAATAGCTGGAAAGCAAAATCCCCTAATTTTCCCACATTGTGCACGAAAAAGAGCTTAACACTTCATTAAAATCAAGTAAATAGACAATTATAAATAATAGTATATTAAATATTCATGTATTCTCTACCCAATAATAGTTACTTGCTGGTGGGAGAAATTTATCCTATTCCAATTGCACTGCTTAGTGAGAAAATAGCCGAATTATTGAATAACTAATGTTTTATGCTCCATTTACCTTAATCTTTCATGATTATGATCTCTTGGTGATTTTATCTTCTAATAATCTTAAGCGTTATACTTTTAAGCCATCTGAACTCACAAACTATAGAGCTAAACAAAATCACCCAAAAAGATCCAGGTATTGTGATATGGAAGTGGTTGGGATTGGCACTTCTGTGTCTCCTCCTCAAAGCATAGGTGCTGATGCTAGGTTGCAGGAAAACAGGTGGGCACTTGTCATGTGTTACTTAAAAAAAGAGTAATTTATATTAAACCTATAGAAAAATATATGGAATAATATAATAAACAGGTACCCAGTTTCCAGCTTGGCTTATTCTTAATATATTTTATATATATGTATATTTATATATATTTATATCTGATATAAATATATCATATATATAAATTTGCATTTTTTTAAAGAATATATATTTGTATATATTTTATATATATAAGAATATATATATTCTGTTAGCACTATAGATAATATATGTCATATATATGATATATAATATATTCTGATAACACTATATATAGTGTTAAGAATATATATATTCTCTTAAAAATACAAAAATATATAAAATATATATATTCTTTTAAAAACTATAAATATAATTTAACTCCCAGATGGTTCCCATCCCAATCTCATTTCCATGTCTCCATCCCCAAAAGAATCCTCACTAGAATTTTCATTTTTTAATTCCAGACCTATTTATATTCTTTTGCTACATATGTTTACATCAATATAAAGCTTACATTTAATTTGTGTTTGCACTTATGTATTTTAAATGAGTCAAAGTTGTGGCCCTTTCAGGCTGCTATAACAAAGTATTATAGACACGTGGCTTACAAACAACAGCAATTTATGTCTTACAGTTCTGAAGGCCGGGAGGTGTAAAATAAAGGTGCTGGCAGTTTGGTGCCTGGTGAAGGCCCACTTCCTTGTTCATAGACCTCTGTCTTTTTGCTGTGTCCTTACATGGAAGAAGGGGCAAGGCACTAAACTCTAATAAAAATGACATAATGACCAAATCACTTACCAAGGGCCCCACCTACTAATACCATCATCTTGGAGGTTATAACTTCAACATATGGATTTTGGGGGAAAACAAACATTCAGACCATAGCAGTTCCTAATGTGGAGAACTTGACATTATTATTTTTTCATGAAAAGTATGAATTTAGTGGAGAATACCAGGCCTGTCATCAAGAAACAGCCGTAGATTGGTGCTAGAGGTTTGGACTTGAAACCAGAAGGTCTAGTGTTAAACTGTGGCTAAAACTGTATGTCCTTGGCAAGTTCCACTACCACTCTGCAGATTAAAAAAAAATGAAGAAAATACCTACTTCCTTGAATTTTGTAACATTTATGTAAAATATGGCATACAGAATTGAGAAGCTATGAAATATTTTAGTCTTTTTGTTATTATTCTATTTCTTGTCATCTTTTTATCCTTAGATACAACTATTGTTTTTTTTCCACAAGTCAAAAGGCTAAATAGTTTTTAACAGTTCTGAAAAATTACCTGAGAATATTAAATATGTTTTTAAAAACTCTTCCTGAATCAGTGTGAACCCTACTTATTATATGCTAGTACAATGATCATAGAGAAATTCTATCAGATATATAGAAGAATTAAGCTCAGAGTTACAATATTATATAATGAAAGGGACTTCAGAGATTATCTAAGTCAGTAGTCTCACTTAACACATAAAAATAAAATACAGTGTAAGAGGTGACTTGTCAATTGTAAAGACTTTGAGCAGAAAATATCAACTGAATTGTTACAGTACCACTACCATTTAGAGTATTATTATTGCTTTTTATTTTTAGTATTGCTAATGTTGAAAAAGCTAAGCATTCCCCCACTGAAAATTATTAGTGCTGATATTTCTGTAGGTAGATCCTGATGGGAGATTATTTTTTTCTCTCCCAAAGAGTAGCCAGGCACTTATCCATAAAATTGTCTAATATAATAATTATAGGCCAGCTACATATATGCCTCTTTTTTGTTGTTATAAACTGCTATTTGCATGTGCGTCAGTGGCAGAGTTTTTAGTGATTAGGCTGTTGTTTTTTCTCATCTTAGATCAGGGCACAGACTATTTGCTCATTCCGGAGGAGTGAAGCAGCTGACAGATCAGATGCAGCCAGCAGCTCTCTGTCAGCCTGAAGATGAAGGGGATACTTGCTGGCAGGATAGGGGCTCCAGCAGCTGTTTCAGCTGCTATTCACTCCGGAGTTCAGGGCATGTGTCTCACATTACCTGTCTTTCAAAGAAGTCATCTTCCTACGTGGAAAGAAGATCCATAAATCCTAAAGAACACAAAGGTGAAAGAGAGCAGTACACATTATACATGTGCTTCATTCTTCAATCTATGCCAGAGTAAGAGCCTCACTCATTGATTTCACCCATTCCCCGGGCACATCCAAATTGCTTGAGTTTCAGCTACTCCCAGTTATGCCAGACAGAACCGCAACACATCTGCTGTAATATCTTGCAGCACTGAAGTTGGTGTGTAATAGCAGAAAGGACACCAGACCAGAATCTAAATTATCTGGGTTACAGTCTCGGCTCTGTGATGGATTAGCTATGTCACCTTGGGCAAACACTTTCTGTCTAGACCTCAGTTTTTTTAAATACCCAAATCAGATGGTTGCTCAGATGATTGCTGAAGTGCATTTTAGCTCTGATTCTGTGATTTCTAAATGAGTGATTACAGTAACAGCTACAATGCATTGGACATACACTTTGGACTAGACATTAGACAAAGTCTTTTATATGGATTAAAATACTCCTCAAAACAGACCTTTGATGAACTAAGTGATATCATTTGTTCATCAGTGGAGATGAACAAAAGGAGAAAAGTAATGCTGTGTGACTTCCTCAGGGTTCCAGTTAGTATGGAGAGAGGTGATATTCAAGCCTATTTCTATTTGATATGAGAGTTAGAGCATTAATATGCAGGTGATATAAAAATAAAACCCTGTGGGACTAGGCTTCAAGGGACCCAGGTTGTCCTATAATTCCCTGTATTTAGAATTTCCACAGGATTGAGGTTTTTACCTGAATGTCTGGTATCAAGTGTCTCCCTCCTCCCACAGCAAAATGAAATTCAGCATAGTCTCCTTGGAAATTTAGAGGCAATTTTATAATTTCCTTTGGAGATTTATGTAAAAAGAAAATAGCTTTTATTTTTTCTGTGAATGTCTCAGTTTGGAATGCTACTCATACATTAACAGAGAAGGTGACAGGTCTTATTGTTAGATACATTTGCACATTTATAATCTGTTAGAAGTTAATCTTTGTTGAATTTTTAAGTATATTATTGGAAGCATAAAGTATATGAGATATTAGAATAAATATTTTAAAATAACAATTGTTAGCATTTTTGAAGAAAAAATGCCAAGAGATACTTTTATTTCTCATGTTTTTGCTTTCTGCTAAGAGAAAAATAAAGAAGTCAGAGTTGTTGGGAAAAAAATAAATAACAGGAGGTTCTAGTGGCTGATCCTTGAGGGATCTTTCTTAGTGGTCATAGACAGTTTACATCAACTCACTATTAGCTTCTCCATTTGCAAAAAGGGTAAATGATACCTACCTCACAAGTATGAAGATACAATAATATATGAACTCATTAAGTACCCTCAGCTATGTTACTAAAACAAATTTATGCCTAGTGTTCTGTTATTGGAATGCTAAGCATGTGAGAGTTATTTGTATCCTGCTGCTCAAGGTCATTGCCAATGTCTGATTTTTCACTCATGCAAAAATTTAAAAATTGCAACCTCAGGCATGAATGGGTTAACCTTCTCATGAGACTCCATATTACTAGTATCTCTTCTGTGTTATTCATTGAGGTCAGAATGATCATTATGATATTATATTACTTCTCAGCTTAAAACTTTTAATTATTCCTCTTTGTCAAGGAAATCAGTCTCCAGTTGTTGAGCCTGGCATACAAAATCTGTCCTGATCCAACTGGAGTTCCTCTTTCCTGTCTTGCATGTCCTTATGTGATAACCTGGCTTTCCCCTTCCTTGCTGCCTCACCAAGGGCCATAAATAGTCAAATTGAGCTTTCACTGTGGCTGATTCAGGCTAGAATCCAAGATCTCATCTCTAGTTTTGGATGAAGTATTCCATTGACCCGGAATTCTCCTCCTCTCTTTCTAACTGACATGCTGTCCTCATCTTTCAAGACCATATCAAATGTTCACTTTTCCTAAGGGCCTTCCCAGACACTGCCTCCCCAGCTAGCCCTTTTTTACTCTCCACTCTTAAGGCACGTGGTGTTGGGTCACCTACCATATGGCGTTCCAAACATTGGTCTACTCCATAAGCCTGTAAAATCCAGAACTGCATCTCTTCCTTCCTATATTGTCTCTTGCCCCCTGGTGGAGTGGACATAAATTGCAACAAACAACCCATCAAAATCATGTTAAAGTTCATTTTATCCAGAATCTTCAGAAGCTATCTTAAAGATTTTTCCAGAGTTTAGACATCTTTCATTCAAAATAGCACAACCATTTTAAAAAGTTGGACCTATAAGATAGAAATAACCAAATAAATTAGTTTTTTTTAGAACATGTATCTTGGCCCTTTGTAGAATATAAATGTATCATGTGAATGCAGCTGAAGAATGTCATGCATATAGTCATGACTTCATATGGACAAAAACAATTAATTCACATGAAAATAGAAAAATATTACATAAAACTCAAAATGTATAGTGACTTAAACATAACACAGGCATTTTCCTAACTCTCCTCTGAAAATCAGAATTTTTAACACACTTCTCCAAATTGACCATGTTATAATTTGATAGAAAATAATTTATCAGGAAACCTAGGTTGAACTTCAGCCAGGCATGTGGATTTTGACACAACTAGAAAAACTTAAGTTGAGAATGGTGTAGTAGCTCTTCTGAACAGATAATCTACATCTTCTACTTGCTTCTGTTATACCTCAGATTTTCATTTTTTTTTTTTACCAGCCTGTACATATTGAGTAATTTCCATTTGTAACAAGTGATCTTCATTCCATAAAAGTTATGGTATTCTTTCAACACAATCTAACCTTTGACAATATTTTTTTATCGTGGGTCACAGTCAGTTGCCTGCTCATGCTGCACAGATTGGACCAATGCAACATTAGCACCTGGTCACTCACAGCCTGGCACATGCCACTATTATCAAAGGTGAAATGTTACTACAGAATATGCTTCCACTGTTTACCATGGAATGTCTTTACATAAACATGATCATTCAAAAAGTATTTAGAACAGTTCTATTGCTTAGACATCTTCATATTTCCCTGCAAGCAAGGTTTAGAAATACTCTGTGTTGCCTAGTGCCATTGTTTCCATATCTTTAAAGATCATGATATTATCAGTAATCATGGGACGAATTTTAGCATTCATATTTGGAAAGCAGAAAAAAGTAATTCTGAGGAGTGATTAGATGAGCTGTGATCTCTGAGAGTGTATTTGAATAATATAACCAGAACCAAATGCCTTGACCCCTGCGTCTTTAATGTAGATGCCTAAACTGAGTGACTCTGATTCTTGTGCATAACTTTCATAGCATAACCTTTCTCCTTTGGCCCAGCCAAGTGTGTGGGCTACATCAAAAATTGTTTGCTATTTTCCATTTCACCCTTTATCTCTGTCACCATTGCTTCAAGTTCTTTTCAGCAGTTCAGTATCTGTTATCTTGTCATATTTCAAGTATCTTCTTACTGGGCTTTCTTCTTGCAAACTAACTGGCTACTCCTATACAATTATCTATTTTTATGCCTGGGTGGTCTTTCCATAGTGTAAACCTAACCATGGCAGTGTCCTAAAACCTTGAGGGGCCATATTCTTTTCTCTTTCTTTCTTTTTCCTTTTTTTTTTTTTTTTTTTTTTTTTTGAGACAGAGTCTCGCATTGTCGCCCAGGCTGGAGTGCTGTGGCATAATCTCAGCTCAATTCAACCTCTGCTTCCCGGGTTCAAGCAATTCTCCTCCCTCAGCCTCCCAAGTAGTGGGGAATACAGGTGCCCACCACTATGCCCAGCTAATTTTTTGTATTTTCAGTAGAGACAGGGGTTTCACCATGTTGGCCAGGCTGGCCTTGAACTCCTGACCTCATGATTTGCCTGCCTCAGCCTCCCAAAGTGCTGGGATTACAGGCATGAGCCACCGCGCCTGGCCGAGGGGTCATATTCTTTAGAACAGTGAAATTGATTAACCGATCTAATTCTCCAGCTTCAGCTCTAACCATTGCCTACACCTAGGAAGCATCATTTCAGCAGTGCTTGTCAAAGAAAACCAGAACTGGAAGGTCATTAAAGTGGTGAAAAACAAAATTCTTTCAAGATTATTGCAATAGGGGAGAAGAGTATAGGACTGGGCTCAATTTAGAATACAAGTGAGCAAGTGGGGATTTATAGCCCAGGAGCATTGTGGGGCTAGTATGAAAAATTACTAAGAGAAAACATCAAAAACATCAACAACATAATGGAGATTCTGGCTAAACTGATCTAACAAGATTCTTGCTGAAGGCAGGCCAAGGGGATCAGACATCCCCTGAGGGATGGTGGAGGATGAGGAACCTGATTAGGTATTGAGGGTGATGGGATATGAAGGGTGGGGTGTTCTGGTTGAATTGGCTTAGCAGAATTTTTGCCAAAATTAGACAACACAGACAAAAACATGGGAGTCTAAAAGTTGAAGCCTAGTTGAAACATTCAGGAAGCCTGAGTAGAGTTTGGTCAAGGAGAGAATCTTTGTCAGCTTCACTCTTGCAGTTACTCTATTGAATGCATCAGTGTGTTTCAAAGGCTGATCACCTGGTATTTTTGTCTCTGAAATAATTTCTCCGTCATCTCCTTGATGCATCCTTAAAGAGTCAACTTGGCCGGGCGCGGTGGCTCACGCCTGTAATCCCAGCACTTTGGGAGGCCAAGGAAGGCGGATCACGAGGTCAGGAGATGGAGACCACCCTGGCTAACATGGTGAAACCCCGTCTCTACTAAAAATACAAAAAATTAGCTGGGCGTGGTGGCGGGCGCCTGAAGTCCCAGCTACTCGGGAGACTGAGGCAGGAGAATGGCGTGAACCCAGAAGGTGGAGTTTACAGTGAGCCGAGATAGCCCCACTGCAGTCCGGCCTGGGCGACAGAGCAAGACTGCGTCTCAAAAAAAAAAAAAAAAAGGAGTCAACTTAAGAATGTGAAAATTTTGTTTTAATCCTCCAACCACATGCTCCTGTGACAGAACTGATCAGTTCTTCTATATCTTCACTGTACTTTCTGAATATCTGTATTCATATATTTATGTAAGACACTGAAATTATTTATTGTTCTTTATCCTCTCTGATGTCAATAACTTATCCTGTAAATTGGAAGAAATAAATTGAACTTTGATATTTTAAACAAATAAATCAAATCTGTATATACAACATTTTTACATTTGACATAAAATAATGTTTTTAAGTTTGTTTTGTGTTTTGCTTCTAAGTTATTAAAGTATCCAAATAGAGGTTTATTTGATTAGCATAAATTCGACAAAATCACATATCTATGGTGACATTTCAGAATATCCAATTTTAAAAATATTCTCTGCATAGTACAAGTGTCTATTGAAAATCAGTTACTCTGTTAACTATAATTAAAATCTCTCCTTTACAGGGGTAGAATGTATGCTTAATTTTCCTAATATCTGTCTGATTGGATACTACTGGCAGTAATTATTTTTGTCTCTACAGTTGTTGACAGAGATGCTGCAGGGATGTATCAGCTGAGCCATTCCCTTGTTTATTTGTTCTAGCATTATTAAATTATGGCCAAACCACAGATTCCTTACAGAAACTTTTTTAGCACTCTTCTGATTTTACAAGGGCGAATTAAAGTCCGCTAGATGATATGATATGTAAATCCACTGAAACAGACATACATAAACTTCAGTGTCTCAATACAGTGAGAGCAAGTAAGTGAGCATACCGCTCTCAATGTCTGCTCGTTGTTGCTTGTCAGCTTCCCTGAAGATGCTTCACTTTCTGTAGCGATGTGACTATATGGCCCACATTCCAAGTGATGGTACCATCTCTCTCTCCCAAGAGACAAATACAGAGATAAGTAGACATGCACATACAATATAGATTGACACAGATATATACACATATATAATATTTATAAAAATTAATGACCTTCTTATTCTATTAAAAAAATCTTTTTACTAATACCTCACTATATTCTGTCATGCATGCTTGAAAACCTTAGAGCTAAATAGAGCAGGTAGGATAGCACTCAGAGGAGGAAGACAGGATCTGGATGCTTAGAATGTAATAGAAAAATTCAGGAATAGGATGTAAAGGTATATCTCAGGACAGAAGTCCTGTCTAGGAATCAAGAGTATCAAAAATGAAATGAGGAGAACTCTAAGAAATGGTTCATTTTTGTTCAAAGCAGAGTCTATTTTCAACTTGATTGTCCATGCTATTAGCATATTCAAGAGTTTGGTATACCTACTTGAGGCACTCCAAAAAACAAAGAAGGAATTCTTTATATGAGTTGAGGAAATAAGAGACAATATTTCACAACTACAGCACATACACAACTTTTCAGTACAGACATGTATGAAATTTTAAGAACAATGCCTTAAACAAGAAGGGTGACCGCATCTAACATGTATTAGAAGATTGTTCTTGGCTCTTCTGCTGGTGGTCTTTTTCTTCCCAAATACATCAGTTTAGTAATACTCATGCTAATGCATTTCTGATAGACAGTTGAAAGAACCACAGAGGAGCTGGAATTATTTGTTGCGTCCTTGTCTGAGTCTGTGTGTCTCTGGCCAAGTTGGGACACTGTGATTAATATGAGATACAGATGTCAGCTGTGCAATCAGCGGCCGACTCTGGCTGGCTGACTGACAGGCAGATTTGGTTGTGCAGGTGACAGTTTCCATTTGCTTGGGCTTGTTTAAGTAATTCCCTCCTTTAGAGGAAGGAGAAGTCTCTCTGTGGCAGCAAAAATAATAATATTTATTCCTCAGACTGTGAAGACCTAGAGACCAGAGATCAAGCTATGGATTATGGGACTTTTTGGTAATGTTTCTGTCAACTGAAATAGATGCTTAGTGAAGCCTTGTTAAATCAATATAGAAACATATGACCTTTCTGCTTTTATTCCCATAAACTGATTTCCAAATGAGAAGAATAATTCATGTAATTTATTCAAAATAGATAAACATTTGGTTTCCAATCTTGTATCTGCCACTTATAAGCTGTGTAACTTTATGAAAGTTAAATATGGCATTCTGAACCTTACTTTCTGAATCTGTTATATAAGAATAATAATACCTATCTCATGTACTATTGAGATGATTAAATGAGATAATCTATAATAATTCATATGGCTCACAATGGGTACTTAATAAATGGTAGTTATCCTTGTCTCCTTTTCTATTCCATTCTTACCAGCAGTAGAAAACACAAACATGTGTTCCAATAACAACAAAATTGCTTATTATAAACCCATCCTGTGCTAGTGCTTTATATATATTATTTTCCCCAAAACACTGTGAGGTAGACATTATTATAATTATCTTCATTTTATAGATAAGAAAACTGAAACATAAAGTAGTGGGTTCAAATACAGCTCTATCTGTGATCTTAGTAGTTCTAAAGCTGATTGCAGTCATGCTGCCCTATGTAAATGGAATTAATAAGATTTTTAACATCAAGTGACTTATAAAAAACTTTATAATTAACCTATGACTCTCACCCACGTATGAGTGGGCATAAGAGGGCAAAGATCCCACAATACACACACAAATGCACCTTGTTATATGATCCTACAGTTACAAACCAGAGACACCAGCATCATTGTTATTTCTCTTCACAGTTGGGAATCTGACTACCTTTCAAAGATGGGACTTAGTCACTGATTTGCCAGACCATAATGCAATTTTTTCATAGACAAAAATACTTCACTTTCAGGTCTGTCATCTCATCCCCTAGAACACTGGATGGTTGCCCATAAAGCTGTGCCATGGCGTCACCCTCACTCAATTATACTATCTAGTCATCTCAAGAAAGCTTTTAGTTTCAGATAAGTCTGAAGAATTAGAGGCTGGTTTAGGAACAGAAAAAAAAAAAAAAAAACCAAAACTTCTATTAAGTGAGTATCACAAAGATGTCAAATAATTTATCAAAAAAAAAAATTCAGTAGAGAAAGACAACTCTTCAGCAATCCTTAGCCACTTCAGTTACGTTTATTCATTCCTGCTGTGCTTTCTTACTGAACAACAGATATCCAGAGTCAACTACTTCCACTCTTTGTCCTTCTCTTCTGAGCCCAGAAACCTTTATCACCTGGCTGCATATCTTCGTCCTTGAATTGCTACCCACTTTCAAGTGACTGCACAACAAATGTGTGCTAAAACAAACATGGCTCCAGTCCTAGTTCTACCACTGCCTGTCTTGCTGATTTGTTTCTTTGGCTGTGCTCTCTATTCCCTCAAATATAATTTTAAAATGTTTAATTGAGTTATCCCTAAGACTAAGTCTAATATATTTTATTATTCAGCCCATAATCCCTGTACTCAGTTTCCCGCATTCATCTTCCTCTTCAGATTATCTGGCACTATTCTCATCAATCCACTGGTTTCATCTCAATTGCAATCCTCATCTCTCTTCCGAATTTGATGCTATTGTCTTGCTTTCTCTATAAAATTATTCCTTTTATTTCTGTGATAATCTGTGTTCAGTTTCTTCACATAACTCTCTAATTTGGTCCGTAGTATTTACTTCAAGCTTCTGTGATATTCTGAAAATTCTAGAGATTAAATTTTCAAGTATTGGCTATGATGTGAAATAAGAAGGCCAAATGAACTTTGACACATCTTACTTAATCATGGTTATGCCAAGAACCCTATCAGTGAAGACAGCATTAAAAATTGATAATACTTGGCCACATGCAGTGGCTCACAACTTTAATCCCAGCACTTAGGGAAGCCGAGGTGGATGGATCATTTGAGCCCAGGAGTTTGAGGCTGCAGTGAGCTATGATAACACCACTGAAATCCAGCTGGGTGACAGAGCAAGATCCTACCTCCAAAAAGAAGAAGAAAAAAGGTAATACTTGCCCCTATAGATCCAGGCTCCAAGCCCACACTTGTGCCAGGCCTGCCCTCATGGACCAAGACCCAGAGGACCTAGGCTCCAAGTCTACTCTTTTTTATTTATTTTATTTTTTTTTGAGATGGAGTTTTGCTCTTATTGCCCAGACTAGAGTGCAATGGTGAGATCTCGGCTCACCACAACCTCTGCCTCCCGGGTTCAAGCAATTCTACTACCTCAGCCTCCCAAGTAGCTGGGATTATAGGCATGCAGCACCACACCCACCTAATTTTTTGTATTTTTAGTAGAGATGGGGTTTCTCTGTGGTGGTCAGGCTGGTCTTGAACTCCTGACCACAGGTGATCGGCCTTCCTTGGCCTCCCAAAGTGCTGGGATTATAGGCATGAGCCACCATGCCTGGATTTCAAGCCCACTCTTATAGATTCAAGCTCCAGGCCCACCCCAGCACAAAAATTGGCCCTGTAGGCCCATACTCCAGACCTGCCCCCTCGGTCCCAAACACCAGGCTTGCCTCCATGGACCCACGCAACATGCCCATCCCAGTAGACCCTGGTTCCAGGCCAGCTCCCATGGACTCAGAGCCAGGCCCAACCCTGCAGATGCGGGAACCAGGCCAATCTCAGTATAAGCAGGCCATAGGCCTGTCTTAATGCTCCCATGCCCCATAAAATATACAAACAACTTAAAATGGCTTAAAGATCTAAATGTGAAACCTAAAGCTGTAAAACAACTGAAAGAAAACATAGGAGAAAAGCTTCATGAAATTGATCAGGGAAAAGATTTTTTGGATATGTTTCTGAAAGCACAGGCAACAAAAGCAAAAATAGACAAATGAGGTTGAATCAAACTGGAAATCTGCACAGCAAATGAAGCGATCAAACTAAAGAGACCATTTATGGAATGGGAGAAAATACTTGCAAGCCATACATCAGATAAGGGTTTAATATCCAAAATATATAAGGAACTCAAACAACTCAGTAGCAAGAAAACAAATAGCTAAATAAAAAATGGACAAAGGACCTGCATAGACATTTCTCAAAAGAAGACTTACAAATGGCCAACATGTATATTCTTAAAAGCTCAACATCAGCAATCATCAGGGAAATGCAAATCAAAACCACAATGAAATATCAACTCATAGCTGTTAAAATGCCATTATCACAAAGACAAAGGTAAGTACTGGCAAGGATTTGGAGAAAAGGGGAACTCATATACACTGTTGATGGGGATGTAAATTGGTACAACCATTATGGAAAAATGTAGGAAAGTTACTCAAAAAAAAAAAAAGAATTACCATGTGACCCAGACCCAGCAATACCACTTTGGGATATATATATGGTTATATATCCAAAGGAAATGAAATCAGTATCTTGAAGGGATATCTACACTCCTACTATAATTGCAGCATCATTCACAATAATCAGCTAAAATATCCAGCAACAGATAAATGGACATACATACTGCATTTTATCACACACACACACACACACACACACACACACACATACAGGCACAAAAAATCATGAAGTCAATTATATGTGGAATCTAAAAATGTTGAACTCATAGATGTTTGTCAGGGTAGATGGGGTGAGGGAAATGGAAAATGTTGGTGAAAGAGTATGAAATTGTTATATAGATTGAACAAGTTCTTAAGATCTCATGTACAGCATGGTGACTCCAATTAATAATACTGTATTGTATAGTTGAAATTTGCTAAGAGAAGTGATCTTAAGTGCTCTAATTCCAAAAAATAAAAAAGATAAATTATGTGAGGTGATGAATATTTTAATTAGATTGATAGTGGTAAACATTTGATAATGTATATGTATATTGAAACATGTACACCTTATACAGTATTTATTTGTCCACCATACCTTAATAAAGGTGGAAAAAAGAGTAATGCCTACATGGCGATGGTGCGTTAAATATTCCTACGCATTTTGTCATTAGATCCTTAGTACAATATAGAAGGCAACTCATAATAAGGAGACGCAGTTTTGGATATGCTGATGCCCCTTCCTCTTCCTGTGATGGCTGAAGTGATTATCTCAAAGATCCCTTCTGGCATCTTCAACTCATTCTTTAATTTAAAAGAGAAAATTTAAAGAAAAAAAGTGGGTATTTTGCGTGTTAATTTATTTTTATATCATTCTTGAAGTGTGTTTTCTATCTGTTTTTATTCATTAGGGTTTTTCTGGTGTTATTATTGGAGAATTCACAGGTTTTATAAGAGCTGATAACTGTATAGAGAAAACAACCCTGACAGCCCTCCTACTGCTACCTAGCCAACTGTGCTATTGATTATATGGAGGTTCCATGCAAATAAATGTGTGGTCTGCCTCAAACTCATCCTCATACCTGGGAAAAGCATGTGTCCCTGGTCACCGATTTTATCATTTGCAGAGCCAAACCACTGGCCACTGTGCCCAGGGAAGTGGGAGCCTTGACTACATTTTACCTCTAATTCTGGACACAGGACTAAGCAAGCATTCCCATGCCAGTGGGTGAAACCTAGAGCATTGAAGATTTTCAGTATCACCATTGCTGAACACATGGTTAAAAGTAGTATCTAATGCCCTTTTCTCAGTTGCTTCTCAGTTGTTTCTTGGTGAACTATTTTAAAAATATTGGAAATTTAAAGTAGTGTTAATTCTGAAAGTGCTTCTCTGACTTCAGAAATTGTCTACTTGCTTTCTTCTTAAATTATACCACTTAGAAGAAAGAAATATGTGTTAAACAGACAGACTGGGGTTTGTGGAGGCAGGAGTGGGGTTGTAGAGAAAAGCCGCCTTGCTTGCAAGCCAGGAAGTTGGCCCTCGATCTTCCTGGGAACAGAAATGAGAGAACATTCCCACCTTCATCTCCAGCCTCTGAAACTATACTTGGCAAGAAAGGAGATTTGCCAGAACACAGACACCTCCTCAGATTATGCCATGACTTTTCCTGCCTGATGAAAATCTACATCCCTGTCAGTGGAGATGCACCCTTGGAAGGAAGATTCATAAAGGCAGACATCTGTCAGGGAAACTGATGCCCTGTGTTTACACGGAAACTGGCTCTTCTCAGATTTGCCCTCAGATGGGTCCCAGGCTGGAGCGCACTGCAGTTTGCTGTCCTTGGCTGCACTCAGATTGCATTTGACATGAATGTAATAGTCAAAGCCTGGTATGATGAACTCCCAAGACGACTCCCGGTCATCTTGACCAAGTTTGAATCCTGGTCTTGCCACTTACTATCAAGATCTGGATTTGTCTATTATTTAGCCATTCTTAAGCCTCAGTTTGCTTGCATGTAAAATCAATATCAGACTGCCAATTCGTTAGAACAGTTGTAGAGCTCCATGATATGCTGTAGGTGAAGTGAGTAGCACCTCACCTAACAAATTCACACTCATTAAATGTTATTTTCCCAGAGGCATTCTGTGGATGCCAGTGTCAAGAAGGATCAAGTGTATTCAGGGGAAGCATCACTGCTACAATCCCTTCAGAGTCTAGGAGAAAAGGAAGCAGTTGGAAAACATAATCTCCCCTGGCCTTCTCTCTGCCAACTCAGAGAACCAACCGGAGCCTTGGGGATACATAAACTCAACCTCAGAGATAAGGACAATTCAGCATGCTGCTTCAGCTACTCTGCCTCTTTTTAACACTTACAGCCTGGTTGAAAAATTCTCCACATAGGCATGATTAGTTATCATGATACCAGATCACTTGGCAAAGCTCCCTGAGCTATCAGACCACTGTATTTGCCTTAAGAAAACCCCTGAAAGCATGCTGATTTGGAGGGAGTCCACACAGCCCCAGCAACATATGAGCTGTCAGAATGATGTTCTGCAGAGGAGAGTACAGCTTTATATTCTGGGTTGCCTAGATTAAATATCACCTCCTGTGGGTATACGAGTGTGTGTGTGTTTGAGTAGGTGGATGTGTTTATATGGGAAAGGCCTTCTTTTTTTGCGAAAAGAAAAATTCTTTTAAATCGAGTACAATTTTAAAACCTGCCTTTTGTACATATGTATATTGACTGACTTTAAACATTTATTCTTTAATTTGATCAAATCATTTAATTCCATAAATATTCACTAGAGAATATTTTCCATAAAATTCACTAGAGAAATTCTCTCCAGTGGTGGGACGGTAGAATACCATACATGGAGTTCTAGTGAACTTTTCACTGGATGATAATCACTCCTGATTTATTTCAAATGGGCATTAAAATCTCAGTGACAAGATCTGCAGAGGCATCAGGTACAGGGTGTCAAGTGGCCCTTAAGCCTAAGGAGTAACAAGAGGCACGGGAAGCACTTGGAAGATGAATGTGATTATTGCTTTCAGGATAATGCCATTTAAAGACGAAGCATTTGGTATTAGGCACAGAAGAATTATCTTCTGTGAAAAAGAAAAATTTCATTTCATTTTTTTTAAAATAATCACCAGATATAGTCTTTTCAAATTAAAAGTCTCCATTGGTATCAGACAGCCAGCACCTGGGGAAGGCCAAACATGAATGCATATGATGGCTCCAAATAGCACAGATAAATTTAGAAGCTTCACTCACCAAACAGGATGGGATCCCTCTGGCTCTTAGGCCTGGTTGTGCTTGTATTCTGAACTGACACATACTGCACACTGGTGTCCTTTGCTCACATTGCTTTTCTCCGTCTATAACCTACTTGTGTCACCTCTACTCCCTCTTGCTTGCCTACTAAGCTTCTTATTGACATACTCAGATCTTTAGCTATTCGATTGATGTCTTTGAATAAATGTGGGTATCCGTAAGTTCATCGGCATGTGTGTTAGGGTATCCCTGTGGGTTTATGTACATTTGTATATGTTTACATATATGTAAGTGGACTTCAGAAAAAGCCTAGATTTGGGCAGCCACTCGGATCTCGACTCGCTTCCTCCACTTAACCATAGGTCTTTGGCACTATTCCACATTAGGTAGAAGAGCATTCTCTCTGGAGGATTAGGGTTGTATAGTTCCCTGTCTGTAGAGTTTAGAACAAGGAACTTCCTCCCTCCTGTTTTTTCTTATCTGCCTCCTTAACAAAGCAGGCAATGAGAAGAGCTATTACACGTTTAGGAAAAACATTGCCCAGATTTTTATTTCAGTAACTGCTTTCAGGACAGCAGGAATCCTGTATGTCACAGATGTACCAATTATGGTATTATAATGATGGAAACGAAAAGAAACATAACCATTTATTACCACCACCATGAAACCAAGTGTCACATACTCTGGGGTGAGCTGGACCTTGAGAAGTCATTGTTCCAGTCCAAGTTTTCTGAGTGAAAGGCAACTCCCTCCACTTCCTTCTGTTGTTTCGTGACATTACTGATATAGGTCAGACACATCAAAACTAGTTTTCGTTACGTGAGAACACAAAAGAATATTTAAATTCTTAAAAATTGTGAGTGTTTCTAATAACTTTTTAAAGCTTAGAAATATCCAGAATAAAAGAGAACAGCACTATATAAAAAGTTAAATTAGTGGCTACCATGTACCAGGCATTTTTATATAATTCTCAATAGTCAGACTTTTCAACCATTCTGCGTAGTGATATTGCTGCTGAAAGTCGGGGTGGTTAAATGACCTGACTTAGACTATACACCTATTAAATAGTAGAGCAAGAATAGTAGCTATATCTTTCTATCAGTAGTCATCTATTAAGCTAGGAGTTAAATGGGCACACAAATGGATTTCCTGTTGCTTTCTTCCATTTCTAGGCCTTAGTATCATGTTAGTGTAAATGAAATCCTTTTCCTCTTTTATTTTCAAGCCAGGGCTCTAACTTTTTAGATTTAGGAACCACATCAAATTCCATTCGGTATCAAATCTAATATATAATTTATAGTAGGTACTTAATAAAAATATGTTGATATTGACTGTTCTTAATTTCTTGAAGAATAGTTCATATCTCTGTCTCCTTTCACCTATTCTTAATTGGCTTTCTTCTCTCACTTTTTATTCATATATAATCTTCTTTTCCTGACTCCATGGGTTAGAACTACTTAATTGTTTGAAGTTTGTAAAGTTTTCAGCCAAGTTTAAGGAAAACACCAAAGACATTGAAATGAAATGACTGTAAGTTTTTTAAAAAATACTCTTGGGTATAAGTTCTTTTTTAGTTCTCTCTCTCTCTCTCTCCGAAGGACCACAATGTAAAATAAAATGTAGGAATAATAAAAATTGTGCTGATAAGATATTTGTTCAATATATAAAATATTTCTAGATTTAAAGTTTATTTCTGGGACCAGGGCTTTAAATGCTAGCTGGTTATATGTCCCACAATGTTATCAGGTGCCTACTCTGTGCCAGATTATGTACTTGGGTCAGAATGTAGAGAGGAAAGGCATGGTTTCTACCTGTAAGCAGATTAAGGTCTGATGACCTCAGTATGAGGTTTAGGGCTATAATGTCTAGACATGTAAACCAACTATCGCATTGCCATGGGACAAGGGCTATAATAGAGACTATGCAAGTATTTTGGAAGAACAGAATAATGGTATCTTACAGAGACCTTGGGTCAGGAAAGTTTTCCTAAAGAAGTTGGCACACAAAAGGAGATTTGAAGAACCAACAGTAGTAGTTGCCTCCATAGAAAAGAGAAAGAGAAGAGGAAGTAAGCAATTGGATGAACCTCGAGGTTCTTTCCTTTATAATTTACAAGGTTAGGTTAGGCTTAATTTAATCTGTTTATTTTTTATTTTATTTTTATTTTTTGGAAACCTGCTTCTTTAAATACATTTACAAAGTATTTATTACTACTTTTGCTCTTTTCATTTTGTAAGGCTGGCTGAATTCGCAATATAATTTGTCAAAATCTTAGCCAAACTGTCTATTTATCTTCAATTAATTGAAATAGTGGAGTGGGTTCTGAATTTGTATTGTCTAATTTTTTACATTTCTAATTAAATAAAATTCTGCTACCATGAAGTCTCAACCACTTTAACAAAGGTTTGCCTAGTGAATATCCATGACTTCCTTTATTGAAAAGACAAGATTTGTAATGAACATGTCAGCTATTGAAAGCAGATGCTTTATGTTAATTGAAAGTAATTTCTTCTCTTAAAGTGGTTAATTGTATTTCCTAAAGTTTGTATAATACCATTCATTTGCTCAGAGATGTATTTTTTTCACAAATAGAATACTAGTAAGTTTCTGCCCAACTCATCCTAAATGATGAGTTACAAATTACTGTATTGCAGATGAATGTGGTATTGCAATGTATATAAATGAACATTTGTTATTGCACTGTAACAGGATTTAGATTTACAATCTTTAAAATGCAAAACCAGCAAGAAATGTTTGCAAAAACTTTTTTTGGTTTAATACCATAACAAGAATTATACAATTAGACCCTTAACATCCATATTAATGAGTAGCCTGGGGTTATAAAATAGATAAGGAGAGGGGAGGAAGGCAGAAAACTGAATAAGAATTGATCACTTTTGCTGCAGATCCTGAGAGATGAGGTCATATCCATTGCAACACCTTACACATTTTACCTAATACCAAATTGGGCTTTGTACAAGCTCTACCACCAGGTGAATGTGTGAATGTGAATGGATCATTTGTTTATTTATTTTTTTGTAGCTGCGTTGTGTTCCATTAAGTCTCTTCTATAAATATATTGAATTCTGATCTTGTATGCAAATATTTATAATGCCTTTATTCATCATTAATAAAATTTAAAAGCAATCCAAATATCCATCAACAGGTAAATATATACCTGTGATAATTACATATAATGAAATATTTCTCAGTTACAAAAAGACACCAAGTGCTGATGCATGCATGGGTGAATCTCAAATACATTGTGTTAAATGAAGAATATAGATTTAAAGACAATATGATGTTTGGTTCCATTTAGATGACATTCTAGGAAAGGCAAATTATAGGGACAGAAAATATATCTGGGGTAAAAATAATGAGCTAATTGTCCAATCCAAAAGTCACCAAAAGAAAAACAGAATTAACCCAATGAAAGTAAGAGGAAGAATATTAGTAAGTATAAGAAGACAAATTGGAGAAAGAAAAATCAAACCAAAAATTTAAAAATCCACAAAACTAAATGTAACTTCTATGAAAGAAAATAAAAGAAAAAAATGATGGAATTCATCCCCATTCTTGGGGTATTCTTCTGTGTGGAGCATGATCTGTTAACAGAATCTCACTCCACCCCTCACAACTTTGCACTTAAAAAGGTGGAGGTAATTAGTGTGTTTGGAAAGCGTAGCTGGCCACAATTAGCCAGTGTCTCTCTGTCTCTGTCTCTTTCTCTATTTTGCCCTAGACACATAGACACATGGAATTCAAAGTAAGAAAGAAAACTAAGACGTGAAGATTCTGGAAAAATAAAGTAACCAAGTTTAACATATTTGGTAAGCAGGGCTGCTGTTGCACAAATGTGGCTCCATAGAAAAGATGGTCAGTGTGTGTGGAGCCCCTCCACCCTCCACCATTTACTGAAAATGCACATGCTCAAATTAACATTTTGATGGGCAGTTTAAATTCATAGGTCATGGATTCTGAATTGCTTGAATGATGGCATGGCTAAATAAGGATTTTCTCTATTTATGTTCTCTCAATCAGTTACCATTGAGAATGCAATATGATCTTTGACATCTCCAAATACTGACTTCTGGGAACATAATTTTGCCTGGGATAACTGCTCTGTGCTCTGAGGATGCTGTATTATTTTGTGTGTGTGCAGTCAGAGTGGTCATACTCTAGGATGTCCTGTTAATGAATTGGATTTTAAAAATGAGCAACCCCAGAAACTTGGTATTGATTAATTTAATTTCCAAGGACTCAAAGGAGTCCTACCCATTTCTGGGAAAGGTGGTTCAGGCTGAAGCCACTGAAGAAAGTAAATTAATTCCTTATTGAGAGTTAATTATATGCCAAGAAATCTTTTAAGGAGTTAACATACATTACTTTAGGTAAAACTCACATTGTCTTTTTGAGATGGCTAATAATATTTCCATTTTACAGATTAGGTATCTGAGAGACAAAGAGCTTAAAAAACTTCTCCATGGTCACACAACTATTAAGTAATCTCCATAGGATTCAAATGCAGGAAATCTGATTTAGACTCCGTGCTTTTATCCATTACATTCAAACACCTAGACAAATACAACTAAGCTTTGAAATTGAGCTGAAATAAGAAGTTGAGGTAGACTTAAATTTCTGGGAACTAGTAACATAGAAGGGAAATATAATTTTGGATCTATCCATCTTTTGACCTTTTGGCTTTGACTTACAAGGGGATTTGATAGTTGGCTCTGTTTTCTTGTTTTTTTTTTCCCCAGGAGAATCTGATGATGGCAGGAGATTTATATTTGCATCTAAAGCATCTCTGTGCTGCTGGAATTTTATTGTTACAGTGTCTTTATGTAGTTTATTATTAAAACATAGTTATGATGTCATTTGAGCTCATCGAGGACCTCTGAAAAAGTGGCTAAACGTAATTTGAGAATGGAAATAGAATAAAGAGTGACTTTTCAGCCTTGAGTACAGAGTGGCCTTGGAAATGATTTAATTAATGCACTCTTCTGACCCATATCCGAGAAGAAAGCCAGACAAGCAGTTGTTAAATGTAGAGTGGCATCGTGAAGGATTATTCCGAGGGACAGCTAATCGTTTCCCAGAAAGGAGGTAGCACATCTCAACTGACCATAACTTTAATAGTTAAGCCAATGAATTAAGATAACAAAACCTGGGTAATACTGGGGTGCTAATGCTTCTTCTTTTCCCCTGATAATTACCTCCATGTGAAAAGAAACACTTTGGCATAATTCTCTTGGCCCTTTGCTACCTATTATTCACTCTGTCCAAGGGAAGACGAAATGCTGTGACTGATTGGAAGGAGAAAGAAGGCATGAGTGGCCAGCACTTTCCTTTTCTTCTAACGAGCCAGCAGACTGCAGATAATGTACATTGTGTTTTGGATCTCTAGGAGTAGCTCTGCCTTAGGACTGGAGCTCTGCTCCAGTCCAGTACTACTGAGTGGGACAAATGTTCTCACTCAAGGGTTCACTACTACAAAGTCCACTTTCTTGTAGATAACAGAAACACTTAATATCAGCATTAACATTCCAAAATGTTTATTCTGTTTTCTACATATCTTATTCCTTTTATCTTATTTTTGAAGTGGTTTAGAACTCTGGCAAGGAAAAGGGCTGCAGGTGATTTTTCCCTGCCAAATATCCCAACAACAGACAAACCAATGATGTGATTGACAGGAGAGGTGGAGGGAGGGAAGAAGAGAAAGAGAGAGGGGAAGAATTCATGAAGGGATAACTCAGAACTTGCACCATGCTGATTTGTGGCAAAGAATTTTAGAATACCTCAAGAATTAGAAGGCCTGGATTGATCTAAAAGTGAGGAGTAAGGGTGCAGGATAGAGCTTGAGAGATTGAGGCAGTAGAATTACTTGAATAGTTGCATAAAAAGTGCAACTGGGTAATAGTTCCATTATTAAACTATTAGAAGACTAAAAGCTGAATGAGAGGGAATCAGATCTGTGTGCATTAAGTACCATGTGAGGCCAGGTAACATAATGGAAACAGAGATTAACAGTCTCCTGAGAAGATATACACCTCGCTACCTTCTTTCATATTTGGATTCAGGAAAACTCTGGTAGCTGGGCCTATTACTCTCAGCTAAAAAAAGAATGAATTTTGCTTTCTGGGAAAACTGACAATCCTAAGAGAATGATAATAAATCTAGTAATTGGGACTTACCCAAATAAATGGCCAATAGAGATCATACTGCAATAAAACCAAGCATTGAGAAAAGCTTTCAAATAGGGTTCTGGTACTTCACTCAAATACAGACATACAGTTTATAATTAGCAGATATTTAAACTGAGTCTATAACATGAAAACAGAAATTGAAACAGCAGAAAAAATGGAAGTGGAAGAAAAATTTATGAAGAGTAGGGAGAAAATTCCACAAATACATGTGTGTGAATATATATGGAGATACATAATTTTTTTCAGAGTGATAAAATATTATTTCCATAAGAAAGAACTGAAATTGCACATCAGGTTATTCAGAAAAATAACAGAAAACAATTTCCATATCACCCCCAAAATCTTGAAAATTAAAAATATAATAACAGAAATTAAAATGCTAATAAAGTTTTTAGAAAATAAAGCCTCAGAAATATACCAGAAAGTAGTATGATAACAAAAATTAAAGGACAACAAAAAGTAAAAAAAAAAAAAAAAGTTAGAGAATCAGCCCCAAATTTTAAATGCTCACATATAGGGAGTTTCTGTTGAAGAGAGCAGAGAAAACAGACGCTAAGAAATTATCCATGAAAATTCAGTTCAGAAGAACTACTGAAAATCGAAAGCAACTTCCTGATTAAAAACACCTACACAGTGCCCAAGTTCATGACATCAAAACAAACTCATACCAACACACATTATTGTAAAATTTTAAAAACAAGAGATCAAGAAAAGATTTTCAAAGTTTTCACAAAGGAAAAAACAAACAAAACACTTCGTGACATAGAAAACAAGAATAAAAAGAATGAATGTTTCCACAGCACTAAAAGCTAGACTAAAATGAAACAATGCTTTCAAATTTAAAAGACAAATTCATCCTACCTAAGATTTTATGTCAAGGTATGAGTCAATTACAAAATTAAAAAAAATTTACTCCCTAAGTGTTCTTTCCCAGGAAGCAATGGATAGAGGGAGGTGTGTAATTCAGGAAGTAGGATTCTTCTTTAGCACAGAAGACAGAAGAAGGGGCTTTTCATGACGAAGGTGAAGAGAGACCCCAGACTGACAACTGTGCAATTGCCCTAGAGGAAAACCACTTCAGACTGAACTAAGCAATCTTAGTGCTGCTGTCTATAAAGAAAAGGTGAATTTGATAGAATAATTGAGGCACAAGAAAGACTCAGAGAAGTATAGAATCTCAACACTTACCTGATAACATACCCAGAGCAAATATTTTGAATTATCATCCTTAGTATCTTTTGACCTTCCCTAAACACGTTGAGTTTAATGATTTGGGTTTCTACCATCCTTGTCAGAACCTGAGGAACAGAATATCTCCCTACCTCTTCACTGTTCTTTCACTCTGCATCAGAAGTTGTCTGTGCTCATTACCTTTTGCTATGTGACACGGAATTAGAAAAAAAAGGAAGAAAAAAAAAACCCACCCTGCTACCAGCTAGCTAGCTAACAAGGTGCTGGGACCAGTATGGTACTAGCATAATTAATGTAAACATTAAGCACTGTTAGAAAGCCTGTACAGAAGGAATTAGCTAGTGGTATTTTCAAGCTTTTCAGCACTATGGTGATAAGAAAAAAAAAATAGAGAGGGTTTTGAGTCCTTCCCAAATTGTGAATATGGGTGACTATCTGCTATAAATATATGTAGACTGAGAGCTATTCTTGTGGGAAGCTATGCCAGGCTCTCAAAGGAATCCCTATTAATGCCTAGCATAGCTTCTTGGCCATCTGTCCCAAGGTTGGAGTGGAATCCCACAGCTACAGATGTGAACATCAATGGAAAAAACAAATTTATTTGCTGTGCCCTCAAGCACTATAAACACAATGTGGGGAGACATTTCTGCATTCAAGGAGACCAGCTCACCAGGCTGATTTTATGTCCTCATCTGTTCTTCTTCTGACAGGTGCTCCGGAATTGCTTATAGAGTTTTCACAAGGAATTATTCATGCTTTTTATTATTTTCACATAACCCAAGACTTGGTTATTGAATTTTTTTTTACTAACCATATTTCTTACAACCCAATAGTTATTTTTCAATATGTGAGGGTGGTTGCCCCTCCTTAGAGACAAAAGCCACATTTGGATCTCTTGTTTTTCTTGATGTAAAATCTAGCCTTGGTGGTCATTGGTTTTTCTTTGTACATTCTTACTTTATCTTTTCATATCAACAAATACGCAATCTATTATTTTTATCACCTTCATGTCCGATTTACAGCATCAAAGGGGGAGATATGATCTACTCACACGTTTCTATCAAATGAGACTATCTACTTTTGATGTAGAAAGTCAAGAGTTAGTCACTAAAGTAATGACTATCTCTAAAACCTTTGTCATAGAGCTGGAAATCTAAGCCTCAAAGAAAATTCATTTGATTCTTAGAGATCAAGATTGTCAAATGACAAGTATCTTCATCTCTGCATCACCTCTATTCCAGGCAGGGGATAATTTTACACAGGTATTACGTATTTCTACTTAAAGTAAAGCAAAAGACAAAAGTATATAAATAAGCCTTTGTCTAGGTAGGTGCAGATTCTCCTGTTCAAAAAAGTTTCAGCTTTTTTTTTTTTATTTGTGTGCTTGCTACATACTGCAAGTTTACATGGCAGCATTCTGACCATTGTCGTCCCTGTGCACCTGCCACGGGATTCAAGCAGATTTAAGAAGATAGAACCTAAGCTTCTCTCTTAAGAATGACTGATGGACTTGTGATGAGAAAACAGTGGGTGCAAGGCTTGCATTGGTTGCTCTTTATTTCTCCAAATTCAGATGTTGCAATCTGTTAACTGCTTAATTGTAAAAAAAAAAAAAAAAAAAGGCAGAATTCCCTGTGTTTGCTCTTCTTTCCAACCATTCATCATTCTCTTCTGAAGCAGTCCTCTTTTCCCAAATTTCTCCTCACTCCTTCATATGAACTTTAATTGCAGCTACCTTCACCAAATAAATTCCTTTATTTTGTAAAGTAACATGATATTTGGGAAAAAAAAAACAAAAATTGGGTTGGATAAAACTGAAGGAGCCTAATCTTTTGAACTTGTTCTATTTTACTTTCTGGAACTCTTGCCCTAGGGAGAAAACACCTGTCCTCTTCTCTTCACCTCACTTCTCTACTTGGAGGAAATCATAGGATACCCAGGAATAGTTCGCCACCAGCTCAAAGATTCCATGTGGCTCTTGGTGAGTCACAGACTTCTTTGCTAAAATCTCTGTACATTCTGAAATGGAAACACGTGAATAACGTATCGCCAAATTCTACCAAGTTCATCAAAATTGTCTGCAGTTTATACTAATTTTATAACTGACTGCTATGTCACCAAATACGGAATATTTTCAGAGTGCCGAATACCTAAAGAGTGTAAATGTCAGAGCTTCTAGCAGAATGGTGGAGACGCTTCTCAGAACAAGACATAAACATTATTCTGACTTTACTTTTGAGAAGTTCACAGACTCCACGCATCAAGCCATAGAGCTTCTACTCCTTGGCTAAAGGTAAAACTGGGGTGAATCAGAATCTTTCATGAGATATAGATTTAATTTTTCTACTCCTTCTGGTGTCTTCTCCCCACCTCCACCCCACACTCCTGCATACCCAGTGTTTTAGAAAATGGAAAAACCTTGATTCCTTAAAAGTTAGACCTGGCTGGATAGTGGTTATTTCAGCAGCATTCTGATTGCATAAAGTAATGTCTTTGCTTCTCTGAGTTGAACAGTCCACAGAGGTTGAAGATTGAGCCATCGAACTAGTGAGGAATAAGGATGCCATCTTTACCATTCAGGTACCAAATCAGAAAGAAATTGATCTAGAAAGCTGACACTCATAAATAACTGATGTGATGTTAATTCACAGCAAATGGACTGACTAAAGCCCAAGTAAAATGCAAGTAAATTTCCCAGCTCCTGCGTTGTTCTTTAAGTGGTTTTCCTCCTATCTTCACGAGGAACCTAACGGGCTTTCCCCTTTTTGCTGCTCATTCAGTAAGATTTGTTCACAATAGTGCTCAGTTATGTTGCAGAGGCATGAGTTGCCAATTTTGTGAACATGCTATTTTTACTGTAATATTAATGTGGGTTGTGCTCTAGTGCTCTTCCAAGTTTTCTGAGCTTTAGAACATCAGTGATGCCATTGCAAAGCTTCATCTGCTAATCCATTGCATCTGAAATTCCCTGTTGTTTTTGTAAATCAATTATTGAACTTTCTCCCTCCTCTTTAGCTAAGCAGTGTTTCTGAAAAAAAAAAAAAAAAGTAAAAAAGGTCTCAGCTACTTATTAACTCATTCTTATGTGCCCTTCCCTTTGGAATTCACTAATCCATATCCTGTCTAATAGATGTCACTGTGTGCCCTGCTCTGCTCAGATGCTGGGTATGTAGCAGTGGACAGGAAGAACAAGCAACCCCCTGCTAGAGCTATAAACTACGAGACAATAAAACAATAAACTTTAAAATAAGGAAAATAATACAGTAATGACCTCAGCAGGGGTAGGGTGGGATCTGGGCTATGTCAGCCTGGGTGGTTGGAAGAACATTTTGCTGAAGCCTTGAGCTGAGGCTAGAATGAGAAGTTGCAGGCATACAAAGATAGCAGGCAGATTACTGCAGGGAGAGAGGAGTTTTCCAGCTCAGCACTATTGACACTTGAGGCCGGATGATAATTTGTTGGAGGGCCTGTACTGTGATTGCAGGATGTTTAGCAGCATTCTTAGTATATACCCAGTAGATGCTGATAGCACCTCCATTCCCCAGTCCAGTTGTTACAACCAAATTGTCTCCAGACCTTGATAAGTATCTCATGGGGGAGAAGGGAAATTGCTTTCAGTTGAGAACCACAGTGGTGGAAACATCATAAAGTGCTGAGGCCTTAACAGTAACAAGCCAAAGAGCTGTATGAAAAGCCAGTATATCTGGAAGAAAGTGGCTTAAGGAGAAAGTAGGAGGAAAAAAGATCTGGATGTAGGGAGAAGCCAAATCACATTAAGGCCTCACAGGCTATGCTAAGGACCTAGGATTTCATTCTAGGTCCAGTTGGGAGACATTGGAGGATTAGGTAAGGCAAATCTTAACACAATTTGCCTTACCTCTGGCTGCTATATGGAATGCTGCCAATGCTTCATTTTATGAACTTATTTGGATTAGTGGGTTGGCTACTTGAGTTCCACTTATTTTAGTTATTTTGGTAATCATGTTTATTTTAGTTTTATGGATGTAGATTTAGATTTGAGCACTCTCGAGGCTATTTCACCCAAGAGATTATATAATAAATCTGGGTAGGCTTTAAGACATGGTGTCCTGGCCATGCAAAACTTCCATAGCTATGACTGAAAGTCAATACACCTTTTAGTTTAATTATTACTCTAAATTAAACATAAAAATGGAAAAATAACCTGAGGATAGCCATTTAACAATTACTGAATCACTGTGTATTGTCAAAATAAGAAGACTCTTAATTACTGAGTTAATGCTCATACAATTGGGCTCTTTGTTTTCTGTTTCAGTTTAGTCAACAGGACTCAAAAGATGTGGAATTTCAAAGTTATGTGCCAGACTGCTGAGTGGACACTTCTCAGGAGGTGTCCTAGGATGGTGAGAGGCCTCTCAAATTCACAAGGAGGTAGAACAGGTTAAGTTAAACTGTGGATTGTGAAGAGTTGCTGACTATGCCCTTAGGTCCATCCTACTAAGAATGAGGAGGGAGTACCTCTTTCCATGCCAAAGCTGATTGACAGGCAGCCTTGAGATGATAGCTAGTAGCATGAAGCATTGAGAGGGAGAGGGAGGGGGAGAGACAGAGGGAGGGAGGGAGGGAGATACAGAGAGAGAAGGAGGAAGAGAAGGAGTGGGAGGAGGAGGAGGGGAGAGAGACTGAAAGAGAGAGAACTGGAATGTCAATGCAACCTTCGCTATCACCAAAGACCCAAAGACAGCATCTTAAAGAACGAATGAATTTTCCCCCATGAATTTTCCCGAGGTCCAGAGTGGAGGGAGCAAGCTTACTTGGAGTTCTTTGAAACCTTGTGCATTATTATGTTTGGAGTAGTGGTGGGAATTTCAACAGGGAGAGTTCTGTGTGGAATGGATTCAGGAGAAAACAAGAGGCTAGGTTGGGGGTGGCTGCCTGATGTGAGAGATGTGAACAGCCCAACTGGATTGGCCTAGTGGAGGTGCGAAGGGAGCATCTGAAGGACCAAGACAAGTGCCCAGGAAAAGAAGGTTTAAATATTAGGCAGGCTTAGCAGAACTAGTTAGTTAATAGCTCTCTTAATCAAGAAAAGTTTATCCTCTCCTTGCTTGGCTCAATCCAAGATGGACCAAAAGCCCTGATTTGCAGCAAAGGGAAAGTGGAACAGGAAAAGGAAGAGTCCAGCCAGCAGTACCCTCTGAGTTGACCAGGTTCAATCATCTGACAAAATAGAGGACCAGCCTTTCTCATTAGCAAATAGAGACTGTGCATTGCAACTTAGAATACGTTAATTCATTTATAAAGACAGTGAAAGACATTTCCACTTTATGACATCCCACTCATCTTGCTTGCTGAACATGTCAGTAATAATGCTATCTGTTACAGATTACTCTTTATTCTAGAGTGATCCCTCAGGATTGAGGGAAACACAGCACTTTTGCTAACTTGGAACATTCTGTGTTCCAGTGGTCAGGTGGGCTATTAGAATTAAGATTTCCTTTGTATTTTAGAGTATTTATTTATCTATTTAACACATATATGTTGAGTGCGTAGTATTTGTCAGGCACCGTTTTTAGTAGTCTTGGTTTGAGGTGTTAGTCAAATCACACTATGAATGGAAGCAGACTTCTGGGCTCCAGGGACCCTGTATCAAGGCCATGGGGCACTCGGGAAGTACTCTAGTAAATGTGGTGCCAGGAACTCCACGCTCGAGGCGGCCCTAGTGGGGAATTACACTAAGCTGATGGGTACCTGGGGGTATGTCCACTTTTCACACAGCTACTCTAATCTTTGAAACTCTCTAAAAATGGAGACTTGTCTATTTCTAACTTAATCTGCAGTTTAAAAAAATGAAGAGAGAAGTTTTTTCTTTGCTTAACACTTTTTTTTTTAGTTATGTGAAGACTACATTTCTATTGTTCTTTTCCACTGTTTTCCTCCTAGGCTACCTCCTTTCCTAGAAAAGTTAACAATGTTTTGTTTGTGTGTTTTGTTACTCTCCAACTTACTCTTTAGACTGTAAACATCAAAAGGATAGATTTCTGCAATCCACCATCGATTTTGGTTCAATAGAACAGAGTGGGGCCTGAGTTTTTGTCATTTTTCTAAGTTCCCCAGATGGTTTTGTTAGCTGTGCTTGACAACCAGTGCTATACAAAGACCAAGCTGTGAGGTGAGGTGTTTTGTATAGAACCAGTCCCCGGTCTATACTTCTAAACTCCTTATCACCACTCTCAGCTAGCAATGTGCATTCTGATAAAGATGTGAGATAGCCATCTGAGAGAATGTATGTTCTAATAGTGTTGTAAACTTCTGGATCAAGGTTTTTCAACCTCAGCACTATTGACATTTGAGACCAGATAATTCTTTATTGGGGGAATTTAGAAGGTGGGGTGTCCTGTGCATTGCAGGATGTTTAGCAGTGTTCTTGCCCAGGGAATGCCAACAGCAACTCCCTCATCAACAAAAAATTTCTCCAGTCATTGCCAAATATTTCCTGTGGAACAAAATCACCACTGGTTGAGAACCATTGCCCCCACTTCTATCCTATTCTCTTTTCCCATTAGGGACAAGACCAAGAAAGGGACATTTGAAAAGACAGAGGTATTAGTCGAGAAATTTTCTAGAGGGAAGACATAGACAATAGCAAACATCATAAAAATAATTTGTTGAATTGAGTTCTGCAAAGAAATATGCTGAAATCCTAGCCCCTGCACCTGTAGTTAAGATGAGGTCATACTGGATTAGGCTGGGCCCTAAATCCAATAACTAGTGTCCATATATGCATAGGGAAATGGAGACACAGAAATACGGAGATACAGACACATCTAGAGAGGATGTTGCCAGGTGAAAGTGGAGTGGTGTAGCTGCAAGCTGAGGAATGCCAAGGATTGCTGGCGACACCAGAAGCCAGGAAAGAGCATGGATCAGATTTTTACCACGGGAGCTTCAGAGGAAGTGGAAGTGTAGTCTTGTACATGCCTTGATTTTTGAATTTTCAGCCTCCGGAACTGTGAGAAAATAGATTTCTGTTGTTGTAAGTCAATGTTGTTACAGCAACCCTAGGAACCCAACAGAAGTGGTAAATGAAGCTTAAAAAAAAAAAAGAATGACCATGGACTGCACTAACTTTGTTTTGAACATACAGTCAAATGTAAGTTCTAAGAATTTGGAAGTAGACTCTATGAGAAGAAAAACATAAGTTATAAGATAGTCTGTGTTCTGTAAGATCATAATAACATGTTCTGGGTGGACGAACTTTTAGCAGCAGCAGTTCAAGTGGCCAAGGCAAGATGGTTCAAAGTCAGAGTGGTGGTCATGGTCCTGGAGGTGGAAAGAAGGATGACAAAGACAAGAAAAAGAAATACAAACCTCCTGTACCAACTAGAGTGGGGAAAAAGAAGAAGAAAACAGAGGGATCATATGCTGCCAGCAAACTGCCACTGGTGACACCTCACACTCAGTGCCAGTTAAAATTACTGAAGTTAGAGAGAATTAAAGACTGCTTCTCATGGAGGAAGAATTCATTAGAAAACAGAAACAAATGGAACCACTAGAAGAAAAGCAAGAGGAGGAAAGATCAAAAGTGGATGATCTTAGGGGGACCCCGATGTCAGTAGGAACCTTGGAAGAGATCATCAATGACAGTCATGCCACTGTGTCTACATCTGTGGGCTCAGAACGCTATGTCAGCATTCTTTCATTTGTAGACAAGGATCTGCTGGAACCTGGCTGCTTAGTCCTGCTCAACCACAAGGTGCATGCCATGATAGGGGTGCTGATGGATAACATGGATCCCCTGGTCACAGTGATGAAGGTGGAAAAGGCCCCCCAGGAGACCTATGCCGGTATCAGGGGTTGGACAACCAAAGTCAGGAAATTAAGGAATCTGTGGAGCTTCCTCTCACTCATCCTGAATATTATGAAGAGATGGGTATAAAGCCCCCTAAGGGGGTCATTCACTATGGTCCACCTGGCACAGGTAAAACCTTGTTAGCCAAAGCAGTAGCAAACCAAACCTCAGCCACTTTCTTGAGAGTGGTTGGCTCTGAACTTATTCAGAAGTACCTAGGTGATGGGCCCAAACTTGTATGGGAATTGTTTTGATTTGCTGAAGAATATGCACTGTCCATCATGTTTATTGATGAAATTGACGCAATTGGGACAAAAAGATATGACTCAAATTCTGGTAGTGAGAGAGAAATTCAGCGATCAGCATTGGAACTGTTGAACCAGTCAGATGGATTTGATTCTAGGGGAGATGTGAAAGTTATCATGGCCACAAACCAAATAGAAACTTTGGATCCAGCACTTATCAGACCAGGCTGCATTGACAGGAAGATTGAGTTCCCCCTTCATGATGAAAATACTAAGAAGCGCATCTTTCAGATTCACACAATCAGGATGACGCTGGCCAATGATGTAAACCTGGACGACTTGATCGTGACTAGAGATGACCTCTCTGGTGCTGACATCAAGGCAATCTGTACAGAAGTTGGTCTGATGGCCTCAAGAGAATGTAGAATGCAAGTAAAAAATGAAGACTTCCAAAAGTCTAAAGAAAATGTTCTTTATAAGAAACAGGAAGGCACCCCTGAGAGGCTCTATCTCTAGTGAACCACAGCTGCCATCAGGAAAATGGTTGGGAGATTTCTCAAACCCTGAAAGGGATGAGGTTGGGGGAGTTGCCCAGAGGAATCCCTGTTCTGGTTGATTTTTATTAGCAAAAATTCTGTGTCTTTTGGCATATGATGTGTAAGTGCCCATAGGGTGGCTTTTGTCTGTTGGTCACTGTGCAGCAGTCTGCTTCCCGATAAAGTGTGCTGTTTCTCAAAACAAAACAAAACAAAACAAAAAAACATGTTCTATGAATCGCAGGTCAGAACATGCTTGATTACAGATCAAGTAATAATTTAGGAAGCAGAAAATAAGTGCTCAGAACATAGCAATAGGAGTAGGAGTATAGCACCTAACTCTGTATGTTAAAGTTTGCCAAGGTGTTTGTAGACCATTAAATGCTCTAAAAACAAAAACAAAACAGGGCTAATGTGTTTATGCTTTCAATCCTATTTATTACAAAAAATTAACTAGTATTTATATCTAATTAATTTACTTTGCATCGGGGAATGTTTTATTCTTTTGTTTCTGAGTCCCAGTCAAGTTTCTTTATGGCAGAAAAAACAAAGTATCTGAATTTTTATGATGAGCATGTATCACCTTTGTAATTGGGAAATAAAAATCATTTCTAATTCAAAAGTAAAAGTTTATGATCTACTAGCATATACATAGTATTTTAATTTATTTATTTTTATAAAGTGCCCCAAACAAATTTTATTCAATAAGGCACTTAATCCTTAAGAAGGTAGCAAAAGTGAAAGAAAGATAACATGGCATGAAATATATTTTTTCATACAAAAACTATTTTAAATGTTTTTATTTCAATTATTTATTTAAATTTATGAGCATATAGAAAAATGGAAAATATGAACAAGTCCAACTGGCTATACACAGAACATATTGAAGTGAGTGAATATTAGGTGAGGGACACATTTATTTCTAAGATTGTGAAAAGAGGTAGGAAAAATATATTTTACAAAGCCAGAAACATTTCTACAAATTAACAAACGCTAAATGAATTTAATTCATACTTTTGTGTTTTCAAAGCCAGAGCTGAAAAGGAAGTAGTTACTTTTTAGGTGCATTTTCTACAATTAAAATATGCTCCTACCAGGTTTCTATTGTGAGATTTTCATAGGTATTGTAACTTGGACCAGAGAGAAATGGAAGCAACTACGGTGTCTAATAGAATCATATACTAGTTCAATAATGATTTGAATCTATTGATCGTCTTTGCACAGTCAAGTGTGGCAACTTCTCCCTGAGCTCCTACAGTGACATTCTGTGGCATTGTTTCTAACACACTCACTATTCCTTCCATATTTTTCCATAAATACAATTACCCTTTCTACTCCTTAAAGCATGTCAGTCATCTGCATACAACCCTTTCCTTTGAATTCCTCCATCCTGATTCATTATACTCCTCCCTCGATGTTCCCAGGGTACGACAGTGAAGAATTGGGATGTCTGGCAAAGGCCGTGAGCAGCAGTAGAAACTCACTCCATTTGTCAAGCATATGTCTTCATGTGGGATCATGTCCTACTGAGGGAAGGAATACCTCTTTCTTCCTTCAAAGAGAATATTCCTTTCATAAGTCACGTGCCTATGAGCAGTATCCACCTGGAGAGTGTACTTTCATTCTTTTTTTCTTTTTCTTTTTTTAAATTCAATAGCCCAGGGAAAGCGCTTTTTTCTTTCTAATTCCCCTAAAGACATTGCATGAGCTGCACTGGCTTTACATACCCCACCTTCACCATTTCAGGTGTTTTTGCTTCCAAATTCAACTCAGTATGCCTTGCTTTTTGCTACTACAATGATTTTTCTAAAATACGTGATACTTGATAAGCAACAGAAGTTTCAGTTTAGATTTTTGTATAAAATGACAATCAAATACTTCAAATAAGGTGTGTAGAAAGAAAATAAGGTAAAAATAGGCAGTAGGATAGTCATTCTTAGCGTGTTGTCATTTGGCTCCTTCTTTCAGGATCCTCCTGAGTGCTTGTTAAAAGCACATGTTCGGCCGGGCGCGGTGGCTCACGCCTGTAATCCCAGCACTTTGGGAGGCCGAGGCGGGCGGATCACGAGGTCAGGAGATCGAGACCACGGTGAAACCCCGTCTCTACTAAAAATACAAAAAATTAGCCGGGCGCAGTGGCGGGCGCCTGTAGTCCCAGCTACTCGGGAGGCTGAGGCAGGAGAATGGCGTGAACCCGGAAGGCGGAGCTTGCAGTGAGCGGAGATCGCGCCACAGCACTCCTGCCTGGGCGACAGAACGAGACTCCGAGACTCCGTCTCAAAAAAAAAAAAAAAAAAAAGCACATGTTCCTAAGCAGTGCAAGACTTAACTGAATGACTGTCTGGCTGTGGGAGAGGGTGGCCAGGGAATCTGCATTTGAATGAGCTCTCAATGTCATTCTCTTATATAATAAAATTTGTGAATGAATGCTTTCACAGGAACTTAAATAAATTAGGTTGAAATTGAGAAACAAAACAATATTGTAAGTGTCCCAACTTCAGCCTATGTTTTATATCCAACAATGAGGTTCAGATGTGTTAGTAAGCTGAGAGTGTAAGACTACCAGAAGCACAGAAGCAGAGGCCCTGAGGATTTTCTTGAGAAAAAAATTGAGGCTTCACGTAAAGGGAAAGTGGCATGACAAGCTTGATGCAGTGAAACTATCCACTGTCAGAGGAAGGATCTGAGTAAGTCTATCAATAGGGCTCTGTCCCTAGAAATAGTGGAGTACTCTGGGCAATGAAGAGAGAGAGAGAGTGCTGCAAATAAAAACCAGGAAAAGCTGTCTCACTAATAACTCATAATTGAGACATAGAGACTCAATAAGCACAGCTTTAGCACCTCGCTTTATCAGTTGTTATCTAATTATCCAATCAAAATCACTTTAAATATTTCGGAGGGATTTAATATAGTTAAATGTTTCTAAATTGTTAGAAGGCGAAGCCATAGGGAAAAGAAATGCAAGTAAATGCAAGAAGCTGCTAAAACTGCTCAGGCTGAGAAGAAAGAGAGGAAAGTGGCAGTGCCCCAAACCATAAGAGCTAAAACACCATGGCAACTGGAATCACTGCAAGCGCTGAGTGAGAATCCAGGAGTCTGCAGTCCCTCGGTGGCTGCTTAAATCAGTGGTGATATCACAGATGCTGCCAGAGCCAGAGTAGAAAAAAATTACTTATCTCTTCCTGGCTTCTAGTCAGCTGCTAAGGCTGCCCACTGGCAGAATTTAATCAAACCCTGTGAGCAAAGGGGTCCAGGAAAATAGTCTGGACGCTTCCAGCCCTTGACAGAATAGAGGGTAAAATGAAAAAGGCATATGTGAGGCTGAGAGCCAAGAGGAAACTAACACGTTTACCCAAGAACAGAGTATGATAGGAAAAGCAGGTAAAACAATTCTACTCCATTTACCCCTTAGGCTACTACAAAGTTTGGATAGCTGGCAATTCCTAGACATAGGTCAGCTGGCTTTAAACTTTGCTGGCCTTTCAATCACCTGGGATCTTTAATAAAGTGTCCATGCCTGGTTTTTACCCCCTAGATAGTGTGATTTAATTAATAATGAGTGCATCCTGGGCATCAAGATATGCGATACTTCTGCAGGTGATTCTAATTTCCAAGACACTGGTGCCGTGGGTTATAGTGGAGGCTATGGCACCTGGGGAGCAGGACACAGCAGCAGTAGCACTGAGTCTATTAAAAAATGTGAAATGCGCCCTTGAGACTCTCAGAAACTTTTCAGGGGACTGTGGTACAAGGAGGACAAGGAATCTCAGCAGATTCAATAACCCTTGAAATACAGATTGTACCAATATATGAAAATTCAAATTCGTAATCCAAATAGGTTACATGGTTATTCCTATCACTTCTGACTTCTTGATAACACAAACATTCAAGATAGGGTTTTTCAATGTAAGGGTTAGTCTCATACATTTACAATGGGATTAGTATTATATTAAGTGGATTTACACAGTCTCTTCAGAAAAGTATTTGTTGTACCTTTGATGAGCAATCTAGATGAACGCAAAACAAAGAAACAGTGCAGAGTGAAGCAGAATATGCACTGAAATTTGAGAAAGACCGAAGAACTGAGTTACAGTCTCCGATTTGCCTTTATCTGATTGTGTGTTTCAGAGGAGTAAGAGATTAAACTCTCTGGGCCTCTAAAATAGTCAATAGATGATACATGAGCACCCTTCTAGCACAAGGATTTGGACTAGTTTTGCCATTTACACTATTTCTTTATCATATGATACTTTGAGTACTTTTTGTACTTTTCACTTATCCTCCTAAAGTCCTTTTTGGGAAGAAATTGGCCATTTATATGGGAAAGCCCTGAAGCTACAGTAGTTTCTCTTTTGAATTGGTTGATCTGAAATTACAAAGTGAATGCATGACTAGCTACAGGGAATCTTTCCCTACTGTACATGTTCTCTGGGTCAAGAGAAAAAAGGAAGGAGGGAGAGAGCTGTATTGTATAACACAAAGAACTCATGCTCTACATTCATGCATTCAAACACTTGGTCTCTTCAGACATCAGTGTGTGTGTGTATATATATATATACACACACTGTTACTAAATATATATATATACACACTGATGTATATATATGTGTGTGTGTATGTGTATATATATATACACACACACTGATGTATATATGTGTATGTGTGTATGTATATATATACACACACACACTGATGTATATATATATGTGTGTGTGTGTATGTGTGTGTATACACTGACCATCAGTTTTAGGCATATTTATAAGTATGTTTTAGTACAATATTATTAAATACAAGTGTATATTTCTAATAGCTATAATTATTTCTTAAGAGTAAACAGGAAAATAAATGCATTTTATCCTTTTTCATGTTAGAGAGTTTGAGTAATGAATCAGGTTCTTTTTGTATTTCTTATTCTTTACTTCCATTAAGTGATAAGTCTTAAGTTACAATAGGAGATCATTGGGAAAGACAGCCAAAATATGGCGGCTCTGTCAGGTAGCTCTGGAGAGTTGAATTCAAATGGACTCAACCCCCTTCAGGGCTCCTGCCTGGATGACAAGTAGGTAGGTATGTTTCAATAAATAGCTGCTAAATTAACTAGTTCAGCTGAAAGGAAAATGTCAACTGAATTCCCAATCCACTCTCTGGGTGCATTCAGCATTCAACAGGATTTCTCATGCTCTGCAATATCATTGGGTGTGATTTTAACTTAAGCCCAATAATTTATCATTTGTCTCTTTCTTTAGTGAATGGAGAAAACAATACAGGCTTAAGGTGGGGAGGAATCAAAATTTTCAACAGTCTAGTTATTTATCCTGAAATGGACTTTATTTTCATATTCATTCCTATTAAGAAAAAAAGTCCTCATATCCCTAATATTAAAATAATATTTTATTTTATAATTATAGATTTAGCCTCTGCAACATGCTGATTATATCACTAATCTACATCACTTGAGCAAGCCACATAAAATCATAGGCATGTTCAAACTTTCAATATTAGAAGTATTTATCAAGAAATAGTTTTATCTCATATTTCATTACTTAATTTTGAGTGGCATCTTTACCTTTGAAGTGCAGAGGAATCCCTATGGGAAATTAGGTCTGTACTGCCTATTTTTTCACTCAAAAGGCTGAAAAGACGTAGACCAAGAGAATATGCTTTGAGTATATTTAAGATAGTTACTGTTTCATCACTGGAACATGATCCAGAAATCTCATTTCAACCACCAAGAATCATCTGAATAAAGCTCTGTGTGGATTGGTATCCAGAGCCAACATCTCCTTAGACAGCAGTGCCCTTCATTGCTACTCGCATTGTTGATTCTACATTGCTACTGATATTAAAGCCCCTGTCTCCAGCTGAATTATGGCACACAAAATACTAGTAAACTAAATGAAACATCTCCTTTCCAGGGGTTTGTGTTTTTAGTAACAGATCAAATATTAACCAAGACTTTCTCCTTGACATAAGTCCCACATGTGTCCCAAGCACAGGGTCAAATTCTGTCCCACAAGGACTGCATAGCTTTAAACCAACATATCTGCTGGCATGATCATCTGATATGAATTGTATTCTATATTGCATGTATCACCACTATGTGGTAACAAACATCATTTAATAAGGAAATTTTTACATATTTTTTAATTAACTTATTCTGATTTCTCTTTAAATCGAACATTAATCCTTAATTTTCTTTCTTTTTTTCTAAAGAAAAATTTTGTTTTCTAAAGAAAAATTTTTTTTTATTATACTTTAAGTTTTAGGGTACATGTGCACAACGTGCAGGTTTGTTACATATGTATACATGTGCCATGTTGGTGTGCTGCACCCATTAACTCCTCATTTAGTATTAGGTATATCTCCTAATGGTATCCCTCCCCCCTCCCCCCACCCCACAACAGTCCCCAGTGTGTGATGTTCCCCTTCCCGTGTCCATGTGTTCTCATTGTTCAATTCCCACCTATGAGTGAGAACGTGTGGTGTTTGGTTTTTTGTCCTTGCGATAGTTTGCTGAGAATGATGGTTTCCAGCTTCATCCATGTCCCTACAAAGGACATGAACTCATCATTTTTTCTGGCTGCATAGTATTCCATGGTGTATATGTGCCACATTTTCTTAATCCAGTCTATCATTGTTGGACATTTGGGTTGGTTCCAAGTCTTTGCTATAATCCTTAATTTTCTACCTGATTTTGCAAATACCTTGCCATACTGTGATGTAACTCTCAGGACTGCAATTTTGAATGATATGACTGTAGGTTTAGGATCTTCTCTATCTTTGTTTTAAAAATTAATCTTTTTTCACTGGAATATATTTTTTTTTTACTAATTCAAGAAAAAAATCTTTAGGTCATTTGTGTTTTTAATTTTTATTAAAGAGACTTCATTGGTTTTATGCCAGCCTTCAAATGGCTCCCAAATCTAATAGTTCCAATGTTCAGATATTTACTGTCATGTATCTTATTTGTAACCTTAATCTTAGGTTCTTATGCAAATATTCACACGTTTATGTATGTTAATCACTACATTAACAGATTTTACTTTTTTCATGGCAGACTCTCATGCTAGATACAATTTGAGATATTCTCCTGAGTTATATAATTCATGCAGTGCTTTTCATTGCTAATTTTATGTTTTACTGAACCATTTTTGAGACACTAATACATTTTTGTGAATTGGGGATATGGAAGCAGCATAAAAGTAAGAGCAAAATATAAAGTTCACCACATGTAAAAATTAGCATGCAAGTGACAGGACCATATTTTAGTGAAGATAAACCAGAAAAATTGAGAACGAAAGCTGTCTTTCTAAAAAAAAATGGACAACCTTTAATAATATAATGAAAAAGAATGTATCATCTCCACAGTATAATAAATTTACATTTCAAGTTTGTATAATGAATATATATAACTTTAAGTTTTTATTGTAATTACTTTTATACACATTTTAGATCATTTGAGACAAATATGGTCTGCCAAAATATTTTTTAAAATACTTCTACATCATCTTATTTATAGAATAAGTGGATGGTTAATGTTTTAAAGGCTTCCTTAAAAATGCTGGATGAATCACTTACTAGCTAATTCACTATGTGACCTTGGATAATATTTAATTTCTTGGAAATTTAGTTTCATCACCTGTAAAATAGGGACAAAAATGCGTAGGTAAATTTGTGTTACAAAAATGGTATAACATCAAGCATGAATATCAATATAACTGCATAATAAATATTAGTTTCATTGTTTATCTAAATTCCTTATTGTACTGGTGTGAGTTTATAGGCTGGCCATAATAGAAACGTGAGTTTTTGTTGTGAAATACTTTGAGAAAATAAGTTTATATGTAATTGTATGTGATTATTTTTCAAAAAAAAATCAATAAGTACTTAGAATGATTATATCAGGAGAGAGTGCAGATAAAGTGAAGAATGGAATAAAGGTAAACATAGTAGTTTATTCCTTGCATTATTTCTACCCTAGCCTCAGTTAGAGAGAATTATCTATTGGTTAGTGTATATTTGGAGCTGAAGGTTTGGTAAATGGCTTTCATTTTGGTGAACACTAAGTAGAAAATATAAGCCAGCTGAATGGGAAAAGTAAAGATTGTCACTGTTCACATGTTTTAAACCTTCTAAAATGACTCTCAAGAGAGATAACTTTATAATTCCTTAACTTTACTACACTTTTTCTCTATTGTTTTACACCTATTTATATTTTTGTTCCTAAAATCTAATTCGTTTTGGTTAGAATGTTTTTGATTGATAGAGTGCTATGGTTTGACTATGTCATCCAACTTTTGGGTCATGAGGGCACCACCCTCATGAATGGATTAATGCCATTATCACAGGACTGGGTTTCTTATAAAAGGAGGAGATCAGCCTCGCTTTTGTCTGTCTTTCACCCACGTTATCCCTTCTACCATGTTATGACACAGCAAGAAGGCCCCCACCAGATGGTAGCACCTTGATCTGAGTTTTATCTGCTTTAATAATGGGCAAAAGATCTGAATAGACATTTCTCAAAAAAAGATATATAACATTTTCATTTAGAAGTACTTGAATCATTCATATTTATATCTTTATTATTTAAAACATCTGGGTTAAAATTCTAAACAATCTTTATCAACATAGAATACACATCAAGAAATAAACCATACAATGAAGTACAGAGAAAACATCAATACAGAGGAGTCTTTCTTAAGTCATTTTACCTTCAATATTGCCTAATATAATTGACTGTTATATTTTGTAATTATAAGTGTATTTACATAAATATGCAGTTTTATGCATACATATGTATGTTTGAGAAAGTATGGTGTCTCTGCTATTAGAGGTCAGGAGCTCATTTTCCAACCATACTAGGGTGTTTCCCTTATTTGCTTTGTCTGAGGTAATTACCACATCCTAACCAATGGGAAAGAAAAAGAGAGAAGTAGAGGGAAGAGGTGTGATGTCCAACTACTACGTACATCAGACATAAAACTTACATGCCTCCTTTGTGTTTGTAACCATTCACTTAGATGCATACCCACAAAGGGCTGCAAGTAGCTTTTATTTCTGATCATCTATGCCAACAATTAAAACTTGTACTTTCTGTAAATATGCAAGGAGTGAGAATATTTGAAAAAAACTTGAAGCATTTGCCATAAGCAAAAATAAGGGAAAAATTAATAACTGGAAAGAAAGAATAAGCCAAAACTTTAATTTGTCATTGTAAAAGCAATATAAAAGTTAATAAAACTACAGTGGTAAACATTACTAGGTGTATATAAAAAATACGGCCAGAAATCTGTAGAATAAAAATGGAAAATCCTCATTTCTTTCCCTCTCCTAACACACGTAATCCCAGTCACTAAAGAAGTAAAAACTCCTGATAATTTGTTGTCTTTAAACTCCAGAGCTTTCTCTATGTATGAGCAATAGCATGGACATATGCATGTTTTCATTTACTTATAAAAATAAATGTACTAAAATTTGCTCTATTTATTTGTCTTGGAATAATAATTATAATACTGCAGCAAACATCTCTGTACATATGCCTCTTAATACTTGTGTTAATAATTCTGCAGGATATATTCCTAAAAATGGAATCCCTAGGTTAAATGGTAAAAAGGTATGCACTACTTGATTTTGATAGATATGTCAAATGTCATCGGTAAAAGTTATACCCATAAAGTCTCTTTTTCTCCACACAGGTCAACAATAGATATGATCAATATTATTGATATTTTGTAGGGAGTTTGAAAACAGATATCTCCTTATTTTAATTTACTTTTCCCTGATCAGTTATGAGGTTGAATGGTTTTCTGATATTTCCCAGCTATTTGTTTTTCTCCATTTGTGAAATACATTTCATATCATTTGACATTTAACTTTGTAGTTAGCATTTTTCATATTGATTTGTAATAATATTTGAATGTCATGGCTATTAAGCCTGTGCTATATGTATCATTGTTATAACTTACAAGAATTTTCTCTCAGTCTCTCATTTCTCTTAAAAATTTATAGTATTTTGCAATGCACAGCATAATACATATGTTGTTAAATTTTATGATTTGGACTTCCATGTGGTAAAATATAATGGTAGGTCCCTAATTTTGCCCTTTTTGTATACATCCTAAACAATACAGAACAATAGTAAGAACAAATGAAACTACCCAAAAATATTCCTGGTCATCAATAGAAGATGACTATAAAGAATTTTCTAAATAACTGTACAAAACAAAAACAAAAGAAATTAGCAAATCTCCTGAGCAATCTCCTGAACATTCATCATAAGCTTTTGCAGCTAGCAAGGGCAGTCAAAGAACAAACAAAATACTTCAGGTAAGAAAGAAAAGGGAAGTTAGTGGTGGGACTACATTTACTTTAAAACTGCAGGCCAATATCCCTGATGAACATAGATGCAAAAATGCTCAACTAAATACTAGCAAACCAAATCCAACAGCATGTCGAAAGTTAATATATCACATTGAAGTGAGTTTTACTCCAGAGATGCAAGGATGGTTCAACATATGCAAATCAACAAATATAATCCACCAGATAAACGGGATTAAAAACAAAAAAATCACCTCAATAGATGCAAAAAAAGTATTAGATAAAATCCAGAATCACTTCGTGATAAAATATATCCTCACAAATTAGGCACAGAAGAAACATGCCTCAAAATAATAAAAGCCATGTATGACAACCCCACAGCCAACATCATACTTAACAGGGAAAAGTTGACAGCATTCCCTGTATTAACTGAAACAAGAAAAGGATGCCTACTTTCACCACTCATATTTAACATAGTACTGGAAGTCCTAGCTAGATTAAGATAAAGAAATAAAAGATATCCAAATTGGAAAACAAAGTCAAATTATCTCTGTTCAGTGAATATATGATCTTATATTTAGAAAACTTTAAATACTCCTCCAGAAAAACCCTTAAATTTGATAAATGACTTCAATAAAGTTTCAGAATACAAAATCAACATATAAAAATTAGTAGCATTTCTATATACCAGTAACAATGAAGCTGAGAATCAAATCAAGAACTCAATCCCATTAAAAATAGCTACAAAAATATAAAATATCTAGGAATATATTTAACCAATGAGGTGAAAGATGTCTACAAGAAGAACAACAAAACATTGATGAAATAAATCATAGATGACATAAACAAATGAAAAAATACACCATGCTCATGGATCAGAAGAATCAATATCATTAAAATGACAATACTGCCCAAAGCAATCTATAAATTCAGTGCAATTTCTATCAAATTACCAATGTCATTCTTCACAGAATTAGAAAAAACAATCCTTAAATTCAAATAGAACAAAAAGCCCAAATAGCAAAAGCAATCCTAAAGAAAAAGAACAAAGCTGAAGAAATCATATTAACTGACCTGAAATTATACTACAAGTGTATGGAAACTGAAACAGTATGGTTTCAGCATAAAAATAGACACATAGAGCAATGGAACAGAATAGAGAACCCAGAAATAAAGCCACATACTTACAACCAACTGAATTTTAACAAAGTAGAAAAAAAAATTCACTGAGGAAAGAACACCGCATTCAATAAATAGTGCTGAGAAAATTGAAGAGCAATATGCAGAAGAATGAAACTCGTCCCACATCTCTCACTACACACAAAATTTAACCAGGATAGATTAAGAACTTAAATGCAAAACATGAAACTATGAAAATCCTAGAAGAAAATCTAGGAAGAACGCTTCTGGACATTGGTGTAGGCAAATAATTTATGACTAAGTCCTCAAAAGGAAACATGACAAAAACAAAAATAGACAAATGGGACTAAATTAAACTAAAAAGCCTCTACGCAGCAAAATAAATAATCAGTGTAGTAAATATATAACCTACAGAATGAGAGAAAATATTTTCAAACTATGCATCTGACAAAGGACTAATATCCAGAATCTACAGGGAACTCAGGGAACTCAACAAGAAAAAAACAAAAACACCCATTATAAATTGGGGAAAGGCCACAAACATTTTTCAAAAGAAGACATATAAGTGGCCAAACATATATATTAGAAAAAGCTCAACATCTCTAATCATCAGATAAATGAAAATTAAAACCACAATGATATACCATCTAATACCAGTCAAAAATGGCCATTATTAAAAAGCAAAAAAAACAACAGATGCTGGTGAAGATGCGTAGAAAAGGGAACACTTATGTACTGTTGGTGGGAATGTTAATTTTAATAGCACAAGTTGTATGGAAAACTATTTTGAAGCATAAATGTACAATCTAAAAGAATATTTTTTGTTCTAAGAAACAAAAATAGAAAATGGGACAAAATGTAATAAGATTGGATGGAACTTGAAAAGAAACGGAGGAAAAAACTAAACTTTTTAGAGATGAAGACTAACAGATATTGGTGAGGATGCATAGAAAAGGGAACACTTATATACTGTGGGTGGGAATGTAAATTATAATAGTACAAGTTCTATGGAAAAACGTATGGAGATTTCTCAAAGAACTAAAAATAGAAACATCATTTGATTCAACAATCCCACTACTGGGTATATACCCAAAGGAAAGGATATCATTACATCAAAAAGACACCTGCACTTGTATATTTATTGCAGCATTATTCACAATAGCAAAGATGTGGGATCAACCTAAATGTTGATTCCACAAGGTGTCCAAGTGACACCATATTCAAGTAAACAGTTAATAATGTTCATTGAGTGAAGGCAAGAAACCTACAAAAATAAAAATATAAAAGAAATATGCCTGTAAGGGAAATTTTTATTTGTAAAAGCTACAATTCACGATGAAAATGTAAGTTATATATCTATGCTTCAAATAACACAGCAGCAGTTTTTGTGAGGCAAAAACATTACAATATGCAATGAGACATACATAGAAAAATATTAATAATAGGATCCTTTAACAGGCATTCATAGTAGAAGACAGATCTAGTAAACAAAATATAAGTAATGATATATAAGAACTAAAGAACACAATTAACAAGGTTGATCTTATGAATATACATCAAACTTTATACCCCATTAGTAGAGAATACTTCTTCTTTTCAGTTTATTGAATATTCTAAATGAATGTAAGGTATACATATTGCGAATAACAATCTTTAATCACAATGCAATGGAAGTGGAGATTATGAATAAAATAAGAAAAAATGGTCCTTCCACATGGAGTGCCCTATTAAATGACTCTTGGGTGAAAAAGAGAAATACAATTTAATAACAGTACTTTTGGGAAAATAACTATGATAATGAAAGCACTACACATCAGAATCTATGGCATACTGTTTAAGAATGATAAGAGATGCCTTTATCAATAAAAATTAAAGAATAAAATAAACTAATTTCCCACCTCAAAAAAGTAGAGATAGAACAAAGTTAAGAAATCTCTACAAGGATATAATAAATATAAAAACAGACAATAGAGTATAGAAACAGTAGATATAATTAATATCTGAAATGATTTTTTTTAAAAAAATAAATCACTATGTAACTTTCATAAAAAATTGATAGCACAATACCAAAAAAAATGACAACTGAAAATTAAACATTTAAAATTTCATGAGGCAAGGGAAGGTGGGAATAGGAGCCAAGACTAACTTGCAGCTCCTGCTCAAACAGACAGAGCAGTGTGTGGAGACTAACATTGTGGTACCACAAGAACATACCAGGAAAGCTGAGATAATCTGCAGACCCTTTGAAGAAACTGGATTGCCGCTGCAGGCTCCCTGTGATACCGAGAAAACTGAGTCTGCTTGCTTTCTCAGGCAGGAGTCTGGTGGTCTGGGGCAAGTTCTCAACCCTGGTCACCAGCTGCCTGGAAGTGGACCCAGTGCTCTTGGTGGAGTATGGTGGGAGTGAGACTAGCCTTTAGGACTGCACGCTGTGTGGGAGCAGGGTGAGGCCTGTGACTGCCAGCTTTCCCTGATGTCCTTGGTGACCTGTATGACTCAGCAGAGACAACCATAATCCTCCTGGGAACATAACTTCATTGGCCTGGGAACCGCACCACCATTCCCCACAGCGGCCACAGAAAACCCCTCCCAAGGAGAGGCTGACCTCAGACCTGCCTATCCCTGCCCCCACCTGGTGGTCTTTCCCTACCCACCCTGTTGCTGAAGACAAACGACATAATATCTTGGAAGCTCTATGGCCCTGACCACTGCCTGAGAAACCTGAATACTTAACCAGGCAACCCTAGAGCAAATTTGCATCCTCCCTGTAGTACCACAGCTGATGTGCTTTTGAAAACGCCACCTCCTGATTGCAGGCCAACCAATATAAAACCAGTGCACTAAACAAAAATGCAACCAAGGGCCCTCACAGAATACACTTCACTCCCCTGCAACCTCCACCAGAGCATATGCTGGTATTCATGGCTGAAAAACCTGAAGATGGATCACATCACAGGACTCTTTGCAAAAACTCCCTAGTACCAGCTTGGAGCCAGGTAGCTCCACTGGGTGGCTAGACCCAGAAGAGCAAACCCAATTACTGCAGTTTGGCTCTCAGGAAGCCCCATTACTAGTGGAAACTGGAGAACACCACATCAAGGGAGCACCCCGAAGGAACCAGAAAAATAATTCTGGTAATATGACAAAACAGGGATGGGATCTTACCCCCAAAAGATCACACCACCTCAACAGCAATGGATCCAAACCAAGATGATATCTCCGAATAACCAGAAAAAGAATTCAGAAGGTCAATTATTAAGCTAATCAAGGAGGCAACAGAGAAAGGTGAAGTCTAGCTTAAAGAAATCAAAAACAAATTCTTGAAATACACCAAAATAGAACCTCCTTAAAGCATAAATCTTAAAGAATCTATATTACAATAGCACAATATTAAAAAAAAAACCAAGGTATTTGGCAACAAACAGCATGATGAATAGAATAATACCTCACATCTCAGTACTAATGTTGAATGTAAGTGGCCTAAATGCTCCACTTAAAAGATACAGTATGGCAGAATGGATAAGAATTCATCAACCAAGCTTCTGCTGTTTTCAGGAGACTCGCCTAACACATAAGGACTCACATAGACTTAAGCTAAAGAAGTGGAAAAAGGTATTCCATGCAAATGGACACCAAAAGTGAGCGGGAGTAGCTGTTCTTATACTAGACTAAATAAACTTTAAAGCAACAACAACGATAAAAAAAGACAAAGATGGACATTGTGTAATGATAAAAGGACTAGTCCAACAGAAAAATATCATGATCCTAAATATATATGCACCTAACACTAGAGCTCCCAAATTAATCAGCAGTTGCTACTACAGCTAAGTAATGAGATAGAAAGCAACACAATAATAGGGGGCCTTTAACACTCCACTGACTACACTAGATAGGTCATCAAGACAGAAAGTCAACAAATAAACAATGAACTTCAACTATACCCTGGAACAAATGGACTCAACAGATATTTATAGGACATTCTACCTAACAACTTCAGAATACACATTCTATTTCTCAGCACATGGAACATTATCCAAGACAGACCATATGATAGGACACAAAACAAGTCTCAGTAAATTTAAGAAAATTGAAACTATACCACATACTCTCTCACACCACAGTGGAGTAAAATTGGAAATCAACTCCAAAAGGAACCCCCAAAACCATGCAAATATGTGGAAATTAAATAAAGAGCTCCAGAATGGTCACTGAATCAACAAGGAAATGAAGGTGGAAATTAATAAATTCTTTGAACTAAATGATAATTGCAGCACAACCTATCAAAACCTCTGGGATACAACAAAAGCAGTGCTAAGAGGAAAGTTCATAGCATTAAATGCCTATATCAAAAAGTATGAAAGTGCACAAATAGACAATCTAAGGCCACACCTCACAGAACTAGAGAAACAAGAACAATCCAAACCCAAAACCAGCAGAAGAAAATAGACAGTGAAGAGCAGAACTAAAGGAAATTGAAACAAACAACAACAACAACAAAAATACAAAAGATAAATGAAATGAATGCTGGTTCTTTGAAAAGATGAGTAAAATTGAGAAACCATTAGTGAGATTAACCAAGAAAAGAGAGAAGAGCCACATAAGCACAATTAGAAACAAAATGGGAGATATTACTACTGAGACCACAGAAATACAAAAGATTATTCAAGGCTGTTATGAACACCTTTACACACATAAACTAGAAAACCTGGAGCAGACGAATAAATTCCTGGAAATATATGACCCTTCTAAATTAAACCAGGAAGACATAGAAACTCTGAACAGGCCTGGCACAGTGGCTCATGCCTGTAATCCCAGCACTTTGGAAAGTCGAGGTGGACAGATCACCTGATGTCAGGAGTTTGAGACCAGCCTGGGCAACAAGGTGAAACCCCGTCTCTACCAAAAATACAAAAATTAGCCAGGAGTGGTGGTGCGTGCCTGTCTGTAATCCCAGCTACTCCAGAGGCTGAAGCAGGAGAACTATGATTAGGTTCATACCAAAACCTGAACCTGGGAGGTTACAGTAAGCTAAGGTCATGCCACTGTACTCCAGCCTGGGAGACAAAGTGAGACTCTGTCTCAAAAAAAAAAAAAAAAAAAAAGAGAAAAGAAAAGAAACTGAACAGACAAATAACAAGCAGCAAGATTGAAATGGTAATAAAAAAATTGCCAATACAATTACAAAAAAGTCCAGGACCAGATGGATTCACAGCTGAATTCTATCAGATATTCAGAGAAGAATTGGTTCTAATTCTGTTGACATTATTCCCCTGGATAGAGAAAGAGGGAATCCTCCCTAAATCATTCCATGAAGCCAATATCGCCCTAATATCGAAACCAAGGAAGGGCATAAAAATAAAATAAAATTACAGAGCAATATCACTGATGAACATAGGCAAATATCCTCAATAAAATACTAGCTAACTGAATCCAACAGCATAACAAAAAGATAATCCACTATTATCAAGTGGGTTTCGTACCAGGCATGCAGGGGCGGTTTAACATATGCAGGTCAACAAAGGTAATACACCACATAAACAGAATTATAAACAAAAATCACATGATCATCTCAATAGCCACATTTGACAAAATCCAGCATCCCTTTATGATTAAAACTCTCAGCAAAATCAACATAGAAAGTACATACCTTAAGATGATAAAAGCCATCTATGACAAACTCACAGCCAACATTATACCTCATGGGGAAAAGTTGACAGCATTCCCCCTGAGAACTGGAACAAAACAAGGATGTCCACTTTCACCACTTCTATTCATCCTAGTACTGGATGTCCTAGCCACAGCAATCAGGCAAGAGAAAGAAATCAAGGGAATCCATATCAGTAAAGAGGATGTCAAACTGTTGCTGTTTGCTGATGATATGATTGTATACATGGAAAACCCTAAAGACTCATTCACGAAGCTCCTAGAACAGGTAAATGAATTCAGCAAAGTTTCGGAATACAAAATTAATGTACACAAATCAGCAGCTCTGCTATACACCAACAGCGACTAAGCTGAGAATCAGATTAATAACGGAACCCCTTTTACAATAACAGCAAAAACAAATAAAATGCTTAGGAATATACCTAACCAAGGAGGTGAAAGATCTCCACAGGGAAAATGACAAAACACAGCTGAAAATAATCATAGATTACACAAACAAATGGAAACACACCCCATGCTCATGGATGGGTAGAATAATTATTGTGAAAATGACCATACTGCCAAAAGCAATCTACAAATTCAACACAATTCCCATCAAAATACCACCATCATTCTCCACAGAACTAGAAAAAAAATGCTAAAATTCATATAGGATCAAAAAAGAGTTTGCATAGCTAAAGCAAGACTAAGCAAAAAGAACAAATCTGGAGGCAGCACAATACTCAACTTCAAACTATACTATCAAGGCATAGTCACCAAAACAGCATGGTTCTGGTATAAAAATAGACACATAAACCAATGGAACAAGAGAAAACCCAGAAATAAAGCCAAATATTATATCTACAGCCAGCTGATCTTCAACAAAGCAAATAAAAACATAAAGTGGGGAGAGGACCCCCTATTCAACAAATGGTTCTGGGATAATTGGAAAGCCACATGTGGAAGAATGAAACTGGATCCTCATGTTTCACCTCCTACAAAAATCAATTTAAGATTGCTCAAAGATTTAAATCTAAATCCTGAAATCATAAAAATTCTAGAAGATAAATTGGAAAACTCTTTCTAGACATTGGCTTAGGCAAAGACTTCATGACCAAGAACCCAAAAGAAAATGAAATGAAAACAAAGATAAATAGCTGAGACTTAATTAAACTAAGAAGTTTCTGGACAGCAAAAGAAATAATTAGCAGAGTTAACAGACAACATACAGAGTGGGAGAAAATCTTCACAATCTGTACATCCGACAAAGGACTAATATCTAGAATCTACGAAGAACTCAAATCAGGAAAAAAAACAATCCCATCAAAATGGGCTAAGGACACGAATATACAATTCTCAAAAAGAAGATATACAAATGGCCAACATGTATATGGAGAAATGTGCAACATCACTAATTATAAAGGAAATGCAAATCAAAACCACAATGCAATACCACCTTACTCCTGCAAGAACGGTCATAATTGAGAAATCAAAAGATAATACATATTGGTGTGGATGTGGTGAAAAGAGAACACTTTCGTACTGTTGCAGGGAATGTAAACTAGTACAAACACTGCGGAAAACAGTGCGGAGATTCCTTAAAGAACTAAAGGTAGATCTACCATTTGATCCAGCAATCCCACTACTAGGTACCTACCCAGAGGAAAAGAAGTCATTACACAAAAAAGATGCTTACACATGCATGTTTATAGCAGCACAATTTGCAGGGACAAAAATATGGAACCAGCCCAAATGCCCATTAATCAAGTGGATAAAGAAAATGTGGCAAATATATACCATGGAATACTACTCAGCCATAAAACAGAATGAAACAATGTCATTTGCAGCAACCTGGATGGAATTGGAGACCATTATTCTAAGTGATGTAACTCAGGAATGGAAAACCAAACATCGTATGTTGTCACTCATAAGTGGGAGCTAAGCTATGAGGATGCAAAGGCACAAGAATGATGCAATGGACTTTGGGCACTTGGAAAGGGCAGGAGGTGGGTGAGGGATAAAAGACTACACCTTGGGCCGGGTACGGTGGCTCACGCCTGTAATGTCAACACTTTAGGAGGCCAAGGAGGGGGCATCATGAAGTCAAGAGATCAAGACTATCCTGACCAACATGGTGAAACCCCTCTCTACTAAAAATACAAAAAAAAAAAAAATTAGCTGGGCATGGAGGCAAGTGCCTGTAGTCCCAGCTACTGGGGAGGCTGAGACAGGAGAATTGCTTGAACTCGGGAGGCAGAGGTTGCAGTGAGCCAAGATCGCAGCCGAGATCGCACCACTGCACTCCAGCCTAGCGACAGAGCGAGACTCCGTCTAAAAAAAAAAAAAGACTACACATTGGGTACAGTGTACACTGCTTGGGTGATGGGTACACCAAACTGTCAGAAATCACCACTAAAGAATTTATTCATGTAACCAAACACCACCTGTTCCCCAGAAACCTTTTGAAATAAAAATAAATAAATAAAAGAAACAGGCATTTAGAAAATAATAATTAAAAAATAAAATTTCATAATATGTAGATGTCTACATAAATTTGAAAACTTAGGTGAAATGGGATATATTTTAGATAAATATTGGTTTAAAAAGATGGAACCATTTGAGATAAAAACCTCAAACAGACCAACTCTCAACAAACAGAGAACGATATCAAATAAGTACCCAAAAAAATAAAATAAAGCCAAGAAAACAAAGAAACCAAAAACCCAACAAGCTTTCGTAAGGGGCTTAAAGCAGACCTTTAAGCATTGATTGTTCCAATCCTCTTTAAATTGTTCCACAGTATTGAAAATTAAAGAAAACTTAATAATTTTTGTGAAGTACAAATAACATTGCTACCTAAACCTGCTAAAAACAGTGTAAGAAGGTTATAGACAAATACCACTTTTGATACTTAAAGTTCTAACCAAAACATTAGCCAACATAATCAAACACTATTTTGGAAAATAATATACTATGACAAGGTGAGATTTGTTAAAGGAATGTAAGTTTGGCTTTGATTAGGAAATTCATCAGTATAATAATATAGCATATTAATTGAGCTAAGGAAAAGATTACGGTTATCGTCATGGATGCTAAAAAAGTCATTGACAAAATTTAATCCCCATTCTTTTTATAAATAACAAATAAATAGAACTTGATGGACATTTTCTCAACAATTTAAGATAAATCATTGTGTGCATATATATAAAATATTTTATCAAATACATATATATTTATAAATATATATCATATATAGTTTTACAACTAAGGGAAATATAAATATATGCATATCTATAGGTATAGATATATAGACAAACATATATATATTTCCCTTAGATTAAAAGCTAGCATCATATTAATATGGAAACATTAAAAGTATTTGAATTGAGATAAGAAGACAAGGCTGTCCATCAATTCCTATATTGTTGAATATTTTCCTAGAAGTATTAGATAATACAATTGGACAAGAGAAATCTGTTAACAGTCTAAAAATCTTAAAAAAGCAATACAATTATTTATATATGCAGACACTATAGGACGCCTGTAAAATCTTAAAGCAGCATTCATCTCCTGCAATTTTCTGTGATTATTGAAATGTTCTACACTGAGTTGTCCAATACCATAAACATACACTTGGTGCCTACCCTATTGAACAGAATGATCCTAGGGAATCAATGGTAAACTAAACATAATATAGTAAGATGGCAGAATAAAACATTAGTATTCACAAATTAATAGTTTTCAAAAGCAGAAAAAAGTAACCAGTTACAAGATGTAACATTAGAAAACACTCCATTTACAATGGCACTGCCACCACTGCCAACAACAAAAAATGCTTGGGAATAAATTTAGCCAAAAATGTGGGTAACCTTGACACTTTGAAGAGTTTTGGCCAGTTATTTTGTAGAATCTCCCTTGATGTGAGTTTGATATTTTCTGAAGTTTAAATTTGGGGTGTATATATTTGGTTAGAATACCATAGAAGTGAAAGTGAACCTTTCTCAGTGTACCATATCACCAGCATATGGTGTTGATGTGGTCCATTAATAATGCTAGATTTACCTTGTGGTTAAGCTGGTGTCTACAGTTTCTGTACTGTGAAGGTACTATTTTTCTTCATAATTAATAAATTGTGGAGAGATGTAATTCATAATATATTGTGAGCCTATGTAAATGTTCTGTCTCCCTTCATAATTTCACTCGCTATTTTTAGCATTCAATGATGGTTCTTGCCTGTTATAATTAATTACTGTGGTGTTTTCCAAATGGTGATTCTTTTTACTCCTACCATTCTTTCTATATTTATTAGTATGAATTTTACTGTAAGGAATCCTCCCTATTTATTTATATCACTATGGAATCATAACTTCTTCTTCTATGTGTTATAATAGAAAACTGTAATTATTTTATCCCAGATTTTTAATGTCACCCCAACTTTTGAGTTTTCCCTTATTTTCTGGCACTACAAGATGTTCCAGGCTTACCATGTAATACTTTTCCTCCAGAATCATTCATTTGAAACTCTGGTTTCTTTTACTTGAGGATGGTGTTCAGAAACCAAGATTTGGATACTAATTGTGCCCATTGGTACTAGGTTATCATTATTTGTAGGACTTCCCAGTGGACAGAACTAGGAAATACATGTGTATAGATAGATAGATAGATAGATAGGTAGATAGATAGATAGGTAGATAGATAGATAGATAGATAGATAGATAGATAGATAGATAGATAGATAGATAGGTTAATTATCTATCTATTTATATAATCTATCTGTCATCTATCTGTCAATCATTTATCTACCATGAAGTATTACTAGTAAAGCAAGGTACAGTCTGGAGAAGTGAAAAACATTAATTCTCTGAGAACTGAAAAAATAACTTCAGAGACTGTCATGTACTGTAGTGAAGATAAGTGCATAACAAAGCTCAGGAGATTGTTTTCATCTTCTCAAGTCAATAAAAAGCTTAGCCATTAATTAAAAGCTAAGAAAAGAAAAATGAAAATATCGAAAAGACAGATCTGCAATTATCTTATATGGCAGTGTTCTTTTTTAAAAAATGACTAAGAGAAAAAGATTAAAATTATGAGCAACAGTAAAAATATTTATAATGTACAGCATATAGCAGAGAGAGAGACATCAAATATGAAGAGTTGTCCAGCAGGTGCCAGAGAATTTTGGGGAGGTGAGGAAATCTATGAAGTAATATGAGAAACACTGGTAGGCGACCCCCTATGGGAAGTGTCCAATCTGGACTGGACTGGTGACAGGGAACTGGGATATAAGGTAAGCTGATTAATATTCATTTAAAATACATTTATCTAATTTAACATAAAATTGGGTAATTTCTTTCTCATCTTCTCAACCATTTATAATAGAAGAAAATGAAAATATTTTCCATGCTTTGTGGCTTTCTCTCTTTTGTGATCCTTTTTGCTTTAACTTTTTCCTCCTGCATTGTTTCTACTTAGTGCTAAAAGAAACTCAGCCATGGTCAAAGTCAGGGACATATCATTCTGACCCCTTGTTCTCTCATGATTTGTGGCTCTCCCGCTGCTGCTGCTACAGTTCATATGATTCCATTTTAATGTCTATCACTCTCATCTTCATTACCAGGAGAAAAAAAATCACAAATAGCCATCTCACCCTTCTTCTCCTGTATTTCATACCCTAGTCCTCCCAGTCCTTTATAGAGATAACAATCTTAATTTTCCCAATGACACTTCAGTACCTGAAAGGATCAAATCTAAATTCCTTAGATGGCTACTTAAGGATTTGCCGTATATATTCTTTCTTGCTAGTATCCTTGTCTATTGCTCCACTTTAAACCCCCAAGCTTATCCAACCTTATCTGCCACTGCTCTTTCACATTAAATGCCTGTGTCAGAGGGGCTGGTTTTCTTCCTGCCATCAGCCACTCTCTTCTCTCTCCCATCTGCACTTTGGTCATAAAATAATTTTTACTTCTACATATCCAACTTACGCTCATCATTCAAAGCATACCTTATCTCCTCCCCAGTGGTAATTCCCTGTGTAATGTGGCTTTTATGAATGGCTTGTTTCTCTGAATTTTGGCAATTCTCATTATGTCTGTCATTTATTTTGTTATTTAAATGGTAGCAGAATATGGCATTACTTTAAATTTTATTTAATGAAACAGTCACATAAAGTTTCTTTATTCAACATAGGTCATTTCATTTAGGGGAAGAAGTTGCTTAACAAGTTTTATGACTTAAATTCTCCCCAGAATTTATTGAATGTACAACTCAAAGAGAACTCAAATTCTTCTAAGTTAATAAGAAGAATTTCAGTTAAATAAAAGAATAACAAAGAATAGAATGTTATTTTATTGAGGTACATTTGCAAGCTCTCTCTATTTGAAAGGTGCTCTAAATAGCCTCTGAGTTTTAGGTTTTATTACTGGAGGATTCAATAGGGTAGTATTCTGCCTTTTGTTGTAGTTAGAGAAATAATATAATGTGATTCTTTCAATATAAAATCTCTACATATTAATTTGAAGTAATAGGTCAGTTAGAGTAAATTCATTCAAAGCAGAAATTAAGCTATATTTAAGAAAGAATCATTTGTACTGTTTAAAAAATAGTACAGTATGTTTTAAGGAAAACTACAACATTCAGGGCTGTATGGAACTCAATTAGTCCTTAAGCCATTAAGTAAATGAAATCTTAGGATGTTTCCTTGCTTCTCTGAAGTAGCAATACATTATAGCAGTCTGGCAAGGCTCTCAGCCCTCACAAATAATAGAGTCCCACATACTCAGTATTCTCCAGAACTCAGCCCTCTGCCTGACTCTCCTCAAATGTAGAAAGAAAAACGATGTTCACCATTAAGAAGGAGGCAAGGAGGAGGGGCAATAGGGAGAGGAGAGGGAAAGAGAGAGAAGTAGCTTTTGCTTCTTTATTTCTGGGAGTCCTTTCCAAACCAAACTATTAGAGACACATACTCCCTTCAAATTTCACCATGGGAGCCCCCGACTTTTGCATGATAATACAGAGTGGTGTCTTTTATACCCCTATGAAAGTTCTTCATGGAGTGCAGTAGGTTAATGAAGGTTGAGGGGAGGGATCATAAAGGGAAGTGACTTGAAGGTGTTGCAGAGCTGGTGGGAGTCCAGGGAGTGTCTCATAGCCTGTACTCCCATCATTTATTAAAGACTGCACATGCTTCCTTCCAAGTTTCCTTTCCTTTCTTTAAAGGACATATACTTTGTAAAATATAGAGAAGGAAATGCTTTGATCCCATAGGCTGTAAAACTAATCCCAAGAACACATAAACGATGATGTGAAGCAGTCCAGGCGCAGTGGCTCATGCCTGTAATCCCAGCACTTTGGGAGGCCAAAGCGGGCAGATCACCCAAGGTCGGGAGTTCAAGACTAGCCTGACCAACATGGAGAAACGCTGTCTCTACTAAAAATACAAAATTAGCTGGGCGTGGTGGTGCATACCTGTAATCCCAGCTACTGGGGAGGCTAAGACAGGAGAATCGCTTGAACCCGGGAGGCAGAGGTTGCAGTGAGCAAAGATCCCACCACTGCACTCCATCCTGGGCAACAAGAGCAAAACTCCGTCTCAAAAAAAAAAAAAAAAAAAATATTATCTTGGGTCGGGCGCAGTGGCTCACGCCTATAATCCCTGCACTTCGGGAGGCCCGGGCAGGTGGATCACTAGGTCAGGAGTTGGAGACCAGCCTGGCCAAGATGGTGAAACCCCATCTCTACTAAAAATACAAAAAGTAGCCGGGCACCTGTAATCCCAGCTAATCAGGAGGCTGAGGCAGGAGAATCGCTTGAACCTGGGAGGCGGGGGTTGCCGTGAGCCGAGATCACCCAGCTGCACCCTAGCCTGGGCAACAGAGCAGGACTCCATCTTTAAAAAATAAAATAAAAATAAAAGATGATGTGAAGCATTTAGATATAGGTATGTATATCTTTTGCTTACCATCTTTCAATAAATCATCTGCTTTATTTTTAGTATTCCCAAATGTGTTAGAGAAATGGGAGCCATAAGAATGAAATGAAGGGAAATGGGAGCATTCTGGCTTTATTCAAAGCAAGGCAGACAATTGACCATGGGCATCCAAAACAGCATGGCCATAAATAAAGGTGGTTATTTTTATAGTGCTTATTTAGGGGATCCAGTGCTTTGTATATGATAGTAGAAGAGACTTATTATTAACAATGAGAAAAATGAGTTGCCAAATTTAGAGACCACTCCACATTCATGAACTTGAAAATTCTAGGCAAACTTGAAACCTCTTGTTGGCATCTGGGTTGATTTATCCTTGCCAAGAGACTGTGTGTTTCTTTTGTTTCTTTTTTCAGAAGAGTAAAACAATTCTCTCAAACAAAACTTAAATTAGTGGTTTCTTCAAGTTGTGATATATATAAACATAGACGTATAACATTTGTAGAAGCTATATATATATATGCATTATAGAAAATTAAGTACAGAAAGATAACACAAATCATAAACAAGAAAAAATGCACATTCAATGTTATACACTATATCCCTCTGAATCTCTTTCTGTCCTCTCCCCCACCCTTCACCCTCCCCTCCCCTCCTCTCCTTCTCTTTCTCTGAGTTAGGTGAATAACACATAAATCTATCTTTTTGTAAGCCAAAGAAAATTACACACTACATATTCATGTAAGCTGCTTTTTCAGTCAATAGTCTTCAACATTCCATTTTATTAAAATGTCCTATCTCATGATGGGCAGAGAAGAGGGCTTGGAGCAAGTGAACTGATGAAGGTAAGAAGCAGTAGTGAGAAACATGAGTTTATATATTTAATGCATTTAACTTTAAGCATGCATTTACAAATGCACTGATAGAAACATTAAAACAGACTATTTGAAATCACATGCATTTCAGAAAATGTTAAAGGTCCATTGACTCTAATAATTGACATATAAAAATTTTCTGATTAAGGGAGTTTTCTTTATTTTGGGTTTTCCAAATGGATCTTTAAAGGTAACTTCTAAAATTTCATAATATTTATATTTTTTAAAAAAGACAAGGATAGTCTGGTATGTACAGAAGGGTCTGTGATTTTTCCTTAACAACATTGTCTAAGCAGAAGAGGTAAATTTGGATTCTCAGATAATATATCAGAAACGTTCACACTTAGTATGATCTTAGACTGTTTCCCTGTATGCATCTTCATTCATCCGTGTATGCAACCACTACAGCTAATGATACAGAAAAAGAAACATCAGTAAATTAGCTGCTTTGCAATTGGCTTATTAATTAGTGTGCTCAAACTTCTAAAGAATTCCATTCTTTCACATTAACAAAGAGTCACGGAGGGAGAGACAAATACATACACACACACACACACACACACATATGTATGGAGGGAGAAAATATATGTACACACACGTATCTATGTATATATATATACATAGTTATGTAATATTTGTATATTAAGAAAGAAAAGAAAAATATTAGATACAGAGGTGACTAATTTGGGGGCTTGACTACAGGTAATTAATTTGAGAGTCTATCACAGGAAGCAACTGAGAACAGGTAAGGGAAGGAGATAAAGCCAATCTCAGGTTTATTGAGGCTTCTACTATGGTTGCTGTGGGAACTGTGTGAAAGACTGATGAGAACGGTCCATATAAAAAAAGTATGGGAGGAGAATCAGCTGCCAATTGGCTCCCATCTGTCTTTGGTTGAGGATTACCCACCAAGAGCATTTACTGTTTGGCATTTCCAAGCCACAGCTGAGCATGGGACAATCAAGCTATTCTTGGGGCATAGAAAAAAAAATTGAGGCCAGATGAGGAAAGACTTGAGACTTGTATGCCTGAGGCATGACTCTGTCAGGGCAAAGTGAGTCAGAGCTGGCACAGAACTGTCTGCTCGGTCTTTGCCTGAAGTCAGAAGTAGGCACAGGGACTAAGGTAGGCATGTGAGGTGTGCTCTGCAGAACAGAGCAGAGGTCATACTTATAACACGGAACTTTTGCTGTAGAGAACTATTGGAACAGGAGAAGGATAAATCCATGTAATAGCATTGAAAAGGTCATGTTGGGAAAAATATTTTGGGATCTTTACTTAAGTACTCAGAGTCTGAGCCAAAACTGCTCAAGAATTAGGAAATGTATCAACTACCTGCCATTCGTTCCACAATAAGCAAAATCATGGCTCTTCATTCAGCTTTTTTCTTTCTCTCTTTATTTCTTCCTCTCTTTCTTCTTTCTCCTTTTATTTCCTTTCTTCTCCTTCAAATAGAGTCACTTTTTTCTTACTTATTTATTCATTTATTCCACATCTATTTGTTGAGCCTCTAGTAGATGCCTGATGTCATGTTAGTGTTTGGGAGTATAGTAAAAGAGACACAGTTCCTGTCCCCATGCATAATATATTACCTTTAGTCTTAAAGTGTTTTGCATGTTTTTTGTATTTTATTTTTAAAGCTAATGAAATTCTGGGCAATTGTCTGCCTACATAGTGATACAGAACATAGGAAAAAAGTCCACATGTACCCAGATGGCTTGTAAAGCATGGATTATTTCATGCTTATGGTGTAGCCAGGAGCTGAAGGTCTCAAGAAATCAAGAGCTTGTAATGAAAATTTTATGTATCAACTTGTAGGTTATATACAAGTAATTATGATAATGGCAATAAGAGCAGTATAGTCATTCCTATATGTCAGGCACTGGTATAAATGCTTGACTTACATTAACTCATTTTAAATAAAAAAAAAAGGTCTATATATTATTACTAGACAAACAAAATACTTTTAACACTTTTCTGCTTATTTTAAATTCTAGATTTGAGTAAACACTGTCACTGAGGAGAAAAGCAGGAAAAATAAGACAACTTTTCTACCGTTAAGTAATTTATAGTTTAGATAGGAACATGGATGGAGTGTGGCCAAGAAGTGAAGAGTGTTTCACAGGCTCCAAAGTGCAAGATGGTATTTACTGCAATCAGTGTATGCCAAAAGGACAATCTAAGAGAAGAGTCAACCTTCAAGTGGCATGCATGAAAATAGTCACACTGGCAGAGGTGAGCTAGTGAAGGGAGTGACAAAAATTAGAGGATCTTTAGGTTTGAGCACAGAGACAAAGAATTTCCACCTGATAAAAACTCTGTTGTGATGATGATGACCATTTTACTATGCTTAGTTAGCATTCCGTGTAGCTCCTTTAAATTTAGCTTTTGGTAATGAGGGGAGGCATCGGTGTTTGACTGTAAAGGCTTATCACTAGAAAAGTGTAAAGGCACTTTTTGAAAGTCTGTAATTACTTTTTATGTATTTCTCATGCCTATCATATCAAATCTGATATTATCTGTCTTGCCTTTAAAAAAGTCCACTAGTTTCCACTTCTCAGCTCAATAACCTTGATACTCCTTCATTCAAGAAGATAAAAGATCATGAGGAAGGGATATGGGAAAAGAAATTAGGGGGGTCTATTTTATAGTTTTCACATTTTATTCTAACTGAAAAACATGACCTGGAGCTCGAATTGAAAACAGATGTAGAGAAACTGCCATGGTTGCTGAATGAACATAGGTTGGGCTGCCCCTTTGGCATGACCAGCTGTGATTCCCTTCCAGTTCCTCTGCATCTGCAGTTGCTGTCTTCCAATGCACCAAATCTGCCTTCTTCACTCAGCAGCACAAGCTTTCTGGCTGACCAAGTGTCCTGGAATGAAATCAATGTTAATGATTTCTGTGATTCTAGTTGTTTTTGCTTTATTGATGTTTCCTTCCCCCTTCATCCCACCTTCAAACTAATTTTTATTCTCTATGAAAACAATCCAAAATGATGAATTATTTTATGCTTTTGGAAGTGGTAGGATTTAATTGGGTTTCACTGGTTCAATTCAATTTCTGGCACAAGTAAGTCAAATCCTTGAACACAAGCAACAGACAACAGGAGAGATGGTGAATACTGGTGCCTGAGCACCATAGAACTCTGCTGAAAGCCAGTATGTCACCCACATGTGCCTTTTCATCTTTCCCCCTTTTTTGGCAAAATATTTCCATAATTACATGGAATAATGTTAGGGTACAAAAATGTTACAAATGGAATTAATATCAAGATAACCTAATTATTTTAATTTTCTGGCTCAAATATAGAAAAATGAAATTGTATAAACCTCTTTTTATTTCACCTATAAGAAGAATGTCTATAACACTTGGTTCTTTTCTCTACTACTGATTGAGGAAGACTTAGAAGGAAACGTCAAGTATAATATTTATCTATTACTGTGTAGCAAACCACTTTAAAACCTGCTAGGTCAAAGCAACAATTTATTTGTCATGATTCTGTGTTTGATGGGACAGTTCTTATGCTGGCCTTTCCCAGGCTCATTCATGTAGCTGTACTGAGCCAGCCTCTTGCCTAGAGCTGGAGGATCCAGGATGACCTAACTCTCATGTCTGGGGCTTTTGTGATACCTATTAGCTGTGTTGTCTGTCTAGGTGGTCTTTCATCGTTCATGAGCGTGGTGGAATTCTTATTATTCTGAAGGTGGAGATGGAATCTGCACATATTTTTGAGGCCAATGTTGCAGAACTCACACAACCTCATATTTGCCACATTCTTTTGGTCAAACAAAGTCAAAAGTCCATCCCAGATTTAAGGGGTAGAGAATGCACTCTTTTGATTGGAAAAGTTGCAATAAACTTACTGTATCTACCACCTTGAACAAATGAAAGTTTATAGTAACATTTTATATGTCAAAATCCCATGTTAAATTTCTTGAAGGCAAGGAATATCTTTATATTTATTTTCATATTTCAAACTCAGAGTGCCAACATATAGTGGATCTCAATATCTGCCCACTGAATATTTATGTATCGGGAGAACCAGCCCCCGATATTTCAACATAGGTTCTTTTCTATTTTCCCTAAGTGTTGGCCGGTCTGAGAAATAAAGGGAAAGAGTACAAAAGAGAGAAATTTTAAAGCTGGGTGTCCGAGGGAGACATCACATGTCGGCAGGTTCCATGATGCCCCTCAAGCCACAAAACCAGCAAGGTTTTATTAGTGATTTTCAAAGGGGAAGGAGTGTATGAATAGGGCATGGGTCACAGAGAACACATGCTTCTCAAGGCAATAAAATATCACAAGGCAAATGGGGGCAGAGCAAGATCACAGGACCGGGGTGAAATTAAAATTGCTAATGAAGTTTCATGTCCCACTGGGCACACATTGTCATTGTTAACGTCTTTTCAGGAGACAGGGTTTGAGAGCAGACAACCAGTCTGATTAAAATTTATCAGGCAGGAATTTCTTCATCCTCATAGGCCTGGGAGTGCTACAGGAGACCAGGGCTTATTTCATCCCTTATCTATAACCATATAAGACAGACATTCCTAGAGTGGCCATTTTAGAGACCTCCCCCTAGGAATGCATTCTCTCAGGGCTGTTCCTTGCTGAGAAAAAGAATTCAGTGATATTTCTCCTATTCACTTTTGTAAGAAGAGAAATACAGCTCTGTTCCGCCTGGCTCCCAGGCACTCAGACCTAATGGTTATCTCCCTTGTTCCCTGAACATTGCTGTTATCCTGTTCTTTTATCAAGGTGCCCAGATTTCATATTGTTTAAACACACATGCTTTACGAACAATTTGTGAAGTTAACACAATCATCACAGGGTCCTGAGACGACATACATCTTCAGCTTATGAAGATGATGGGATTAAGAGATTAAAGTAAAGACAGGCATAGGAAATCACAAGAGTATTGATTGGGGAAGTGATAAATGTCCATGAAATCTTCACAATTTATATTCAGAGACTGCAGTAAAGACAGGCATAAGACATTATAAAAGTATTAATTTGGGGAACGAATAAATGTCCATGAAATCTTCACAATTTATGTTCTTCTGCTATGGCTTCAGCCGGTCCCTCCGTTCGGGGTCCCTGACTTCCCGCAACATTATGGACTATGGATTTGGAAAATATCATAAAATAATAAAAACAATTCCTTATACTTGCCTTATAGTGTATATTTTTAATGGTTGTTTATGTGAGTCATTTGTAGTATGAGCTTAATTGGGGAACACCTGGAAGAGTTTAATTTCAAGTCTCTTTTAAGGGGGACAGAGTTAGTTTGACAAATAGAGCTTGAGGCATTTTAGACTGGTAGCACAACATGTACAAAAATCAGAAAAGGTGAGAAGACAAGTTATATGTGGAGGACAGTCAGCATATTCTTGATACAATACAATTCTTAGTGTAATAACTTTGTACTAGCAAAGTTACTTTTATTTACTTTTATTAAGTCTAATTAAATTGAATTTGGTGCCCTGTCTAAAAATTTAGTATAAGCTATTGATGGGGAGTTCCCTTTCCAATTGTTAATCATACAAAGGTCTTGGCATCTTATTTTGAACAAAATATTCCAGAAGGTTCTTTCATATTCAGTCCATATTGGTGGCCAGTGAGCAATACATTTTATAAGGTTGCATGGACATTATATTCTGCTGACTTTCTGATGGGTTACATAAAAATTTCTAGGCCTAGAAATGCCAGAGCTTAGAGACCTGTCTATCCATATGCACCCTGAAGTCACCACCACTGAGACCTGTCGACGTTTACGGGAACTGGCATGGCGCAGAGTCCACATCAAGCTGGAAGTGTATGTCCTTTTCTCAAAGTCACTTGGCTTTCGATTTTCCCTTCTGCACATCTAACATAAAAGTTACATAGTTTTCAGGCTTTTACCAAAACCACTAGAAATTTTTTTTTTAATACATTCTACCTCCTGCCCTCCAACACACATAAAATAAGGAAGATAATGACCTGGCCATCTGTTTATTGGTGGTAGGAGTAAGGGCCATGCAGGGAAAAGAGATATTATTTAATATTTTAATGATTTATCTTCTCTTTGCTGCCCTGATCAGTTAGATTTTTAGAATCTTCTCTAAGGTTCTTGTGGTAAACTCTAACAGATTTTTCCCTGGCTTTAGCATTTTGATAAAATCATTCCAACACAATGGACATAGTAAGAACAAAAGGAGTCCCTGAGATGGCTAGCATCATAGGTGATTTCCAACAGGACTTCAAACCCTGAAAATTATATATAAATATATGTGTGTTTGAATTTCTTCTGGAGGTAGGGCTATAGCTTTAAAATTTTCTTATAGGACTTTTTTACTTCCAGAAGTTTCACATTGGACCACTAATTTACAGCTAGTCCAAATGAGCATATCTGTTAATATAAGTAAAAATGCTCATGTAGGGGCAGCATTTTTTTAAAGTAAATCTTATGGAGTTTTTCTTTTTATCTTGTTATCTCTTATGATAGGACTGAATCAACCCCCCTGTAACTGGTTCTTCTTGCTTCCCTGCACTCTGTTTATCCATTACCCTCTGATTTCTTCCTGACAACTGTCCTGTGTTCTATAATTATAGGGTCTTATTATCAACTGGTTGATAAATTAATGTAAAGACCAAGACAGTAAGAAAAGGGAGGCCGGGCGCGGTGGCTCACGCCTGTAATCCTAGCACTTTGGGAGGCCGAGACGGGTGGATCACGAGGTCAGGAGATCGAGACCATCTTGGCTAACACGGTGAAACCCTGTTTCTACTAAAAATACAAAAAATTAGCCGGGCGTGTTGGCGGGCGCCTGTAGTCCCAGCTACTTGGGAGGCTGAGGCAGGAGAATGGCATGAACCTGGGAGGCAGAGCTTGCAGTGAGCCGAGATCGCGCCACTGCACTCCAACCTGGGAGACACAGCGAGACTCCGTCTCAAAAAAAAAAAAAGAAAAAGAAAAAGAAAAGGGACCTGCATCACCACCTACTTGCTGTGTGCTCCCAGGGGATTTTCTTAACCTCTCTGTGCCTTCTTTTTCTCTTATACATAATGAGGTTAATGGCTAGTGTCTCTCTCACAGGCTGGTTACGAGAATGAATTCAATTAATACGTGTAAAGCTCTTGTAATAGGACCTGGCACAAAGTAAGCACCATGTATGTGGCAGTTATTATTTATATCCTAGGAATATTTGTATCTTAACAATTGACAAATAAAAATGTAAGTATTTTTAAAGCTCCCAAATTATTAACCAGAAAGTGGAATTAATGTTTAGGACATCAGGTCTTGTTCAGTGTCCTCAAATCTCATCATCTGTTTTTGTACATTTTCTGTGAGACCATCTAGAACAGGAGCAATATCTTAGCCTTTCTATCTTTATGAATTATGTGGTGCAAGTAAGCTGAGAGCACATAGTGGTATGGTGAGTGAACTATAGCATTACAATGAAGAGACATCTAACTCAGCTCAGGTTATTCATATTCTTTAGGTTTCAACTTCAATATCAATACTTTGAAAAGGCTTTCCTTGGCCTCCATGTTTTGTTAGTTGTCCCATTAGAAAAGTCCTAGAACATAACTATTTAATATCTGATTTTCCCATAGAGAATAAGCTTCGTGGCCAGAGTGGAAGGAGCTATCTCTGCCATGTCCAGTCTAGCATCCAGCAGAGTGGTCTTTCTATGTCACGTGTTCTATCACTGCTTGTTAAACAATAGATAATACCTACGTGTTGCAGTGAGCGACTACTTCAGCTTTGTTACAACCTACTTCATAAGGTTGCTGGAAGAATTCATTTGAATTATGTATACAAAGTGTCTATTATGGTAGCTGAAACAGGGAATTCTTGACCTATGAGAGCTTTTTATGAATTGTCATTTGGAGAATCTGTTTTCTTTAGACTGAGTTCTCAAAATTTCCTTTTTCCCATTTCTGTTTGTTCTCATTTCCAAACCTGCAAACTTTGTATCTCCTTTCTGAAATTATGCATTAAAGTAGTCTGATCAGTTTTGCCCTCAAAACTTTCTGACATCAGAGATTGAGACCATCCTGGCTAACATGGTGAAACTCCGTCTCTACTAAAAATACAAAAAATTAGCCAGGCGGGGTGGCAGGTGCCTGTAGTCCCAGCTACTCGGGAGGCTGAGGCAGGAGAATGGTATGAACCCGGGAGGCAGAGCTTTCAGTGAGCAGAGATCGTGCCACTGCACTCCAGCCTGGGTGACAGAGCAAGACTCTATCTCAAAAAAAAAAAAAAAAAAAAAAAGAAAGAAAAAAGAAAATCTTCTGACATCTGAAAGAGAAACAGGTATGATAGTTGCCCTTTGTCCTCAACCAAATGAAGAAAACCAATCATAACAATGATATTGGGAAATTACTTTTATCAAAGTCTCAGTAATCAGTTATCCTCTAGGGTGGGTCATGTCAGGATTTTCATAAAGATGTCAAAGACAACAGGAAAGAGAATTATAAAAACTTCAGCCATTTGGTAACAAAGGACAAAGGAGATGACACTTGCCAGTTTACTTCAATAAACCTGCTGGATAATTGCACAAAAAGCAGAGAAAACATTCACTTTTTTAAAGTTATGTTCAATTTATTCCTTTTGTTTCCTTTCTTTACTGAAGGAAATGAATAAATATGAATATAAGAAATAAGGGCCGGGCACAGTGGCTCATGCCTATAATCCCAGCAGTTTGGGAGGCCGAGACAGGTGGATCACCTGAGGTCAGGAGTTTGAGACCAGCCTGGCCAACATGGTAAAACCCCATCTCTACTAAAAATGCAAAAATTAGCTGGGCGTGATGGCAGGTGCCTGTAATCCCAGCTACGCAGGAGGCTGAGGTAGGAGAACTGCTTGAACTCAGGAGATGGAGGTTGCAGTGAGCCGAGATCATGCTACTGCACTCCAGCCTGGGTGACAGAGCAAGACTCTGTCAAAAAAAAAAAAAAAAAAAAGAAAGAAAGAAAAAGAGAAAGAAAGAGTGAAAGAAGGAAAGAAAGAGAGAAAAAAGAGACTAAGAAAGAATTGGAGGAAAGCTTTTCAAGACTTTTCGTCAATTTCTCATTTCTATGTTGCCCAGAATGTCTTTTCTCATTTTCTCCTACTATTTTTGTGGCAATTATCTGTGTATCCCATATTAAATCTCTAATTCACTTTATGATTGCAGGTGCTTTTCTTCTCTGCCTGATAATTTTCACAGGGGCCAAAAGATTGGCATCCAGGACATTAATGGTCCTCATTATAAAACTCATCTTTGCCTCCTCTCCACAAGACATCAAATAGGACTATTTCAGGATAACATTTATGGACAAGCATTCACTGATCACTATAGTTGGAAACCTAATTGTATCCCTCATTTATTTGGGCTTCAATATCATTAATTTATATTTCACACCCATAAGTGCTTATAATTGTCAATAAACTGCCAAAAAATGACAAGTGCCGTAGGTGCTCTGAGAGCTGGAAATTCAGAGGTGAAACAGATTATGACGTGAAAAACTCAAGAGAATAGAAACCAGGTTCTCATTAAAAGAATTTCTTTAAAACACTTCTAGTGAATGCCATCTGGCCTGGTGATATTTTTTATTTAATTTGCCCAATAGCTGAAGAACATTCTGTGAATTTAGCACTATTGGACTGCTATCTCTGACCTCAAGTTCAAAAGACATTTTGGCAACAGGATATTCCATGTTATTACCTTCAGTACCCACAAAGGTAAAAATTTCATTTGGTCCCTCTGATTTCAATCTTGTTTTTAATCTTTGTGGAATGCTTTAAAAATGTGTGTATGTGTGTGTGTCTGTGTGTGTGTGTGTGTGTGTGTGTCGGTGTCTGTCTGTGTGTGTGTGTACTTTTTTATCTTTTTTTTTTGTAATAGCCATCCTAAATATTAAATATCCAAAACGCTATGAGGAGATAGCTCTGTGATTTTTTTCTTTTACTTTAAGTTCCTGGATACATGTGCAGAATGTGCAGGTTTGTTACGTAGGTAAATGTGTGCTATGGTGGTTTGCTGCACCTATCAACCCGTCACCTAGGTATTAAGTTCTGCATTCATTAGCTATTTGTCTTAATGCTCTCCGTTCCCTAGCAACCCCCACCCACCACGACAGGCCCCGTGTGTGTTGTTCCCCTCCCTGTGTCCATGTGTTTCATTGTTTAGCTCCCACTTATCAGTGAGAACTCTTTGTAGTTTTGATTGGCATTTCACTGATGATTAGTGATGATGAGCACCTTTTTACATGCCTATTTATTGGCCATTTGTATGTCTTCTTTGGAGAACTATCTATTCTATTCAAGTCCTTTGCCTATTTTTAATCAGGTTATTTGCTTTTTGCTATTGTTGTTCTTTTGTATTCTTTTTTTGCTATTGAATTGTAGACATTTCTTTAAGAAATTTTTTTTTGATATTTAACATTTTGGATATCAACTCATTGTCAGATACATGGTTTGCAAATATTTTCTCTTATTTCATAATTTGCCTTTTCATTCTGTTGATTATTTCATTTTTTGTACAGAAGGTTTTCAGTTTCATGTACTTCCACTTGCCAGTTGAAAAGAGTATGGTAGTTCCTTAAAAACTTAAAGAACTACTATGTGATAAAATCAGTCACAGATGGACAAATACTACATTATTCCAGTTATATGAGTAATCTAAAATAGTCAAACTTACAGAAGCAGAGATAGAATGGTGGGTGGTAGGGGCTGGGGAAAAGGGAGAATGGGGAGTTGCTGTTTAATTAATGGCTATAAAGTTTAAGTTTTACATGATGAATAAGTTCTAGAGATGTGTTGTACAACACTGTGCCTATAGTTAACAATACTGTATGTAAACTTCAAAATTGTTAAGAGGGTTGATCTAACATTATATGTTCTTGCTGTAAAATGTGAATAGAGGTTCCTCTTCAAAGAGAGTTTCCTCCCCATCTAATTAAGAACAAATAGTAACTTCTCTTAGAAACAAAATTTATTGAAACACCTGGGCTAACATTCTTAAATATCTGCTAACCATAATAAAAAAAAATCAATATACTTTGTGTTCTTAACTCCCACAATTTAGCCTAAATATTTGCCCTGGCATGCTTATGCTGGTCCAAGCAAGCATTAGGTCATAGCCTGTTCCTCTTCTTTATTTGGAGGTGTTTTTACCTACCTTGGCATTCCACAAGTTACTTCCTCCTTCCTTTGTTCTCCTCTGCCTTTGCCTCTTTTGAAAAGTTCTAAGTTGCTAGTCAATCAGGACAAATACAGAATGTGAGGTCCCGTTCCAGCCAATGGAAACCAGACACAGCAGTAGGGTGGACGCATCAAGTTATAAATGACCCTGTCTCCTTTGTTCAATGTATTCTTGTGGCAAAACTGATGGCAAGTGTACCCTTTCTGCAGAAAGTAAAAAAGTGGCCTTGCTGAGAAAATTAAATTTATATTCAAGTGCTATTTCTTTATGACACTGGGGAACAAGCATTTCTAACATTGCCAAAGTTAATAAGGAAAAGAGAAGAACAAAGAGTCAGGAGAAAACTCTTGGAGGTGATGGATATGTTTATTACCTTGATTGTGGTGATAGTTTCATAGTTGTACACATACATCAAAAGTCACCAAATTGTATATTTTGAATATATGCACTTTTTCTATATCAATTATACTGCAATAAAACTGTTAAAATATATACTGTATATACTTTTTATATTCACATATAATAACTTTGCCTATGTGTTTCTACAGTTCTATGAATTTTAACACATGTATCAATTTGCATAACTGTCACTACAATCAGAATACAGGACAATTCCATCATCTTAAAAGACTCCCTTTGTTCTCCTTTTGTAGTCATAATCTCCTATTCCCCCTGAATCTGACAACTGCTGGTCTGATCTGTATAGAGTATAAGCTTTTGGAAAGAAGACATTTCAATCAGCAAAATGCCATTGCGATTCATCCAAGATGTGGCATGTATCAATAGTTCATTGTTTCTTATTGCTGAATAGTATTCCACTGTATGAATGTACTATGATTTATCTATTCTCCCATAGAAGGCCATTTGGGCTGCTATACACATTTGTGTACAGTTACGTGAATATAACTTTTTTATTTATCAAATGTGAATACGTAAGAGTGAGAGTGAGATTGTTGGGTCGCATGGTAAGTGGATATTTAACTTTATAAGAAACTGCCGGCCTGGCGCAGTGGCTCATGCCTGCAATCCCAGCACTTTGGGAGGCCGAGGCGGGCGGATCACGAGGTCAGGAGATCAACACCATCCTGGCTAATGCGGTGAAACCCCGTCTCTACTAAAAATACAAAAAATTAGCCAGGCATGGTGGCGGGCGCCTGTAGTCCCCGCTACTTGAGAGGCTGAGGCAGGAGAATGGCGTGAACCTAGGAGGCGGAGCTTGCAGTGAGCAGAGATCATGCCACTGCACTCCAGCCTAGGAGACAGAGCGAGACTCCGTCTGAAAAAAAAAAAAAAAAAAAAGAAGAAAGAAACTGCCAAACTGGTTTCCAGAATGGCTAACTCATCTTTCATTCCCTCTCATAATATATGAGAGTTCTAGTTGCTCCTCTTCATTGATAGCACTTGATACTGCAAGTATATTTTATTTTAGCCATTTCACAAAGCTTGATAGCTCTATCTCATGGCAGTTTTAACTTCCATTTCCCTTTGTATAATTTTCAGAGATTTCTCTGGGTACTTTAATTCACACAATTAACTTTATTGATGTTTTCCCCACTTGAAGTAGAACCTTACCACCGTATAAATCCACTTACCCATCCTCCGTTATATTGTAGTTGTCTTATGCATTATATCCCCACACATTGAAAACCTTATCAGACATTGTTATAATTTTTGCTTCCAACAGTCCAAATATATTTTATAAAACAAAATAAGAGAATATTCTATTATATTTATTCTGATTTCACCATTTCTGTTGTTCTTCCTCTATTTCCAATGTTCCAAGTTTTCTTTTGGTATCATTTCTCTTACGTCTTAAAAACTTCTTTACAATTCTATTATAATAAGTCTGCTATCCAGAAATCCTTTTAGTTTTCCTTAATCTGAAAATCAGGAATTTCATTCCTGAAGGATATTTCCACTGGATATAGAAGTCTGCATTAGACTTATTTTCATCCAATATTTCGGAAATTTTGTTACACATTTTTCTGGCCTCATAATTTTTGATAAGACATCCACAGTCATTTGATTCATCATTGCACTGTAAGTATGCATCATTTTTCCCTGGTTACTTTTAAGATTTTTTGTTTATCTTTAGTCTTAAGCAATCTAATTATGATATTATTGATATCGATTTCTTTCGGTTTATCTGTTTTGCAATTCGCTGGGCTTCTTGAATATGTAGGTTAATGTCTTTTGCCAAATTTCGGAAGTTTTCAACCCTTATGTTTTTCAAAATATTTTTTGCACTACATTTTTTTTCTTCTTTCTGGGCACAGATGGCATGGAGATTAGACATTTTGGTATTTGTTCACTTGTCCTTTATCCTGTATTTAACTTTTTTTCATCTTTTTATTTTCCATTATTTATATTGAATAACTTCTACTGATCTATCTTCAAATTCAGTGACTTTTCTATCTTCCTCAATCTTCTATCAAGCCCATCCAGTAAGAGTATTTTTTGCTTGTTTGTTTGTTTCTGGTTATAATATTTTTCAGTTCTGAACTTTCCATGTGGCTCTCCCTTAGATAAAGGATGATACCTCTGTGTCATCTCAATGTTGAAGTTTAACAGTTCTTTTCTCATGCAAGTTGAAATTTCCTTTGTTCTTCAGAAGCCAAGTAATTTTCGGATTGTATCATAACCATTTTGAATGTTTTGTTATAAGATTCTGCGTTTCACTTTATCTCTGTAGAGATTACTAATTATATTTTTAAGAAGACAATCATCCTGTCCGGGTGCAGCCTGCAAGTCCTGATCTACCTTCTATGGGTTGTGATTCCAATGTCAGCTCAGCTTTCAAAGCCTTTGAAGGGCTACTGAGATCTATGCCATGTGTGCATCACCCAGTGGTCAATGTAGGACTCAAATGTGGTCTATCCCATAGTTCAGTTATCAAAGCCTATGCACGCTGTTTAGGGTCCTATTCATTTATGCTCAGTTTTGGGATAAGCCCAAAACTTTATAAGGGACTTTGTGAAGTCACATTCTCCTTTTTCTCCGTGATTACCTCAGTACTCCCTTTAAACTTCTCCATCAAATAAGCTACAGTTTTATATATTCTGCTGTGCTGTGTAATTTCTTGGACTACACATGTGTTTGAAGTTAAGAGGCAGGAGGACAGAGAGACAGAAAAGTAACAAGAGTTCCCCTTCCGCTTGGGGCTATGGCTCCTTTAATAGGAAAGTCCCCTCAGTTTTAGGCTTCTGTCATAGAATTGTTTGGGGGCTTATATGTAAGAAAACACAGGAAAAAGAAGAAAAAATGGAAAATTTTCTCCATTTCATCTGCACGTAAGAAGACCCTTCTCCTTATTCTTGAGCCTGGACTAGAAGGCTTTTCCTGAAGCTCTCTGTGTCTGCTCTGATGCCACTGAAGAATTTCAGTCTGAATTGAGTTCAGTCGGGGGTAATGGAGGAAAATCATGGTAAACTTACCACCCATCCAGTGAGCTCTTCTTACCTATCCATCTGCTACTATTTTTAATAGACAATTTTTTTAGAACAGTTCTACATTTACAGAAAAACTGATCAGAGAGTACAGGGAGTTTCTATGTCCTCCTTTTATCTCACATGCAGTTTCTCATATTATTAACTTTTTACATTAGTATGGTACATTGGTGACAATTAATGAACTTATATCCCTATATTAACTAAAGTCCATAGTTTATTCAGGCTTTCTTAGTTTTTGCCAAATGTTCTTTTTCTCTCCCAGGATTTCCATAATGTTCTCTTTGGGAAGGGAGCCATTATATGTAGCCCACACTTAAGGAGTGAGGAGTTGTGCTCTCATTCTTTAAGGTGGAGTATCTACCTAATGTATTTGGGATTCTTCCGCACAGATTTGTTGTTTTCCTTCTCTGTTTATTAATGTATTCAATTATTTATTTATACTATAATGGATTAATAGATATTTATTTTACATGTGGGTTATAATCCAATACTGCTTTATTTATTTTTCTGTTAGAATTGTTCCATTTTTGACCATTGGGAACTCTCTCAGTCTTCTCCTGTGTCGATTTCATATGCCCCCCACATTTTTTAAAGCACTTCCTTACTTTCTGGCATTGCAAGATGCACCAGGCTCATCTTGCATATTTCCCACTCCAGTACCAGCATCAGCCAATTCTCCAAGAAGCCTTAGTTTCTTTCCTTGGAAAATGGTATTAGAAATCAGTATCTGGGAATTAGGTGTTCATTTCACTACTGAGGAGTCAATCGTTTTAGGCCTCTTCCACAGAAAGAGAAGAGAAATATGTATGTATATATGAATGTATATATACACACATGTATCTATACATAATTTATCTATAGTTACTTATATCTATATTAAGGTAAACAAGAGTTGTTACTGATGTCTCCAACTGTAGCACATTAGCACACCTCATTCTAGCATTCTCCTTTTGGTTATTTGTAGATTACCACCCCCACATTGAAAAACCCACTCCCACAATATGCCATCAATTTATTATTATTGGATTCCACTGATTATCTGGAAGCTTATTGGTAACAAATTCTCATGCTTCAAAAAGTCCCATCTGTTCTGAATCAAAATGAGACTTTAATTCAAATGAAAGTTTTTTTTTTTCCTTTCTCCCATCCCAGGCTTGGCAACTTTCATCAGGAGATGAATGGATGTTCTATCGTTTATCCTTTAATCTCTTAAAATCTTCCTTTCCTACTTCCTTTCCTTCCTTTCACTGGAAACCTGCATCAGGAAATGAATGCATGTTTATCGTTTATCTTGTATCTTTTCATCTCTTAAAATCTTCCTTTCCTACTGGCAGTACTCTTCCTCCAGGATCCTCCACAGTTGGGCATGGAAAGGGGAATGATTTCATCTGATTAGGGGCTTTATGATGTAATATTAGCAACTTCGGCACAGCAAATACCCACATATGGGCCCTTTCTGAGATGGGGTACTTCTGTGATATGGAGCAACTCCTCTACATGAGGAATTCCACTGAAGCATTCTCTGTTCAGTACCCCCCATCAGCTAGTCCTCTGGCAATACATTTCAAGCATACTCTATCTGTTGAGGATGCATGTCCCCTTTTTGACATGACCTTTCCTGGATGGCCCATGGTTAGTTACCTTTTATCTACTCTAGCTTGTGCATATACCTTCCTTCCCTGTGTTTATTGTATAAATGTCTTCCTCATTTATCTCTTTTTCCTAATTTGGCTCTCATAGCTTCAGCTAGATGATACCTTTTAAAGGTTTTTTTTTTTTTTTTTTTTTTTCCTTTGGAAAGAATTAAGCACAAGTCTATGTGTTCTCCAATATTTTGTCTTGCATCCCTCACATTGCTTGGCTTGATTTGGAGGGTGTACCTCCCTCCACTCCTTTGTAGGTAGGAAGAAAAAGGAAACTGAAAACACTCCAGAAACTCCCTTAGAGTCTCCATTCACTAGTACTCCCACCCAATTATTTTTCTAGCATCCTTTATGTACTTTAGACTTGGATAATACAGTAATTTTTGTCATATTGGATTTGGCCATCACTTTAGAAAATCCTAGCATAGGTGCTCTGCCAACTAGCTTTAGTATCGTTGTTAAATGAGACTGCAAACAAACAAAAACTAGCTCTATTAACACATTTTAATGTATCTCTAGATATATACTAGGCAAACACATACAATGTTTTTGAACAGTATGTGTGCCCTTTATCTAGTACTACTTTCCTTTTCGCTGAGTTGAGCACTGATGAAGGTCATCTTCGCCTCTATTACTTTAGACCTCAACCAAGGGTCAATCCATAGTGGTAAGTCTCTCCTTTATTTTCTTACAGTGTTGCTTTGTCTCCTCTGTCTTCCTTCAGAGTCAAATATAATTTCCAAGCAGATGGTCCTGTCTCACAAATTAACCCACTTAGGACTTGCCACATATATGATATCACTATAAAGGAACAAATGAGCCAGCAACAAAGGGAAAATTAAGGTTCTTTACTGTTTCCACCAAGGGTCCACCCACCCCAATCCCAGGGTTGCCATCAATTGAGGAAGGAGGACTACAAATGCTGTAGATAATTGTACCAATAACATATTGCTATAGCAGACTGTGCTATGGTGGAGGCAGGTGTCCCAGGAGAAAGCAGAAGTGCACAGAGTCTCTTAAGGCCTAGACACAGAAATGGCATAACATCACTTCTGCCACATTTTCTTGACCATAGTGAGTTGTAAAGCCTGCCAAGATTCAATATTTCAAGTACAGGGCAATGGACTCTGTTCTCATTGGGCCCTGTATTATGTTATGTTATGTTACATATACCATGTGCTATGGTATATGCAAATGTCCCATGTCTCCCTTTCAGCTATGTCCCAGGACATCTAGGACCAGTAGCTATTCTACGAAAAGCCAAGGACACTTGGAAAACAGTCTAGGTTTCTACACTTGGCTAAAATATGAAGAGTGAGTTGGGGTTAAGACTAATGAAATAATTCATCTGAATTTCTTAAAAGGGGCTCTTGAAACATAAGGGACTCTTGAATTCTGTATTCAACATAAAAGCGTTGAAGAGTAAAGCAAAATTGGTTGTGATTATTTAAAAATATTTAACCTGGGCTTATTCCAGCCAGTGGATGTAAAAATAAAAGGGTTGGTTTGTTGGGTCTTTTTCAAACCATGTCTCTGTGAAGAGAACAATTAAGAACAAAACTTGAGTTGGATCAGAGTTCATGTAAGAATAGCTTATTTCTAATATTTTGAAATGGATAAAAGCAGTAGTTTTATCTTTTCCTCTGAGTGGAGATTGTAAAGGGGCCAATATTAATTTATCTTTAAGAATGAATCTATAAACATAAAAGTTCCATCATTGACCCTTTTCTCTAATTTCTTTTTGACTTATGAACAGATAACTATACTCCATACGAAAATGAACTCTGAAGACATAGCATGATGGCATATTTACCAAAATACCATGTTGTAGTCATATCAAACTTAGAATAAACTTCTATCTATCATTAATATGATTAATTACTAGGTAATACTATTCTGTGTAATTATTAAGCACAGAAAATAAATCAACTTATGTAAATTTTTGAAGTTAATATGTCTTTCCTACTAAAGACATCTTTTATTAATAAAAATCGATTTCCTTTGTTACTACTTACATTATCCTTAAATTGTACCAATCAGCTTTTTTTGTTGTTTACATATATCTACATTATCTTCAAATTGTACCAATCACCTTTTTTTTTGTTTACATATATCCACTAACTAATAGTTCAAAAGCTATTTTTTAATTTTAAATTTTGATTCACCTCATGTTGTCCACTTCAGCCTGGGACTAAAACTCCTTTTGTTCTTTCCTCCTCCTCTTCTCTATCTTTTCCTCTTGCCAATTTTTTTGAGACTTTTATCAGCTATTCCCTGTCTGGAAGATTATATGCCAGATGTCTTACATGCCAAGACTGTGCTTATAGTAACCCTACATCATTCAGCGTTGAATGAGAGGTCAAAAGCATAAGAACGTGATCACAGGCTTTACCATGGCAGGTAACAAAATGAAGGAGAGGAGGAAGAGGCAGAGGAAAGCACTGGAAAGTGACACAGGTATAGAGGCAAACTAGCGCTCAGGAAAGAAGGCTGCAAGTTAGATGTCCTGGTCAAAAGCCAATAACTCTTGCACACATGCTCTTTTTTATCTCCCAACTAGTCAGGTTCCTTCACAGAGTGCCTTTCTAGAAAAGGGAGGGAGATAAGAAAGAAGCTGGGAGAAACACAGACAGGCTTCAGGGATTCTAGACCAACCTACCAGGCTTCTCCAAGGAGTCAAACTTAGGGGAAGGTATGGTGTGATGTCAGGGACAACAGGAAGGATTCTGTCAGGAATTCTCCTGGTATTATGCCTACAGAACCCCTTGACAAGGCAGTTGTAATTATTTTAACTTTTTTTTTTTTTTTTTGCATCAAACTAACCAAACTTGGACATTTATTTTAGCTCTTTATGACAGCATGCTTTGGTATTCTTCTGGATTGTGTGAGAATGTACTTGAGGAACAGTTTCCTTTCATTTAGGTCTACCAAGATTTCTTCTGTCCTCTGAGTTCTCAAGTTTTTTTTGCCAGATATTTTGCTTGTTTTCTTTTTGTTTTTTGTGTTTTTGTGTTTTTTTGTTTTTGTTTTCGTTTTTGTTTTTACCTCATTTTCCAGGCTCTTTCCTTGGATCTGGAATTGTTGACTGCACCAAGTTTTGGTGTCATTATCTGACTTTAATCATTTTCTTAAATCAACCTACAGGCATCCACACCTTAGAGAGGTTATCAGTTACCTAATAAACATTTCCTGCATACCAATGTCCAACATTCCTTTGAAAGCAACAGCATAGTGCTATAATTTGGATATGTTTTGTTTGACCCCACCAAGTCTTATGTTGAAATTTGATCTCCAGTGTTGGAGGTGGGCCTGGTGGGATGTGTTTGAGTTGTGGGGATGGATCCTTCATGAATGGGATGGTATGATTCTAGCAGGAGTGAGTGAGTTCTTACTCTTAGTACCTGTGAGAGCTGGTTGTTTAAAAAAGCCTCTTCTTTCTCTCTTGCTTTGTCTCTCACCACATGATCTCTGCACCCACCCACTCCCCTTCACCTTCCACTGTGGTAGGAAGCTTACTTAGGCCCTTATCAGAGGCAGATGCTGGTGCCATGATTCTGTACAACTGCAGAACCATGAGCCCCACAAATCTCTTTACTTTTTAAATTACCCAGGTCGAGCATGGTGGCACATGCCTGTAATCCCAGCACTTTGGGATACCAAGGCGTGTGGATCACTTGAGGCCAGGAGTTCAAGACCAGCCTAGCCAACATGGCAAAACCCTGTGTCTACTAAAAATACAAAAATTAGCTGGGCATGGTGGTGTGCACCTGTAATCCCAGCTACTCAGAAGGCTGAAGCAGGAGAATTGATTGAACCCAGGAAGCTGAGGTTGCAGTAAGCTGAGATCGTGTCACTGCACTCCAGCCTGGTAGACAGAGTAAAACTCCATCAGAAAAAAATAAAAAATAATAAATAATAAATAAATTACCCAGCCTCAGATATTCATTTATATCCACATGAATGGACAAAGACACATAGTTTGTTCATTTAAAAAATTAGTCTTAGGTAAAAAAAAAAACAACTTATTGCTAGAAAGAGCTCATACACTTACAAAAAAAATCTAATCACACCAACTTGTAAATAATAGCAAATCCTCTCAGTAATGGGAGCAAAGGCAGTTATAAAGAGAGGATAGTAAAGAAAAGCAAGGTAATCTTAGTTTCATGAAAGGGCACAAAAGTCAGGTTTAAATAAGACATAAGGAAGATTAAATAAAACTTGAATGACTTCACTATTTTGCCTAAAGCCAACTCTTTTTATTTTCAATTGTGAAGACAAGCTGGCACCCTGAGTAGGAGTATTTTAAGTTATGCACGGCTGTGCACAGTAGCACTTAAGAGGCAACATTGCCAGTCAGGCACTAAATCATAAAATGTTAGGGCTAGAAGGGAATTCAGAAATCATCACTTCCAACTTCCTAATTTTACAGATGAGGAAACTGGGACCAAAAGAGGTTAAGCAACTTGCCCATATCAGAAATAATGATTCTGTGCATAGAAGCAATCAGCCACATCATTAGCCCAATGACTTGAGGGCTAGCTGCTCCATAGCTACAGCTTGGAGAGTTAAAACCATTTTCATTGGATTTCAGAAGCTGAAATGCAAGTTTTGTTTGTTTGTTTGTTTGTTTTCTGAATATTTATTTCTTGCCTTAAAGGGAAAATGTTTGCTGTCTTTGGACTTCTTGTTCATTCTCTCTGCCTTCTCTCTGCTAACTCTTTCAATTTTTGTAGTAATGGAAGCTGATTTAATTGGCTAGGACTACAAAATATCTTCTAATCAACATTACCAGAGAATAAATTTTTAGCACATATTTTCTGTAAATATGTTTTCTTCCTTTTATTTTATTACTTCATTGTCATTTAACCAATGCCTTTAAGTTCGCGTTAGCATAAAAAAGAAGTATTTATTTCCAGAGCCTATGATGATTTTGCAAAGATGATGCAGGTCTTAGGGACTTCTGTTCATATTTTTTCCCCCACTTCATGATAACTCTTAATCTATAACACGTATTTGTACTTCCCAGAGTTTTTTTAAGGCTAGCAATATCCACTTCTATGATAGAAACTGCATTATTTGTCTATCCCACTAGTTATCAGGCTGGAGAATTGGGGTTGAGGATAATAGAGGAATGAAGTACAATTCCCTAAAGAACTTTGCAAAATTACATATTCCCACTCAGATCTCAATTACACTCCCTGGAAGATTCTGATAAGTCCTTTTTTTGCTACATCACTCTCTATCTCTATCAGAAGCTCTGGGAGTGGGTCCAGCAATCTGTTTTAACAAGCCCTCCCAATGATGGTGATGCTCACTAAACTTTCAGAAGCACAGCTACAGAGTGTAGTTCCCAAACTAATAATGCTAATTTTCATGTGGAACATCTCGGTTAAAATAACTTTTACTTTCATCAGGTGTATATTCTGGGTCTTTTCTTTTTTTTTATTTTATTATTACACTTTAAGTTTTAGGGTACATGTGCACAATGTGCATGTTAGTTACATATGTATACATGTGACATGCTGGTGCACTGCACCCACTAACTTGTCATCTAGCATTAGGTATATCTCCTAATGCTATCCCTCCCCCCTCCCCCCACCCCACAACAGTCCCCAGAGTGTGATGTTCCCCTTCCTGTGTCCATGTGTTCTCATTGTTCAATTCCCACCTATGAGTGAGAACATGCGGTGTTTGGTTTTCTGTCCGTGCAATAGTTTACTGAGAATGATGATTTCCAATTTCATCCATGTTCCTACAAAGGACATGAACTCATCCTTTTTTATGGCTGCATAGTATTCCATGGTGTATATGTGCCACATTTTCTTAATCCAGTCTATCATTGTTGGACATTTGGGTTGGTTCCAAGTCTTTGCTATTGTGAATAGTGCCACAATAAACATACGTGTGCATGTGTCTTTATAGCAGCATGATTTATAGTCCTTTGGGTATATACCCAGTAATGGGATGGCTGGGTCAAATGGTATTTCTAGTTCTAGATCCCTGGGGAATCGCCACACTGACTTCCACAATGGTTGAACTAGTTCACAGTCCCGCCAACAGTGTAAAAGTGTTCCTATTTCTCCACATCCTCTCCAGCACCTGTTGTTTCCTGACTTTTTAATGATTGCCATTCTAACTGGTGTGAGATGATATCTCATTGTGGTTTTGATTTGCATTTCTCTGATGGCCAGTGATGGTGAGCATTTTTTCATGTGTTTTTTGGCTGCATAAATGTCTTCTTTTGAGAAGTCTCTGTTTGTGTCCTTCACCCACTTTTTGATGGGGTTGTTTGTTTTTTTTTCTTGTAAATTTGTTTGAGTTCATTGTAGATTCTGGATGTTAGCCCTTCGTCAGATGAGTAGGTTGCGAAAATTTTCTCCCATTTTGTACGTCGCCTGTTCACTCTGATGGTAGTTTCTTTTGCTGTGCAGAAGCTCTTTAGTTTAATTAGTTCCCATTTGTCAATTTTGGCTTTTGTTGCCATTGCTTTTAGTGTTTTGGACATGAAGTCCTTGCCCATGCCTATGTCCTGAATGGTAATGCCTAGGTTTTCTTTTAGGGTTTTTATGGTTTTGGGTCTAACGTTTAAGTCTTTAATCCATCTTGAATTAATTTTTGTATAAGGTGTAAGGAAGGGATCCAGTTTCAGCTTTCTACATATGGCTAGCCAGTTTTCCCAGCACCATTTATTAAATAGGGAATGCTTTCCTCATTGCTTGTTTTTCTCAGGTTTGTCAAAGATCAGATAGTTGTAGATATGTGGCGTTATTTCTGAGGGCTCTGTTCTGTTCCATTGATCTATATCTCTGTTTTGGTACCAGTACCATGCTGTTTTGGTTACTGTAGCCTTGTAGTATAGTTTGAAGTCAGGTAGTGTGATGCCTCCAGCTTTGTTCTTTTGGCTTAGGATTGACTTGGCGATGCGGGCTCTTTTTTGGTTCCCTATGAACTTTAAAGTAGTTTTTTCCAATTCTGTGAAGGAAGTCATTGGTAGCTTGATGGGGATGGCATTGAATCTATAAATTACCTTGGGCAGTATGGCCATTTTCACGATATTGATTCTTCCTACCCATGAGCATGGAATGTTCTTCCATTTGTTTGTATCCTCTTTTATTTCCTTGAGCAGTGGTTTGTAGTTCTCCTTGAAGAGGTCCTTCACGTCCCTTGTAAGTTGGATTCCTAGGTATTTTATTCTCTTTGAAGCAATTGTGAATGGGAGTTCACTCATGATTTGGCTCTCTGTTTGTCTGTTGTTGGTGTATAAGAATGCTTGTGATTTTTGTACATTGATTTTGTATCCTGAGACTTTGCTGAAGTTGCTTATCTGCTTAAGGAGACATGGAAACTGAACAACCTGCTCTTGAGTGACTACTGGGTACATAATGAAATGAAGGCAGAAATAAAGATGTTCTTTGAAACCAATGAGAACAAAGACACAACATACCAGAATCTCTGGGACACATTCAAAGCAGTGTGTAGACGGAAATTTATAGCACTAAATGCCCACAAGAGAAAGCAGGAAAGATCCAAAATTGACACCCTAACATCACAATTAAAAGAACTAGAAAAGCAAGAGCAATCACATTCAAAAGCTAGCAGAAGGCAAGAAATAACTAAAATCAGAGCAGAACTGAAGGAAATAGAGACACAAAAAAACCCTTGAAAAAATTAATGAATCCAGGAGCTGGTTTTTTGAAAGGATCAACAAAATTGATAGACCGCTAGCAAGACTAATAAAGAAGAAAAGAAGAAGAATCAAATAGACACAATAAAAAATGATAAAGGGGATATCACCACCGATCCCACAGGAATACAAACTACCATCAGAGAATACTACCAACACCTCTACGCAAATAAACTAGAAAATCTAGAAGAAATGGATAAATTCCTCGACACATACACCCTCCCAAGACTAAACCAGGAAGAAGTTGAATCTCTGAATAGACCAATAACAGGCTCTGAAATTGTAGCAATAATCAATAGCTTACCAACCAAAAAGAGTCCAGGACCAGATGGATTCACAGCCGAATTTTACCAGAGGTACAAGGAGGAACTGGTACCATTCCTTCTGAAACTATTCCAAGCAGTAGAAAAAGGGAATCCTCCCTAACTCATTTTATGAGGCCAGCATCATCCTGATACCAAAGCCGGGCAGAGACACAACCAAAAAAGAGAATTTTAGACCAATATCCTTGATGAACATTGATGCAAAAATCCTCAATAAAATACTGGCAAACCGAATCCAGCATTACATCAAAAAGCTTATCCACCATGATCAAGTGGGCTTCATCCCTGGGATGCAAGGCTGGTTCAATATACGTAAATCAATAAATGGAATTGAGCATATAAACAGAACCAAAGACAAAAACCACATGATTATCTCAATAGACGCAGAAAAGGCCTTTGACAAAATTCAACAAACCTTCATGCTAAAAACTCTCAATAAATTAGGTATTGATGGGACGTATCTCAAAATAATAAGAGCTATCTATGACAAACCCACAGCCAATATCATACTGAATGGGTAAAAACTGGAAACATTCCCTTTGAAAACTGGCACAAGACAGGGATGCCCTCTCTCACCACTCCTATTCAACGTAGTGTTGGAAGTTCTGGCCAGGGCAATTAGCCAGGAGAAGGAAATAAAGGGTATTCAATTAGGAAAAGAGGAAGTCAAATTGTCCCTGTTTGCAGATGACATGATTGTATATCTAGAAAACCCCATTGTCTGGGTCTTTTCATTGGCATGTCTGAAACTTGCTTATTTAAATCCCTAAGCAAGTCTATAGGACTGAAGGTTACAGTGTTTGTTCCAAAGAGGATCTTTTCTCCTCAGCACCTTCCATGGGCACTAGGCAGTCTCCACTGCAGGTTTCCTGAGGCCAGCCCAAAATGCTCCTGTAATGAGGGCAGAAACTTATTACTTTAGGCTATCCTAAAGCACTTATAAAATCACTGCATACAGCATTAGTAGGGAAGTGCAAAACTAACTTCATTCTGTATAATGTTTATTTTTAACTTTAAAATCCTAAGATATTCTAGTGGTAACTTGGGATCTCTTATACAGCCAGATTTTACAAGTAGAAAGAAAAAAGCATTCTACTTACAAAGGTCTAAATTTTTTTTTTTTTTTTTTTGCTAAAACTGAAGAAATAGTTTCAGCTTATATAGATACTTCCTCTGAGTGTGGGTGTCAATGTGTATATCCCTATGTATTTGGACGAATACAAATAAGAGTTTGTGGATGTGCCTATTTGATTGGACAGATCTCTATGTTTAGTCAACACAAACCTATGTTCAGCTGTAAGTAGGTATAGAGGTGTACTTCTTCTTGAAAGCATTCCTAAAATATATGCAAGACTAACGAGGTATTTGCTAAAGGATCTGTATATGGATGCCTTAGGTGTGATTTTAAACAAGGGTGAAAAAATTAACTTAGCCTCTGCTGTTTTCCCTTCAAGAGCTACTTTGAATTGTTTAAGTACTATTTTCATACAATGATACACTCTTCCTTGTATAAGTTATATAATTTTTTCTATAATAAAAATACAATTTTTATAAAAGACAGAAACCACAAAAATATAAATAATTTGAATTTAAGGTGTTCATTTTTATGCTAGCATTTTTCCCTTTTTTGTCTTATAACTTCTAGAGGGGTGTTCTTTACATAATTCACTGTCCCCTTCTCTCTCTTCACTGCATTTCCTCCAGGCTGTTCCCACACTGTCAGAATAGGCTTCATTTCAAAAATTCTCAGAGAAGGCACAGCAGTCAGGTATTTGGAATAACTCATTGACTCAGAGATTGACCTCTAGCTAAAAAACTATTTCTAGCTATGGTAAACTAGAGATAAATACATAGCACATTAGGGCAAGATAACGTTATAATGTATCAGGTATCAAGTGGAAACTTTGCATTTAAGAGGATTGTGCAGGTGGGGTAAGATGGCAGAACAAAAGCCTACACTTTTTGTGCCACCTACCGGAGCCCCAAATTTGAATAATGATCTGCACACAAAAAAACACCGTCATAAGAACCAAAAATAAGGTGAGCAACTAGAGTACCTGATTTTAACTTCATATTATAGAAAGAGGCACTGAGAAGGGCAGGAGAGACAGTCTTAAATTGCAGATGCCACCCCTCCCCTCTCCCCTGGTAGGGGCTGTGCAGCACAGAGAGATAAACTGCACTTTGGGAAGAGAGAGCACAGCAACTGGGGGACTTAAATTGAACTCAGTGCTGCCCTGCCATAGCAGAGAATAAAGCTGTGTTGAGCTCAGCCAGTGCCTGCTTATGAGTAGAGCATTCAGACCAGCCCTAGCCAGAGGGGACTTGTCCATCTGAGTGGTCAGAACTTGAGTTTCTTGGCAAGCTTCACCACCAAAGGCTGAAGTGTTCTGGAGCAACAGGTAAACTTGAAAGTCCACCTAGGACACAGAGATTGCAATTTCTAGGCAACTCTTAGTGCCAGATTGGGCTTAGAGCCAGTAAACTAGGGTGGCATGTGACCTAGGAAATGGCTAAGGGAGGGCTTACCCCATCTCTCCCCCGACTCCAGGCGGTGCAGCTCATAGCAGAGAAAGTGACTCCTACCTTCTGCTTCAGGAGAGGAGAGTGAAGAGTAAAGAGGCCTTTATCTTGCATCTTGGATACCAGCTCAGCCACAGTAGGATAGGAAGCTGGGCAGAGTTCTGGGTCCTCCATTCCAGGCCCTAGCTCTCAGACAATATTTCTAGACACACCCTGGGCCAAAGGGGAACCTGCTACCTTGAAGGGAAAGACCAAGTCTGGGCAGGATTCATCACCTGCTGACTAAAGAGCCCTTGGGCCCTGAATAACCACTATCAATAACCAGGAAGTATTCAATGGGCACTGGGCTCTGAGATGTGCTGGCTTCAGTGGAGACCCAGCACATTCCTAGTTGTGACTACAGTGAAAGACTCCTTCTGTTTGAAAAATGCAGAGGGAAAAGTAAAAGGGACTTTGTCTTGCACCTTATGTACCAGCTGGGCCACAGTGGGATAGAGCAACAAGCAGGCTCTTGAGGTCCCCAAGTCCAGGTCTGAGCATTTGGATAGTATTTCTGAACCTGCCCTGGGCCCACTGCGCTGAAGATTAAGTATCCACCCTGACAGCATTCACCATAAGCTGATGAAAGAGCCCTTGGGCTTTAAGCAAACATCAGCAATGGCCTGGCAGATGCTCTCATGGATTGGTGTTGGTGGTGGCCACAAGGAGAAGTTCCTCTGCCTGTGGTAAGGGGAAGGAAGAGTGGGAATAACTTTCTATTATAGTTTGAGTGCCGGCTTAGCTGCAATAGAATAGAGTGTCAAGTAAATTGGTAATGTTTTTGACTATAATCCCTGGCTTCCAGATAGCATCTCTGGACATGCATGGGACCTAGGGGAACTTGCCACCTTGAAGGGAAGGGCCTTGGTCAAGGCTGAGTGCTCTGCTGGCTTCCGGTCTGACTCAGCACAGTTCCAGTGTTGGTGGCCACAGGAGTTCTTGCATCCCCACACCTCCAGTTGCAAGTGGCTCAGCAGAAAGAATGACAGGAAGAAAGACAGAGAGAGAGAAAGACTGACTGACTTAGTATGTTTGGGAGGAAATAAGGAAACAAGAGTCTTTGCCTGGTAATGCAGAGAATTCCTCTCACTTTTATATAAGACCACCAAGGCAGTACCTCTACAAGTCTGCAAAAACCACAGCATTATTGGACTTGAGGCCTAAGTCCCTTTGAATACCTGGAAAGCCTTCCCAAAAACAACAGGCACAAAAAAGCCACAACTCTGAAGACTACAATAAATACCCAACTCTTCAATGTACAGACACCAAAAAAACATCTATAAGCATCAACTCCATCCAGAAAAACATGACATCACCAAATGAACTAAATGAGGCACCAGGGACCAATCCTGGAGAAACAAAGATATGTGACATTTCAGACAGACATTTCAAAATAGCTGTTTTGAGGAAATGCAAAGAAATTCAAGATAAAACAGAGAAGAAATTTAGAATCCTATCAGATAAATTTAACAAAGATATTGAAATAATCAAAAAGAATTGAGCAGAAATTCTGCAGTTAAAAAATGCAAGTGACATGCTGAAGAATGCGTCAGAGTCTCCTCATAGCAGACTAGATGGTGCAGAAGAAATAATTAGTGAGCTCGAAGACAGGCTACTTGAAAATACACAGTCAGAGGAGACAGAAAAAAGTTGGAAAAAAATGAAGCATGTCTACAACATTAGAAAATAGTCTCAAAAGTGCAAATCCGAGAGCTATTGGACTTCAAGAAGAGATAGAAAAAGAGATAGGAGAAGAAAGTTTATCCAAAGGAATAATATCAGAGAACTTCCCAAACCCAAAGAAAGACATCAATATTCAAGTACAAGAAGGTTGTAGAACAACGAGCAGATTTAATCTAAAGAAGACTACCTCAAGGCATTTAATAATCGCACTCCCAAAGGTCAAGGATACAGAAAGGATTCTTTTTGTTTTTAATATGTACATTTTTATTATACTTTAGGTTCTAGGGTACATGTGCACAACGTGCAGGTTTGTTACTTATGTATACTTGTGCCATGTTGGTGTGCTGCACCCATTAACTCGTCATTTACATTAGTTATATCTCCTAATGCTATCCCTCCCCCCTCCCCCTACCCCACAACAGGCCCCGGTGTGTGATGTTCTCCTTCCTGTGTCCAAGTGTCCTCATTGTTCAATTCCCACCTATTAGTTAGAACATGCAGTGTTTGGTTTTTTGTCCTTGTGATAGTTTGCTGAGAATGATGGTTTCCAGATTCATCCATGTCCCTACAAAGGACATGAACTCATCATTTTTTATGGCTGCATAGTATTCCATGGTGTATATATGTGCCACATTTTCTTAATCCAGTCTATCATTGTTGGACATTTGGGTTGGTTCCAAGTCTTTGCTATTGTGAATAGTGGAAAGGATTCCCTATTTAACAAATGGTGCTGGGAAAACTGGCTAGCCATATGTAGAAAGCTGAAACTGGATCCCTTCCTTACACCTTATACAAAGATTAATTCAAGATGGATTAAAGACTTAAATGTTAGACCTAAAACCATAAAAACCCTAAAAGAAAACCTAGGCAGTACCATTTAGGACACAGGCATGGGCAAGGACTTCATGTCTAAAGCACCAAAAGAAAGGATTCTAAAAGCAGCAAAAGAAAAGAAACAAATAACATAAAAAGGAGCTCCAATACATCTGTCAGCAGACTTTTCAGTGGAAAGTTTACAGGCTAGGAGAGAGTGGCATGTCATATTTAAAGAGCGGAAGGAAAAAAACTTTTAACCTGGAACAGTATATTTGGTGAAAATATCCTTTAAGTGTGATGAAGAAGTAAAAGACCTTGCCAGACAAACAAAAGCTGAGTGATTTCATTAACACCAGACCTGTCCTACAAGAAATGCTAAAGGGAGATCTTCAGTCTGAAAGAAAAAGATATTAATGAGCAAGAAGAAATCACCTGAAGGTACAAAACTCACAGATAATGGTAAGCACAGAGAAAAACACAATTAGTATAACACTGTAATTGTGATGTGTAAACTTCTCTTGACTTTAGTGGGAAGACTAAATGATGAACCAATCAAAAATAGTAACTACAACAACTTTTCAAAGCATAGATAATAGTACAATAAGACATAAATAGAAACAACAAAAAGTTAACATGTAGGGAGATGAAGTTAAAGTGTAGAGTTTTTATTAGTTTTCTTTATTCATGTTTGTTTATGCAATCAGTGTCAAGTTGTCATCAGTTTAAAATAATGGGTTATAAAATAGCATCTTCAAGCCTTACAGTAACCTCAAATTGAAAAATACACAATGGATACACATACACAAAAAGCAACAAATCAAAGCATACTATCAGAGAAAATTACCTTTACCAAAAGGAAGACAAGAAGGAAGGAAAGGAGGAGAAGACGGCAAAGCAATCAGAAAACAAATAACAAAATGGCAAGAGTAAGTTCCAACTGATCAATAATAACATTGAATGTTAATAAACAAAACTGTCCAATGAAAAGACTTAGGTGGCTGAATAGATTTAAAAAAATACCCAATGATCTGTTGCCTACAAGAAACACACTTCACCTCCACATATACATATAGACTAAAGATAAAGGGATGCAAAGAGATACGCCACGCCAATGTTAACCAAAAAAGAGCAAAAGTAGCTATTCTTACATCAGACACAATGGATTTTAAAACAAAAGCTATAGAGAGACAAAAAATATCATTATATAATGATAAAGTGGTCAATTCAGAAAGAAGATATAACTATTTTAAATGAACACATCCCCAACACTGGAGCACTGAGATATATAAAGCAAATACCATTAGATCTAGAAAGAGAGATAGGCCCTATCACCATAATAGCGGGAGACTTCAGCACTGCAATTTCAGCAGTGGATTGATTTTCCAGAAGAAAATCAACAAAGAAACACCTGACTTAATCTGCACTACAGAACAAATAGATATAATAGACGTTTATAGAACTTTTTTTTCTTTTTTTTTGGTGGCGGGGGAGCACAATTTTGTTCTTGTTGCCCAGGCTGGACTGCAATGGTGCGATCTCAGCTCACTGCAACCTCCACCTCCCTGGTTCAAGCGATTCTCCTGCCTTAGCCTCCCAAGTAGCTGGGATTACAGGCATGTGCCACCACGCCTGGCTAATTTTTTGTATTTTTAGTAGAGATGGGGTTTCTCCATGTTGGTCAGGCTGGTCTCAAACTCCTGAGCTTAGGTGAGCCACTGCCTTGGCCTCCCAAAGTGCTGGGATTACAGGCATGAGCCACCTTGCCCAGCCAAGAAAAAAAAGGGAGAAGACCAAATAAATAAAACCAGAAATAAAAAAGGAGACATTGCAACTGATACAAGCAAAATTTAAAGGGTTGTTAATGGCTACTCTGAAAAACTGTATGCCAATAAATTAGAAAATATAGATGCAATGGACAGATTCCTAGATGCATACAACCTAGCGAAATTGAACCATGAAAAAACCCAAAACCTGAATGGATCAATAACAAGTAAGGAGATCAAAACCACAATAAAATATCTCCCAGTAAAGAAAAGCCTAATGGCTTCACTACTGAATTCTACCAAACGTTTAAAGAAGAACTAATACTAATCTACTCAAACTGTTCTGAAACATAGAGGAGGTAGAAATACTTCCATACTCATTCTGTGAGGTCAGTATTACCCTAATACCACATCTAGACAAAGACAAATTAAAAAAAAAAAAAAAGAAAACTAAATGCCAATATCTCTGATAAATATACATGGGAAAATCCTTAACAAAGTATTAGCAAACTGAATTCAACAATACAATTTTATTTTATTTTATTTTATTTTATTTTATTTTATTTTATTTTTGAGACCATGTCTTGCTCTGTCACCCAGGTTGGAATGCAGTGGCATGATCTCAGCTCACTGCAGGTGAGCCTCCCAGGTTCAAGTGATTCTCCTGCTTCAGCCTCTCCAGTAGCTGGGATTACAGGTGCATGCCACCAAACCCAGCTAATTTTTGTATTTTTAGTAGATACGCGGTTTCACTATTTTGGCCATGCTGGTCTCAAACTCCTGGCCTCTAGTGATCCACCCGCCTCAGCCTCCCAAAGTGCTGGGATTACACTCGTAAGCCAGCACACCCGGCCTCAACAACACATTTGAAAGACCATTCATCATAACTAAGTGGGATTTTTTTCCCAAGGATGCAAGAATGGTTCAACAGACACAAATCATTCAAAGTGGTGCAGCATATCTACAGAATGAGTCACAAAAAACGTATGATTATTTCAATTGATGATGAAAAAACATTTGATAAAATTCTACATCCCTTCATGATAAAAACTCTTAAAAACTGGTTGTGGAAGGAATATACCTCAACACAATAAAAGCCATATATGACAGACCCATAGCTAATATCATACTGAATGAAAAAAAAAACTGAAAGCCTTTCCACTGAGATCTGGAGCACAATGATGATGTCCACTTTCACGTTATTAGACATGTTACTAGAAGTCTTATCTAGAGCAATCAGACAAGAGAAAGAATGAAATGCATCCAAACTGAAATGGAAGAAGTCAAATTATTCTAGTTTGCAGATAATATGATCTTTTATTTGAAAAAACATAGACTGTACTAAAAAAACTTTTAGAAATGATAAATGCAGTAAAGTTGCAGGATACAAAAGTCAACATACAAAAATCAGTAGCATTTCTATATGTGAACAGTGACCAATCTGAAAAAGAAATCAAAAAAGTAATCACATTTATAATACCCACACATCAAATAAATTACCTAGGAAATATTTTAACCAAAAAAGTGAAATATCTCTACGATGAAAAGTATAAAATACTGATAAAAGAAACTGAAGAGGACACACATACAAAAATGGAAAGATGGTCCATGTGAATGGATTGAAGAATCAATATTGTTAAAATATCCATATTACCCAAGGCAATCTTCAGATTCAGTGGAATCCATATCAAAATACCAATGACATTCTTCAAATAAATAGAAAAAAAACCCTAAAATATATGTGAAACCACAAAAGACCCAGAATACCCAAAGCTCTCCTAAGCAAAAAGAACAAAACTGGAAGAATCACATTACCTGACTTCAAATTATACTACAGAACTATAGTAACAAAAACAGCATGATACTGGCATAAAAACAGACACACAGACCAATGGAATAGAATAGAGAACCCAGGAACAAACTACAGTGAACTCATTTTCGACAAAAGTGCCAAGAACGTACAGCAGAGGACAAACAGTCTATTCAATAAGTGGTGTTGGAAAAACTAGATATCTATATGTAGAAAGGTGAAATTTGACCCCTATCTTTTACAATATATGAAAGCCAAGTCAAAATGAATTAAAGACTGAAATCTAAGACTACACACTATGAAACTACTACAAGAGAACATTGGGGAAATTCTCCAGGACATTGGATTGGCAAAGATTTCTTGAGTAATATCCCACGAGCACAGACAACCAAAGCAAAAATGGACAAATAGGGTTACATGAAGTTAAAAAGCTTCGGCACAGCAAAGGAAACAATCAACAAAGTGAAGATACAACCTGCAGAATGGGAGAAAATATTGCAAACTACCCATCAGACAAGGGGTAAATAGGGAAAATACATAAGGAGCTCAAACAACTCAACAGAAGCAAAAATCTAATAATCTGATTTTAAAATGGGCAAAATATTTGAGTATATTTCTCAAAATAAAACATAAAGATGGCAAACAAGCATATGACAAAGTGCTCAACATCAATGATCATCAGAGAAATGCAAATTAAAACTACAATGAGATATCATCATACCTCAGTTAAAATGGCTTTATTTTTTTTATTATACTTTAAGTTTTAGGGTACATGTGCACATTGTGCAGGTTAGTTACATATGTATACATGTGCCATGCTGGTGCACTGCACCCACTAACTCGTCGTCTAGCATTAGGTATATCTCCCAATGCTATCCCTACCCCCTACCCCCACCCCACAACAGTCCCCAGAGTGTGATATTCCCCTTCCTGTGTCCATGTGATCTCATTGTTCAATTCCCACCTATGAGTGAGAATATGCGGTGTTTGGATTTTGCACTTGTGATAGTTTACTGAGAATGATGATTTCCAATTTCATCCATGTCCCTACAAAGGACATGAACTCATCCTTTTTTATGGCTGCATAGTATTCCATGGTGTATATGTGCCACATTTTCTTAATCCAGTCTATCATTGTTGGACATTTGGGTTGGTTCCAAGTCTTTGCTATAGTGAATAGTGCTGCAATAAACATACGTGTGCATGTGTCTTTATAGCAGCATGATTTATAGTCCTTTGGGTATATATCCAGTAATGGGATTGCTGGGTCAAAGGGTATTTCTAGTTCTAGATCCCTGAGCAATTGCCACACTGACTTCCACAATGGCTGAACTAGTTTACAGTCCCACCAACAGTGTAAAAGTGTTCCTATTTCTCCACATCCTCTCCAGCACCTGTTGTTTCCTGACTTTTTAATGATTCCCATTCTAACTGGTGTGAGATGGTTATCTCATTGTGGTTTTGATTTGCATTTCTCTGATGGCCAGTGATGATGAGCATTTTTTCATGTGTTTTTTGGCTGCATAAATGTCTTCTTTTGAGAAGTGTCTGTTCATGTCCTTCACCCACTTTTTGATGGGGTTGTTTGTTATTTTCTTGTAAATTTGTTTGAGTTCATTGTAGATTCTGGATATTAGCCCTTTGTCAGATGAGTAGGTTGCAAAAATTTTCTCCCATTTTGTAGGTTGCCTGTTCACTCTGATGGTAGTTTCTTTTGCTGTGCAGAAGCTCTTTAGTTTAATTAGATCCCATTTGTCAATTTTGGCTTTTGTTGCCATTGCTTTTGGTGTTTTGGACATGAAGTCCTTGCCCATGCCTATGTCCTGAGTGGTAATGCCTAGGTTTTCTTCTAGGGTTTTTATGGTTTTGGGTCTAACGTTTCAGTCTTTAATCCATCTTGAATTGATTTTTGTATAAGGTGTAAGGAAGGGATCCAGTTTCAGCTTTCTACATATGGCTAGCCAGTTTTCCCAGCACCATTTATTAAATAGGGAATCCTTTCCCCATTGCTTGTTTTTCTCAGGTTTGTCAAAGATCAGATAGTTGTAGATATGTGGCGTTATTTCTGAGGGCTCTGTTCTGTTCCATTGATCTATATCTCTGTTTTGGTACCAGTACCATGCTGTTTTGGTTACTGTAGCCTTGTAGTATAGTTTGAAGTCAGGTAGTGTGATGCCTCCAGCTTTGTTCTTTTGGCTCAGGATTGACTTGGCGATGCAGGCTCTTTTTTGGTTCCATATGAACTTTAAAGTAGTTTTTTCCAATTCTGTGAAGAAAGTCATTGGTACCTTGATGGGGATGGCATTGAATCTGTAAATTACCTTGGGCAGTATGGCCATTTTCACGATATTGATTCTTCCTACCCATGAGCATGGAATGTTCTTCCATTTGTTTGTATCCTCTTTTATTTCCTTGAGCAGTGGTTTGTAGTTCTCCTTGAAGAGGTCCTTCACATCCCTTGTAAGTTGGATTCCTAGGTATTTTATTCTCTTTGAAGCAATTGTGAATGGGAGTTCACTCATGATTTGGCTCTCTGTTTGTCTGTTGTTGGTGTATAAGAATGTTTGTGATTTTTGTACATTGATTTTGTATCCTGAGACTTTGCTGAAGTTGCTTATCAGCTTAAGGAGATTTTGGGCTGAGACAATGGGGTTTTCTAGATATACAATCATGTCGTCTGCAAACAGGGACAATTTGAATTCCTCTTTTCCTAATTGAATACCCTTTATTTCCTTCTCCTGCCTAATTGCTCTGGCCAGAACTTTGAACACTATATTGAATAGGAGTGGTGAGAGAGGGCATCCCTGTCTCATGCCAGTTTTCAAAGGGAATGCTTCCAGTTTTTTCCCATTCAGTATGATATGGGCTGTGGGTTTGTCATAGATAGCTCTTATTATTATGAAATACATCCCATCAATACCTAATTTATTGAGAGTTTTTAGCATGAAGGGCTGTTGAATTTTGTCAAAGGCCTTTTCTTCATCTATTGAGATAATCATGTGGTTTTTGTCTTTGGTTCTGTTTACATGCTGGATTACATTTATTGATTTGCGTATATTGAACCAACCTTGCATCCCAGGGATGAAGCCCACTTGATCATGGTGGATAAGCTTTTTGATGTGCTGCTGGATTCGTTTTGCCAGTATTTTATTGAGGATTTTTGCATCAATGTTCATCAAGGATATTGGTCTAAAATTCTCTTTTTTGGCTGTGTCTCTGCCCAGCTTTGGTATCAGAATGATGCTGGCCTCATAAAATGAGTTAGGGAGGATTCCCTCTTTTTCCATTGATTGGAATAGTTTCAGAAGGAATGGTACCAGTTCCTCCTTGTACCTCTGGTAAAATTCGGCTGTGAATCCATCTGGTCCTGGACTCTTTTTGGTTGGTAAATATTGATTATTGCCACAATTTCAGCTCCTGTTATTGGTCTATTCAAAGATTCTACTTTTTCCTGGTTTAGTCTTGGGAGAGTGTATGTGTCGAGGAATTTATCCATTTCTTCTAGATTTTCTAGTTTATTTGCGTGAAGGTGTTTGTAATATTCTCTGATGGTAGTTTGTATTTCTGTGGGATCGGTGGTGATATCCACTTTATCATTTTTTATTGTGTCTATTTGATTCTTCTCTCTTTTTTTCTTTATTAGTCTTGCTAGAGGTCTATCAATTTTGTTGATCCTTTCAAAAAATCAGCTCCTGGATTGATTGATTTTTTGAAAGGTTTTTCATGTCTCTATCTCCATCAGTTTTGCTCTGATCTTAGTTATTTCTTGCCTTCTGCTAGCTTTTGAATGTGTTTGCTCTTGCTTTTCTAGTTCTTTTAATTGTGATGTTAAGGTGTCAATTTTGGATCTTTCCTGCTTTCTCTTGTGGGCATTTAGTGCTATAAATTTCCCTCTACACACTGCTTTGAATGCGTCCCAGAGATTCTGGTATGTTGTGTCTTTGTTCTCGTTGGTTTCAAAGAACATCTTTATTTCTGCCTTCATTTCGTTATGTATCCAGTAGTCATTCAGGAGCAGGTTGTTCAGTTTCCATGTAGTTGAGCAGTTTTGAGTGAGATTCTTAATCCTGAGTTCTAGTTTGATTGCACTGTGGTCTGAGAGATAGTTTGTTATAATCTCTGTTCTTTTACATTTGCTGAGGAGAGCTTTACTTCCAAGTATGTGGTCAATTTTGGAATAGGTATGGTGTGGTGCTGAAAAAAATGTATATTCTGTTGATTTGGGGTGGAGAGTTCTTTAGATGTCTATTAGGTCTGCTTGGTGCAGAGCTGAGTTCAATTCCTGGGTATCCTTGTTGACTTTCTGTCTCGTTGATCTGTCTGATGTTGACAGTGGGGTGTTAAAGTCTCCCATTATTAATGTGTGGGAGTCTAAGTCTCTTTGTAGGTCACTCAGGACTTGCTTTATGAATCTGGGTGCTCTTGTATTGGGTGCATATATATTTAGGATAGTTAGCTCTTCTTGTTGAATTGATCCCTTTACCATTATGTAGTGGCCTTCTTTGTCTCTTTTGATCTTTGTTGGTTTAAAGTCTGTTTTATCAGAGACTAGGATTGCAACCCCTGCCTTTTTTTGTTTTCCATTTGCTTGGTAGATCTTCCTGCATCCTTTTATTTTGAGCCTATGTGTGTCTCTGCACGTGAGATGGGTTTCCTGAATACAGCACACTGATCGGTCTTGACTCTTTATCCAATTTGCCAGTCTCTATCTTTTAATTGGAGTATTTAGTCCATTTACATTTAAAGTTAATATTGTTATGTGTGAATTTGATCCTGTCATTATGATGTTAGCTGGTGATTTTGCTCGTTAGTTGATGCAGTTTCTTCCTAGCCTTGATGGTCTTTACATTTTGGCATGATTTTGCAGTGGCTGGTACCGGTTGTTCCTTTCCATGTTTAGCGCTTCCTTCAGGAGCTCTTTTAGGGCAGGCCTGGTGGTGACAAAAATCTCTCAGCATTTGCTTGTCTGTAAAGTATTTTATTTCTCCTTCACTTATGAAGCTTAGTTTGGCTGGATATGAAATTCTGGGTTGAAAATTCTTTTCTTTAAGAATGTTGAATATATTGGCCCCCACTCTCTTCTGGCTTGTAGGGTTTCTGCCAAGAGATCCGCTGTTAGTCTGATGGGCTTCCCTTTGAGGGTAACCTGACCTTTCTCTCTGGCTGCCCTTAACATTTTTTCCTTCATTTCAACTTTGGTGAATCTGACAATTATGTGTCTTGGAGTTGCTCTTCTCGAGGAGTATCTTTGTGGCGTTCTCTGTATTTCCTGAATCTGAACATTGGCCTGCCTTGCTAGATTGGGGAAGTTCTCCTGGATAATATCCTGCAGAGTGTTTTCCAACTTGGTTCCATTCTCCCCATCAGTTTCAGGTACACCAATCAGATGTAGATTTGGTCTTTTCACATAGTCCCATATTTCTTGGAGGCTTTGCTCATTTCTTTTTATTCTTTTTTCTCTAAACTTCCCTTCTCGCTTCATTTCATTCATTTCATCTTCCATCGCTGATACCCTTTCTTCCAGTTGATCGCATCGGCTCCTGAGGCTTCTGCATTCTTCACGTAGTTCTCGAGCCTTGGTTTTCAGCTCCATCAGCTCCTTTAAGCACTTCTCTGTATTGGTTATTCTAGTTATATATTCTTCTAAATTTTTTTCAAAGTTTTCAACTTCTTTGCCTTTGGTTTGAATGTCCTCCCGTAGCTCAGAGTAATTTGATCATCTGAAGCCTTCTTCTCTCAGCTCGTCGAAGTCATTCTCCATCCAGCTTTGTTCAGTTGCTGGTGAGGAACTGCGTTCCTTTGGAGGAGGAGAGGCGCTCTGTGTTTTAGAGTTTCCAGTTTTTCTGTTCTGTTTTTTCCCCATCTTTGTGGTTTTATCTACTTTTGGTCTTTGATGATGGTGATGTACAGATGTGTTTTTGGTGTGGATGTCCTTTCTGTTTGTTAGTTTTCCTTCTAACAGACAGGACCCTCAGCTGCAGGTCTGTTGGAATACCCTGCCGTGTGAGGTGTCAGTGTGCCCCTGCTGGGGGGTGCCTCCCAGTTAGGCTGCTCGGGGGTCAGGGGTCAGGGACCCACCTGAGGAGGCAGTCTGCCCGTTCTCAGATCTCCAGCTGCGTGCTGGGAGAACCACTGCTCTCTTCAAAGCTGTCAGACAGGGACATTTAAGTCTGCAGAGGTTACTGCTGTCTTTTTGTTTGTCTGTGCCCTGCCCCCAGAGGTGGAGCCTACGGAGGCAGGCAGGCCTCCTTGAGCTGTGGTGGGCTCCGCCCAGTTGGAGCTTCCAGGCTGCTTTGTTTACCTAATCAAGCCTAGGCAATGGCGGGCGCCCCTCCCCCAGCCTAGCTGCCACCTTGCAGTTTGATCTCAGACTGCTGTGCTAGCAATCAGTGAGACTCCATGGGCGTAGGACCCTCTGAGCCAGGTGCGGCATATAATCTCGTGGTGGGCCGTTTTTTAAGCCTGTCCGAAAAGCGCAATATTCGGGTGGGAGTGACCCGATTTTCCACGTGCGTCCGTCACCCCTTTCTTTGACTCGGAAAGGGAACTCCCTGACCCCTTGCGCTTCCCAAGTGAGGCAGTGCCTGGCCCTGCTTCGGCTCGCGCACAGTGCGCGCACCCACTGACCTGCGCCCACTGTCTGGCACTCCCTAGTGAGATGAACCCGGTACCTCAGATGGAAATGCAGAAATCACCCGTCTTCTGCATCGCTCACGCTGGGAGCTGTAGACCAGAGCTGTTCCTATTCGGCCATCTTGGCTCCTAAAATGGCTTTTATAAAAAAAAAATACAGTCAATAACAAATGCTGGTGAGGATGCTGGCAAGGATGTGGAGAAAAGGGAGCCCTTGTATGCCATCGGTAGGAATGTAAACTAGTACAACCACTATGAAGAATAGTTTGGATGTTCCTCAAAAACCTAAACATAGAACTATCATATTATACAGCAATCCCACTGCTGGTTACATACCCAAAAGAAAGGAAATCAGTATACTGAAGGGATATTTGCACTCCCATGTTTACTGTAGCACTATTCACAATAGCCAAGATTTGGAAGCAACTTACATGTCCATCAACAGAGGAATGGATAAAGAAAATGAAATACACCCAATGGAGTACTATTCAGTCATAAAAAATAATGAGATTCTGTAATTTGCAACAACATGGATGGAACTGGAGGTCATTATGTTAAGTGAAATAAGCCAGGCACAAAAAGACAAGCTTTGCATGTTCTTATTTATAGGAGATAGAAATTAAGACAATAGAACTCATGGAGATAGAGAATAGAAGATGGTTACCAGAGGCTGTGAACAGTAGTGGGTGGGGGTCAGGGAGAATTTGGGGATGGTTAATGGGCACAAATAATAAAAAGAATGAATAAGACAGTATTTTATAGCACAACAGGGGGACTATAGTAAATAACAATTTGTCATTTAAAAATAACTAGAAGAGTATAATTGGATTGTCTGTAACACAAGAGATTTATAAATGCTTGAGGAGATGGACATCCAATTTTCCACAATGTGATTATTACGTATTGCATGCCTGTATCAAAATATCTCACATACCCCATAAATATATGCATCTAGTATGCTCCACAAAGATTAAAAACAAGAAAAATATTTAAAAAGAGAATTTTAATACCAACTGTGTTGAGCAGCCTGCTTTATATGAGTGCATCTACTGGAGATCAACAATAATCATGTCTAATTATTGAATACATTGTGTGGTTCTGGTGTTTTTTAATATAAAATGTTATTTTATCCTCAAAACAACATTAAGAGGCCATTCTATTTCCTTCTTCTATAGATGAGTTAAATGAGGCTTATAGAGAATTTTCCCAGGTCCCAAACACCTTTCTGATAAATAGGATGTGCATTCACTGTCAGCTATATCAGATTCCTAACACTATACTCTTCACCACCATTCTATACTCTAAAATATATAAGAAGAATAATTATTAGGTTAATTGTAGGATAATGAAAAAAGAAACAATTTTAGAACAAAGAGGAACTGAAAAACCTTCTAGTTGAATGCCTTCAGTCAGCAAAGTACTGAGGGGTTAATTTACCCTACATCACACAACTAATTAATGTATGTCCCTGCTCCTAATATGGTGCCTGACACAGAGTACATACTCACTAAATATCTGTAGGATGAAAGAATCAGTTTAAGATCAAAATGGATCTCTGTAACAGGATTCATTGTAATTTATTTGTTAGCATGTCACTCTCACCTGATACCTCCTTAGGGACAGACATCATGCTTTATTTTCACAAATTTATTAAGATGTAATTTACATACAATTCACTCATTCAGTGTATAATTCAATGTCCTTTAATATACTTACAGAGTTGCACATGCATTGTCACAATCAGTTTTAAACATTTTATTATCCCAAGAAAGAAACTCCACATCCCTTAGCTTTCACCACCACCCCAGCCCCAGTCTCCAAACCCTTCTAATACGCCTCTCAACTCCTACTCTAAGTAGTATTACTTTCTGTTTTCATAGATTTCCGTATTCTGGACATTTCAAATAAATGGAAACATACAATATGTGGTCCTTTGTAACAGACTTCTTTCAACTAGCATAATGTTCTCAAAATTTGTTCATGTTGCGGCATATATCAGTAATTCATTTCTTTTTTTGCAACGTAATATTCTATGTATGTATGAATTATTTTATTTATCAATTTATCAATTGATGGGCATTAGATTATTTCTACTATTGGGCTGTGATAAATAATGTGCTTATTCATACACAAGTTTTTGTGTGGACATAGGTATTTATTTCTTTTGGGTAAATACTCAGGACTGAAATTGCTGGATCACATGATATCTCCATGTTTAATCATTTGGGAAATTGCTAGTTCTTCCAAAGTGGCTGAATCATTTTACCTTCTCAACAGCAGTTTCTGAGTGGGAAGGTAATTTTCAGTGGTGTTTTATTAAATTTACTTCATTAGTACCTACTATAGCGCAAGACATAAGGATGCTTGACAAACACATTCAATTTTATAGTTATTTCATACTCAGATTTTCTAAGTGTATTCCTAAGTTTCTTGGAAATGAAAATCAAGAAGCTTCAACTAAATAACAAAATAATTAAAATCACTTCAATGGAACCATTTACTTTCATGTTTTATGTACTAATCCCTATTGACCTACTCTTTGGATAATCTAAATATTAGGGAGAGGAGACACGCATGTGAACAAAAACCTGTCTCTGGTATTTTGAAACTTAAATTCATCCATCCATCACAGAAACTGCCTACACTTCCTTTAGGAGATTATTTCTTGTGTAACATTACTTACTCAAGGGACAGAGGGTAACTTACTTGTTTCAGTACCTACCATGTGATAAGTATTGTTAGACAATAAAAATTCTGTATTCTAGGAGTGATGAAACTGAATTTTAGAGAGGAAAACTAACTTGTTCATAATCATATGAGAACGAAGAGTTGAAAACGGGATTTGAATACGGGGCTTCTCATTACAAGTCTGTGGGTGTGTGTGTTTTCCTATAGGATATTTTTGCTACATTCTACCTTAAATAATTGGCATTGGAATAACACTTTCAGCATTTTCTGCTCAAGCATTCTCTACCTAATTTGTATTTTCAGAACGGATGGTAATCTCACAAAGAAGCACAAATATGCACAGCAAAACATAGTGTTTGTAAGACTCTAAGAAGGAAAATGACTTCTGGCAAAATATCTCAGATCCTGTCCCAATGTACTTCAGGAGTGAGTTTAGATTGAAAACAAATGTACTAAATTTTTTTTCATCTCTTTAGTTCCATTTGGCATTTGCTATATTTAATATGTTAGAGGTATAAAATACCTCTGTAGAATAAAAGTTCATTATGGAGTTATCTATTTGTAGAGCCTATGTAAGCAGAAAAATACCTCCTGGGCCATGTTTCAGAATGACTAAATAATTACATTGTTTTCATTGTTTTCCACAAGCTATTATCACATAAATACCACCCCCTTTTTTTTTCAAAGTTGCAATAGGAAATGGAAACACATATGCACACATAAGCAAGTAAAATCTATTTTTGATCCAGCTTTTATTGTTCTGACATGAAGGGATACAAGAGCTGGTAAGCATAATCTTACTCATTAAGGCTGACTGGATGGAGATGCACATAATCGTCACATTTACATTTTAGGATAAAATCTCACAGATGTTGGATAAATAGAACTGAAACTAACACATATTGAACATCAATTCTGTGCCAGTCCCATATAATGAAATTTATACTCATTATCTCAATTAAACCACTCAGAGTTCTACAAATTAGATAGCCATTGTTATCTTCCCTTAAAAAATATGTTAAAAATTAGACCCAGAGAAGTTAATTTTGCCTAAGTTCAAACAATTAGAAAATAATAGAAGGTAGGTTTCAGATCACAGATTTGCTTAGCATTAAAATGTGTTCTCTTTCCACTACATTGCTACTTTTTGAGTTTAGCTACTGAGTCTGCTAAAAATGGTTGAAATATCTTTAAAATAGAAGACATTATTTTTTAAAAGGCTCTGAGATACTTGGGGTCATTCTAAAGGACGTATAGTTTCTCCAAATGGAGAATAATTGACATAGCTTCCTCCAAGAATTAAATAAGCACCATTTGAAATTAGCACATTATATGCAAACATCTGCTGTAAAATGTTTCTAAAAGAGCTTGAAATTACCTTGTCATCCTTTAAAAGCATATTATACTTTATATTCTTGTTTACTCAATTATTGCAATTAGCTAAGATCTTTTGTGAAATGTGATATTTAGTAAAATGAAGGTCAATATATATTGTACAAAAATGAAAGGTATTTTTTAAGTATTAAAAATTCAATAAGACTTTTTAAGACCAGTAGTGCCACTTAGCACCACTTTGCCTACATACACACTTGCATGCCCAATGGTAAGGGTCTGCTTGAAAAGATACAACATTGAAAAGCTCAGTACTATGATGTGTGTGTGTGCATGTGTATGTGTTTCTTTAAATGTGTATATAATGACAATTGACATATTTCAAAATAGTAGAATAAGTTAAGGAAATTGCTTTATTCTATATTTGTAATTTATTGCAATGATAATGATATGTTTTTAAAAAAAAAACTATTATAAAATATATGGCCATGCTCAAGGTGAGCATCTCCATCGACCATAAAGAGAATGGAAACTCTGTTGGAAGCCATGTACTTACAGGACCTGGAACTCAACAAAGTCAATTATAGCCTGCCGCTCTACTACTTAAATTAATAGCATCCTTATATAATGTGACCCAAATCCAGGCTTAAGGCTCCCCACAAAAAAAAAAAAAAAAAAAAAAAATTAGAGCCTTGGCTCATTACCTACCCACAGAAGTCAAAAAATCTGTGACCAAAAATTTAAATACACTAAAATAAGTCTCTGCTTAAATAAACATTATACACTTGACCCTTGGACAACATGAAGGTTAGGGACTCTAACCCCATGCACACTCAAAAATCTGTGTGTAACTTTTGACTCCCCCAAAATGTAACTACTAATAGGCTACTGTTGACCAGAAGCCGTACTGATAACATAAACAGTTGATTAACATGTATTTTGAATATGTATTATATACTGTATATTTACAATAAAGTAAGCTAGAGAAAAAGTTCTAAAGAAAATAATAAGAAATATATCTTTACTATTCATTAAGTGGAAGTGGATCATCATAAAGGTCTTCATCCTGGTGGTCTTCACATTGAGTAAAATGAGGAGGAAGTCAAAGAGGAGTGATTGGTCTTGCTGTCTCAGGGGTGGCCGAGTCAGGAGAAAATGCACGTATGCATATAAGTGGATCCACTCAGTTCAAACCTGTGTTGTTTAATGGTCAACTGTCTGTAAAATATTATAAACATGATATAAAAGTAAATATATTAATGTTATATATTTTTTAAAAAAATTACTATACCTCAGCTCTACAGCCTGATTTATTTTGTTGTTGTCATGGGAGAGTAACAGCAGAAGAGGACACAGACAAAGGGTAACTGAGAACATTAAAAAGGTTGAAGTTTGACACAGAGAATGAGTCCACAGCATTATATTCCCATGGAAAAATAGCCATGAGCCACCATAATAAGCTGTGGTTCAGACTGTGGTCCCCAGGGCATATATATTTTATGAGGAAAGATGAGCAAGAATAAAACAGAATAGCATAGGATAAGATAGAATGGCTAAATCAAGCTCATTAACATTTCCATTACCTCACATATTTATCATTGTTTTGTGCTGAGAAACACAAAATATATTCTCTTAGCAATTTTCAAGTATAATACATTATTATTAACTATAGTCATTATGTTATACAATAGATATCTTGAACTTATTCCTCCCCTCTAATTAAAATTTTGTATCCTTGAACTAGCGGCTCCCTAATACACTTCCCTCACCCTTCTCCTCCTACCAGTCTCTAGATACTGGTAACCTCCCCTCTACACTCTGCTCCTATGATTTTAACTTTTTTAGATTCCACCTATGAGTGACATCATGCCATGAATATTTGTCTTTCTGTGCCTGGCTTATTTCATTTAACATAATGCCTTCCAGGTTTATCCATGTTGTTGCAAATGACAGGATTTCCTTCTTTTTACATGGCTGAATAGTATTCCATTTTGTATATATATGGCACATTTTCTTTTTTTCATTTATGTTGATGGATAGATTTATTCCTATCTTAAGCTATTGTGAACAATGTTGCACTGATTATGAGAGTGCAGATATCTCTTCAATGTGCTAATTTCATTTTCTTTGTGTGTGTGTGTATATATATATATAATATATATATTATATATGCAATACTGGAATTGCAGGATCATTTGGTAATTCTAGTTTTAATTTTCTAAGGAACCACCATAGTGTTTCCCATAATGGCTGTAAAAATTTATGTTCTCATCAGCAGTTTTCATGTATGGAAATAGTACAAGGGTTTCCGTTTCTCCACATCTTCACCAATACTTCTTATCTTTTGACTTTTTGATGACAGCCATGCTAACAGGCGTGAGTTGCTATCTCATTGTGGTAATAATTTGCATTTTCCTAATGATTAGTGATGTTTAGCATTTTATCATGTACCTCATGGCAATTTATATTGTCATTTTTTTGATAAATATCTATTTAGGTCCTTTGTCATAATTATTGCTATTGAGTTGTTTGAGTTCCTTGTATATTTGGATACTAACTGCTATCACATGCATGGCTTGCACATATTTTCTCTCATTATGTAGATCGTTTTTGAGCCTATTGTTTTTTTTTTTAGTTTGATTCAACATCACTTGTCTATTTTTGCTTTTGTAGCCTGTGTTTTGAGGACATGCCCAAAAAAATCATTGCCCAGACCAACGACATGAGCATTTTCCATATGTTTTCTTCTAGTAATTTTATAGTTTTATGTTTAATTCTTTAATCCATTTTGAGTTGATTTTTGTATAAAACGTGACTCCATAAGGGTCCAATTTTATTTTTCTGCACAAGGATAACCAGTTCCCCCAACATTATATATAGAAGAGACTGTTCTTTCCCCATTATGTATTCTTGGCAACTTTGTCAAACATCAGTTACACATAAATGCATGGATTTATTTCTGAGCTCTATATTCTGTTCCATTGGTTTATGCCAATACCATGTTGTTTAAGTTACTATGGTTTTGTAGCATATTTTGAAGTCAGGTAATGTGATACCTCCAGCTTTGTTCTCTTTGCTCAGTATTGCTTTGCTATTCAAGGTCTTTTTTTGTTCTATATGAATTTTATGATTTTTTTCTGTTTCTGTGAAGAATCCCATTGATATTTTGATAAAGATTGCATTGAATCTGTAGATTGCTTTAGGTAGTATGGGCATTTTAACATTAATCCTTTCAATCTATGAACATGGGATATTTTTTCTTTTACAGTCACGTGCTACATACCACTGTGGTTAAGGAGGAATGGACCACATATACTACAGTGGTCCTCTAAGATTATAATGGAGGTGAAAATTTTCTATCACCTAGTGGTATCATAGCTTTCATTATGTGGTAGCACAATGTATTACTCACGTTTGTCATGATTCTGGTGTAAAACAATTCACTGCACTTGCTAACAATCATATACAGGCATAGCACATACAATTATGCACAGTACATAATATTTGCTAATGATAATGAATGACTATGTTACTAGTTTATGTATTTACTATACGATACTTTTTATTCTTATTTAGCATATACTCCTACTTATAAAGAAGTATTACCTGTAAAACAACCCCAGGTAGGTCCTTCCAGAGGCCTTTCAGAAGAAGTCATTGTTATCATAGGAAATTACATCTCCATATATGTTATTGTCCCTGAAGATCTTTTAGTGGGACAAGATGTGAAAGTGGAAGACAGTGATAATGATGATGCTTACCCTGTGTAGGCCTAATGTGTGTGTTTGTGTCTTAGTTTATAATAAAAAAGTATAAAAGTGAAAAAAATAAAAATGTATAGGCTGGGCACAGTAGCTCATGCCTATAATCTGAGCAGTTTGGGAGACCTAGGTGGGTGGATCACTTGAGCCCTGGAGTTCAAGACAAGCCTGGGCAACATAGTGAGACCACATTTCTACAAAAAATACAAAGTAGCTGGGCATCATGGTGCCCACCTGTAGACCTAGCTACTTGGGAAGCTAAGGTGGGAAAATCACTTGAGCCTGGAGGTTGAGGCTCCAGTGAGCCAAGATTGTGCCACTGTACTCCAGCCTGGGTGACAGAGCAAGACTCAGACTCACTCACTCTCTCTCTCTCTCTCTCTAGATATATATATATATATATATATATATATATATATATATATATATATACACACACACACACACACACATATACATATATATACTTTTTAAATTTTAAAGTATATGTACTTTATATATGTGTATATATAAAATATAGTATAAAATTTATACCATATAAAGTATATATACTTTAAAATTTATATAGTATAAAGTATATATACTTTAAAAGTATGTATATATATACTTTAAAAGTATGTATATATATACTTTTAAAGTATGTATATACACACTTTTAAAGTGTATATATATACATATATATATACATATATATATATATACACTTTTTAAATTTTTTCCTTTTTTCTTTTTTGAAAAACATTTCTAGAGATGGGTTCTCACTATGCTGGCCAAGTGATTGAACTTCTGGCCTCAAGTGATCCTCCCACGTTGGCCTTCCAAAGTGCTGGGATTACAGGCATGAGCCACCATGCCTGGCCCTTATAGATATATTTTCTAAAAAAATAGGAAAAAGCTTATATAATGAGAATATAAAGAAAAAATATTTTTTGTTCAGCTGTACAATATCTGCTTTAGGCTGTGAGGCTGTGTTATTTTAAGTGTCAAAAAGATTTTAAAAATTTAAAAAGTTTATAAAATAAAGTTGCAGTAAGCTAAGGTCAATTTAATCACTGAAGAAAGAAATAGTTTATGTAAGTTTATATAAATTTAGCATACCCTAAGTGTATGGTGTTTATAAAGTCTACAGTAGTGTACAGTAACGTTCTAGGATTTCACGTTCACTGACCACTCACTCAGGGTGACTTCTAGTCCTACGGGCTCCATTCATGTTAAGTGTCCTATTCAGGTATAGCACTTTTATCTTTTATGCCATAATTTTACTGTATCTTTTTATGTTTAGATATGTTCATAAAAGAATATATTTACCATTGTGTTACAATTACTTACAGCATTCAGTACCGTAACATGCTGTACATGTTTGTAGCCTAGGAGCAATAGTCTATATGAAATAGCTAGGTGTATAGTAGGCTGTACCATCTAGGTTTGTGCAAGTTCACTCTGTGATGTTCACAAAAGGACAAAATCACCTAATGATGCATTTCTCAGAGTTTATCCCCATTGTTTATGACATATAATTGTATTTGTGTCTTCAGTTTCTTTTACTGATGTTTTATAGTTTTCGGATATTGGTCAAAGTATACAAAATTTTAGTTAGAGAAAAGGAGTAAGTTCAAGATATCTATTTTATAACATGAGGAATTAGCTAATAATTATGTGTTGTACACTTGAAAATTGCTAAAGGAGTGGGTTTTAAATGTTCTTACTGCAAATAAATGGTAAATATGTGAGGTAAACAAGAGAGACAGAGAATAGAATAGAAGACAAGAGAATAGATGACCCCCTTCATTTTGTAAATAAAATCTGAAATCATCTAGAATAAAGAAATATGAAATAATGTCAGTCCAGTCAGTGAATGAGATAATTCACTTCTATGAAAATAAAAATGAGAAACTTACAGGCTCCATTCACATTAAGTGTCCTATTCAGGTATAGCACTGAATTCTAAAATACCCGATTAATGCTCATCGGGAAAAAAAAATGGTTGGAATAGCAGAAATAATGAAAACTGATACCTTATTGAGAAGTAGCTATAAAAATTAATTAGTAATTTGGGAAATGAAGAATATAGCACTATGTACTATATTGAATTATGATCCAAGTTCTCTTCTCTGTAAAACTATATAATAGTCAGAATGTTCTGTGACTTTATGATGTAGAGAGTGTACCATCCTGTTCCTTGATTTGGGCTTGGCCAAGGGACTTACTTTGGCCAGTGGGACATTAACTGGCATGACATAGGTAGAGATTTTAAATGTGCTTGTTCAGGTTGAGTTGTCCACTTGGTGATTATGTTATTTCCATGAGAAGAATATACCTTAGCTATCTATTAGTCCTGCAGCCTGAACCCTAGAATAAAATATGTGGAACAGAGGTTTCCCAGCCTTCTGCATACCTGCAACCTCAAACAGAATAATCACAATCAACCTGCAAAAGCATAATCAAGAAATAACTGTTTGGAGGTGCAGAGAAACGTGGCCAAATAGAGGGCTCCACTGATTATTCCCCCAGCAGAAACACCAAGTTTGACTAACATCTACACAAAGGAATGTAAATAAAAAACAACAAAAAGTTAAAAAGCAAGGGGACAAAGTTAAAGGGCAGAGTCTTTATCAGTTTTACTTTTCTTGAAAGTTTGTTTATGCAATAAATGTTAATTGTTATCAGAACACTATAGTAATTTGCAAGCCTCATGGTAACCTCATGGGAACCTCAAATCAAAAAACATACAATGGATACACAACAAATGAAAAGCAAGAAAGTAAAGCACACCACCAGAGAAAATCACCTTCACTAAAAAGAAGACAGAAATGAAGAAAAGAAAGGAGGAAGAGAAGACCACACAACAACCAGAAAACACATAACAAAATGGCAGGAGTAAGTACTTACTTATCAATAATAATATGGAATACAAATGGACTAAACTTTCCCATCAAAATACATAGAGTAGCTGAATGGATAGAAAAACAAGACCCAGTGATCTTTTGCCTACAAGAAACAAACTTCTTCACCTGTAAAGACACACACATATAGACTGAAAATAAAGGGATGGAAAAATAAACTTCATGTCAATGAAAACCAAAATAGAGGAGTAGCTTTACTTATATCAGAACAAATTAGTTTTAAGACAAAAACTATTAAAAGAGAAAAAGAATGGCATTATCTAATGATAAAGGGGTGAATTCACAAGAGGATGTAAGAATTGTAAACATATAGACATGCAACACTGAAGCAGCCAGATATATAAAGCAAATATCATTAGAGCTAAAGAGAGAGATACACCCCAAGACAATAATAGCCAGAGACTTTAACAGACAGTGTCAACATTGAACTGATCTTCCAGACAGAAAATCAATAAAGAAACATCGGACTTAGTCCAACATAGATCAAATGGATCTAACAGACATTTACAAAACATTTTATTCAATGACTCAGAATACATATTTTCTCCTCAGCACATGGATCATTCCCAAGGATAGACCATATGTCAAGTCACAAACAAGTCTTAAAACATTCAAAATAATTAATATCAAATATCTTCTCTGACCACAATAGAATAAAACTGCAAATCAATAACAAGAGGAATATTGGAATTTATACAAACACAGAGAAATTAAACTCTATGCTTCTGAATGACCAGTGAGTCAGTGAAGAAGAAATTAAGGAGAAAATTGAAAAATTTCTGGAAACAAATGACGATGGAAACACAACATACCAAAATCTACGGGAATCACTGAAAGCAATACTGAGGGAAATTTATAGCCATAACTGCCTACATCAAAAAGAAGAAAAACTTCAAATAAATAATCTAAATATGTATCTTAAAGAACCAGAAAAGCAAGAGTGAACCAAACTCAAAATTAGTAGAAGAAAAGAAATAATAAAGATCAGAGCAGAAATAAATTAATTTGAAGTGAAGAAAACAATACAAAAGATCAATGAAACGGAAAGTTGGATTTTGAAAAGGTAAATAAAATTGACAAACTTTTAGCTGGACTAAAGAGGAAAAAAAGAGAGGAGGGAGGCCTAAGTGAATAACATCAGAGATGAAAAGGGTGGCATTACAACTGACACTGCAGAAATTTAGAGGATCATTAGTGGCTGCTATGAGCAACTATATGTCAACAAATTGGCAAATCTAGAGGAAATGGATAAATTCCTAGAAACACACAACCTATCAAGATTGAATCATGGAGAAATGTAAAATGTGAACAGACTAATAATAAGCAACGATGTTTAACCCATAATAAAAAGTATCCCAATAAAGAAAAGTCCAGGATGTCAAAGCTTCCCTGATGAATTCCACCAAACATTTAAAGAATGACTAATACCAATCCTACTCAAACTACTCTGAAAAATAGAGAAGGCAATATTTCTAAACACATTCTACAAGGCCAGTATTACCTTGATACCAAAACCAGAAAAAGGCACATCAAAAAAAAATTGAAAATCACAAGCCAATAACTCTGATGAATTGACGCAAAAATCTTCAACAAAATACAGGAAATCAAATTCAACAATACATTAAAAGACCATTCATATGCAAATCATTCAGTGTGATACATCTTATCAACAGAATTAATCACCACAAACCATATAATTATTTTGATTGGTGCTGAAAAACATTTGATAGAATTCAACATTTATTCATGATAAAAACCCTCAGAAAACTGTGGATAGAAGGAACATACGTCAACATAATAAAAGCCATATACGAAAAATCCACAGCAAGGATCATACTGCATAGTGAAAAGCTGAAAGCCTTTCCTCTAAGATCTGGAACATGATGAGGATGCCCACTGTTACCATTGCTATTCAACATAGTTCTGGAAGTCTTAGCTAGAGCAATCAGACAAGAGAAAGACATAAGAGGCATTCAAATTGGAAAGGAAGAAGTCAAATTATTCTTGTTTGGAGATGACATAAGCTTGTATTTGGAAAAATCTAGACACCACCGATAACCTTGTGGAACTAATATACAAATTCAGTAAAGTTTCAGGATACAAAATCATCATACAAAATTTAATAGCATTTTTATATGCCAACAGTGAACAATTTGACAAAGAAATTAAAAAGTAATCCCATATACAATAGCTGCACATCAAATAAAATACCTAGGAATTAAGTTAACCAAAGAAGTGAAAGACATCTACAATGAAAACTATAAAACGCCAATTAAATAAATTGAAGAGGACACAGATAAATGGAAAGATAATCCATGTTTATGGATTCATTGGAAGAATCAATATTGTTAAAATGTTCCTAATATCCAAAGCAATCCATAGATTCAATGCAATCTCTATCAAAATATCAATGACACTCTTCACAGAATAGAAAACAATACTGGCTGGGTGTGGTGGCTCACACCTCTAGTCCCAGCACTTTGGGACTGGGCAACATGGCAAAAACCCATCACTATAAAAAAATACAAAATAAAAAATAGCTGGGTGTGGTGGCAAATGCCTGTAGTCCCAGCTACTCAGAAGGCTGAGCTGAGAGGATTGCTTGAGTCTAGGGTGTGGGGGTTGCGTGAGTTGAGATCATGCCACTGTACTCCAGCCTGAGCAACAGAGCAAGACCCTGTCTCAAAAAAAACAAAACAAAACAAAAAAACCCACAATCTTAAAATTTTTGTGAAACCACAAAAGATCCAGAACAGCTAAAGTTATCCTGAGCAAAACACACACAAAAAAAGGAGAAAGAATCACATTACCTGACTTCAAATTATACTATAGAGCTAGAGTAATCCAAACAGCATGATACTTGCTTAAAAACAGACACATAGACCAATGGGACAGAAAAGAGAACCCGAAGCAAATCCGTACACATAGTGAACGTATGTTTGACAATGTTGCCAAGAACATACACTGGAGACTAGATAGTCTCTTCAATAAATGGTTCTGGGAAAACTGGATATCCATATGCAGAAGAATGAAGCTAGACTCCTATCTCTCACCATATACAGAAATAAAATCGAAATGAATTAAAGACTTAAATCTAAGACTTCAAACTAAGAAACTACCAAAAGAAAACATTGGAGAAACTTTCCAGGACATTGCTCTTGGCAAAGATTTCTTGAGTAATACCCCACAAGCACAGACAACCAAAGCAAAAAATGGACAAATAGAATCATATCAAGTTAAAAAGCCTCTACAAGGCCATGGAAACAATCAACAAAATGAGGAGACAACTTACACAATGGGAGAAAATATCTGCAAACTCCTAATCAGATGAGGGATTAATAACTAGAATATAAAAGGAGCTAAAACAACTCTATAGGAAAAAATCTAATAATCTGATTTCAAAATGGGTAAAAGATTTGAATAGGCATGTCTCAAAAGAAGGGATACAAATGGCAAACAGGTATATGAAAACGTGTTCAAAATCATTGATCACCAGAGAAATGCAAATCAAAACTGCAATGAGATACTATCTCACCTCAATTAAAATGGCTTTTATCCAAAATCAGGCAATCACAAATGCTGTGAGGATGTGGAGAAAAGGGAACCCTCGTACACTGTTGGTGGAAATGTAAATTAGTACAATCACTATAGAGAGTAGCTTAAAGGTTCCTCAAAGAACTAGAAATAGAGCTACCATATGATTTAGCAATCCCACTTGTAGGTATCTACCCAAAAGAAAGCAAATCAGGATACCAAGGAGATATCTGCACTCCCATGTTTACTGCAGCACTGTTCACAATACCCAGGATATGGAAACAATCTAAGTGTCTATCAACAGACGAATGGGTTGAAAAAACGTGGTACAAATACACAATGGACTACTATTCAGCCATTAAAAAGAGTGAGATTCTTTTATTTGCATAACACAGTTGGCTTGAAGTCATTATATTAAGTGAAATAAGCCAGGTACAGGAAGACAAACTTTACATCTTCTCACTTATTCATGGGAGCTAAAGATTAAAACAGTTGAGCTCATAGAGATACAGAGTAGAAGGATGGTTACCAGAGGCTGGGAAGGGTAGTTGGCAGGGGATTGGGGATGCATAATGGGCACAAAAAAATTTAGAAAACATGAATAAGAACTAGTATTTGCTAGCACAATAGGGTGACTATAGTCAAAAATAATTTAATTGCACATTTTAAAATAACTAACACTTGAGGGGATGGATACCCCATTTACTCTGATGTGATGATTTTGCATTGCACACATATATCAAAACATTTCATGTACTCCATGAATACATATGCCTATTATGTACCCAGAAAATGTTAAATTAAAAAAATGTAAAAAGAAATAGCTATTTGTTGTTACATGCCACTTAGTTTTGTGGATGTTTGTTACAATAAAGTAGCTGACTGATACAAATTTGGTACCATAAGTAGGGTAAATTAAACACCCTAAAATGTGTGGCATCATTTCTGGGCACAGGTGGTAGGCTATAATGAACTATTTTAGGAGGCTCATAAATGGTCACCTGTGTTATGTAATAGCAAATATTTGGCAGAAGTATTAATTTGAGTTAACATGAAAGACAAAAAAATGTGATATTGAACTTGAACTATTCCATTTCAAAGTTTTAAGGCAAAATTTTGACAGCACAAGCTATTTTCGTCTAGTGAATTTATTAAGTTACTACAAGAAAGAAATGAGCAAAGAAAAAGAACTGGCTAGCTTTAAAGTAGAATTCAGCCAATCAATAGAAAAAGAGGGAATCCTCCCTAACTCATTTTATGAGGCCAGCATCATTCTGACACCAAAGCCGGGCAGAGACACAACCAAAAAAGAGAATTTTAGACCAATATCCTTGATGAACATTGATGCAAAAATCCTCAATATAATACTGGTAAAACGAATCCAGCAGCACATCAAAAAGCTTATCCACCATGACCAAGTGGGCTTCATCCCTGGGATGCAAGGCTGGTTCAATATACGCAAATCAATAAATGGAATCCAGCATATAAACAGAGCCAAAGACAAAAACCACATGATTATCTCAATAGATGCAGAAAAAGCCTTTGACAAAATTCAACAACCCTTCATGCTAAAAACTCTCAATAAATTAGGTATTGATGGGACGTATTTCAAAATAGTAAGAGCTATCTATGACAAACCCACAGCCAATATCATACTGAATGGGCAAAAACTGGAAGCATTCCCTTTGAAAACTGGCACAAGACAGGGATGCCCTCTCTCACCACTCCTATTCAACATACTGTTGGAAGTTCTGGCCAGGGCAATTAGGCAGGAGAAGGAAATAAAGGGTATTCAATTAGGAAAAGAGGAAGTCAAATTGTCCCTGTTTGCAGATGACATGATTGTATATCTAGAAAACCCCATTGTCTCAGCCCAAAATCTCCTTAAGCTGATAAGCAACTTCAGCAAACTCTCAGGATACAAAATCAATGTGCAAAAATCACAAGCATTCTTATACACCAATAACAGACAAACAGAGAGCCAAATCACGAGTGAACTCCCATTCACAATTGCTTCAAAGAATAAAATACCTAGGAATCCAACTTACAAGGGATGTGAAGGACCTCTTCAAGGAGAACTACAAACCACTGCTCAAGGAAATAAAAGAGGATACAAACAAATGGAAGAACATTCCATGCTCATGGGTAGGAAGAATCAATATCGTGAAAATGGCCATACTGCCCAAGGTAATTTACAGATTCAATGCCATCCCCATAAAGCTGCCAATGACTTTCTTCACAGAATTGGAAAAAACTACTTTAAAGTTCATATGGAACCAAAAAAGAGCCTGCATCGCCAAGGCAATCCTAAGCCAAAAGAACAAAGCTGGAGGCATCACACTACCTGACTTCAAACTATACTACAAGGCTACAGTAACCAAAACAGCATGGTACTGGTACCAAAACAGAGATATAGATCAATGGAACAGAACAGAGCCCTCAGAAATAACGCCACATATCTACAACTATCTGATCTTTGACAAACCTGAGAAAAACAAGCAATGGGGAAAGGATTCCCTATTTAATAAATGGTGCTGGGAAAACTGGCTAGCCATATGTAGAAAGCTGAAACTGGATCCCTTCCTTACACCTTATACAAAAATCAATTCAAGATGGATTAAAGACTTAAACGTTAGACCCAAAACCATAAAAACCCTAGAAGAAAACCTAGGCATCACCATTCAGGACATAGGCATGGGCAAGGACTTCATCTCCAAAACACCAAAAGCAATGGCAACAAAAGCCAAAATTGACAAATGGGATCTAATTAAAGAGCTTCTGCACAGCAAAAGAAACTACCATCAGAGTGAACAGGCAACCCACAAAATGGGAGAAAATTTTCACAACCTACTCATCTGACAAAGGGCTAATATCCAGAATCTACAATGAACTCAAACAAATTTACAAGAAAATAACAAACAACCCCATCAAAAAGTGGGCGAAGGACATGAACAGACACTTCTCAAAAGAAGACATTTATGCAGCCAAAAAACACATGAAAAAATGCTCATCATCACTGGCTATCAGAGAAATGCAAATCAAAACCACAATGAGATACCATCTCACACCAGTTAGAATGGCAATCATTAAAAAGTCAGGAAACAACAGGTGCTGGAGAGGATGTGGAGAAATAGGAACACTTTTACACTGTTGGTGGGACTGTAAACTAGTTCAACCATTGTGGAAGTCAGTGTGGCGATTCCTCAGGGATCTAGAACTGGAAATACCATTTGACCCAGCCATCCCATTACTGGGTATATACCCAAAGGACTATAAATCATGCTGCTATAAAGACACATGCACACGTATGTTTATTGCGGCATTATTCACGATAGCAAAGACTTGGAACCAACCCAAATGTCCAACAATGATAGACTGGGTTAAGAAAATGTGGCACATATACACCATGGAATACTATGCAGCCATAAAAAATGATGAGTTCATGTCCTTTGTAGGGACATGGATGAAATTGGAAATCATCATTCTCAGTAAACTATCGCAAGAACAAAAAACCAAACACCGCATATTCTCACTCATAGGTGGGAATTGAACAATGAGATGACATGGACACAGGAAGGGGAACATCACACTCTGGGGACTGTTGTGGGGTGGGGGGAGGGGGTAGGGATAGCATTGGGAGATATACCTAATGCTAGATGACGAGTTAGTGGGTGCAGCGCACCAGCATGGCACATGTATACATATGTAACTAACCTGCACAATTTTCACATGTACCCTAAAACTTAAAGTATAATAATTAAAAAAAAAAAAAAAGAATTCCTTTAATGTGAAGGTTTCTGCTGATGTCACTTTCCCTGGGATGACTTCATGCTTTTCGTCACAACACTTTCTTCATTGATGTTGCTCAGTTCACCTTGACTAAGTTCCCCTGCTGCCTATCTATCTTGTGTCTCCTGAATGGTGGGAGCATCCACATTCCCAACATCAGCAATTTCTTCTGTAGCTCCACTTATGTTGGATTTGAGTTTCACTTCTAGCGCAATCCTTTTTCATTTGTGCGCTGAACTTTCACCTTTGTTAGCCAATTCTCTCTTTTTGTTACTCATTTTTGTAAAATTTTGTATGGATTTATTACTGGGAGACAAGGAGACAACACAACTACATGCTTTGCTGTCTGTGGACACACTGAATAACAGATCTGTAGTGACCAGTTACCAACAGACTTTGGGAAGAATGATGTGGCTAGTTAGTGATCATGACATGCACCTGTCATGTCATGTTATTTACATTGTGATTTCTAGACTAAGGAGCTAACAGGAAGGTTTGTTCATTATGAAATTACTCACAGTGAATATATTGTGGTAACTGAAATTTGAATCACGCTACTAGGAGGCTGGTGTTTAACTTAAGCATGAAAACTTAGCTATATAAATGTCCTGGTTTTCTATCTTCTATACCTCTGTTTAAGGTAAGTATTAAATAAAAGCAATTTGTTTCTGAAATTGTCTTTACTAAGTATTCTACCTGTGGCTTTAATGAGACATCTCTAAATCAGTGACTGTTTCTGGGTTTCTTTAGGGGATCAATAAATTGGCTCCATCAATTATTTTCTCTCTTCCGTTAAATATCCATAACCCACAGATACCTTCCCTGAGGAGATAACAACAAAAACATCTTCCTTACTTTTATTGTAACTGTGGACCTTGGTATGCACATTTTTTGAGTTCTATGCTCTTTTCTCTTCTCATATGGTTCCAGTTTTATCTCCAAGAGATAAAATTGTTTCTTCATTCATTTCACAAGCTTCTCTCTGCTAAGGTAACATTATTTCCTAAATTACACTCTCTACTAATCTAGGGCATCATGAAAATTCTCTATCTGCAAACCCAGATCTTTGCATTGTTTTTATACCAAACTGATTTTCAAACTTGGATGTTCCAGTAGAAGTTTCTTTAGTAATATTTTAGACTTAGATTTGTAATAACTTAATTTAATAATTTATTCTCAATACAACAGGAAGCTATGGTTCCCCTTTCATTTATTTATATACATTTGTTAGTAAATAAATTAATCCTAAAATTAATAAATTCAATCACACATTTGGATAGAGTTGCAATAAGGGTCCCAAAAATTATATTTATAGTTACATGTGCTACAGGATGGCATCTCAGGAATGAAGTTCAGAGGAATGTAAGAGGAACACCATTTCCAAAGGATAATTTGATGCCATCTAATGCTTTGTACTTACAATCCATAGATCAAAAACCTCATGGATTATAGTCCTAACTGTGGAAAACAAGGAAGGAAATTAATTGTCTTTCAACTGATGACTTAATAGTCTATACTTTGAAACTCTAGCATTTCTTCAATTGTCTATAATTGAGACCACATCCCTTCTGAGGCCAAGCTAGTCCTATGGTGTAGAGAACAAGGGCATTGTCAGAGACCTCTGTGGCTACATAACTAATACCCACATTTGTTATCCAGCTGGACAAAAATACATGCCGTTAGAATGTACTGCAAAATACCAGTATTCAGATACTTCAGCTCAATTCTCACCAGAAGGCTTAATTACCCATGTGTGTTAATTATTAATGTTTAACAAACCACCAAAAAACTCAGTGGCATACAAGAAAAAGACCTTTGTTCTCAGGTCGTAAATCTATGGATTTATGGATCTGTTGGGTGAGGCTAATATTGTTTGGTCTTCACTTAATTTGGCTCCAAGCTGTGTAGGTTGAATATAGGTTTTCTCCCTGTGTCTCACATTATCTTTGGGCTAGTGGGATATCGAAAACATGTGGATGGTAGAAGAGCCAAACTTTTGTTGGTTTAATCTTCAACAACTATTTGTGTTTGTGCTATATAATGAAAATGGACTACATCAAATGAAATTAATATGGCAAGTATGGTGCTATTTCCTAATCTGAGTTTGGGAGAATGTAAGAACAGAACAGGTAGACAGCGGTATCAACTTCAGCACCTTTTTAATCTCCATATCCAACTTATTATGTCTTTCAGAATAAGCATATTCAAAGATGGCACAGTCAGAAATGACTGTAGGTGAAAATAAGTGTAGTTGTCTTCTTGCTCAATCCTTTCATTTCACTGATAAGAAAATTTGAAATTTTGATATTTGCTTGAAGTTGGTATATTAGGCAAGACTATAACCTCATTTATTTGATTCCTAAGTCTTTGATCTTTCTGCCACATCATGTTTCTGTAGGTTGGCCACAACAGGAATAGTTCCAAAGATTGTTTTAAAGCAGTCTATAGGTCACAGTGAGTAGAGTATTGAAGAAATTATCTCCAGATAGATTTCCTCTAATGAGAAATAATTCATGTCAAATAAGACTTGTAATTTTCATTATCTCAAGATAATTGCCTTGTACACCTCCCAGATCTCTCAAACTGTCTATTGAGCTAAAATCCATCAAATTGAAATCCAATAGAACTGGTCTCTGAGATAACTTCAAGGACAGCATACGTTCAGTCTGCCTTATCAGTTGAGTGAAGATGAATTGCCAAAGAGAGCCAGGTAATTTGCCTGGAAAATGAGTTCACTTGTAGAGGTGGTCATGACAAAAAGACAAGAGCTTTTAAAATTTTGTTCTACATTCCCAGAAACTTGCTGAAATCAAGACCCACTACTTATTTAGAAATATCTTGCACATTTCCTCACTCAGTATTCCCTTGTGAACAATTTGAGTTTGGGCATGGTAAGAGCATCAGGCCAACCTGATGATAGATAATTTTGTATGCTTTTATTTTTGTTTTACAACTAAAATAAAATGGAATCTTAGCAGGTTAGAGGTAGAAAAAAAATTGTTCCTTCTGAACCCGTGCTAGAACTCATATCTTGTAATTCCCAACTAAGTGCTCTTTCTACTAGATTTTTACAAATTGTTTGTTCTCTTTTATAAATATTTTCATTGATCAGAAAAGAAAGAAATGATGTCTTTAATCTACTAACCTGTCTCAGCTTGACATTCAATTTAAAAGAAATGACAGTCTAATAATATTCAAAAATGATTGAACAGCTATTTAAATTTTAATTGAAGTTTATATGAAAGTCCTCTCCAGAGTTTCATTCATCCTCTCCAGAGTTTCATTTCATTCATACACAGGCCAATACTTCATAACTTCTCTTTTTACTCATCTATCTCCCCAAAGTAAGTTTACCACATTAGAGCTCGATTATCACCTGCCCTAGAAAGCACTTCATCTCTTTCTCAAATGATCCCTCAATTTCAAGTCCACCACACAGACTTTGGTTTCCCTCATCACTCCCTTCTCCCCTTAAGGTCATTTCTTCTATAGTTACTGTGTCCTTCCCAATTTAAATCAGTCCAGCCAGTCTCCGCCTTATTCCAACTTGCACAAGTTCAGAAATGAGTGCACAAAAATAGCGATGCTTTTTACATTGTTTGTATTTCATACATGAAAAAGATAATGCTCTTATATTACTCAAAATTCATATCTTTTTGATAATTCAAGTTATTTTCTTGTAATGAGAAAGAGTATACATCCATATATAGGATATATGATTCCACATTTTATGTGACATTTTTGTGTTTCTATGTCTCTTCCTTTCTCTATTTATTGCTCAGTATCCACACTTACACTCAGTAAACACTCTATGAAGAAGGCCTGGATGAGTTCCATAAAACGAGGTAAAATATAAATTACTACATAAATAAATACAATTATATATTTGAGTTTCTGTGTCTCATTGTCAATTCTGTTTAACCCTGTGTAGCTACATCTGTCCCCAGAAAATCTGACTGAAGAAAATAACATTGTAGATGAGGACTCTAAAAGTAATCACTTTGTTTATATTTATACGAGTGACAATACTAGAGCCATTTTGTGATTCTTGCAATCTAGCAAACACAAACATAATTAATTCAAATACAAGAATGTAGACAGTCGTGGAAAGAGGATTAATAATGCACCAGAAACTATTGGTTATATTATTTAACCACTACACATTTACTATTGTACACATCAAAAATTCTACCATTATATAAACTCTTTGGATTTGTAATTCAGAATGGTATTACTGTTTCCACACTGTGTCAAAGTACATTGATATAAATAACCACAAAAATATTCCATTTTTTGTGGTTATTTATATCATCTTAAGTAGGACAATGACAATCCTCCCACTAAGACGTGGAGACTCTGCTCCCTTCCCTTGAATTTGGTTAGAGCCTGTTACTCTTTGACCAATAGAGTGAAGAAATGATGCAATATGACCGCTGAAGCTCGAATATCAAAAGGGTATAGTTTCCTCATAGGTACCTCTCATTATATATAGTTTCCTCATAACTATCTCTTATTATTTGCTTTTGGAGCCCTGAGGCTCCAAACAAGTCTGGCTAACCTGAAGCTGCCATGCTGGAGAGATTATTTGGAGAGATTACAAACAGATAAAGATCCCTAGCTACTGTTCTGGCTTTTGCATTTTTTTCAGCTCATGCATCAGACACATGACAGAATAATGCTTCAAATAACCTCAGCCCCAGTAACTGTCTGTCAAAATTAAAACAAACAAACAAACACAACAAAAAGAAAACCCACTTAAACAAACCAATGGGCTAAGGAAGAAATCATAAGGGAAAATCAAAATTAAAAACTCTTGTGCATCAAAGAACATTGTCAAAAAAGTGAAAAGACAACCTATGGAATGGAAGAATATATTTGTAAATCATATATCTGATAAAGATTTAATATTCCGAATATATAAGAATTACTACAACTCAACAATGAAAGACCAACAGCCCAATTAAAAAATGGGCAAATAACTTTAATACAAATATCTTCAAAGAAGATATACAGGCCCGGCACGGTGGCTCATGCCTGTAATCCCAGCACTTTGGGAGGCCGAGGCGGGCGGATCATGAGGTCAGTAGATCGAGACCATCCTAACACGGTGAAAACCCATCTCTACTAAAAATACAAAAAATTAGCCGGGTGTGGTGGCGGGTGCCTGTAGTCCCAGCTACTTGGGAGGCTGAGGCAGGAGAATGGCGTGAACCCGGGAGGCAGAGCTTGCAGGGAGCTGAGATAGCACCACTGCGCTCCAGCCTGGGCAAAAGAGCAAGACTGTCTCAAAAAAAAAAAAAATAAATAAATAAAGAAGATATACAAATGGTTAATAATTAAAAGATACTCAACATCATTAGCTATTAAGGAAGTACAAATCAAATTATTTACACTTCACAATGATGTACCACTTTACATCTTTTTATTTCCCACAATCTTTTTTTCTTTCTTTTTTTGACACAGAGTTTCATTCTTTTTTTTTTTTTTTTTCCGAGATGGAGTCTCACTCTGTCAGCCAGGCTGGAGTGCAATGGCGTGGTCTCGGCTCACTGCAACCTCCGCCTCCCGGGTTCAAGCGATTCTCCCACCTCAGCCTCCTGAGTAGCTGGGATTATAGGCGCGTGCCACCACACCCAGCTAATTTTTGTATTTTTAGTAGAGACGGGGTTTTACTATGTTGGCCAGGCTGGTCTCTAACTCCTGACCTCGTGATCCACCGGCCTCAGCCTCCCTAAGTGCTGGGATTACAGGCATGAGCCACCGCGCCCGGCCTACCACTTTACATCTTTGAGGATAGTTAGAATTTAAAAAACAGAAAATAACTAATGCTAAAAAGGATATGGAAAAACTGGAACCCTGTTCATTGCTGGTGGAAATGTAATATGGTACAGCTACTATGAACAACAGTCTGGCAGTTCCCCAGAAAGCTAAACTTATAATACAACCCAGTAAGACTGTGCTCTTCAACATATACCCAAAAGAATTGAAAAGGGAAGCCCAAGCAAGATAAATACTTTCTAACGATTTGTTGTACAACATTGTGCCTGTAGTTAACAATACTGTATTGTGCATTTAAAATTTCGTTGAGGATAGAGCTCATGTTAAGTGTTCTTGCCATAATAAATAAATAGATAAATGAATAAATAGAGGATTTGAACACATATTTGTACAAAAATGTATATTGAAGCATTATTCACAATAGACAAAATGTGCAAATGATCTAAGTGAACAGATGAATGGATACACAAAATAATGGTTTATAAATATGATCAAATAGTATTCAGCTATAAAAGGGAATAAAGTGTTTTTGTTGTTGTTGTTGTTGTTGAGATTGAGTCTCACTGTGTTGCCCAGGCTGGAGTGCACTGGTGCGATCTCGGCTCACTGCAACCTCTGCCTCCCGGGTTTAAGCGATAAAGCGAAAGAAGTTCTGATATATGTTACAACATGGATGAACCTTGAAAACATTATGCTAAGTGAAAAAAACACAAAAGAGCAAATACTGTATTGTTCCAATTACATGAATGACCTAGAATAGGCAGATACTTTTATATTATAAATGTATATTTGTTATAATAAAATAAAATGTTAAAAATTTGTGTGGAATAGTTAGTGTAACCCCCTTTTTCAAGAAGGTAGCAATAATTAATTCCTCTTATCAATTTATAAGGCAGACGTGAGCAGTTTTTGTAATAAATAAATGAGCATATTTAGATAAAAATCAAGGTGCTTGGAAACATAACAGAAATATATTAATTTAATAATATATATAATTATAAGATAATAGAAATATAATAATAGTATTTGAAAATAATACAATCATTACCAAAGTAAGAAAAGAAAAGTTGACTGGAATTCCTTGATATACTAAGAAAAATATAAACCAAAGTCTTCTAAGAACGAAGGTGTGAGTTGGCGATTGAATTGTGTGAAAACGTTTGAAACAACAGGAAGTTAAAAAATGATATACAAAATTAAAAGAAGCATCAAGAGTTCAGTTAAAGTTAGATAATATGACTTTTGCCCCAAATCTAATTGATAAATTAATTTTTAAAAATGCTTCGAAACCTGCTGTTTACCAAGAAGTTAGGTGCTTGGTATTCAATGTTGTATAACAGTCTTCACTTTCCAGATGAAGGGAGGTGAGTAAATATCCTCAGGGATTTCTCTGCACCAATGATTATCACAATGTAATGAGTATTAGGAAATTACCTCATAGGCTTGTTAAAGCACAAATAGCTGGGCCTCACCCTGAGTTCCTGATTCACTTGGTCTAGGGTAGACCCCAAGAATTTGCATTTCTAACATGTTCTCCAGTGCTGGTCTGCTGCTGTTTGCAGGAACCACATTTTGAAAGCCACTGCTCTACTAAAACAGCAAGAAGTTGCTCCTGCTGTGATACTCCTTTTTTTCTTTCCTCCACATTCTCTGCCATGTTCTTGTGCTATTTCTTACTTTCACTCTATCACATCTTACCTTATTTGCTTGAAATGCAACACCAGATGCTCTTCACCAGTGACGTCTATGTGCACTTAATTACACTCATTTGAAGCAGAAACAGCAAATGTTTTTCTCATTTAAGAAATAAGAAAAAAAAAGTTGGTAGCTGTAAAGTTGAAGTGTATTGTCCAAGATTACATACCCTGATTATTGACATGGCTATAATTTATGTGTTTTTACTTCCAGCTTCAAGATCTTTTCAGTACAACACAAATACATTTTGCACAAGACACATGTCTTATTCAGCTAAAGTTGTGAGAACGAGCAGACATCACAGAAAAGCAATCACTGAAGGGTGGAAATAAGACTGATTTTTCTTCTTTTTGGCAAATAATGAATAAATTATGACATGTGAGTGCAGATGAAGTGTATCTTATAAAATCTGGAGGCTAACTTGTGGAATAGGATGGTATCTGATTAGCATTCCATGACTTGGTCTCCCTGAGCTTTCAATAAAATACCTATGAGGACTGAAAATAAAAAGGAAACATATATCATAAAAAACTGAAATAAAAAATAGGTCACTGATACAATCTGATATGTATTTCCACTAACTTAAGACCTACAACCACCAATAAGAAAACATTAGTCCACAGTTTACATTAACAGCAATGCTGCTCAGGGGAAAACCTTCTGACTATCATGAAGGACTGCATGGATATGCCTTTTCCCATCTTTGAGCCCTTCCATGTACATTTGAAGTTTCAGGAGCTATATGAACCAAAAATCCAAGTGGACTGAAACCAGCTGCCTCAGTAGCTTACACAGTTTCTTTTGTCCGCCACCTTACATCCTCCCATCATCCTCTCTCTCTCTTTCTCAATAAATATTATGCTTTAATAGAAAGAAGCTCTTATTTCAAGGATGACTGATAAAAATAGATATCTACAAGAATATCTGCAGCATAAGAGGAAAATAGTATCCAGAATTAACATACTTTTGAGATAATATTGCAAAAAACAGACATAAAATTCACAGTGCCTTGGGTTTTGTGTTATCAGTACAATTTAAGAAAACATGATCTGTAAGAAAGGAAAAATGAACAATGAATTGATAAAGTCACAGTTTGAGATGAGAAAGAGCTATAAAAAGTTGATGAAAATGATACAGCCAACTTGTAATAAATTTAAAAATAAAAGGGAAGAAGTAAAATATGTATGAGAATAAATAAGGACAAAAGAGGCACTACAGAAAATTAAAGTGTTGAGCAAGATTAATTTGAGATACTTCTCAAGGAAAGTCAGAGAAAATGGAGAAGTTGAAACATACAAGAAATTTGCAATACTTCCATCTTTGTCAGTATGACCAAACAGGTGCACTGAGAACCTTCCCTCACTCCCCACTCAACCCACACACAATATATAATGTGTGTGTGTGTGTGTATATATATTTATATATATATTTATATATGATATATTTTAAAATTTTATTAATTTATATCTGGGTTCACAATTCTATTCAACCCTTCCAAGAGTAGGGGGATTTTGTCAGAAATGGTGAGAAAGAGAAATTTCAGGAGCCAGTTTGTGCTGAGGACAATGGCCTATAGCAGTTTATTACCAGGATCTTGAATCTTGAGCCAGATAAAAGATGAAGGATTGAGCCTAGTGACCCCTTGTGGAGCCCAGACCTTCCACATGTGACTTTCTGACTCCTGGCAAAAGAAGAGGCAGAAGCAGAAACAAACTATCCCTGGAGAAAAGACATCTGGAAATCCTGAATTTAGGCTCACGGGAGTTCCATAGATTAAGATCAAACTATGATATCCAATCAAGATCTAAAACACACAACCAGACAGAACATCATAAGTCAGAATCAGACAAAACAAAAAAACAAGAAAAATCAGATACAGATTCTTGAATCTGAAGATACCATAACTTTCAGATATAAACTATACATTAGCAATCCATGAAATATTTAGAAAAATAAAGGACAGAAACAAAAATATACAAGTAACAACTAAGTAACAAGGTTATTTTTTAAATGAAACATATAATTGTGAAATCCAAAACAATCAATGGCTTAAACATCAGATACACACACACACACACACACACACATTCCTAACATGTTAAAACTTTAAAAACAAAAACATTTATTTATATCATGATAAAATCACAATAAAAATAGAAAGAAGCTCTTAAAAGCAGGTAAAGAGAAATAATAGCTTAAAAGGAAGCCATTTAGGTAGACAGCAGACCCAAAAGGAACAATGGAAGCCAGATGACAACCAGTTAACAGGCTCATGATGTTTAAAGCAAATGACTGCCAAGTGCAATTGCATACCTACCAAATAATCTTTTACGAACAAGAGAGAACTAAAGATAGAATTCTAAGTGAATAAAAAATGAGTGAGTTTGTCAAGTAATAGATCTTGATAAGATTCTCAAATAAAGAAACTTCTACATATGAATAAGAAAATCCAACAGAAAAATATATGCTAAAACATGAATAGATTTTTTACAGATTAGGACATAAAAATTATATACAAACATAAAAAAGATACAAAAATTGCAATAAGAGATATGTAAACTATGACCACAATGATATATAATTTTAAACCAATTAAATTGTCAAAAATTACAACTTCTGGAAATATCAAAATGGGTTGTAGATTAGGTTACATTTTTATAAACTGAGGGTGGGAGTATAAGTCCCTATAACTGAAATAAAAACAAGTCAGTATTACATTTTAAAGATGAATGTTCATATTAAGTATAACATAGAAATTATACTCCTTGGTGAAACTCCAGAGAAACACATGAAAGTGTACCAGAACACACATACAAAATGTTCATTATGGCCTTAGTCTTAAAAACAAAAACTGGAAGCAACACAATTGCACATTGTCAGGGATAAGGATAAACACAAATAGTATATTATACAATGAGTTATGGTTAGGCAATGACAATAATGAACTAGAGCTACCTGTAACTTGAAAATTTTTAGAATTTTATAGTAGATGGTTGGGGGAAAACACAGGTCCCAGAAATCTATAAGCAGCTTGATACCTTATAAAAGAGGTTTTATATATTTTAACATTAAATGAAATTAAGCAACAAGCCATTATGAATAGGAATCTATATACGTATACGTATAATTTTTAATAATTATTTTAAAATGTAAAGAGATGATGAGAACAGAGTGAGACCGGCTCCTGCTGGAAAGAGATATAGATAGAGTAAAGTAAGGAAACACAGAGAAATACATTGGGATTGGGATTATAGCACTGACAATTCTTTAGTTGTAGACCAGCATAGCATGAGTGCTGGAATTATGTATTATGCTTTATGACATATTTATGTTATCTATAGATTTGTACATTACAATTATTTTATTAAAACACAAAGAAAAAGAAAAGGTCGAACAAGATGGCCAAATAGAAGCCACCACTGATCATCCTCCCCAGAGGAACATCGAATTGAAAAATTATCCACACAATAAAGCACCTTCATAAGAACAAAAATCAGGTGAGCAATCACAGTACCTGATTGTAACTTCATATCACTGAAAGAAGCACTGAAAAGGATAGGAAAGAAAGCCTTCAGTTTCTGACACCACCCCTTCCCCGTCCCTTGGCAGCTGCCACATGGCGCAGAGAGAGAATCTGTGCACTTGGGGGAGTAATGGCTAAATAACTATGGTTCTTTGCGTTGGAACTCAGTGCTGCTCTGTCACAGTGGAAAGCAAAACAAGGAAGAGCTCAGCTGACACACACAGACGGAGCATTTAGACCAGCCCTGGCCGGAGGGGAATTGCCCATCCTAGTAGCCAGAACCTGAGTTCTGCCAAGCTTTGCCACCACAGTCTAAAGTGTTCTGGGGTCCTAAATAAACTTGAAAAGAAGTCTAGGACACAAGGACTGAAATTTCTGAGTGGGTCCTAGTGCTGTGTTGAGCTCATGGCCAGTGGACTTGGGAGACATGCAACCAAGTAAGACATCAAGCAGAGCATCCAAGAGAGTGCTTATACCACCCCTCCCTCAAACCCAGGCAACACAGCTCACAAATCCTAAAGAGACTCCTTCGTTCCACTTGAATATATGACAGGGAAGAGTAAAGAAGACTTTGTCTTGCAACTTGAATGCCAGCTCAGCCACAGTCTACCTGGTGCTATACTCCATTGTGAATAGGGCACCAGACAGAGCCTTTAGATCCCCCAGGCTATATCTTCCAAATGGCATTTCTAGACACACCCTGGGCCAGAAGGGAATCCACCGCCTTGAAAAGAAGGACACAGTCCTGGCAAGATTCATTATCTGCTGACTAAAGGAGCCCTTGAGCTCTGAATAATCAGCAGTGGTACCCATGTAGTACTTTCCATGGGCCTTGGGTGAGACTCAGAGACAAGCTCATTTCAGGTGTGAACCAGCATATTCCCAACTGGGGTAACAAAGGGGAGAGACTTCTGCTAGAGAAAAAGAGAGAGAAGAGCAAAGGGAACTTTGTCTTGCAGCTTAGGTACCAGCTCAGCCACAGTGGGTTAGAGCACCAGACAGGCTCTTGGTATCCCCAATTCTAAGCCGTGGCTCTTGAGCAGTATTTCTGGACCTTCCTTTGGCCACAGGAGTTTCCACTTCCTGGAAGAGAGAGTCCCAGGCAAGGTAGCATTTATCACAGCCCACTGAAGAGCCCTTTGGCCTTGAGCAAACATCAGCAGTAGCCAGGCAGTACTCACAGTGGGCCTGGGCTGGTGGTGGCCATAGAGAGACACTCTTCTGGTTGTGGAAAAGAGAGGGAAGAACGTGAAGGACTCTGTCTTGTGGCTTGGGTACCAGTTCAGTCACAATGGAACAGAACATCAGGCAGACTCCCAATTTTTTTTTTTTTTTTTACTCTAGGCCCTGACTCCCAGATGATATCTCTGGGCCTGTCTGGGAAGTGGCTTCCTGAAAGGGAAAAATACAAGCCTGGCTAGCTTCACTACCTGCTGATTGTAGAGCCCTAGGGTCTTGAGTGAAAAACAGACAGAAGCCATGCAGTGGTTACAGTGGGCCTTGGATGAGACTGAGTGCCATACTGGCTTAAGTTTTGGCCCAGCACAGTCCCACTGGTGACAGGGCTGCTCATGTCAATCACCTCCACCACCTCTCCCAGTCCCAGGCAGCTTAGCACAGAGAGAGAGAGACCTCATTTGTTTGGGAGAAAGTAAGGGAATAGAACAAGAGTCTGCTTGGTAATCCAGATAATTCTTCTGGATCTTGTTTAAGACCACCAAGGAAGTGCCTCTATGAGTCTGCAAGAGCCATAGCATTATTCTGCTTTGGTGCACCCTAATGCAGATATGACTAAAGTGACCAGAACTTAGATCACAACACCCAAGTTCCTTCAAATACCTGGAAAGCCTTCCCAAAACAAAATCATACAAACAAGCCCAGACTGTGAAGACTTACATAAATACCTAACTCTACAATGCATAAACACTGACAAATATCAAAGCATCAAGACCATCCAGGAAAACACGACCTCATGAAATCAACTCAGTAAGGCACCAGTGACCAATCATGCAGAGATAGACTTATGTGACGTTTCAGACAGAAGATTCATAATAGCAGTTTTGAGGAAACGCAACAAAATTCAAGATAAAAGAGACAAGGAATTCAGAATCATATCAGATAAATTTAACAAAGAGATTGAGATAATTAAAAAGAACCAAGCAGAAATTCTGGAGCTGAAAAATGCATTTAAGAAACTGGAGAATGCATCAGAGTGTCTTAGTAACAGAACTGATCAAGCAAAAGAAAGAATTAGCTTGAAGAGAGGCTTTTAAAAATACAGTCCAACAAGACAAAAGAAAAAAGAATGAAGCATGCCTGCAAGATCTAGAATACAGCCTCAAAAGGCAAATCTAAGATTTTTACCCTTAAAGAGGAGGTAGAGAGAGAGATAGAGGTAGAAAGTTTATTTGAAGAGATAATATCAGTAAACTTTCCAAACCTAGAGAAACATATCATTGCTTGAGTACAAGAAGGCTGTAAAACACAGAGAAGATTTAACCCAAATAAGAATACCTCAAGACATTTAATAATCAAACTCACAAAGGTCAAGGATAAAGAGAGGATCCTGAGAGCAGCGAGGGAGAAAAAACAAATGGCGTAAATGGAGCTCTAATACATCTGGCAGCAGACTTTTCAGTGAATGCCTTATAGGCCAGGAGACAGTGGTATGACATATTTAAAATACTGAAAGAAAAAATAAGTCTCCTACAATAGCATATCCAGGAAAAATACCCTTCAAAGTTGAAGGAGAAAGAAAGTTTCCCAGAAAAAAAGAAAAGTCCTACAAAGCAATGCTAAAATGAATTTTTCAGTAGGAAAGAAAAGGATGCTAATGAGCAATCAGAAATAATGTCGAGGCACAAAACTCACTGGTAATAGTAAATATAAAGAAAAACACATTACATTATAACATTGTAATTGTGGTGTGCAAACTACTCATATTGAATAGAAAGGCTAAAAGATTAACTCATCAAAAATAAATAACTACAACAAGTTTTCAAGACACAGACAGTACATATACTATATGCCAATAAATTGAAAACTCTAGAAGAAATGGATAAATTCCTAAACACATACAACCTACCAAGATTGAAACATGAAAAAAACCCAAAAACTGAACAGATCAATAACAAGTAATGTGATTGAAGCTGTAATAAAAAAATCTCCCAGCAAAGAAAAGCGAGGGACCTGATGGCTTCACTGCTGAATTTTACCAAGTATTTAAAGAACTGACACCAATTCTACTCAAACTATTCTGCAAAATAAAGGAGGAAATACTTCCAAATTCACTATATGAGGTGAGTATTACCCTGATACTAACACCAGAAAAAGACACATTAAAAAAAGAAAACTACAGGCCAATATCTCTGGTGAACATTGATGCAAAAATCCTTAACAAGATGCTAGTAAGCTGAATTCAACAACGCATTGAAAAAGTCATTCATCATGACCAACTAGGATTTAGCCCAGTAATACAAGGCTAGTTCAACATATGCAAATCAATCACAATGACACATTATATCAACAGAATGAAAGACAAAAACCGTATGATCTTTGTTTTCTTTTCATTTAGCCCTTTTTTTTTATTATACTTTAAGTTCTGGGGTACATGTGCAGAACGTGCAGGTTTGTCAGATAGGGATACACATGCCATGGTGGTTTGCTGCACCGATCAGCCTGTCATCTACATTAGGTATTTCTCCTAATGCTATCCTTCCCCTAAACCCCCACCCCCTGACAGGCCCAGGTGTGTGATGTTCCCTTCCCTGTGTCCATGTGTTCTCATTGTTTAACTCCCACTTATGAGTGATAACATGTGGTGTTTGGTTTTCTGTTCTTGTGTTAGTTTGCTGAGAATGATGGTTTCCAGCTTCATCCATGTCCCTGCAAAGGACATGAACTCATTCCTTTTTATGGCTGCATAGTATTCCATGGTGTATATGTGTCACATTTTCTTTATCCAGTCTATCACTGATGGGCAGTCGGGTTGGTTCCAACTCTTTGCTATTGTGAATAGTGCCTATTTTGCTATTGTGAATAGCGTCTATTTTGACTTTCGTTGCCATTGCTTTCGGTGTTTTAGTCATAAAGTCTTTGCACATGCCTATGTCCTGAATGGTATTGCCTAGGTTTTCTTCTAGAGTTTTCATGGTTGTAGGTCTTACATTTAAGTCTTTAATCCATGTTGAGTTAATTTTTGTAAAAGATGTAAGGAAGGGGTCCAGTTTCAGCTTTCTGCATATTGGCTACCCAGTTTTCCCAACACCATTTATTAAATAGGGAATCCTTTCCACATTGCTTGTTTTTGTCAGGTTTGTCAAAGATCAGATGGCTGTAGCTGTGTGGTGTTATTTCTGAGGCCTCTGTTCTATTCCATTGGTCTATATATAATCTGTTTTTGGTACCAGTACCATGCTGTTTGGTTACTGTGTCCTTGTAGTATAGTTTGAAGTCAGGTAGCGTGATGCTTCCAGCTTTGTTCTTTTTGCTAAGGATTGTCTTGGCAATACAGGATCTTTTTTCGTTCTGTATGAAATTTAAAGTAGTTTTTTTCCAATTTTCTAAAGAAACTTGATGGTAGCTTGATCAGGATAGCATTGAATCTATAAATTACTTTGGGCAGTATGGCCATTTTGACGATATTGATTCTTCCGATCCATGAGCACGGAATGTTTTTCCATTTGTTTCTGTTCTCTCTTATTTCCCTGAGCAGTGATTTATAGTTCCCCTTAAAGAGGTCCTTCACTTCCCTTGTAAGTTGTATTCCTAGGTATTTTATTTTCTTTGTAGCAATTTTGAATAGGAGCTCACTCATGATTTGGCTCTCTGTCTATTATTGGTGTGTAGGAATGCTTGTGATTTTTGCACATTGATTTTGTATCCTGAGACTTTGCTGAAGTTGCTTATTAGCTTAAGGAGATTTTGGGCTGAGACAATGGGGTTTTCTAGATATACAATCATGTCATCTGCAAACAGAGACAATTTGACTTCCCTTTTCCTACTTGAATACCCTTTATTTCTTTCTCTTGCCTGATTTCCTTGGCCAGAACTTCCAACACTATGTTGAATAGGAGTGGTGAGAGAGGGCATCCTTGTCTTGTACCGGCACAAACGGAATGCTTCCAGTTTTTGCCCATTCAGTATGATATTGGCTGTGGGTTTGTCCTAAATAACTCTTATTATATTGAGATACGTTCCATCAATGCCTAGTTTATTGAGTTTTTAGCATGAAGGGCTGTTAAATTTTGTCAAAGACCTTTTCTGCATCTATTGAGATAATCATGTGGTTTTTGTCATTGGTTCTGCTTATGTGATGGATTACATTTATTGATTTGCATATGTTGAATCAGCCTTGCATGCCAGGGATGACACTGACTTGATCGTGGTGGATAAGCTTTTTGATGTGCTGCTGGATTCGGTTTGCCAGTATTTTATTGAGGATTTTCACATCGATGTTCATCAGGGATATTGGCCTGAAATTTTCTTTTTTTGTTGTGTCTCTGCCGGGTTTTGGTATCAGGATGATGCTGGCCTCATAAAATGAATTAGGGAGGATTCCCTCTTTTTCTATTGTTTGGAATAGTTTCAGAAGGAATGGTATCCGCTCCTCTTTGTAACTCTGGTAGAATTCGGCTGTGAGTCCGTCTGGTCCTGGACATTTTTGGTTGGTAGGCTATTAATTACTGCCTCAAATTCAGAACTTGTTATTGGTCTATTCAGAGATTCGACTTCTTCCTGATTTAGTCTTGGGAGGGTGTATGTGTCCAGGAATTTATCCCTTTTTTCTATATTTTTTAGTTTATTTGTGTAGAGGTGTTTATAGTATTCTCTGATGGTAGTTTATATTTCTGTGGGATTGATGTGATATCCCTTCATCATTTTTTATTGCATCTATTTGATTCTTCTCTCTTTTCTTCTTTATTAGTCTGGCTAGTGGTCTATCTATTTTGTTGATCTTTTCAAAAAATCAGCTCCTGGATTGATTGATTTTTTGAAAGGTTTTTCGTGTCTCTATCTCCATCAGTTTTACTCTGATCTTAGTTATTTCTTGCCTTCTGCTAGCTTTTGAATTTGTTTGCTCTTGTTTCTCTAGTTCTTTTAATTTTGATGTTAGCATGCCGATTTCAGATTTTTCCTGCTTTCTCTTGTGGGCATTTAGTGCCATAAGTTTCCCTCTATACACTGCTTTAAATGTGTCCCAGAGATTCTGGTACGTTGTGTTTTTGTTCTCATTGGTTTCAAAGAATATCTTTATTTCTGCCTTCATTTCGTTATTTACCCAGTAGTCATTCAGGAGCAGATTGTTCAGTTTCCATGTAGTTGTGTGGTTTTGAGGGGGTTTCTTAATCCTGAGTTCTAATTTGATTGCACTGTGGTCTGAGAGACTGTTATGATTTCCATTCTTTTGCATTTGCTGAGTAGTGTTTTACTTCCAATTATGTGGTCAGTTTTACAATAAGTGTGATGTGGTGCTGAGAAGAATGTATATTCTGTTGCTTTGTGGTAGAGAGTTCTGTAGATGTCTATTAGATCCACTTAGTCCAGAGCAGAGTTCAAGTCCTGGATATCCTTATTAATTTTCTGTCTCATTGATCTGATCGTTTCAACTGGTGCTGAAAAAGCATTTGAGACTATTCAACATCCTTTCATGATAAAAACCCTTAAGAATAAAAACAAAAAAAAAATCTAGGTCTAGAAGGAACCTACCAAAACACAATAAAAGTCATTTATCACAGACCCACAGCAAGTATTATAGTGAATGGGGAAAAACTGAAAGTCTTTCCTACAACCTCTGGAACACAATAAGGATACCCACTTTCACCACTGTTATTCAGCATAGTCCTGGAGTCTTAATTAGATAAATCAGATAAGAGAAAGAAATAAAGGGTATCAACACAAGAAAGGAAAAAGCCAAATTATACTTGTTTGCAGATGATATGATCTTATATTTGGAAAAAAAATTCTAAAATTTGGCCAGGTGTAGTGGCTCATGCCAGTAATCCCAGCACTTTGGGAGGCCAAGGTGGGTGAATCACCTGAGCTCAGGAGTTTGAGACAGCCTGGCTAACATGGTGAAACCCTGTTTCTACTAAAAATAGAAAAAATTAGCTGGGCATGGTGGTGTGTGCCTGTAACGCCTGTAATTCCAGCTACTCGAGAGGCTGAGGCAGGAGAATCTCTTGAACCCGGGAGGGGGAGGTTGCAGTGAGCAGAGATAATGCCATTGCACTCTAGCTTGGGCAACAACAGCAAAAATCCATCAAAAAAAGAAGAAGATTCTAAAATTTATATGGAACCACAAAAGACCCAGAATAGCCACAGCTGTCTTGAACAAGACGGAAAAAATAAACTGGAAAAATCGCATGAACTTATATCAAATTATACTACAGAGCAATAGAGACCAAAGCAACATGGTACTAGCATAAAAACAGACACATGGACCAATGGAAAAGAACAAAGAACCCAGAAACAAATCTATACATTTACAGTGAACTCATTGTTGACAAAGGTTCCAAGAACATACACTTAAGAATAGACAGTCTCTCCAATAAATGCTGGGAAACTGGATATCCATATGCAGGATAATGAAGCCAGACTTCTATCTCTCACCATACACAAAAATCAAATCAAAATGGATTGAAGACTTAAATCTAAGACCTCAAACTATGAAACTACTACAAGAAAACATTGGAGAAGCTCTCTAGGACATTGGACTTGGCATAGATTTCTTAAGTAATATCCCACAAGCACAGGAAACCGAAGCAAAAATGGACAAACAAAATCACCTCACCTCACCTTGAAAAGCTTCTGCACAACAAAGGAAACCATCAACAAAGTGAAGAGACAACCCACAGAATAGGAAAAAGTATTTGAAAACTACCCTTCTGACAATAGATTAAGAACCAGAATATATAAGGAGCTCAAACAACTCTATTGCACAAAAATCTAAAATTCTGATTTAAAAAGGAGCAAAAGATCTGAATAGGTATTTCTTAAAAGAAGACACACAAATGGCAAGCAGATATACATGAAAAAGTGCTCAACATCATTGATCATAAGAGAAATGCAAATGAAAACAATTGAGAGAAATTAAGGGAAAGCATTCACAAAAAATAAGATACATCATCTCACCCTAGTTAACATGGCTTTTATTCAAATATTAGGCAATAACAAATGCTGGTGAGGATGTGGAGAAAGGGAACTCTCATACACTGTTGTTGGGAATGGAAATTACCACAACCACTCTGGAGAAGAGTTTGGAGGTTCTTCAAAAAACTAAAAATAGAGCTGTCATACAATTCAGCTATCCCACTCCTAGGTATATACCCAAGATAAAGGAAATCAGGGTATTAGAGATTTATCTACACTCCCATGTATATTGCAGCACTATTTACAATAACCAAGATGTGGAAGCAACCAAAGTGTCCATCAACAGACGAAGGGATAAATAAAGTGTGGTATGTGCACATAATTGAGTGCTATTTAATATTCAGTCATTGAAAAGGAATGAGATAATAAAATATTGTCATTTGTAACAACATGGATGGAACTGGAGGGCATTATGTTAAGTGAAATAAGCCAGGCACAAAAAGACAAACTTTGCATGTTCTCATTTATTTATAGTAACTAAAAACTTTAAAATAATTGAACTCATGGAGACAGAGTGGAATGATTATTACCAGAGACTGGGAAAGATCATGGGGTCAGGGGAAAAGGGAAATGGTTAATGGGTACAAGAATATTATTAGAATGAAAAAGATCTTGCATTTGATAGCACAACAGGGTGACTAAAGTCAACAATAATTTGTTTTACATTTCAAAATCACTAAAAGAATATAATTGGATATTTTGTACACAAAGAAATCATTAGTGCTTCAGGTGATGAAAACCCCATTTATGCTGATGTGATTATTATGCAGAGTATGTCTGTATCAAAAGATCTCACATACCCTGTAAAATAGGAATACCTACTATGTGGCCACAAATCTTAAAAATTAAAAATTTAAAAATTAGAAAACAATAATTTCAGAAGTAAGTATAAAAATTTAAAGTTTTTGCAAAGCTCATGGAAACCTCAAATTAAAAAACAAAACAAAACATGCCACAGGTATACAAAAAAGAAAAGGGAAGGAAGTAAAGCATACTACCAGAAAAAAAATCACAAGTTTCAAAACATGGTGAGGAGATATACCTAATGTAAATGATGAGTTAATGGGTGCAGCACACCAACATGGCACATGTATACATATGTAACAAACCTGCACGTTGTGCACATGTACCCTAGAACTTAAAGTAAAATTAAAAAAAAGAACAATTGATAAATCCGTTTCATATTGGGTATAAATTATTGATAGTTTGACTCCCTGAAAAAATAGAGAAAATAACAAATGAAAGTGAAGCAGGAACTACATAGTGAAAAGGAGAAAAATTCTAAAGATGAAGAAAATGCATGTAAGTTAAAATTATTGAAATGTAGTATTTTTTCTTAAATCTAAGTAAAAATCACAGTAAACAATTACAGAAGTAACATGATAAAAAATATAAAATAAAACAAAAATAGCTAGCTATTTACAAAGCAAGAACTAGATTCTGGGAAGAACATGATTTTTATTTATTGCTGTATTCATGTACAGTGAAGGAGAGGGAGTAAATATGTCTAGCCTCGTACCCGAAGGCAGAAAGATGAACAAGTGACGAGTCCAACAGGTTAATTAGAAGTAAAGAAAGAGCAATCTGACTTCAGATTCATCCTCTGCAGTAATAAACCTAGGAAGATAATGAAACAACTTTAAAAAAAGATTGAATGTTTTTTTTAGTAGGTAAAAAGTAGAAACAATCTGAATGACCATAATAAGAGAATTGGTAAATTTGATATTCTGTTAAATTCTAAACAGGATTATTATCTATCACTTAAAAATAAGATTGCAACCTGAAGAATACTCCTCAAAACTGTTAAGGTCATCATAGCCAGGAAAATCTGAGGAATTTTCACAGCCAAGAGGAAACTTAATCACAAGCAATAATTTTTTTAAAAATTTTCAAACACAATTCTTTCAATACTATTCATAATAGTGAGAATATGAATCAATATAAATATTTAACAATAAGAAAATTATCTTTAAAATTCTGTGGGAAAAGTGGTGATATCCCCTTTATCTTTTTTATTGTGTCTATCTGATTCTTCTCATTTCTTCTTTATTAGTCTGGCTAGCGGTCTATCTATTTTGTTAATCTTTTTAAAAAACCAACTCCTGGATTCATTGATTTTTTGAAGGGTTTTTCATGTCTCTATCTCCTTCAGTTCTGCTCTTCTCTTAGTTATTTCTTCTCTTCTTCTGACTTTTGAATTTGTTTCCTCTTGCTTCTCTAGTTCTTTTAATTTCGATGTTAGGGTGTTGACTTTAGATCTTTCCCGCTTTCTCCTGTGGGCATTTAGTGCTATAAATTTCTCCCTAAACACTGCTTTAGCCATGTCCCAGAAATTCTGGTATGTTGTGTCTTTGTTCTCATTGGTTTCAAAGAACTTATTTATTTCTGCCTTAATTTCGACATTTACCCAGTAGTCATTCAGGAGCAGTTTGTCAGTTTCCATGTAGTTGTGCAGTTTTGAATGAGTTTCTTAATCCAGAGTTCTAATTTGATTGCACTGTGGTCTGAAAGACTGTTCGTTATGATTTCCATTCTTTTGCATTTGCTGAAGAGCGTTTTACTTCCAACAATGTGGTCAATTTTAGAATAAGTGTGATGTGGTGCTGAGAAGAATGTATATTCTGTTGATTTGGGATGGAGAGTTTTGCAGATGTCTATTAGGTCTGCTTAGTCCAGAGCTGAGTTCAAGTTCTGAATATCCTTGTTAATTTTCTGTCTCATTGATCAGTCTAATATTGACTGATCCCACAGATGAACTAAAATGACTATTCCAAATCTTAACACACAGTATTCAAATATGTATTGAGCGCTTGTTATTAATATGTATTTCACACAGTTCCAAGCGTGGGAATATAGGAGTGTGAACTGGACACACAGCTGCTTTCCTCAAGCATGAATTAAGGTGAGATTCAAACAGTAATTTTTCTTGGAATGTTGGGGTGATGGAAGACTTTTATACGTTTCACAAAATTCCAAATTTTCTACAATACATATGTATGTTTAACGTAAATCAATGTTAGTTTAAAACAAAAGACTTAAACGTTAGACCTAAAACCATAAAAACCCTAGAAGAAAACCTAGGCATTACCACTCAGGACATAGGCATGGGCAAGGACTTCCTGTCTAAAACACCAAAAGCAATGGCAACAAAAGACAAAAATGACAAATGGGATCTAATTAAACTAAAGAGCTTCTGCACAGCAAAAGAAACTACCATCAGAGTGAACAGGCAACCTACAAAATGGGAGAAAATTTTCACAACCTACTCATCTGACAAAGGGCTAATATCCAGAATCTACAGTGAACTCAAACAAATTTACAAGAAAAAAACAAACAACCCCATCAAAAAGTGGACAAAGGACATGAACAGACACTTCTCAAAAGAAGACATTTATGCAGCCAAAAAACACATGAAAAAATGCTCACCATCACTGGCCATCAGAGAAATGCAAATCAAAACCACAATGAGATACCATCTCACACCAGTTAGAATGGCAATCATTAAAAAGTCAGGAAACAACAGGTGCTGGAGAGGATGTGGAGAAATAGGAACACTTTTACACTGTTGGTGGGACTGTAAACTAGTTCAACCATTGTGGAAGTCAGTGTGGCGATTCCTCAGGGATCTAGAACTGGAAATACCATTTGACCCAGCGATTCCATTACTGGGTATATACCCAAAGGACTATAAATCATGCTGCTATAAAGACACATGCACACGTATGTTTATTGCGGCATTATTCACGATAGCAAAGACTTGGAACCAACCCAAATGTCCAACAATGATAGACTGGATTAAGAAAATGTGGCACATATACACCATGGAATACTATGCAGCCATAAAAAATGATGAGTTCCTGTCCTTTGTAGGGACATGGATGAAATTGGAAATCATCATTCTCAGTAAACTGTCGCAAGAACAAAAAACCAAACACCGCATATTCTCACTCATAGGTGGGAATTGAAGAATGAGAACACATGGACACAGGAAGGGGAACATCACACTCTGGGGACTGTTGTGGGGTGAGGGGAGGGGGGAGGGATAGATTGGGAGATATACCTAATGCTAGATGACGAGTTAGTGGGTGCAGCCCACCAGCATGGCACATGTATACATATGTAACTAACCTACACATTGTGCACATGTACCCTAAAACTTAAAGTATAATAATAATAATAATAAAAATTTTAAAAAAAACATAAGAAATATGTCTTGCCTAAAATTTGTTTCTGACTTCTGCCTCTCAAGGGAAATACACTAGAGCAAACAAAAGCCAGAGAACTAACGTTTTGTTTTATTTTTCCTTGGCTGGAATCAACAGAGTAGCATCCTGTGAAAAAAAGGTATTATTCCTCGGATGCAAAATGGCAATGGACATAGTTTAAGAATAGCAGCAAAGGCATGGGTGTCTCACCTGTGCACTATATGCTGGGGCCTAATATGGTCAACAATAACACCATGCATTTGTAGAAAATTGCTGTTTTTCAAGGCATTTTCTTCTATCATCTTCCCCACAACTCTGGGAAGCAGGAAGGGCAAAAATCATTATTTCTAGTTTGCAGAGACATCATAGGTCAGGAGAGGTTAAGCTGCTTTCTTCCAGTTGCGCACTTTAACAATGGCACAACCCAGACTAGTCTTCGTTCCCTGACTTCCCATAATTCTCTTTCTACCACACCGTGTGCACCTTGTAGTGTGACTGGCCTTTGTTATTATTCATCTTCATTATGCAACTTTGCAACACAAATTGCAGGGAAACATATAGCTACAGTGCTAAGAATTATTTTCCAATGAGTTTTTAGACCTCAGAAAGTCTCTCGGGATCACTGGGCTTTGGTAGAATAAAACAGTACATTGAAAGGGGCAGGTTTGTGTAGGGTGCAGCAAACTATTAATATAACTTTATTCTTTTCTGTCATTGTTCCTCTAAATCCACTATTATTTTTTCAAATGTCACTGCTCTTGAGTGAATCTAATCACTTTTTTACTTTCTCCTGGATATTTAAAAAAAATTCCTCAAGTCCCATTAATCACATGCAAAGTTTGTTCATTTTCGTAATTAAAATGCCTGGTCCAGTTTAAATGCTAACTCTAAACTTGATTTAGGTTAAATATTTGTCCTTCCTTAGTTTGATATTGCTTCAAGCTAGGCAACCTTCAGTGAAGACAGAAGATGCGTACTGCAAAATCTCTGATTGCTTTTTGCTTCTTACCCACCCTCTATCCCCACATAGGGGGCTCTTGATGGCTCCTGTCTGGAAGCATAAGTGGGGAAGTATGGAGTAAAATGGGGGGAGAAAGGAGTTTATTTAATGTCTCTCTGGGTTTAGCAAGTGTTCAAAGCTGACTTCCCTGCTTGGTGCTTTATTGTTACCCCCAAAATTCCCCACTGGAAATATCAGGTTCAACCTCCCTCAATTTGAGCAACATCCCCTCCTCCAGCCAGCCACTGAGGACAATCCCCTCTTCTCTGTATCTGAGGGTACCACCTTCAGCTTCCCTCTGCTGAGATAGCTTCTCTCTGAAAAGTAGCTCTCTTGGAGGAATTTTATTCTAAAATGATGGGCAGACCAACTCCTTCCCGCGTAGCACTCACCCTATGTAAAGCAGAGACACCCCATCATCACCTTGCTGCTGGTGGCAGCTTAGCTGACTTTCCATGCAGACTTCTCTTTTCCCCTCCCATCAAGCAATCTCCTCTAGCCTCAATTTTTGGATATAAACTGCTGAGACCCACGATGAAAATTTATTTCTTGTGTCCCCCAAATTGCAAGGGACATATCTCAAGCTCTTTGACTGAAAATCAAATCTCTCTCCCTTGTTTGGAAGTGAGAATAAAATACTCTTTTTCCTTTCTTTATGGGGGGGATGAGAGAAAATATCACAACCATTGTAAACTTTGACCCCTAAAAAACCCTTTCTGAGAAGAATCATAACTTCTTTTCTACAGCCTGGAAGAAGGAAGTAGGTGTCACCTATTTCCCTTTCAAATTCTGCATGGGTGGTCTAACGCTTCTTTGGAACGGTGTAATTAGTTGACCTTTATTGTTTTCTTTTTGACTTTTGGGCCATTATAAAACCTAGACCAAAAAAAAAAAGCCCTCTTTTGTTTTTCTTCTTATATTTAGGAATCCACCTGAAAACTTGAAGGTATATGAAACCTGTGGGTTAGAAACCAGATTTTTTAGAAACTGTCCCTGGAAAAGCAGTGAATGCAAAGACAGCTCTAGACAAAAATGAAATATGATTAATCTACGTTATGATGAAAGAGGGTCATTGTCATTCAAGAAAGACAGCACTAGAGAGGTATGAATGTTGTAGATGCCAGCATGAAATAACTTTTGTCAGACCCAGACAAAATAAGGCCAGAAAAGGAACGAAGGAGAAGGGGTACACATACTTGTATACCTCAAATAAGAACTATTTCCAAAGACTTTCTAAAAACCCCACAAGACTCTTCATGTCCTTCACACATCATCTACTTTGCATGGCTGGCACATTGCACAAGTGAGAAGGCTTATCACCAGACATTCTTTAGAATTGCAATAATTCAGATAAGATGCTCTCAAAGAAACACTTGCCCAGTAACAGCATCTCTACCAATGAACTGATGATAATTCTGGCTTTGAGCCTCTAGAATCAATAAACTCTGTTTCTGAGGAGCTTATGTGAACTTCTTGTTTTTGCTAATAAAAGCATTCCTTTACCTTGCCCTCTCCAGGTGCACTTGTGGTGTGCCACTCTGTGCATACTGAATTACAATCCCCCTTTCCCATTCCCAAATGAATACATATTTTAGAAAAAAAAAAAAAACCTTATTTTAACCTGGTTTCTTTTACATCAATTTGTCAAAATATCACCATTTAATTTTATTAGGTGTTTCCATATAATAACATAAATATGTTTTGAAAACATACATATACACCTTTAACCCTTTACCCTCAAATGCCTCTCCACACATTTGCTTCTGCTCATTGACGTCTATCTAGAAACATAACTATCATTACCTATAAACTGGATGCATTACCTAGGGAGCTGTTAAAGTATACTGATGCCCAGGCCCCACCCCAGCTCAGCGAAATCAGAATCTCTGGAGATTGGAAATGGTCTTGGATATTTTTTAAAAATTTCCCACCTGATTTCAATATACGTCTAAAGTTGAGAATTGCTGTTATAAGAACTCAATGCTGGGATGCAACTTAAAGCTTATCTACATTCAATCTTTTCATCTATACATGTTAGAAAGCATAAGCTACATTTTTCTTAAGTGATTCTGGTTCTTGACCTCCTCAACCCAGGTGGAATCATAATTCAGAAAAATTCGAAGCATACGGGGATAAAGAAAGAAGGAAGGTGACCAGCTACCTGCCCGCTGGTGCTTATTCTGCCACTGCACTTGGAGATTGGCTTTTGACTCATGCGGCGGCAGAAGGGAGATGGAAAAATAGATTTTTATTTCTGAATATTTGCTAATAAGATATAAATACCTCTCATATATGAGCTGCAAAAAAGCAGGTGTATGCTGGAGCGAGGTCATAATAGCTCAGGAGGGACAACTGTTAAATTTTCAGGAATTTTGAAAGCCAATTGTTATTATGTTGGTAGCTTGAAATTGGCCATATTGGGATTATTTACACCATAGAAATTAGTAAATGCTACAAATCAGGGCTCCCTTCTCCCTCCTGAGAGAACTAACTGTGAAACATTTACCAGCAAAGCACTGGATGTAAGTATTGAAAGATAATTATCAGACTGTCCTTAGTTTTAAAGCTTAAGGCAAGCCATAGGAGGCTTTGCAGCTGGCTGGTTCCGTTTCCTTAACAAATCTGATAGAAGTTACCTCCTGGATAAGATTTTTATAGGACTGGAAAAGAGGGAAACATAAACCAATGTTTATTCTAATAAACTATGTGCTCACACATGTAGATCTACTAACGTATATTTATCATAATATAATATATAATGATATTATAATATAATATATAATATAATATATAATGATATTATAATATAATATATAATATAATATATAATGATATTATAATATAATATATAATGATATTATAATATAATATATAATATAATATATAATGGTATTATAATATAATATAATATATATATTATATTATGTGATATATAATATATATTATATATCAATAATATATATATCATAATATATATAATATATATCATAATATAATATATTATATATATTATGATAAATATAATATATTATATATATTATGATAAATATAATATCCATAATATAATATCCATCTTCTACATTTTCCCAATCTGTGCATGAGAAAGCTGTGTTTTTGTTGTTTTGGTTTGTTTTGTTTTGTAAATGCCATTTTTACTCCTTAAGTTGTTGGTGTGGGAATATGCTTAGCTAATTTTTAAAACTGTTTTTAGTAAATGATGGTTAAACAGCATTTATCCTTTTCCGTAAAGATTTATGTTAGGAGAATATATTATGCAGAATTGTAATACTTTGTAAGAACCTGTCTGCTCTTACAAACAAGAAGACACACAATGGGGGCTGTGTGGAAGCATCCTGAGGTAGTTGATTGTTTATCTATCATTTCTTTCAGCATTTTCTCTTCCATTGAATAAACTAACAACATGAAGTTAGCTTAGATAATCCAAATACTCAACAAGACCAAAGAGCCAGGTAGTGTCAGCTGTTTAACATGCCAGTAATCATAACTGTTATCCATCTTGCTAGCAGATTAAAAATAAATAAGTAAAATTAAAAAATATCTTGGCCTTGAGTTTATTAAACTTGAATACTTCATAATTCCTAGAGTTCCCCACTTCCAGCAAACATCAAGCAGCTGCTATGCCCATGTCCTCCTGCCTATGCCTTCTCTTCACACTGTACCTGCTCCTCTGGCTCTACAAATCCCACATGTCAGTCCTTAAAGGACAACAAAATGATCCCCACTTCACTGGCCCAGTCTTTTCGGTGAGTGTTCCATGATTCATAACTTGGTGGTTTAGTTTGGATATTTGTCCCCACCCAAATCTTATGTTGAATTGTAATCCTCAATGCTGGAGGTAGGGCCTGGTGGGAGGTGTTTGGATCATGGGGGTGGATCCCTCATGACTTGGTGCTGTCTTTATGGAAGTGGGTGAGTACTCAAAAGAACTGGTTGCTTAAAAGTGTGTGGCATCCCCGTACCCCACTCGCTTTCTCTCTAGTTCCCACTCCTGCCATGTGAGATGCTTGCTCCTCCCTAACCTTTCAGCATGACTGTAAGCTTCCTGAAGCCCTCACTCAAAACTGAGTAGAATGCTGGTGCCATGCTTCCTGTACAGCCTGCAGAACCATGATCCAATTAAACCTTTTTTCTTATAAATTACCTGGCCCCAGGTATGTTAGAACACCTAAAATAGCAATGCAAGAACAGCCTAATACTCTTGGTTATGAATTTCACCTCCATATCTTTTATCCTACCCTCTGGACCCAATTAAAATTTATCATTCCTGTGATTCCCATCCCTTCAAGGACTTATGTGACAATATGGTCATTAACCAAAACATAAGTTCAATGCTTCATCTGTATAATGTGGTATTAATATTTGCATTTGTAACAGAGGACTTCCTGGAACAGGCAATGATTAATTCAATACATCTATGTAAAGGCTGAGAATTTCAAATAAAATCATAGAGAAGAATGCTGGAGCAATCTGGCGGCAATGGCCATTTGGTAGCACCCATTAAAATCACATCCAAAGTGGAGGAAGTTCACTTCACATTTCTCTAAAGGAAATCCTTGGTAAACATTCCAATAGAGGATAGGGTCTTTGGTAAGATGAATTCTTACCATTTAATATGTTTGCCACTTTATTTAAACTGCATCTGCGACCGTATATTCATATATTCAGCTTTTGAGCCTGGCATATGATAGAATAGAGAAACTACAAGGTTTTGTTAGGTCACCTTACTCAGTTCCCACCCAGCATATACATTGGACTATAACTAGAAATCTCCTAGATATTCGAATCCTATTTCTTATATCGAACAGCCAGTTGATGTATATTGTACACCCAATCCTATTTTTATTTAGGAAGAATCATTAATGATATGAGGAAATTTTTAAGATATAATAAATAAAAAGAGCCAATGTTCATAATTGTTATTTTGGATTATAACTACTAAAAGAGGGAGGGGCAGGCATTACCTCTTGATGGTGTGATTACAGGTTAGTAATGTTTATTCTACCTTCTTTTTAAACATGAACATGGGATGTGTGCATAAATATCATTTTTATTTTAAAAGAAAAGTTATTTAAGATAAATTCTCAATCATGGGCTCTTTATAATCCATTTAACTATCAAGCCTTATATAAATTAGTCAACATGACTCATGCATAATGAGCTGAGCTTTACGTATCTGTGGGGTGTTGTTTATGAACTTAGGGGAACACTTGTTGCCTAAAATTTTTTCTATAAACTCATTCACATCTGGCATCCTTTTAATGAAGGACCAGTTAGTTTTTTCTGTATTTAGGGCAACTAATGTCCAGTCACAGTATCACAGAGAGGCAAATAATAAATATCATATCCACACTGAAGGTCTGTTCTGAGTGCAAGAAGGAATTGGGTTTTCTCTCTTTTTTCCCCAGCTCACTAAAGACAATATTGGATGCTGCAAGAAATTAAATCAACATAAGAGGATTCCCATTCTCAGTGAGTTAGGTCCATCATAAGTCACACTTCATAACCCAGACTAACAAAGAGTTAACATCCTTCTTGCAGTCTCCCCTCTCTCAATTCCCTGAGTACAGGTTTTAGTTCCAAATAGCAATTTTTCTAGGGTTTTTTTTCTGCCTGTGAAACCGCAGCCTTATTATCTCTCTGGAACCCATTTCATTGTCTCTCTTCTAAAAATTTTAACTATGAGTTCCATCTGCCATCACTGAACTGGAATGTCCTCAAAATGTAAAGCAAGTCCCACTGGGAATTGCCTTAAATAATCATTTGCCTGATAAACAGCAAATCGCAAAATGGGTTTTAACTTCTTTAAATTAATAACCAAAAATAAATAAATAAATAAAGAGAGACAGAGTCTTGCTTAGCTCGCACAATAGGCATGTCTGAAATCCCTCTTTCTTTATCCAATGAGTAAAAGTACCTGTTGAGGGAGCCACAAGACTTCACACTGCATGGCATGGTAGCTCGAGATGCTCCTGTGGTGGGGGTTACACAGAGGGGGCACCTACGGGAACAGCCACATTTCTGCTGCTTATTGTGAGATCTCAGAGTTCCTCCTTTAAAGCATTTTCCCATAAAGTGTTTATAATTAGAATGTTTTGCCCGCCAACACATTTGATGGAAAGGGAAGCGCTCCTTCCCCCTTCTGTGAGCAAGTGGTAGGACAATTCAGATGCTTCAGATACGTAAGAGACTTATCATTTATTGAACAATTATTTATCGAGTGCCTACTCTGCCTCAGAGCCTGTGCTGGGCACTGGTTAAGTTAAAGTGTAGTACTTAACAACAGATCTTACTGTTTGGTAGAAGAGACAAATATTAACAAATAACCATACAAAGAAATGCACAATTGCAACTGTGACTAGGGTTATGAAGGAGTGGTCTATGATATACAAGAGCCTGTAAGTGAAGGATTTGTTCTATCAAGAGGTGTGAAAGCAAAAAAAAAGAGATCCTTAATCCAAGATCTGAAGGGTAAGTAGGGGATTATTACTCCAAAAAAGGGAAATGAGATTTAAGCCAGAAGAGAAACCTCTGTACCTTGTGCAAAAACCCTTCTGTAGGAGGGAGCATCCCAAGTCCTGGAAATGAGAGGACAACCATGCTGGCTGCAGCACAAAGAGTGATAGTGATGGAGGTCATTTTTGTCATGTAGACAAATGTTAAAGGGTTTTGCTTTTGTAATTTTTATTTAGAGATGATTTTAGGCTTATAGAAGAGTTTTAAAGATACTACAAAGAGTTCCCATATTCCCTTTACTTGAGCTTCCCTAATGTTGACAAATTATATCACTATGGTACCTTTACCAAAACTAAGAAATTACTATTTGCAAATATTATAACTAAAGTAGAGAGTTTATTCAGATTTTAACAGTTATTCTGGTCCTGAAATAGACAGGAGGCACCAGTGGAAAATATTGTTAAAAAATTGTTAATCTTGCCATACCCTAATTGAAGAGGACTGGTAAATAACAGTACAAACAGGAGCCAACACCACTGACATCTCAACTGGTTCAGCTTACACTAATTCGACTGAAAAGTTAAAGTTGGGCAAACTTTCCATTCAATGAGTGCCAAAACCATTGTGTCCGAATCAGCTGCAGCCAAAGGCAGTGCTTTCAATAAAAATTTTAAACAAATGGGATGAAGATCCCGAAGCATTTATTCAAATAATTGTAACAGAAGAAAAAAAAACATGGCTTTACCAATACAATCCTAAAGACAAAGCACAATCAAAGTAGTAGCAACTGAGAGGTGGAAGTGGTCCAGTCACAGCAACAGCAGACTGTTCAAGAGCAAAGGTCACAGCAACCGTTTGGGGGATGCTCAAGGCATTCTGCTTGTTGACTTTCTGAAAAGCCAAAGAACAATAGCATCTGCTGATTATAAGAGTATTTTGAGAAAGTTAGCCAAAGCTTTAGCTGAAAAATGCCTGGGAACGCTTCACCAGAGTCTTTCTCTACAATGACATTGTTCCCGCTCATTATTTTCATAAAATAAGGCAATTTTGTGAAAGTTTTGAGGGGAAATCATTAGCTATCACCTTCCAGTCCTGATTTGGCTCCTTATAACTTCTTCTTCTTTCCTAATCTTTAAAAAAATCTTTAAAGAAAATCCATTTTTCTTCAGCTAATAATGTCAAAAAGGTCTGCTTCAACATGGTTAAATCCCCAGAATCCTCAGTTCTTTAGGAATGAACTAATGTTATCACTTACAAAAGTGTCTTGAATTTAATGGGGGTTATGTTGAGGAATAAAGTTTACATATTTTATTATATTTTATCTTTTATTTCCATATTTCCAAAAATTGTTTGAAGTCCCCTCAAAACTCTCAAAACTCAACTGTTATAAAAAACATACAGTCCAGTTAGAAAATTATCAAAGTACATACAGAGACATTTCACCAACGTGATTGTACAGATGGCAAATAAACTCATGAACATATGTTCGGCATCCTTATCCAGTAGGGGTATGCAATGAGAAATCTCTACATACCAATCAGAATGGCTAAAATTGTTTAAAAAGTGAGAACATACTTTTAAATGTTAATGAGGATGGAGAGAAATTAGATCACTAATACATTGCCGGTGGAAATATACAATGGTATAGTCTTTTGGAAACTGCCTGAAAAACACTTTGGCAATTTCTTTAAAAAATAAACATACAGGGAGGAGCCAAGGTGGCCGAATACGATCAGCTCCAGTCTACAGCTCCCAGGGTGAGCGACGCAGAAGACGGTGATTTCTGCATTTCCATCTGAGGTACGGGGTTCATCTCACTAGGGAGTGCCAGACAGTGGGCGCAGGCCAGTGGGTGCGCGCACCGTGCGCGAGCCGAAGCAGGACGAGGCATTGCCTCACTTGGGAAGCGCAAGGGGTCAGGGAGTTCCCTTTCCGAGTCAAAGAAAGGGGTGATGGACGCACATGGAAAATCGGGTCACTCCCACCCGAATATTGCGCTTTTCAGACAGGCTTAAAAAACGGCGCACCACGAGATTATATCCCACACCTGGCTCAGAAGGTCCTACGCCCACGGAATCTCGCTGATTGCTAGCACAGCAGTCTGAGATCAAACTGTGAGGCGGCAGTGAGGCGGGGGGAGGGGCGCCCGCCATTGCCCAGGCTTGCTTAGGTAAACAAAGCAGCCTGGAAGCTCGAACTGGGTGGAGCCCACCACAGCTCAAGGAGGCCTGCCTGCCTCTGTAGGCTCCACCTCTGGGGGCAGGGCACAGACAAACAAAAAGACAGCAGTAACCTCTGCAGACTTAAATGTCCCTGTCTGACAGCTTTGAAGAGAGCAGTGGTTCTCCCAGCAGGCAGCTGGAGATCTGAGAACCGGCAGACTGCCTCCTCAAGTGGGTCCCTGACCCCTAACCCCTGAGCAGCCTAACTGGGAGGCACCCCCCAGCAGGGGCACACTGACACCTCACAAGGCAGGGTATTCCAACAGACCTGCAGCTGAGGGTCCTGTCTGTTAGAAGGAAAACTAACAAACAGAAAGGACATCCACACCAAAAACACATCTGTACATCACCATCATCAAAGACCAAAAGTAGATAAAACCACAAAGATGGGGAAAAAACAGAACAGAAAAACTGGAAACTCTAAAACGCAGAGCGCCTCTCCTCCTCCAAAGGAACGCACTTCCTCACCAGCAACGGAACAAAGCTGGATGGAGAATGACTTTGACAAGCTGAGAGAAGAAGGCTTCAGATGATCAAATTACTCTGAGCTACGGGAGGACATTCAAACCAAAGGCAAAGAAGTTGAAAACTTTGAAAAAAATTTAGAAGAATGTATAACTAGAATAACCAATACAGAGAAGTGCTTAAAGGAGCTGATGGAGCTGAAAACCAGGGCTCGAGAACTACGTGAAGAATGCAGAAGCCTCAGGAGCCGATGCGATCAACTGGAAGAAAGGGTATCAGCAATGGAAGATGAAATGAATGAAATGAAGCGAGAAGGGAAGTTTAGAGAAAAAAGAATAAAAAGAAATGAGCAAAGCCTCCAAGAACTATGGGACTATGTGAAAAGACCAAATCTACGTCTGCTTGGTGTACCTGAAAGTGATGGGGAGAATGGAACCAAGTTGGAAAACACTCTGCAGGATATTATCCAGGAGAACTTCCCCAATCTAGCAAGGCAGGCCAACGTTCAGATTCAGGAAATACAGAGAACGCCACAAAGATACTCCTCGAGAAGAGCAACTCCAAGACACATAATTGTCAGATTCACCAAAGTTGAAATGAAGGAAAAAATGTTAAGGGCAGCCAGAGAGAAAGGTCAGGTTACCCTCAAAGGGAAGCCCATCAGACTAACAGCGGATCTCTCGGCAGAAACCCTACAAGCCAGAAGAGAGTGGGGGCCAATATTAAATATTCTTAAAGACAAGAATTTTCAACCCAGAATTTCATATCCAGCCAAACTAAGCTTCATAAGTGAAGGAGAAATAAAATACTTCACAGACAAACAAATGCCAAGAAATTCTGTCACCACCAGGCCTGCCCTAAAAGAGCTCCTGAAGGAAGCACTAAACATGGAAAGGAACAACTAGAACCAGCCGCTGCAAAATCATGCCAAAATGTAAAGACCATCGAGACTAGGAAGAAACTGCATCAACTAACGAGCAAAATCACCAGCTAACATCGTAATGACAGGATCAAATTCACACATAACAATAATAACTTTAAATGTCAATGGACTAAATGTTCCAATTAAAAGACACAGACTGACAAATTGGATAAAGAGTCAAGACCCATCAGTGTGCTGTATTCAGGAAACCCATCTCACGTGCAGAGACACACATAGGCTCAAAATAAAAGGATGCAGGAAGATCTACCAAGCAAATGGAAAAAAAAAAGGCAGGGGTTGCAATCCTCGTCTCTGATAAAACAGACTTTAAACCAACAAAGATCAAAAGAGACAAAGAAGGCCACTACATAATGGTAAAGGGATCAATTCAACAAGAAGAGCTAACTATCCTAAATATATATGCACCCAATACAAGAGCACCCAGATTCATAAAGCAAGTCCTGAGTGACCTACAAAGAGACTTAGACTCCCACACATTAATAATGGGAAACCGTAATACCCCACTGTCAACATTAGACAGATCAACGAGACAGAAAGTCAACAAGGATACCCAGGAATTGAACTCAGCTCTGCACCAAGTGGACCTAATAGACATCTACAGAACTCTTCACCCCAAATCAACAGAATATACAATTTTTTCAGCACCGCACCACACCTATTCCAAAACTGACCACATACTTGGAAGTAAAGCTCTCCTCAGCAAATGTAAAAGAACAGAAATTATAACAAACTATCTCTCAGACCACAGTGCAATCAAACTAGAACTCAGGATTAAGAATCTCACTCAAAGCCGCTCAACTACATGGAAACTGAACAACCTGCTCCTAAATGACTACTGGGTACATAACGAAATGAAGGCAGAAATAAAGATGTTCTTTGAAACCAACGAGAACAAAGACACAACATACCAGAATCTCTGGGATGCATTCAAAGCAGTGTGTAGAGGGAAATCTATAGCACTAAATGCCCACAAGAGAAAGCAGGAAAGATCCAAAATTGACACCCTAACATCACAATTAAAAGAACTAGAAAAGCAAGAGCAAACACATTCAAAAGCTAGCAGAAGGCAGGAAATAACTAAAATCAGAGCAGAACTGAAGGAAATAGAGACACAAAAAACCCTTCAAAAAATCAATGAATCCAGGAGCTGGTTTTTTGAAAGGATCAACAAAATTGATAGAACGCTAGCAAGACTAATAAAGAAAAAAAGAGAGAAGAATCAAATAGACACAATAAAAAATGATAAAGGGGATATCACCACCGATCCCACAGAAATACAAACTACCATCAGAGAATACTACAAACACCTCTACGCAAATAAACTAGAAAATCTAGAAGAAATGGATAAATTCCTCTACACATAAACTCTCCCAAGACTAAACCAGGAAGAAGTTGAATCTCTGAATAGACCAATAACAGGAGCTGAAATTGTGGCAATAATCAATAGTTTACCAACCAAAAAGAGTCCAGGACCAGATGGATTCACAGCTGAATTCTACCAGAGGTACAAGGAGGAACTGGTACCATTCCTTCTGAAACTATTCCAATCAATAGAAAAAGAGGGAATCCTCCCTAACTAACTCATTTTATGAGGCCAGCATCATTCTGATACCAAAGCTGGGCAGAGACACAACCAAAAAAGAGAATTTTAGACCAATATCCTTGATGAACATTGATGCAAAAATCCTCAATAAAATACTGGCAAACCGAATCCAGCAGCACATCAAAAAGCTTATCCACCATGATCAAGTGGGCTTCATCCCTGGGATGCAAGGCTGGTTCACTATACGCAAATCAATAAATGGAATCCAGCATATAAACAGAGCCAAAGACAAAAACCACATGATTATCTCAATAGATGCAGAAAAAGCCTTTGACAAAATTCAACAACCCTTCATGCTAAAAACTCTCAATAAATTAGGTATTGATGGGACGTATTTCAAAATAATAAGAGCTATCTATGACAAACCCACAGCCAATATCATACTGAATGGGCAAAAACTGGAAGCATTCCCTTTGAAAACTGGCACAAGATAGGGATGCCCTCTCTCACCACTCCTATTCAACATACTGTTGGAAGTTCTGGCCAGGGCAATTAGGCAGGAGAAGGAAATAAAGGGTATTCAATTAGGAAAAGAGGAAGTCAAATTGTCCCTCTTTGCAGATGACATGACTGTATATCTAGAAAACCCCATTGTCTCAGCCCCAAATCTCCTTAAGCTGGTAAGCAACTTCAGCAAAGTCTCAGGATACAAAATCAATGTACAAAAATCACAAGCATTCTTATACACCAACAACAGACAAACAGCCAAATCATGAGTGAACTCCCATTCACAATTGCTTCAAAGAGAATAAAATACCTAGGAATCCAACTTACAAGGGATGTGAAGGACCTCTTCAAGGAGAACTACAAACCACTGCTCAAGGAAATAAAAGAGGATACAAACAAATGGAAGAACATTCCATGCTCATGGGCAGGAAGAATCAATATGGTGAAAATGGCCATATTGCCCAAGGTAATTTACAGATTCAATGCCATCCCCATCAAGCTACCAATGACTTTCTTCACAGAATTGGAAAAAACTACTTTAAAGTTCATATGGAACCAAAAAAGAGCCCGCATCGCCAAGTCAATCCTGAGCCAAAAGAACAAAGCTGGAGGCATCACACTACCTGACTTCAAACTATACTACAAGGCTACAGTAACCAAAACAGCATGGTACTGGTACCAAAACAGAAATATAGATCAATGGAACAGGACAGAGCCCTCAGAAATAACGCCACATATCTACAACTATCTGATCTTTGACAAACCTGAGAAAAACAAGCAATGAGGAAAGCATTCCCTATTTAATAAATGGTGCTGGGAAAACTGGCTAGCCATATGTAGAAAGCTGAAACTGGATCCCTTCTTTACACCTTATACAAAAATCAATTCAAGATGGATTAAAGATTTAAACGTTAGACCGAAAACCATAAAAACCCTAGAAGAAAACCTAGGCATTACCATTCAGGACATAGGCATGGGCAAGGACTTCATGTCCAAAACACCAAAAGCAATGGCAACAAAAGACAAAAATGACAAATTGGATCTAATTAAACTAAAGAGCTTCTGCACAGCAAAATAAACTACCATCAGAGTGAACAGGCAACCTACAAAATGGGAGAAAATTTTCACAACCTACTCATCTGACAAAGGGCTAATATCCAGAATCTACAATGCACTCAAACAAATTTACAAGAAAAAAACAAACAACCCCATCAAAAAGTGGGCGAAGGAAATGAACAGACACTTCTCAAAAGAAGACATTTATGCAGCCAAAAAACACATGAAAAAATGCTCATCATTACTGGCCATCAGAGAAATGCAAATCAAAACCACAATGAGATATCATCTCACACCAGTTAGAATGGCAATCATTAAAAAGTCAGGAAACAACAGGTGCTGGAGAGGATGTGGAGAAATAGGAACACTTTTACACTGTTGGTGGGACTGTAAACTAGTTCAACCATTGTGGAAGTCAGTGTGGCGATTCCTCAGGGATCTAGAACTAGAAATACCATTTGACCCAGCCATCCCATTACTGGGTATATACCCAAAGGACTATAAATCATGCTGCTATAAAGGCACATGCACACGTATATTTATTGTGGCATTATTCACAATAGCAAAGACTTGGAACCAACCCAAATGTCCAACAATGATAGACTGGGTTAAGAAAATGTGGCACATATACACCATGGAATACTATGCAGCCATAAAAAATGATGAGTTCATGTCCTTTGTAGGGACATGGATGAAATTGGAAATCATCATTCTCAGTAAACCATCCCAAGAACAAAAAACCAAACACCGCATATTCTCACTCATAGGTGGGAATTGAACAATGAGATCACATGGACACAGGAAGGGGAATATCACACTCTGGGGACTGTGGTGGGGAGAGGGGAGCGGGGAGGGATAGCACTGGTAGATATACCTAATGCTAGATGACGAGTTAGTGGGTGCAGCGCACCAGCATGGCACATGTATACATATGTAACTAACCTGCACAATTTGCACATGTACCCTAAAACTTGAAGTATAATAAAAAAAAAAACCAAAAAAATAATAAAAAATAAAATCAAAAATAAACATACAACTACCATATGACCTGGAAATTGCAATCCTGGGCATTTTTTCCCAGGGAAATAGAATTATCTTTACATATAAACCTGTAAACAAATGTATATAGCAGCTTTATTTGTAATAACCAAAAACTGAAAACAGCTCCAATGTCCTTTAATAGGTTAATCGTTAAATAAACCATGGTATATCATATTATGAAGTACTATTCAGCAATAAATGGTTATGAATTATTCAAACAACCACCTGGATAACTCTCCAGAAAACGACAGAGAGGGGATAAAAGTCCAATCCCAAATGGTCATATTTGTGTTGTATAATTCCATTTATACTGTATAATTCCATTTATACAACATTATTGAAATGTCAAAATTATAAAAATGGAGAATAGATTAGTGATTGCCAGGGTTTAAAAAAATGTCAAGTGTGAGAGGGAAGTGAGAATAGGGAAAAATGAGGTAATAGTAGTGATGAACTGTTCTATATCTTGACTGTACCAGTGTTAATGTCTTGGTTGTGATATTGCAGTATAGTTTTCAATATGTTGCAATTGGGGGCAACTGGGTTTATGTTACACAGAATCTCTCTGTAATGTTTCCTATAAATGTATGTATATATACATTCATCTTAAAGTAAAAAATATTTTTTAAAAAATATGACAATTGTACAATGACAGTTGGAAGAACAAGAGAAATATTTTGTTGTAGGATCTCTGTATAATACATAAGGTGGTATGCATTAGTGAAGTACAGTGCAAACCTTAAAGGGCCTATTAAGAAAATTAAACAATGGGGTATATATAATAATTTAGTACAGAATATGAAATGAAATCATAAAAGATAACCAATGACAAAGCATAAAAACAAAAAAACAGGAAGAAGGAATAGATCGAAAACATAAAAAACGATTATGCTGGTACAACTAACACTTAGAGTAACAATGTATTAATGTAAATGGTCTAAATTCACCAAAGGCTGGATAAATAATCTAGACTTCACCAAAATCCATTTATAAAACTCAACTCAATTATAAATTGGTTAATATTTATGAGTATATATAAACTCACTTTAAACATAAGCATAAATATAACTTTACAATAAGTAAAATTACAAAATAAATTCTAAGCTTATATACATTTCAAAAAAGGCAGTATAATTTTGTTAAAATCAATGTATAACTCAGAACAGGGACTATTACTAGTGGTAAAGGAGGTCATTTCATAATAAAGGCATTAATTCGTCAGGAGGAAATAGTAATTCAATGTCTATGCACCTAACAATAAACCTTAAAACTACTAAAAATGGATATAAAAGGAGCTATAGACATATGCCAAACTACATTTGGAGATTTCAACAGCTCTCTTTTAACTGACACATCACAAAAATGACAATTAGTAAAAATAAAAATATAGAGAACAATAACATTATTAAGAAAATTGACTTAATAGAGTTTAGAATATTAAACTCATATTCTTTTTGGAATGTTAACTAAAATAGATCATGATATTGGCCATAAAACAAAGCTCAATATATTTGAAGTGATTGAAATCATGTGGTGTGTTATCTGACTGGAAAATAATAAATTATAAATCAACAGCAGTAGGATATATGGAGTATCCCAGATATATAGAAAATAAACAACAAATTTTTATATAATTTATGGGTAAAAGAAGATATCAAAAGTTAAAAATATGTTGAATGGAATAAAAATGACAACATAACATCAAAAAACATGTTGGATGCAGCTAAAATAATGCTTGTATCCAGTAAAACAGTAAAAAAAGTTCACAAGCACACTAATCTTCACATTAAGCACAAAATAACACCAAAGAAATTGAAAGCAGTGGTTCACTGACAATGAAACCTGAAAACAGCTCAACACTTGCCTAGATTAACTTAACTTGCCACACTGAAAGTCTATCAGAAGAAGCATGCACATCTCAGGCATAAATACTCATTATTTTAGTTCTCAGTTCTACTATATGCTCAATACTCAACCAAAAGTTATGAGACACCCAAAATGCAGATAGAAAACAATACATAGTCAAGGGGCAAAATAATCAGCACAACCAGACTCAGAGATAATTGAGATGTTGGAATTTCAGAGAGGTATTTAAAAATAACTGAGTAATGTGTTCAAGTCTCTAGTAGAAGAAACTGATAACATGTAATATTATGTGGGAAATTACAACAAAAATGGAAACCATAAAAATAATTTTAAAATACTGTAAATAAAAAACATGTTACCAGAGATGAAGACTCACTTTGACAGACTTGGTAGCTAACTCAAAGCAACTCAGGAAAGAATCTGGGAATTTGCAGATTTGTTAACAGAAATTACTCAAACTTAAGCCAAGGGAAAAAAAAGTAAAAAAAAAAAAAAAGAGCATCTCGTGTTGTTGGACAATATCAAAATGTTTAACATACATGTAATCCATCCCAAAATAAAAGGAAAAAGAGTGAGGCAGAAAAATATCTGAAGGGATAATGGTTGAGAATTATTTTAAAAATTACAAAATACATCAAACTACAGATATAAGAGATTTTGGGAACTCCAAGCAGGATAAATAACGAATGAAATAAAACACACATACACACTTAAACATATCATATTCCAGTAGCTCAAAACCAAAAGATAAAGGGAATATGTTGAAGGCATTCAGGGGGTAAAGTGGTAAAAGATATACACAAGAAGAAAAGGGAGAATTCCAGCAGACTTCTTGTCAAAAATTATACAAGCCTTAAGTAAAATGATCACCATGACTAAAGCACCGAAAGTAAAATACTGTGCACCCCAAATTTTATGCATAGTGAAAATACCTTTAATAAATGCAAAAGAAATTGGGATAACTTTAGACAAACAAAAATTGATAATTCATTGCCAGCAGACCTGCACTATAAGAAACATTTTTAAAAATGCCCTCAGGAAGACCAGAATATATCAGAAAAAAATTTAGATCTGTCAGCAAACTAACAGAGGAACAGAAAACCAAACACCACATGTTCTCTTCCATAAGTGGGAGTTGAGCAATGAGAACACATGGACACAGAGAGGGGAACAACACACACCAGATCCTGGTAGCGGGTGACAGGGTGAGGGGAGGGAACTTAGAGGGCGGGTCAATAGGTGCAGCAAACCACCATGGCACACGTATACCTATGTAAAAAACCTGGATATTCTGTACATGTATCCTGTTTTTTTCTTTTTTAGAAGAAATAAAGAAAAAAAATCAGGATGATCAAAAAAACTTTATATCTGTACAAATAAATAAAAATTTCTGGAAATGATTAATTACAAATGTAAATATAAAAGATGTTCTAAAATGCATTAATTGCTGTAAAATATATTTTATTATTTATTTTATATATAATATATATTTTAATTGTTTTTAGAGACAGTGTCTCACTCTGGTGCCCAGGCTGAAGTGCAGTGGCATGATTATAGCTCACTGCAGCTTTGAACTCCCAGTCTCAAGCAATCTTCCTGCCTCCCAAGTAGCTGAGTCTACAGGAATGCACCACAATGCCTGACTGATTATTTTTTTTATTTTTTTTTCTCTTTTGTAGAGACAGAATCTTGCTTTGTTGGCCAGTCTAGTCTCGAACTCCTGGGCTCAAATGAGCCTCCTGCCTTGGCCTCCAAAAGTGCTGGGATTACAGGTGTGAGCCCCCATGCCTGGCTTTTAAAAGAAATTTTACTGCCTAACATGTAAAGTTACTTAAATGTATTTTAAGTTTATAAGTATATAAAAATAGCATAGATGACAAAAATAGCACAAAAAATAGGAGAGAGAAATCTGTGATTTGTAAAATTCTGGGTTTTTTCTCTTCTCTTTTTTTAAATTTTTTCATATCAAATGGGTAATGTACTAATGTCATAATAAGATGTAAGAAAGGCACATCTCACTTATGAGTTAAAAAACCCAGTCATCACATGTATAAGCTGCAAAATGATCTGTAAGAATCTTATAATATATACAAAACCATATAATATTCAAATCAATATTATAATTAATTAAAGATGCATATTGTAAACTTTAGGGTACAAATTAAATTTTTAAAGAGATATGAATAATAACCTATAAATTGAGATTTAAATAAACTCTTATGAAACAAAATTACTCCAAATGCTATCAGGAAGAAAGAGAAATAAAGCAACAAGAAACAGAACATATAGTGTGTTTATGGTAATCTAAGATTTGTTCAACATTTGAAAATTATTCAACGTAATTTACCAAGTCAACATAAATAGAAAGAAAAGTTTGATCATCTCAGTAGATGGAAGGAAAACATTTAACAGCTTTTTACATTCATCAAAGTTAAAATGTCAGCAAAGCTGGAAGCGAACTTTCTCAACTTGTGAAACGTATACGCCAAAAAACAATAACAACAACAAAGAAAAACCCAGGTAAAATTATATAAACAGTGACAGACTGAATGTATTTCCCCCAAAATCAAGAACGAAGCATGCATGTCTGCTCTCACCACTTTTACTCACTATCATACTAAAAACTCTAGCCAATGCAATCAGAGCAGAAAAATAAATTAAAAACTTGCATATATAAAATGAAAAAATAAACTTTCACTTGAAGATCAATGATGGTTTATGTAGAAAATCTCTAATATTCTGTATTAAAACACTACTAGAACTAATGAGTTCAAGGTCATGGGATACAAGATAGGTATGCAAAATAATCTGTTTTATTTATGTATACTATTATTAGAAATTAAAATAGAAATAAAACAGTTTTAAACAATAGTAAAAAAGAAAAAAGTTATCAATCTAAAAAAAATCTGTATGATCTGTATATGGAAAACTAAATATTACTGATTAAAAAACTCAGAAGAGACTTAAATAAATGGTGAAAAAAAAAGTCAAACCAAGACTATTTCTCCATAATTCCACATTTTGTAAATTCTAGAGAGTGAAACTATTTTTCAGTGACAGAAAGCAGACCAGTGATTGCCTAGGGATGGAGTTAAATAAAGATTGGGATAGATTAAGGAGGGTGGAAGGAAACTTTAGGGAGTAATGAAAACGTTATTTTGATTGTGACGGTGGTGTCACAAGTGTAAACAGATGTCAAAATTAAATAAATTGTATACTTTGACTGTACAATGTAGTTCATTATATATCAATTATCCTATAACTCATGAAAAAAGAAAAGCTGTGTTTCTATATAAGTCAATTTGTAAATAAAAACTATATTGGTTGTTTCTTAGCCAGAAACTCTTACAAATGTTACATTTATTAGTGAACTTTGAAATGCAGAATTAAGGGACCAAAAATTCAGCAACAAACATTCAAATTTATGAAAAAATTTTGATCCTACTGTATGCAAAATTCAAAGGTCAAATACCTATGAATAAAAGATGTAATTAAATGAAAAAATGTGATCTAAGAAAAGTTATGGGACATTATTTTGCTGATGTAAAGATGCTATGAGAATAATAGGTCTTCTAGTTTGTGCTTGTAAACTACATTTGCCAAAAACCTGATACTCAGTTGTAGCTGATTTAGAAATATAGGAAGGCACTTCTCTTGATTTTCTTTATTTTACAGTGTAGGTCCCTCTGCCTGGAGCAACAGTGTTTAGCCCTGGCTATACATCAGTACAGACAATGATACTTTTAAAAATAAAAATTTCAAAGGTGCACCCACAGAGGTTCTGAATTAGTAGGACTGGCATCCAGCTCAGATATCTGGAGGTTTAAAGTACTCTCTTGGAGGTGATAATGTACTCTTTTGGAGTACTCTCTTGGAGGTGATAATGCCCCATTATCACCTCTTGGTGATAGTACTCTCTTGGAGGTGATAATGCCCCATCATGGTTGACAATCATTGTCCTTAAAAGAGCAAGGATCCAAAGTCAAGTTAGCATGTGATTGTCATCCAAAGATAGCCATCCATATTGGAGTCTTCAAGGCACCCTAGAAAAGTTTTGACTCTACCAGAAGGGATACAAGCTGCTCAAATCTGGATGGAGAACTTGGGATATAAAAATAAAAGCTAACATTTAAAGACTGGGAAAATGGTGAAGTATTTTATTTTGACATACTTATGTATTTCAGTTTTTATGTAATTATTTCATCACAATGTTTATGCTTTGATTTTTATTAAAGATATTAAAGAGATTTTTGAAATAACCAAGTAGAATGATCTCTCTCTGTTTCTCTCTCTCTCTCTCTCTCTGACCTTCTCTCTCTCATCACTTCTTTACCCCATTTTCCACACTCCTGTTTCTCAATGAAACACATCAACAGAAAGTGTGGTCACATGATCCATGAGGTCAATCAAAAGCATCAGAGTTCACCTGTTGATATTGAATAAGTGATTCAGCCAGGTAAATAAGTGATTTCAGCCAGGTGAATAAGAGGAGACAATGCTGTCTTTTTAAAAGTAGTTTTATCTTTCATTATCATAAATAAAAATATATATTCACTGGAATAAATACAGCAAATAATTATTGATTTTTTATAATTGCTGTATACTTTCATTATTATACTTTCCTGAAGGTAAGTAAGTATAATAAAAAAAAGAAAGAAAGAATTCCCCACCATGCCACTACAAAATGATAGTCTCAGTCACCATTTTGGTAAATATATTTTTTCAGACATTTTTCCATGTAATTTTGAAAACATGTAGGGAGTAGACTAAAAAATACAGGCAAGTATACCTATTATTTATTTTTCCCTTTTTTTGTGCTGTAATATTTATTTTTAAGTATTTTACTAACATTTTAAATTTATTTTTAGTTTGCTTTGTTTATCCTGGGTCAATTATTATTTTTCACTTACTTTATGATTATTACTGAGGATACTTTTATTGTGTAGAGCAAATACATTAAAAATGGCCCACTCCTGATGTTAAATATGCCACTAATATACAATGTATTCTCATTGGTCTGGCTACTTCTGCTCAAAATTATATTCATAATATCCTATAATGCTGGTGTTGTGTGTGCCATTTCATTCTATTGTTAAGTAGGAGTTCATTGTTGAATCAACCACATTTTTATCCTACATTTAATATTTTGATAACTATTTCTGAAGGATGAAGAGGAAGGTGGAAGAAGAGTCTTTACTACCTGTTGTGCACTTGTTTGCCATACATTGTGCTTAGCAGTTGTCCCCACAAAGGACCTATGAAAGAGACTCTATTGTTAGCCCATATTTTAAAATGAGGTAACTGAGGCACAGAACACATAAAAGATTCGTACAACATTATATTGCTAAAAGTGACTTATCCTGGATAACATATACTGCATTAGTTCAGGGTCCCAAAGTGTGACAACCATAAAATATTCCCTCTTTAGTCATCTTCAAAAGTGTGTGAAATTGTTTGCTTCTACATTGACCACCACTGCAGTAATAAATGATGAAATTTCCAACCACCAGGTTTGTAAAATCAAACCTTACATTGATAGCAAAAATCATAATTCTAATCTGTACAGTGAAGCTCCATTTTGAGCATACAATTTCTGTAGTACTTTAGTCTTTTTCCTTTACTCTTTTTATTTTCTTTAGGGTATTAAACAATTTCTACAAGTTTATTCTTCTTTAAAATTCCAGAGGCAGGGGACTCCACAGTTAGTTCAATACTGATATCTAAACTAGGGTTGCCAGATTTAGTAAATAAAAATAGAAGGATATCCAGTTAAATTTGACTTTTAGATAAACAACAAACAATTTTTTAGGATGTGTATTCCTCATGAAACAGTTGAGAAAACAAATACTAGAGGTATTATTTGCTTTCCATCTTAAATTCAAACTTAATTGAGTGTCCTGTATTTTATCTGGCAAGCCTAATCTAAACTAAAGCAATATAGTTTTAGAGACTCTCCCCCGATGAAAGATAATCTTTTGTGTCCCAAGCAAATAGAAACATAAGACATTATCTCAAATGTTGCTTACTGAGTTTGTTCGTATAAAAAGAACATCTAAAATGTACAATTAAAAATGTTTACTTCCATCCGCCAGAAATTGTTCTTATTAATCCCCCTTCCAAATACTTTGAGAAGAGAAAACAAACTAAAAAACAAAACAAAAAAATAAGGCACCAATCATAGAATGTATAAGGTACCCTAAAGTAAACAGGGTCCGTATTTCCTCCAAGAAAGGGTGCCCTTATGGAAGTAAGGACTCTATAAACATGGGCCAAACTTAAAAATAGTTAAGGAGAACCCCTCTTCTCTCACCTCTGTCCCACTTGCCTTTTTCCACCATATTGAAATCTTGAAATAAATCTGAAGACAGTAGCTATGAAAAACCAATACAATTACTTGCAAGTGGCTATCATGAACTACCCAGAATAAAGAGTTCCTTCTTTTTGTAAGCATAAAACTAGTAAAGATGTTAAAAGAAAGCAATTTGAGACCGTCTTCCTCTTCAGCTAAATGTTAGACAAGGACATGAAGAGTGGTTAGCTCCCTTCTGACACTAACACCGAACCCCTGCCCTTCAGAATGATGATAATGCTCTGCTGGATGGCACAGTTACTCAGTGTTGGCATGCCACTCGATGCAGTCTATTTAAAACGTTTTTAGGAGCTTGGATTTTCCCTTCCCTGTAATTTAGAAGGCAGAACAGAGAGGCAGTTTGCTCTTAAAACAATGCAATTGTGAGCTCCTGAGCCATTGTCAGACTGACTTGTTTTCCATGGAAAGTAACTCCCTTGATGTATGCCAGAGATCTGTACCCCCAGATTAATGAGAGAGGGCTCACATAACTTGTGCTTAGTTCTGGAACTTTAAAAAGAGTGAAGTGATTGTAATGGAAAGAATAAAGGAAGGGACCTAAGTGGCAGCAGGAGACTTGGGTCTGGTTCCCTTTTTTCAATCTTGCTACACACTAGGGTGTGGCCTTTGGTAAATTACTTATCATCTTGGAACTGCAGTGTCTTCTTCCTTAAAGTACTGAGGTTTGACTACATTATTGTACAGATCTTTTTGAAACTAGAAGTCTATGGCATTTTACATTAGCTTGTGGTTTCCCTCAGGATTCTTGTGTTTTGTTCAATTCTTCCAGCTCTGCCACTGCTTGAGCAATCATCATAAATCACGGGGCTCACTGGCTCTCTAAAAACTCTTTTAGAAATCTTTATGAAACAAGTCAGCCTAAGAAATATCAAGGACTGCTGCCTTCAAAGGCTTCTGGGAAGTAAGGTATGGATGTATAATTCTTAAAAGACAAAAATAAAAACAACCATGAAAGTACTGAAGAATAAGGGAAAAAAGAAAGAAAGAGGAAGGATATCAGAGGGAAATATTTAGATAATTTTTTAAAACGATGAGTATGAGAAAAATATAGAGGAGCGTTATATCAGGACAGGGTTAGAACAAGACACTGTTTTCAAAGAGGGGTAAAGATGTTTCAGGAAAAGAGTGGAAGAGATTGCACCCACAGGAAGAAATAAGTTCAGGCATTCACTCTTCCGGTGAACAGAAGGGCTATATACTTTCTCTAAATATTACTTAGCAATAAGTAAAGCAGATATAGTCACATATACAGCTACCAATTTCCATCCTTGGGTTGTTGGTCTATATAACAGAAGAGGGTCAGGAAGGCAAGGTAATGAGTGGGGAGGAGTAATTGGGCAGTGGTTCTTATTATGGAATGGAAGAAATTAGTCATGTGGGAATCGGGATGCAGAGGAAATGATGGGGAAGAAGAGCAGTGATGTCTGTCTGTATTCCCTGGGAAGACTGAGAAATGGTAACCTACTCAGGAACTCTTGACGTGTTGGAGAGAGCTCAGGATGTTGAACACTTGAAACAAGGAAATCTTTCTGAGTTATTTTCATACTTTCCATTGAAAGAACAGAAAGAATATCCAACTTAAAAGACACTTCTGTTAGATTTCATAGATTTCTTTTTCTATTGGACAGCTAATAGGTAGCTGCTTCTTCAAGCTGTATAGAGAAGTAGCTTTAGTCTGAGTCGCAGACAGCTAACACCATGATACGAAGTCCTTTCTTGAGAGAGATGCAAGCTTCGTCTGGTCATAAGAAGGATACAGATTGTGTTTTCCCTCCTCTTGCTACCCAGTAAGTCTATTTGTTTTATTTTTTATTCTCCTGAGAGTAAGAAAACATGTTGTGAATTTAAAATATGTAGACACAAAATAGGAGCCTAAGGAAGTGGATGATTAAAGAGTGGAGAATAATACAGGCAGTGGAATAAAATAATGAAGAAGGTCACTGTTTTCTAAGCAGTTCTGTCTCACAAATCAGAATATAGGAGATGAATACTCCTAACTCCACGAACTTTTTACAGCTTACCTCCCTCCGTAGCCCATCATGTGAACAGACATAGTGTCCAGTCAATAGACTCTCCACTCCTGCCTTGACGAACACCATGTCAGATTGGAGAAAGACTGTCCCAAAGCCAAGCCAGTCCTCTCAACCCCATAATTCAAATGTATCTCCACTTATAATTATCCCTCACTTCTGTTTAACTTTTCAGAATTGACAGCTAGACAGTCTCACAGAAAGCCAAGCTGCATACACTCATTAAATTCCTACTTTGTGCAAGATCTGTGTAAAAAAAATTCTGAGGAAAGGAAGCTGGAAAACCTTGGATCTAATCTCTCATTCTAACTTTAAATAAAGGCAAACATCTACCAAACCTAATTCATAGCAAAATATATAAAGAAAACTCAGAAAGGGAGTCAAAGCAGTGTTGAAAATGGAAAAAAGGAAAATGTATAACCTAGAAACAGCCAAGAGATAAATAAATAAATTCAATTTATGTACATATACAGGCACACATTATAATAGCTTAGCATTTGCATCTATCAGATAGGTAAAAATCGAAAACATCCAAATTGGTGAGGATAAGGCAAAATAAATCTTTTATGTATTGTTGGCTTTGAATGTCAGGCTTCATCTGATGGGGAATCACTGACGACTTCAGGATAGTAGACTTACATTGCCTACCTGATGCTTTAAAAATATAATATGGAAGTGATATGAAGGAAGAGAGGACTTAAAGGAAGGGAAGGTCTATTTGGAGGTCTTGTCAATAGATAAATGTTAGATAAAAATAACTTTCATTGGCTATTGCCCATGGATTTAGAGAAAAAGAGAAATCTAGGACCTGGTGTTAGAATAGAAAATGGAGTCCTGGAATTAAATGATGTAATTTTGTTCCTGATATTTCAGTATGGGGAATAAAAAATGTTAAACAGAAATGTGAATGTTACTTTAGAACCCTGTTGTGGAAAAACGGGGGGTTAAATTTAAGTTCTGGGTAATGTTTATTAGTGTCTTGGTCGCTGATTTTTAAACTATAGGAAACACATTTCAAAATCTATATTCTTGCCTATACATTGAAATAGAATGATCTGCCCAACATTAGCCAACAGAAATACACTTCATGAAGATAAGAACCACAGAGTATGCATGTACCATATGGGAAGAATTAAAAGAAGCTCTCTCTATCCTCCATGTTTACATTGTACAAGTTTGGTTCTAAAAGTAAAACAATACTGGAGGTTTAAATGTTGCCCATTTTATGATACAGACTTCCTTTGTTAAAAAAAAGTTTTATTCTTGTATATGCTTTCTAATTTACAAAACCCTTCTAAACACATCGACCCCCTTGAATATACCCAACCCTTTGAACTGGGAATGCTGGGTATCACAATATTGTTTCTGATAAGGGGACTTTAACTGAGAGAGCCTATGGTGTATTTACCCAAAGCCATGTGGCTGCTCCGTGGTGGAGCTGGATTAAGTGCCCAGGTCTCTTTCAATGTACTTACACTGATAGCAATAGGCCCTGAGATGCAATGATTACCAAAGAGTAGTCCCTCATAGATCCTTTCATAAACATCAAGATAAATGTAAATGTTTTATGGAAAAAAATTATTTTTTATGATTGTATTATAAGGTCTATAATGTAACTAGCTATATACCAGTAGCCTAGTTGTTGCATATGTCCATCTCTGCAGATTCAGATGATCACCTGGAAGATCTATTTCTCTCTCTAGTGTGCCCAGCAAGGATGTCATCTAGTAGTTATGACTGCTCTCCTAGTCTGTAATAGCGGGCATAAGTCTCATCATTCTCCCATATCTTCTTTCATTTATCTATAGCTCAATATCATTTTTTTCCTCCAAGAAAGAGTGTTACTTTTCTCTATTTGGATGTGTATCATGCAACAATATCTGGAAATCTCAACCATGGCTGTTTTTCCTATTGTAATTATCTCAAAAATTAACCATGAAGCCTTGCCACATTAGGAGCATTCTCTTTGCACATCCTGAGGTTGGATGTAGCCTATGTGACAGTTGAGATTCCACTGGAGGGATCTCTGGATGTTTCTTGAACACTTCAAGAGGAATAGTCACTTTGAAAATGATACTGCATCTTGTGTTTGAGTGTAGGGAGTGGTGAGGTGTAGGTGGAACATCCTGCAATACATATACTCTTTATCATTTGCATTGGTTTGGATCTTCTGAGAAGCAAATGCTGATATAGGTTTAAATGACCATGCTAGATTTACCAGGGGAAGGAGGAGAAGACAGGGAAATCCTTTAGACAGGCATATGGATGTAACATTTTTGGAAGGTAAGAAGCAAGGGGATTGGGTAAAAAATATCTTGGCTGTTTCACAGTTCCAAGAAAGGTTTTGCCAGGTTAGTACAGAGTCTTTTAGCCAATGCCACTAGCTGGAGCAGTCCCACATTTCACTAGCATGGGCCTGTCTTGGTACCTCTGCCATTCATCAGGAGCAGCCTTATGGAAAAAAAAAGACTTTGTGGATGTGGGGGGGTAGTAGCCAGGGTCACCAGTCAACTGTGCGCACCACAGAAAGGAACGTGAGAAGTACATTTTTATGGCTACTGAAAATTGGTGTTATTCATTTCCCTGAAAAATATTGTTCTAAAAAATATTTGGTGTCTTAATATCATTAGTTGTTCTCAGTCTGACTGGCCATGAGATTGAAGTGAACCCTTTACTGTGCTTTATTGTTAACAATTTAACTAGAATTATTGTGCATGTCTTGGTTAAATTTACTTTTTGTTTTTGTGTGTGTGTGTTTGTACATGTATACATAAAGATAGATCTCTAAATAAATATAAAACATATTCTTATATTTAAATATTTACTGCATATGCTCTGTTAAAATTCAGACTTTGTATAAGAACATTCTACTAACAAGCCATATTGACATCTCTATAGAAGCAGGACTAATTGGTGGCTCATAGAGGGAGGGAAGACTTCCTGAGATCAATAGCATAATGATTACTGTTTCCTGTAGTGTTTGTTAAGAACTTTACCAATGAATTTAAAAGCAATCGATTCTTTTTATTTAATTTTCTACTTGTTTCAAAACTACAGAGAAATTTGAGTCATACTCAAAAAGGGACCCCTGGTCACTTACACAAGCAAATCTCGCTTTAAGTAAAGCTTCAGCAAGTGGTATGTGTAAATATTTAAGTGTATATCTGTAAATATCCATACTTATATTAAAATACAATTTAGTCATTAGTACTGGGTTTCTACTTAATAAAAGAATGCAAATGAACGCAGCACATAAATGCAGAGGAAGACCTGAATTTGATAGTTCTGTCATAACATGTGCCCTTAGGTGTGCCATTTTAACCTTTCCAATCTTCAGTTTCTTCATTTAGAAAATAGAGATAATTGCTCACATATCTTCTTTATATTTTTTTCAGAAGAGTCAAATGAGCTGTGAGATCAAATTGGAGTGACTCTGGATATCTACATGAAAACACTAAAAACTGAAAATTATGCTATGCAAGATAAATTATCCACACAGATTATTCATGGTGTGGCAGTATTCTTTCTTCAGAGAAGTTCGACAAATCTCCTGAAAGCTGTTCTATATTGTCTTACAGTGAAAACGTATAGAATTCATCCATGTCCATACTTTCACCTCTGGGAGAAGAGATGCCTGACTTCTTATTCAATTATTTGTTCAACAAATTTTAACCAAGCATCTCTTAGACACTTGGGTATGCAATAGTGAATGAGACTGGATCAGTTAGATGAAGGCCCTGTTCTCATGAAGTTTACATTCCATGTAAGTCTTAGCTCATGTCTTAGATTGTATTCCCAGGAAAACACACTCTGAGATGAGGATTTGTGTACAGGAAGATTTATTAATGATCAATGCATGGGAGGGAGGGAGGGACGGAGCAAGGGAAGCAAGTTTGGGCAGAGGAAAAGATTAAGCTGCGATTTAACGGCAATGAGGGCCTCAGCAAGCCCCAGAGGCAGCACTGGAGCCAGGATAGGCCTCCACACGGACCTGATATTCAATGTAGACTGCAGCTTCCATCAGCCAAGGGCTATTTCAAGTGGAGTGGGTTTATAAGGTATGATCTGTGAGCAGGAATGCTCCCACAGCTCAGGGAATGAGTGTCTAGGTCATGAAGGGCTATCTGTGTGGGGCATAATAGTATGATAAGTAAACATATGCTGTGCCAGATGGTGACTGATGCCATGGAGAAACATACTGAGCAGAGACCTGAGATAACTGAAGGAGTGACGCACGCAGAGGGAGATGGGAAGGATCCGTGAAGGCCTTGAGGCAGAATGTGGTTCCTTTGTGTGTTTGAAGAACAGCACGGGATCACCAAGACTTCAGTGGTATGAACAGAGGGAAGATGTGTAAGAGGTGAGGTCAGAGAGCTGGTATGGAGGGAGAGGGGCATCAGGTAGAGGCATATACCCACCAAATATTAACCGGGTTCCTAGTATGACCAGGCCCTGAAGAACAAAATGTTGGTAAGCCAGAGTGACCAGGCTCCTGATCTCCTGGAGTTTAATTCTAGAGGGGGTGGGGACATGAGGCAGTTGATAGTAAACAAAAATGTGAAAGGTTATTTTCAGTCGTGGTCCACACTAAAAAGGGCATTTATTTTAAAATGTGTTAGAAATGAATGAGGTAGAGAAGTATCTTTAGGTTGAATGCTCCAGAAGGTATCTTTGGAAAGGCAATATTAGAACTGAGACCTGAGTCCCATAAGGGTGACATCAGAGTCTATAGTGAACAATGTAGAAACAATATACAATTTATATAAATTTACCTTTTTTCTCCCATTTCAGTTAATAGCACGTGATCTTTTGGAAAATTCAATCTGGGATAATAAACTTTAATTGTGCCAACCTCGTTAGGTGGAATCAAGATACTACTGGACTGACTCTTGAAGAGAACTGGACCACCAATTACTTGAGTTCATTTTTGATCAGAGTCTACACCTGTCTCAGCTCCTTAAAATTACGCCAGGAATACAAGGCCAGTGAATGTGCACAGAACAAGATAGATGGAATTAGTCTAATTGAGCCACCATTTGTCAATTTTTCATTAGTTTATTTAATTAGAACTTGGCGAATGAGACGAAAGCAATCTTCTATGTGAGTCAATTAACTTCACACAGCTCCATAGTCACTGAGCAAATTTATAATCTCAACTAACATTTCAATTACATTCACCTCAAAAAAACTTACTAATGACTGATCATGTACAAAGCACAGTGCTATGCAACAGGTTTACTAAGATGATCAATATATGGTTTATGTCTCCAAGAACATTACAAGAGAATTAGAGGAGGTGATGTTTTAGAAAGAATAGAGCACGAGGCTGACTTTGATAAATATTATGGAAACACAGTGGCTAATCGTTGATTATTAAATATTATGGATGCACAGTGGCTAATCATTGACTATTATGCCTTTGATCATGAAGAAGATAAGGCAAGTGAATTTAAGGCAATCCATCAGCAATACTAAAGTAAACTTTAAAGAGCATACCTTTAACTAACATTAACAGCAGGTAGAAAATACAATTTTTTTACTTTTTAAAAGTTATATTATTAAAATATAATTTAATTACTTTGTATTTTTTGCACAGATATCAAGTGTTATGGGTTAAATTTTGCCTCCCCACTAAAATTTAAATGTTGAAGTCCTAACCCCTAGTGCCTCAGAATCTGTCCTTTTCTAGACATAGGATCTTTACCAAGTTAAAATGAGGTCATTGGAATGGGACCTAAACCAATATGACTGGTGTCCTTATGTAAAGGGCAAATTTGGAGACAGACTCTCATACAGGAAGAACACCAGATGAACATCAACACCACTATCTACAAGCCAAAGAGAGAAGCCCAGAACAGATCCTTCTCTCATAGCTCTCAGAAGGAACTAATCCTGGCAACACCTTGATTTTGAGCTTCTGGCCTTCAGAGCTGTGAGATCACATTTTTCTGCTGTTTAAGCCACCCAATTTGTGATTCTCTGTTCCTGAAGCTCTAGCAAACAAATACACTGTTTAAATATGCTCCCAGCTACTATCTAAAGGCAAGAAGGACTATTAGCTAATGCAGTGATTAATCCAGGCTTATATATCTATCTAGCTCACATGGAAATGAGAGACTCAAAAAGGTTAATTTTAAAGATGACTAAAGTTTATCTCTTCAAGTACTGTCCTTTTCTTAACTAAGGATATTAATATTAAATGTATATGAGCTTTTTTGCCCTCTTAAAGAGTGTACTTAGCATAATCAGCCTTGGGATTATCAGGATGACTCAAAGTATTTTGCCAACTTGTAATATATATAAACGACTAAAAGGCCACCAGGGCAAGAATGATTGTGTGCTCTGGCTACGGCCCCAGAGAGCTCTGCTTCCTGAGTTGTTGGGATGACTTTTTGTTATTGATATTTTTATTCTTTTTTTTTTTTTAACTCTTTTCAGGACTCTACTTGTCCATTCTCCTTATTGTCTGTATGTCTGCTTCCAACAGTTCCTTACTCCTTATAATTGGATGCAGTTAATTGTCTACTGGTTGAGAAATCAGATAATAGAGTCTGTAAGAGTTTTATATAAAATAAGAAAAAAAATGAATGTGTGTACGTGTCTGAGGAATTCCCTCACAAAACATATTTTATGGTATTTTTTAATATCTATTTTTAAAGCTCAGGAGATGTCTGTTTGCTTGTTTGCTTTTCCGGGTTTATAGATGTGTTCTGAGTGTTGCATTTGCTGGAAGTCTGTCTTCTGACTAAGCGGGATATTGCTTTATTTTAGTACTGAAACATAAGATCAGCCAGTGTCCTGTTCCCACAAGTATGCTAATCATCAGACTGCATGTCTCAGTACACTGAAGGTTTGGGATGATCTTGTTCATAGAATACAACTCTGACTTATAATCACTCAACTTTGGGACAAATTGTGAGGAAAAGAACAGTAGCCAAATTTGAAGATAGCTATCCTTTATTCTCTAATCAGATCATCTGAAAGACTTATTGATGTACATTCTCTCATGAAGAACTTGTGTGCTGTGGTACAAATTCTTTAAAACCTTATCCCAAGACAATGGTGGGCAGAACCCTGATTTTCTGATATTTGTCTTGATCCAGCTCGAGTTCCACCCATGCACCTGCTGACCCTTCCCTGTTTGCTCTGCTGATCTTCCTTTTGTCTCCCTAGCTTCCTGTCCCTTCTATGATCTCCCCCTAGGCAGTCAGCCTTGCCCACAACTTCAGTTACCACCTAGGAGCAAACGAATCACAAGGTCATACATCTAGCTTAGACCTCTATTTTGAGCTCCGGGTCTGTATTTGCAACTCTCTAGTTGACACTCCTTCTTAATGTTCCCAAAAGTCTTTCAAATTCAATGTGTCCAACATGAGACCTCCTCTGAGAGCTTTGTTCTCTTCCAGGATTCTCAGTGAATGGTATGACCACTTCAGGTTGCAGGGTGTTATCCTCAAATCTCTCTTCCTCCAACCATAACAAATCTACACCAGATTTCATAAAATTCAACTCATAAAATACTTTGGAAGTCACCCCTTTATTCCTACCATTATGCCAGCAAAGTTAATCGAACTTTCCTACCATTATGCCATTATCTGTTAATCGAACTTACACTATGGCCATGTGGATCTATATTTTTTTTAACTTTAAGTTCCAGGATACAAGTGCAGAACGTGCAGGTTTGTTACATAGGTATATGTGTGCCATGGTGGTTTGCTGCAACTATCAACCAGTCATCATGGTTTTAAGCCCCGCATACGTTAGCTCTGTGTCCTAATGCTCTCCCTCTTCTCACCCCCACCCCCAACAGGCCCCGGTATGTGTTGTTCCCCACCCTGTGTCCATGTATTTTCGTTGTTCGACTCCCACTTATGAGAGAACATGCAGTGTTTGGTTTTCGGTTCATGTGTTAATTTGCTGAGGATGATGGCTTCCAGCTTCATCCATGTCCCTGCAAAGAACATGATCTCACTCCTTTTTATAACTGCATAGTATTCCATGCTGTATATGTACCACATTTTCTTTATCGAATCTACATGTTGATCTATTTATATTTGCTCTTGCCTTCCTCCAACCCAATTTCCCTGCTGTAGTCAGAACATTTTTTTGAAACTCATTTGATTATAGTTATTCATTCCCATGCCCGTGTAAACCCTCCTATAGGTTCCCACCAATTTCAATAAAAAGATAGTATTTCTAAACATGGCTAGAGAACTTTGCATGGCCTCCCTCTTCCATACCTGCCTGACCCATTCCTTTTCATGAAAAATATCCCACAAATCTTCTTCCTTCGTCTTTCTGGGTCCTTCATAGTTTTTTTCTACTTTCCATCCTCCTACTGCCACAGAACACTTGACCTGCTGTTCCCTTTTTGTAGCAAACATTTCTTTCCAGTCTTCACCTGATTAATTCCTTCTCATCTTTGAGATGTTAATTTAGGCTTCACTTCCCCAGGCAAGCCTTCTCTTACAGAGGAGACTCAAATCTCCCTACTGTATACTCAAAACAATGTGACTTCCTTCCATTATATTTTTGTAGTTGTAATTTTCCTTTGAATTTGTGTGATTATTGGCTGAATATTTGTCTCCTCCACTATACTGTACGTTCTATCTTTGTTTACTATTTTATCCGAAGTGTTTTGTTTAGAATCAAGGATATTATAGTTGCTAAAGGAATAAATGAAAATACTGAGATTGCAGTGATTCACAGACTACCTGGGCTCCTAAGCATTGTCCCCAGGGTTACAATGAAAATTATAAGAATAATTTTGGTTAGGGTGTAAAGAGAGTGGCAAAAACGTGAATAGAATAATTTTATAGGTAAGAAATAAGTTAGATCCTTAGCTGGAAGTCTAGAGTTGGGTTTATAAAAATTTTAATACTGGTTGCAATGTCTGCCATGTTTTTCAAAAGCAATATTAACATATAAAGAAATGGATATGATTAGACAATAAATAGGGCAAGGAAAGCACCAGGCATTTTTTAGAGCTAGGATCCATGTCTGCATTTGGTTCAGGGTGGTGCATCACCTTCTTGGGATCTGTATTAAACCTATCTGTAATTTTTTACACTATCGCTTTTCTTCTGCCTGAAATATTTTCCCCCAGGAATTTAGCATCACTCACTTATTACCATCACTCAGGTCTCTGCTACAATTTCAGATCCTAGTATCATACCTCCCTTGATTATAAGTCAGAATAGAATACATTATTCTGTGATAGGAAAAGCAAATACCTGTGTCAGAAAACAACAAAGTTTTATTCACATTTCCACTATGTTGTTTCCATGGTGGTTGCAGGAATAATTCAGGGATTCAAGCTACCATCTTAAATATTGCTGTTGCTGTACGGAAGAGAAAAGAGAGCTTGAGAAGCTCTCATGCTGGTAATTAGATGCTCAACTTGGAGTCACATCAACGTGCCACTCACATCTCACAAGGAAAACTATTCACATGGCCCTATCTCACCACAACTGCAATCTGCAATCTTACCTTGTACCTGCAAAGAGGGAGAACTATGAATATTTGGAAAAAAAGCATAATATGTAACAACTTAGAATAGTTTCTTTATTTACTTTTACATTTTATAGTAAATATTATTTTTTGACATTATTACATCATATTACATTATATATTTTTGATGTTATTCACCTTCTGCCTCTGCCCACAAGAGGCCTATGTAAGCAAGACTTTGTCTTAGTCAGCCTTTATCTCTAGCATGTAGAATCATACATGGTATCTGTAAAGCAGTAAATCAATATTGTTTACTAAGTGAATGAGTGAATAAATCGTGATGGCCTATTTTGGCTCATACCTTCATCTATCCAACCCTTCTAGTAGTGAGCTCAGTTTGCTTTATTCTAAGTCAAGATCCTTACTCAACAGTAAAGATAGATTATAAGCAAAGGCAGGGACTGAGACCAGCACATGCGGAGACACAGAAAAGGCAACTCCAACTTGGAAATTTCACAGAACCTGCATGTGAAGTGCAGCATTGGGTCAAAAATCATCTAACATTTTGGCTCCAGCTGGGTTTGGCAAAGCTCAGATGAAGGGACTTGATTTTGCGGCAAGAACTACTTTAAAGTGGAGGCAACTTCATATTTTTTTCTCAGGTTACAATCAGCATAATCACTCCCCACATCTCGGTGATCTTGGCAGAAGTTTAGTCCACAGAATAAGTGACCATCTAGGTCTATTCTGATAATCTATGAAAGAATGTGTCCTGTCCACTCTCCAAGGTACTGACTCAAAACTAGAAATAATGGCTGAACTGTCCCAAGTGCTGAATTTTTAGTATCAATAAACTGCTTCCTCAAAACTTTTGCATTCCTCCTGCCCCATCCTAGGATGGTTAGTGTAACAACTATACTTGACTGAGACATTTGGGAAAATACTTGGCACAATTATATTATCACTAACATAAGGTACCCACGTGGAAATTTGGATAAATAGCATACAGTACCTAAATTATTTTCTATGATCATGGGAGAAACTTCGTATATTTGTTTCCTATGGCTGTGGCCACCATAATGCTGTTTGCTTAAAAATCCACAATTATTATCTTATCTTATAGTTCAGAAGTTTCACACAGATCTCACTGGGCCAAAATCTGTGCCAGTAGGCCTGCATTCATTCTGGAGGCTCTAGGAGAAAATCAGTTTTGTGATATTTTCCAGCTTTTAGAAGCTGCATGCATTATTTAGCTCATGGCTCCTTCAATCTGCAAAGCCAGCAATGGCCGGTCATATTATTCTCATATCCCCTCACTCTGATACAGAGTCTTCTGCCTTGGTCACCCACTTTTATCGTCACTTCTGATTACATTGGGCCTACCTGACTAAGACAAGATAATCTGTCTATCTTAAGGTTAGCTGATTTGCAGCCTTATGTCTATTTTTCATGTAAATTATTTTCTTGCCATATACAGTAACACATTCATAGTTTCTAAAGATTTAAATGTGGACATCTTGGGGAAGGGGACATTATTTGCCTATCAAACTCAGTAAATATAAACATTTCAGATTACAAAAGTTATCATAAAATTAATCAAAACCTGATGAACAAGTGGCTTATGTGTGTGTGTGTATATATATATGTATATACACACATATGTATAAAGATGTATATATATACACATATATATAAAGATATATATACACATATATAAAGATATATATAATAATAAATCTTGGGATATTAAACTATTTTTAAATAATCTTGGAATCAGGATGGATGCAATATCTTTTTATGGATAAATAAAGTGAGGCATGGATGGGTTAAATTACTTAGTCAAGGTCATATAATATAGAATAATTGACATGAGGATACAGGCACTTTCTACTTGACTTCACTATTGCATTCCATTTGGGAAGACAGGCCATATTGTAATACAATTAGAAAAATCTATCACGTGGTTAACTTTTTTTTAATTCATAAAGCTTGAGGTGATAAATTTACATTACCAGGGTAATCTGAAAATATTAAATAAGTTTATTGCTTGATGTTGGCCAAATGACATTCCTGTAAGTATGTGATGCAAGGGGTATTTTGATGCTCCAGGTGACCTAATTTAAGAAATTGTTTTCAGATGTGACCAGGTGCATATTCACCCAGTTCATTCCATTGTAATAGGGCAATACTGTGTAATGTGTACAAAGTACATTCTTTTTGTAAGAAGCTGAAGTTCACCATTTGCTGATCTCATTACGCAGAATTGCGCACTTAAATGAACAAATATTTCGGGAGTTATTTTTAAATGAGTCAAGATGGTCAATACGGAGGAAAAATATAAACATTTGTGATGATGGTATAGACTTAGGAAAAGGTGAACACAGACTTAAGATTTGCCCCTAAGTAACCATTCACCTTCAAATTTATGTGGTTTCAAATTGTATTTTGAAGTTTTATTTGTACTAGAGAGTAGCTTTTATTCTTCAGGGATAACTGAAAGCTAAACAAACACTCTGCATGTTTATACACAGTCACATAGAAATGCTTTAAAAATGCTGTCCCCCTTGCACTTCTGTGCTTTGTAAAACAGGCACAGACAGTGCTATTTATATTTGTAATAAAGCATTTAGATTAATTTTTATGGTTTGCCACAGATTCATTTTGAGAGGCACTGTGACACGCCGGTTTTGGGTATTAGACTCTGACCTTTATCCTTAGCAACTAGACTGCTATACATTTCGATTCCCTCCACTCCATCACAACACCCCCAGACTATTTCGAGTAAATTCTTTTTGTGTGTGCCATCAGGTTTCTAAAGAGGCTCACAGAGAGAACTGTCACCACACAAGGGAGAAAGCAAGCAAAAAGAAAGAAATAGAAGCCTTGTCAGAACTATTTTTGTTTTCAATACTTAGTTTCCTTAAAAGCTAAATAGAACAGGTTTATAAGCTGCATATGAGGAGCTGAGAACTTTCAGCTTAGTATGAGAGCCATGCTGTAGTTTCTGGTAGTTTAGTGAAGGAGTTACAAAACAGCAGTGTCTCATTTCCTTTTCCTGACAGCTCTTATCTTGGTTTCCCATGCTTCCATCGATGTACTTTGGGGTGAGCATAGGAATCTCATTCTTAGTCTTTTTTTTTTTTTTTTTTTTTTTTTTAGATCATGAGTGTTGACTCCATTAGGACTTCTAATTTCACTAAGTGATGCAATCATTTTTAAAATTTACTTTTATTTTACCATCTTTATTAGTCTTTTAATCCAATGCTTTATGCTTAGTTCCTAAATTACTTGCAGGAAAGATAGATCAAGATTAGAAACAAAAATAGCAATCGGAAATTCTGTACAGAAGAGAGAATACAATAAGAAAATTTACCTTGGGAGGCCATGGTGGGTGGTCACCTGAGGTCAGGAGTTCAAGACCAGCCTGGCCAAAGTGGTGAAACTCCGTCTCTACTAAAAATACAAAAATTAGCCAGGTGTGGTGGCAGGCACCTGTAATTCCAGCTACTCGGGAGGCTGAGGCAGGAGAGTCATTTGAACCCAAGAGGCAGAGGTTGCAGTGAGCCGAGATCACGGCATTGCACTCCAGCCTGGGCGAAAAAGCAAGAGTCTGTCTCAAAAAAAAAAAAAAAAAAAAAAATTTTACCAACTAACTCTCACTTTCCAGGAAAGTTATCATCACTAAGCAGTCATAGTACAAAATGCTTTTAATGTTATGGGGTTATTTTTAATTATGTATAAACATTGTATTTACGTTAATATGTATATTAGTATTCTGGCCAAAAATAATAAGCCCAATGACAAAGACAACTCATAATTTAAGTTTGAAAAAATCTTCCATGAGAATCATCATCATATTCATCTAGTGATATACTAAGAAATGTTCCCTATAACTGTTATAACAAGTTGTAAGCAAGTAACCACATCAAACTAGAGTTGAAATTGAATATACTTAAAACTGACTCAGCCATCGGGGGAAAGGTCCACTATGCTTGCACGCCTGCTGCATTGGCCACACCCCAATTTATAAGAAGTATTATCAGGTTTAAAAACAATGGGATCACAGTGCAGATCAGAATTATTATTTTTTTAATTTAAGAAGGAGGAGTCTAGGTCTAAACTTACACAGAAACACTAGTACATAGAGTTGAGGTCAAGATTATTTGGTAAATCTCCAGCTGGTAGTTGGGATGCATAAGAACATAGTAGCAATTGAGCCAAAAAGAATATTTAAAGACAAAAAGGCTTAGAATGAGAAAATGGTTCTGAATTAGGTGGTCAAGAAGAAAAATCAGAGTTTCTTCTATAAATGCACAGAATTATAGGGAGTCAGTCTATCTCATCTCGTTATCGGAACACAGTCATGGTCTTGAGCTTGAGAAGCTAGTTTTTATAGTTACAGATACCACTGCTCTTGGCTTTGGAAGCCGGAATTAAGCAACTGCTGGAGCTCTGCACTTGACTTCAGGCAGAACAGGAATCTTTGCTTTAGAGTAGAATTTTCATCTTTCTTCATTGAAAGTTGTATAAAGACAAGGGGTACCTTGATATGATATTTCATACCAGGAGCTGATGAGAGAATCTACTTAGAACAATATAAGGCAATATGTATCTGGAGATAAGGAAAGTTTTAGGCAAGAGTTAATCTTGTTCCCTCAAATGACACCAGAAAATAATATAGGTATATCCTTACCCCACAGATGAAGGAATCACTGGTGTTTCCTTTTCTTTATTTGATAGATGATCCCATCTATCCAAAGTTTTGGCCCTAAAAGCAATTCTATCATTTATACCTTACCATTTGTCCATCTTCTTCACCGCTCCTAGTATTGCACAGGTGACCCTAATTTAGAGATAATAGCACAGAGGCTTTCTATGCAGCACAGCTCTTCTTAGAAACTGGGTGGCTTATTTTTCCACTTTCACCTTGAAAGTTTGCATCCCTGCCCATTTCCCATTCTCTCACTTATCACTATGGACCAGCTCTGGGGCATGCTGCAAAGAAACCCGAGAGAACATTCCCAGAGATAAGCCTACTGTTATTCTGCAAGCTGAAGGTATATACTACAGCTCAAAACGGGTTTTTATTCCTTTCAGTCAATGCTGTGAACAGCAACTGCATTCCAGTTCTTAGTTACATTATCCCTATCCCAATGCCATTATGTAATTAGAATAAGCTGTAACAGCCACAGCCAAGAGTTTTCTTCTCAAGAAATTACAGAAGTGACCATGTGCCAGAGACACACATTGCTAAGTAAGTTTGCAGTCAGCTTAATTGCTTCCAAAACACAAAAGTAAAAAGAAAAAATAAATAAATAAATAGCTACAGAGAAACTAGGCGATTGGAAGTACATCCTAGAACATAGCACTCTGGACAAAGAGTGTGTGGGAGTGTTATTGCCCTTCTTAGGCTTCTCCATTAATTAACTTCAGAAATGAGACATAATATTCAATAATTTTTGGATACTTTTTCCCACTCTGGATATTATAAAGCATGGGCCCAAGGTTTTGCTAGTTGGTCATTAATAGATGTCTTCAGTTTTAGCAGTAATTTCCTGGTGATTGCCTTAAATATTGTATGTATTGCTTCATCATCCAGAGTATTTTACCCACAGATTTAACTTAGCATAGCTTCCAAATTCTAGGTAGAGTGTAACTCAGCTATAATCTACCTCTGGAATTAGTTCCCTAATGAAGAGTCAAGGCTCTTTACTGAATCCCCCATGGGTTATGACAGCACAGATTTTATTGGAGGTGCCTAATAATAATAATATATATATATTTTTGTTTGTTCTCTCCAACTTAGCTTCCAGAGGGCAGGAAAGCTTCCTTGTTTTTGCAGACTTAATCCTAATATCTAAGAGAATATTGAATGATATATAAATATTTGCTGGACAAATCCTGATGCTTCAAGTCTGGTCTGTGGTGGGCTGCTGAGAAACATAATTCTCAGAGATGCAATCTGGCATTCTCACGAGGACCCACTGAAACTTACAATATAGTAGAAGGAAAGCAAAGCACAGGCATTTTGTTTATGTGAGACTTGCTTAAGAAAGAAATTTGTCCAGGATTTGCTATCAAGTGAGAGAAACTGTCTACTCCATATTCTGGCATAATAAAAGGGGAGTACCTTGTGCCACCTCTGGACCTCTCAAGGTAGATTTAGAGTGCTTGTTATTGAAGACATTCAATGATTGCAAATAATACATGCTTATTGGGCATGCTTTCAAAACCAATTCAATTTCTAGAAAAACACTTGCCAATAAAAGCCTTGTAGGAATGGAACACACACAATAACTATGCCTAGGGCCTTGCCTCATTCCTTTCTGCAGGGATTTATGAAATATTGCCCATGAGATTTTGTAAATGAGGTCCTTAAGCCTAACACGCCATCACTTTGCTGGTTAAATAATGAAAAGACAGGATTTGTCTTAGGCACAGTAAATCACGGAATGGTTTAGAGTATGCTGCCTTGGACACACTGCTAGGGGAGTGTGTTTTTAAAGTGAAAAGATCTATATGAAGTGATATTACAGTATCAGACACACTCAGTTAAGTCTTACTTAGCAACGTGCAGCTTTTGCATCACAATTATTCCAGTCACTCTCAAGAAATAGAGGTAGGTCAAATTTAATCAGGAAGTGGTCCAATGTTGTGATGGCACCCAGGATTTATTTCTTTAGAATGTGTTAGCATTTCTAGCTTTTCCCTTTAGTTGGCTTAAGAAATTGGTATGTTGTATGATCTGAGCAATTATGTGAATTCCCATGAGTAAGCACAGGTTTCTCTACAGACTCAAAAGATTTTAAGTATTCCTAGATGACTCTTTCCTGCACAAAGATTACTGATTCAAATAATCTGAGACCTCATGCATATAGAAGAGTATCATAAGACTTTCACTTTGAATTTGCTAGAATCTTATCTTCATCTGAGATTCCAGCATTTAACTTTGCCTGTAAAAAGGGGAAATGTAGGCTGTTTGTGAAAATATACACTGAGGTAGTTGTTGAAACTTTCAAGTTCACCCTGTCTTAGAGGTTCGCTTCTGAAGCAGCGCTCAGCTTACCTCCTGGTAGGAGGAACACACATACACTAAATGCTTCTCTAAGGAGACAAGCATCCCATGTGACCTTTTCCTTCTGTATTCTTAACACTGATTTATCACCATTGCAGCTGTTTAGCATTTTGCAGGGTGGTGCACTTCCCCTCCCATCTCTGCTTTTTCTCCCTTCTTCATAGTCCCTGTCTGCAAAAGAGCCCTGTATTTTAAATATTTTATACTCAGCAGCAGTAAATGTTTTCAGGCATTGGGTAACACTATCGCTGCTATGAGAGAAAAGAGTTGAAAACATCTGTGATGCCAAACTTCGTGGAAAAGAAAAAAAATAACAAAGCATTGTTTGTCACACTGTCACTAAACATTATCCCTCAGAATCAGTCCTATTTGTATATGAAAACTTCAATTGCAGGGTCTGAAAAAGAAAAGCTCAGGATTTTCTAGAATAAAAACAGATCATCTTTTTAAGCTAAAGAATAGAAGCTTTTAAATTACTCTCTGGGAAGGTCTGTAGGAAAAAATAAATAATTCTAGGAAGAATAATGTGTGTATTATGAAACCATTATTAAGATTTCAAAACAGTAAGAGACAATTGAAGAACCCATTGTAAGTAGTGATTGTCATTTAGCGGAGATCTACTTTTAACCCAGGATTGTTATATTTCAAACTGAGGTCAAGGAAAAGAAAGGTTTCTTTGGCATCCATCAGATAAATCAGCCCACCTTTTCCAAAGCTCCTGCTGATAAATACGGTGCTTCCCTGATTTAACTCTTAAACAGTCTGTGTGAGTAGAAGATGAAGGACAAGGCAAGATCTGCTCTTGGCTCATTTTCCCAATATAGGCAAAGCCCTCAACTTCATTTTCTTGGTTCCTTGAAAATAGAAAAAAAATTTTAAAAATGTTATGACTGCCATACCTGGTGGGAAATCACTGGAGTTGAACTTGTCACCCTCTTAATCCACTTATGATGATAGAGTGCTGATTTGTGCATCTAATTATTGAAGCCTAATTATTGCTGCAGTGAAATCAATGTGGCATGTTAAATATGCGCCACACTCCCAGGAATGAGACCTGTGCTTCCCCTTCTTCTCATGTTAGTGGTGACCTTATTTATAATCTTATTCAAACGAAAGCTTTGTCAAAGATTCAAAGTCACCCTTCACAGGCATTGAGAGCTCTTCAGTGTGTGTCTGAAGGTTATATGTAATGAAGTTTGGCTTAATAAGTAGAAATTACTAATTTATTAGAGTTCCTTGAGGTGGAAAAGAGGAATGTAGATTAAAAAAAAAATCTCATAGATGCATTTTACAAAGTATTTAAAAAGCAGTTTTGAAAATGTTCCACACCAGCCGGCACGGTGGCTCACGCCTGTAATCCCAGCACTTTCGGAGGCCGAGGCAGTCTGATCACTTGAGGTCAGGAATTCGAGACCAGCCTGGCCAACACGGTGAAACGCCGTATCTACAAAAAATACAAAAATAGCTGGGCGCAGTGGCAGGTGCCTGTAATCCCAGCTACTTGGGAGGCTGAGGCAGTAGAACTGCTTGAACCTGGGAGTCAGAGGTTGCAGTGAGCCCAAGATCATGCTACTGCACTCCAGCCTGGGCGACGGAGTGAGACTCCATCTCACGAAAAACAGACAAACGAAAATGTTCCACACCAAGAGTTACTAATCATATAAATGCTATATTCCTTGGGTGGGGAGTATTCTTTTTTTTTTCCTCAGAAAACGAACTGGCTTAAGAGATTAAAATAAAACACTCAGAATACACATGATCATTTCTTGTATGGAAACAGCAACTAGAAGAAGAAAAGAATTAAGTTCCCTGGGGTCAGAATGCTGATGGATTATGTTTATCTTGTTAATTATATGATGGTGATGAGCATTATGGTTTGCATTGTCAAGAATCACTCCTTAATACTCTGTTTCAGAGGTCACAGGTGTGACCCAAGAAACTGTATTTTTCAGTCTTGACCGACAATGTTATATTTATAGCAATTTGCTATGTGTCACATGCTCTTTTAAGAATTTCACATGAATTACTTCCATTATCCCTCCTACCAACCCCGACATGTATGCTATACCCATTTTATGGTTTAAGAAGCTGAGGCAAAGAAAAGTTAAACAACTTCCCTAAAATCACAGTGAATGGCAGAGTTACAAGTCTATATAAAGATGTGTTCTAAGTGATGACCTAGAAAAAGAAAATGGACATAATTGATGACCGTTGGCTAAAAATGATGCTTCCCTGTGCAACTCCTCTCCAAAAGGCCTTAAGTATACTGACTTCTATTAAACATAGCACTTCAGTCACACATAGACTCTGTTTTATTGAGGTTTAAGAAAAATATTCGTTTGCCTTCATTGGTTATTTATTTGGTTGCTCATTTTGGAATGTGCAGCTTTATTAGTAAAAGGGGGCTTAGTGTTCTTAATGATGTAAAGGAACAAAAAAGTAACAAATCACTGGGTTTTCCTGTCTATTGCTGGCCAGGGATCTATTTCTCCTCACTTTTTTGCTTTGATGGGTGTGTGTCTGTGTGTGTGTTCCAAAAGACTCAAGCAGCTTCATGGGTTTATGGAGGCTCAGTAGACAGAAATAATGGAGTAAAAAAGGAAAATGTGAATTCATTCTGAAAAGAGTGTCTAAGAGAGGAGAGATGACAAAATCAGATATTTAATGTAGTGGAACAAATGCTGGGAGAGGCTGAGAACAAGACTTAGCAGGGCTGTTTTGATTTTCTCACAGGTATCTTATAATCACCCAGTGATGGTGGGATGTAAGTATGGAGGTTGAAGGCAGAGACACAGTATTGTAATGCTGCATTTTAGGATGACTTCAATCAAGCAAAATCAACTTTGTGTCAAGTCCTGCTTGGTGATAGCTATGAGTTAACAAAAAGGGCAGAAACTTTCAGCTACAGCATTTCCATTTATCAATAAATTTACATTGCTATAAAATTAATCATTGGATTGTCAACTGTTACATAGATGTTTCAAATGAAGTGTCTTTTCTTGTCAATAGGAATAGAAGCTTATAAAAACACAGGGACAGTGGTTTTTGCTCTTGTGGATGGCCTTTAATACCTAGCAAAACCCTGGACGTCAAGAACTGAACTGAATTTAATTGACTATATTATATTATATCAATGTATCTTTAACTTGCTCTTTGTCTATCCCTGTGACCCAAAAAGTGATGTGTCCAATTCTGGGCTATTCAATTTAAGGTTTCCACTTCTTGCTCTTTATTTGATTGAAGTTGGATGAGAGAAAATAAAGCCTATGTAATATATAATATATTGATGTTATATTCACATACACATATGCTTTTACAAAAGCAAGTTTTGGCCTAAGCTACACTTTAGAATCCTATCATTGTACTTTTATCAAATGAGGTTAGTATCTAAAAATAATAGATACAATTATTGGCAGAAATTTCTCATTAAAATAAAGAAATAAACATCAAAGGCAGGTCTGAACACAGAAAGTTTGCATCCTAAATCTTTTTTCATGGAGATCACAAATTCCCTGAAGCATCAAACATATATATATTCTGGAGATATATATATATATATATATTTTTTTTTTTGAGAGAGATATATATATATATATTTTTGAGATATATATATATATTTTCTGGATATATATATATTTTCTGGATATATATATATTCTGGACATATATATATTCTGGATATATATATCCTGGACATATATATATATATTCTGGATATATATATCCTGGACATATATATATATATATATTCTGGATATATATATATATATTCTGGATATATATATCCTGGACATATATATATATATATATATATATATATATATATTCTGGATATATATATCCTGGACATATATATATATATATATTCTGGATATATATATATTCTGGATATATATATATATTCTGGATATATATATATATATTCTGGATATATATATATATATTCTGGATATATATATCTATATATTCTGGATATATATATCCTGGACATATATATATATATTCTAGATATATATATTCTGGATATACACATATTCTGAATATAGATATAGATACAGATATAGATATAGATATATTCTGTAGTCTACTGCCCATTAGCTGAAGAAAACATGGTCACTGGCTCATATTTAAAGTAAGAGAAAAAAATTACTTCTCCTTCGGATACATTTGTCAAAGCTCCAAAGAAATAAACAATCTGTGAATAGTTCAGCACAATTATATATTTACAAAGCATAGTGGATTTAGTCTAACATTTTCCCACCTGGAAAAACTGGGCTTAAGTATCTCCGACAAACAAAAAGCAATACTGCGTTCTTCCCAATATGCCATGTCACCTTTGTAGCACTCACACACTTGCAGGGAAGGGACTCGGGGTTGGGGGTGGTTCTGATGTAGAAATTGCAGATGGAGAGCTGGGCTCTGGGGATGGAAATGGAGAGAAGCGAAAAAGAGCCTGGAGAAACGGCTGTCATATTTGCTCAGAAGAACCGCCAAATCAGAGAGCACAGAAGATTTCATTGGAGGAGCGCCTTCAACAGCAACTAATCCTGTCATACTGAAAGAAAATTGTAAATGTTCTCTCCAGAAATTGTCCGCCCATTGCAGCTAATCGAACACACACGCACGAATACAGACACGCTCTCCTGCTGTACTAAAGGCGCCAGGGCGCAAAGACCTAGGGAGCGCGCGCGGGCACACACACACACACACACACACACACAGACACACACACACTCACACACTCCAGGCTGCGGGTTGGCCAGAGCCTGGAAATCGCAGATTTCACCAGGAAATCGCCGAGGTACCCGAATAGGTGTTGCCTCCCAAAACTAATTCCTACTTCCCCAAGCACTTTGGTGAAGAAATGAATCCAGCCCAGCTCGCCGAGGCATCCAGGTCTCCATTCTATTTTGGTCTCCAGGCTCTTCGTGAAAGCCAGGTTTGAAAGTCTTGTTTGCTTCTCCTTTAGTGGTTTGGCGTGGAGGGCGGGGGCAGCGTCAATTTAACTCCAGTCTAAACCACGAACAGGTCACAGACTAGCCAAGTGGCTGAGACGAGTGTGGGGTGCGTGACTCTGCCTGCGCGCGCGCCAGCCCCGCAGCTCTCGCCAGAGCCTTGGGGTCGGTTCTCTCCCGCCTCTCCCGCCTCTCCCGCCCCACCCCTACAGTGTCTCGGCATCAACTAATCTTTTCCTTTTCTTTTGCAAGATCAAGGGAGAAAGAGAACCGGCAGCTGGCCTCGGACTCTAAGCGGTGCGCAGCTCCAGCCCGAGCGGATCGGCCCTGAACCCACAAAGGACTCCTCGCTCCTTCAAGCCTCCACCACCTCGCAGCCGGGGAGGCAACTGGAGCGAAACCAGCGACAGGTAAGGGCCCCGCGCTGTGCAGCTCTCCGCTTACCCACTCCAAGGGCCCTGGCACCAGGGGGTCTCTCCCTTCATATCCCCCCAAGCCGGAGGCTCAGGGGTCGGGGCTTGGGGGAATTGGAGGGAGGTCCTCCCCACGTGCAGATTCTCAAACGGAAACTTTGGATCCTGGGGCTTGGAGGGTTGCGAGCAGTGATGGCGGGTCTGAAAGGAAGGGGCAAACGAGGCACAGCGCGAGGCGAGGTACCCCTACGATTCCGACGGTCACTGAGTCCAGCCGAATGTGGCGAAAGCAGCCTGGGAGCTGCGCTGTCCCGGCGTCGCTCCCTATTCCAGCCCCCCATTCCCTCTACTGTTGCTGACCCCCCTCCCGCCACCCACTCCAGATGCAGCCATGGACAAGACAAGGAGAGCTTCGTCCCTCCCGCCCCTCGGGTTCCTTCCTGCTGGGGTCTGACCGCGTCTTCTGTGCGTGTGGGATGGAGGCCCGGCTCGCTCGGGCTCCGAGCTGTCCCCCGGCTCCGCTTTCGGAGCAGCCCTTGGGCGCTGGAGAGGTTTCCCATTGCGGTCTCCAGGTCATGGCCAAGGAGGAGAAGCAATTAGAATGGGGGAAAGGGTCCCAAGACAAAGGAGAGGGAAGCATTCTGCAATCCCATCCTATTTGAGCCCCGCGCAGGAGCTGGACTGTCCGCCGTGGCTGGGGGACAAGGTCTCAGCCCGAAGCTCATGAGGTACCAGACAGTGCCTGGGCTTCGCCACCTAACTCACAATGGGTCCTGAACCGCCCGGGCAGTCCCCGGGGTCGTAGACTGGGGACCGCTGCACCCCTCCCCGCCCGCAATGTCCCTTGGAGTCCGCACCTGAGGTCCCAGGCAATCGCCGCTAACTTGTAGCTCTCGGACACGGACAGGTGCGGTCCATGCCTGGTGCCGGTAGACGCGCAGAAATTCCACCTGTGCGCGCTGCCCGGCGCCCCTGGGGCCCCTCACGGGGTAAGTAGAGACTCATCTGGGAGAGGTGAAAATTCCCCAGAATTATTGACACACACGGCGGCACACCCTTTGCCTCCGTCCGCCTCCAGCATCCGCATCCCTTTCTCTATCTTCCTGCCCATTGCCGTCCTCGAGGCTGCCCTGAGATACAGAATTGTCCCAGGCTGAGTCCACCGACCCGCCAGTCCCTGGCGATGATGCCAAGGCTCTTGCATGTACGGAAATACCAGCAGGGAGGTTCGCCAGGGGCAGAGAGGCTGGAGGAGAACAGAGAATTGGAGGTAAACGCGTAAAGCCAGCAGAACTGTCGGTGGACATTTCACCCAGGCCGCCCTCCCGCGTCTTTAAGTCAGTTCACCGCCACAGCACGTCTGTGACTGCGGCCACCCAGGGCTCCAAGTCTGCCAGCCCAGGCGCCGCGAGCCAAGAAGAGCGCGGCGCCTCCCACTCCTCAAGCTCCGGAATCCCCCACATCGACTTTCTATTTCCCTGTCTTCTTTTCTTTTTTGTTTGTTTTGCTTTTCCTGCTCTTTTCTTAGCGCTGGGTGGCAGTGGGTATGCGGCAGCCGTGTGATTTGCCCATCCCCTAGTACACGCAGCCAGCGACACAAGCACACAGCGACCAGTCCCCACGCTGTGCCACACACCCTCCAGCGGTCCGGCGCGCAGCCCCTGCTCCACAGCCCGGGACGCCTGCAGCCACCGCCAGGGTCATGGCCATGGCCCACGCAGGGCTCTGCGGGTGGAGAGGGGAAGTCAGCCTAGACTCCAGAGAGAAACCCTGGGGCAACCCGAAAGGCCTGAGGAAAACTGGAATTGGGGTTAGGCATGAGGGGAGGGAGTCTCTGGGGAAAACGGGCCGGGCTGTGCGGAGCCCTGAGGGCTCCTGCGGCTGCAGCGCTGCAGGCCGCCCGCGTCTCGCCCCGCCCCGCCGCTGGGCGTCCCCGCCAGGAGCCCACCCGCGGGCGGCAGCTTTTCTCCATGCTGCCCAGGGAAGTTCGATGCCTGGTGCTGGGATGCGCCAGCGCTTCTGTTCGCTTCTGGCAATCCTGGCGTCTCCCAATGAGAGGGCTCTCAAAATGAAGCTTTTAATAAACTCCAGAGTAAGGAACTCGGGATTGTGCGGCAAAGGCCGCGCATTGCACTTTGTGAGCAATCGGTAAATATGCGCAACCATATGATAGGAAATATATGCATTTTCATTGATAAGAAAAAAAGAGATGATGGTATTTTTAAACAGAAGCCACAAACAGGCATACCTGTGCCATTGTTGGGGAGCTAATAATAAAGGCACTGATGATCACAGGAGTAAGAACAATTGACTTGGCCAAGAGACAATTTTAAGCTGGGAACTGTATTCGGCTGCAGTTCAGAAAGTGGACTTTTGAGACTTGTCAAACGAATGGAAGAATTTTGTGCCAACAATGTCCCAGCTTTGCAGGCTTGGCAGCTGAGGACTCAGAAGTAACAAATTAATGCCAGGTGAATTATTATTGTTACTACTATTATCAAAATGTGTTCCAGTTGCAGCAATACAATGGATAAGCAACTTCCTATTGACTCTATTTGCTTTCCTGGGCTAGACAATAATGCCAATTAAAACTTAAAAAATTTAACCTGACCCTAAAAAGAGGTGAGAACTCCAGCCAAATCTGTTTACCATTTTAAAATAAAGCTCTGTGAATGAGGTGGGGTGGGAATGGGGGAAAGTTTTGGGACTCCAAATTCCCAGGGCTAGACTGTCTGAAAGATGCTTCATTTTCCTATAAAATAAAGAGGCATGTTTGTTTGTAGAAGGGTGCTTGAGGGTGCCTGGAGGCAAATTGGAGTGAGCAAATAGGTGGATTTGAATACTGTCATAGTTCCAGTAAAAGGGAACCCAAAGAGCATGTTTTCAGCTCTCAACTAACTTCAGAGTCAGATGTGGAAAGAACTAGCAGGTGAAATACTGGTAAAAGTCCCTTTGGAGTGAGTTCCCATGGTCCTTCAATTTTGGGAGGCTGAGACTGTTGTCTTCATGTTAAAAAACAAACAAACAAAAACACATATTGCTCTAAATTTGACCCTATCGCCTTCATTGCCCAGAAAGTCCAGATAGTCAAGCATCCAGATGTGTCTTTACTGGACAATTTTCCAATTCCAATTCCAGAGCAGCCATTCCCCAGGGCCAATAGGAATGGGTGGTTTCAGAGATCCAAAGAAAACAGTCCCAGACTGCTGGCAGGTAGGGAAGGCACAAAAAGCATGAATGACACTGTCTTCAATGGAAGTTAGGCTGGCTAATTAGGAGTCCTATGTCTCTCTGACCCACAACAATGAGTAAAGTTAAAACAAGTACAAAAGAGGGAGAAGAGAAGAAATTAGAACAAAAGGGAAATGAAGACGGAATGGGAGAGAGAAAAATGAGGACAAGAATCTGTAGGTATATCAATAATCGTGCTGGATTCAACCTCCATCACTGATGTCAGCCTTTGTTTAGAATATGCATGTGAGCGAACCCTTTCTATTATCTTCACAAGATCACCCAGACACCATTCTCAATCCTGTCTTAAACTTTTCCCACTTTACTCAATAGGACAGAGACTGACAGAAACATTTTGCCACACAGTTCTCTTGAAGAATTGGTTTTCTTTATTTAAACTTATATTTGACTTGCTTGAGATTTTATGACATGGACTCTCCGTGGCATAGTTCCCAAGAGACTCCTATGTATCGAAAGCCACCAATGTCCACCTTGTGACTACTAACAACTGGCTTTTGCTTCCTGTACCCACTCTGTCCACCTTTGGTTCATTGAGCAGGCATCAGGACTTCTCTCATTTAAGATAAATGGCATAAGTATACTGATTGCATATCCCACAGCTCACCTGGCCTATGTGGTGGAGGTGGTATGTGGGGAAAGAGATGCAAGTCACCTTTCCTTAGGCAGGTATTTTTGCTGTGTGTATTCTAAGTCCTTGGCATTATTCTAAGCATCTTCCCATATGATATTTTCTGTTTTGTCAGTTGCTTTAGCCTCACTGCTTAAAATACAGCCAGGCATACCTAAGAAACATATTAAATCTCTTTTGAATGAGTTAATACAGCAATCAATTTTCTCATTTTATCTTTGCAACAATCCTATGTAGTAGATGTTATTTTCTACAGGAAGAAATCAGCATTCAGAGGGGTCTGGTAATGACCCGAGATCATACAGCTAGTAAGTTGCAGCCCCTGGATTCAAACACAAGCTTGTTGGACTCCACTGTCTTAGTTCTTATAGTGTGTCAATCGGTTCGCTATAAATAGTTGTGGCACTTGTTTTCCCTGTGTTTGGGGAAAACAAAACCATGGCATTCAGAAGTTCAATGATGTTCTCCCCATCTGTTAATACAACTTTGCATGTTTTTGTTAGATCCTCCAAACCTTAAGCAAAGAAGAGGCAGTGCTGAGTAGGCTCTTAGTTGGCACGTGCTTGTCTTGTTTAGTCAGTGATTGCCTCTGGCAGAGGTAAACGAGGGCACCAAAATTTTGGCAGATGCCATTTTCACCTCTCAGCAATACTAAGACATTATTAAACAGAAGTTCTTTTGTCTGATGCATAGTAATAAAAGATAATTTTGATATCATTCAGCTGAGTTCATGATAGGAAGCAGATCAAGAGACTTTTTCAAGGTGACACAGCTAACCAAGAACTGCATAAGAACACACACATCCCAATCCCAGTCTAGTTGTCTCTCCATTTTTTCATGCTAAATGAGTTCTCTTTTTCTATAAGATTGTTGGCACTTAAGATTCTGAATTTCAATGGCCCCATTTACTTTTAATTAGTATTTATTATCCACATGTGCTTTGAAAAGTATAATGTTACTTTGTAAACTGCTATTAGCAAAGAATGAGGTAGGTTCCAGTTGGTTTGCCTCTTTCCACTCTTTATATATCTTTGTCTTACTTTATTTATTTCTCTTTTTTTTTCTTCACATGTTCTAGCTCCTTCTTTTATACTATGACCTAAATATACAATCATCTTAACTGGTGCTGTTACCATGGTAATGTTTCATGGTAGATAAGGGTACACACTAAAAACTCAGTTTTCTCATTTTCTTTCATTAGTAATGGAATTCCTTCTGTCTCTCTTTTTTTTCTCTGTCTTCCCCCATGCCCTCCCTCTCTCTCTGCCCCCCCTCTCTCCCCTCTTCCCTCCCAAATCCAAGCTTTCACTGAATGATGCCCTCTGGTGTTCAATAACTGGAAGCACATTGGATTGGATAGGACAAGGACATCCGTTTTAAAGCTTAGGGAGAATTTCAATTTCAAACAAAAATTCAACTGGACCTAAGCAAGAAGGACTTTGAATTAATATGTTTTTAAGCAAAGAGATTAGTAGAATACATTTGTTGTCTGGGCATGTCAAATGTTGTTTACTATGTATACAGTTATGGCAAAGGGGTGGGAAGGATATTTATACCCTTACAGGTTTAACATTGTTATGAAAATGTTCTTATGGAAGAAAAAGAGATGCCACCGAGATATCCCTGGGAGGATAGTCTGATAGAATATTCTGCACATTTAAGTCTTTAAGACTTCTAAATGGAAGTCTTCTATCTTTAGAATGGAAACATTTTTCTTGCTGAATATATATATATATATGTAAAAAATGCATGTGTGTGTATGTGTGTATATATATACACATATATACATATATACACATATATACATATATACACACATATATACATATATATACACACACATACACACACATGAATTTTATATATATATATATATCTCCAGCAAGAAAAAAATATATATACATATATACATATACATACACACATACACACACGCGTGAGAAAGAAAGAGTGGAGGTATTTGTTAGGTGAGAAACGTAGACGTTTTACTCTTACTTACATGATTGTGTGAATAATAATATCAAGCTGCACATTTTTATTAATCCCTAAATACATGGCAAACTAGAAGTGAGGTTGATATGCTATAAACATATCTTCTTTCTTTCTCATTCCAAATTCCACTGCTGCCCTCTGATCAGACCCCAGGTTAAATCTGTTCCCTCAGAGGCTTCCCTGGAATCCATCCCCCTCTTTCCATCCGGGCATCTTTTCAGACCTTTCGCACCTCTCACATGAACTATCACCAGAGCCATATGCTTCTAACCGGTCTCCCACTCTCCAGTCTTTCTCTAGTACAAGCTACTCCTCACATTGCCAGAGTGACCTTTCTAAAATGCAAATCTGAACATGTCGTTCTCCTGTTTAAAATTCTTCAGTGTTTCTCAACAGTCTAGGATAAACCCTGAGATCAAACCCATGTGAGAGCTTCCATAGCTCATAGAGCTGTTTTGCCAGCCATCTTTCTCACAGGCATTTCTTCATCCTCCAACTGCACAAGGAAAGAATCCATGCACATAGCTTAGTGTAATGACTGGTACAGTGTACATGCTAAATAAATACTAGCCAATATATTTATTTCCCCTTTATTCTCCTCCTCCTCTTCCTCCTCTTCGTGGAATTTATTATTATTATAATACTAACAGGCAATGATAAGCTTCACACTTATACTCTAGCCATTCCTCAAACTAATAATAATACTCATGAAAAGGTATGATATAATATGATGAAGTTAATGAATATTTGGCATCCTCTATCTCATTTAATCTCTCACAGCCATGTGCACCACCTGGTGCCCACTAGGTGCTCAGTATATTCCTGTTATTTTTATATACCTAATCAATATAATAATAATGACATTTTTAGCCCTTATTATTCATAGCAACATGTTTTGGAAGGCGAAGCCATGGGTGTTTTTATTTTAAAAAACAAATTATTTACAAAGGAGTTAACTTATAAAAATGCTAGGCAACTTGGATGGTTTTATCTGGTGCTGGTAGTAGAGTAACAGCTAGAACTTGTTAGGGATACAGATGACGTGAGAATAGAGGCCATATTTTATAAATGATGGCAATATACACTTACATTTGTATTTCTGTCTTCTCTTTAAAACGAAACCAAATGCCCTGATGTTTCCAAATAACACAATTAAGTGGAATTTTTAAAACCACTTTCTATTTTCAAAATAATTTTACTATTATTTTATTGCATAGTGTGCAACCGCATAGATACCCACAGTACCCCTCCATTTTATCGTATCAAAGAAACTGTAGGCAACTTCATAGGCTGAGGGCTATTTTAAGTTCAAATTTCCAGCACATGGACAATGAGTAACAGCAACAATAAAACTGAGGATCTACATTTTTAAGATTAGTGCAAAATACATAACAAAAACTGTAGTAACGAGGCAGTCTTTTGAAGCTATCTGTATTTATTGGGCTCAGAAAAACAGGACCTCTCTTTTCTGAGGCTGAGAATCCTAAATATCCTTGAATATTGACCTCTTGGCAGAACTGGGCCCACTTTTTCAAAAGTCAATATTCATGTCACCAGGTATAGTGCTTTAAATGATAAGATTCTGAATTACTTAAATAACTACTATCTTCTAAGAAGTCATTTAAAAGAGATTAATTCACAGGTTGAGTATCTGAGACACTTTATTCCTCTTGTAAAGACATTGAGTCAGGCTGGGAATTAGGGACAGGAATCTAGATTTTTAACCAGCCCCTTCCATGATACTGAGGTGGGAAATCACAGGACTACATTTTAAATAACAGATTGATGAACTGGAACATAGAAGGCATCAAGGAGGAAAGAAGATAGGATGTACAACTCAAAATGTTGCTGCCAATAGTACTATATGTATTTTCCATTAGGGCCCGGACAGAGAGCTTTGCTGTAGCCGGAGACTTTTTGATTTGTTAGGCAAATTCTAGTGTGAACAATGAATAACGGTTCAGGAAGACAGCTATAGATTAAGAAGCACATCTTTCAATGTAGAGGAAACCTAGATACCTGTGTGTTTAGATGGGACACAGTCCCATTTGCATACAATATGTCCTTGGAGTTAAATCAGTCTCGGCTACTTAAGAAATAAGTACTTGATTTCTTTTCTATTTCTTATTTTTTTCCTTCTTAAATTCCTTTCATTCGTTTAATATCTTCACAGATCATATATATCTTCATGATTCCAGAGCTCCTCTCTGCATTCTTCTATCTGGTGTTCTGTGTAGATTCTTATTACTAATGTAGCTGGATCAAGCACCTGGACTTCTTCCTCTTCTTCTCTCCCAACTCTAGTGGAGGAGTTAGAGAAAGTGAGAGAATTGTCTTAAATGTTAATGCTGATACATTTCACTGTCATTGTTGCAAAATGTTGTTGCATTCTGATGATCCCAAGTAACAGGCGGGTATGATACCTCCTCTAGGAATAAGAAAGTTATAATGACTTTTCTTGATGTTATTGTTCACCCTTAGTCATGCTGATGATTCTTCTGTTTGAATAAAGCAAATAAGCTGTTCTTCACCTCCTCATTCATGCCAAGCCAATAAACAAGACAGAATCATGTTGGAAAACAAGCTTCTTATTTCTTATTTAATTAACTACCAAGGAACTCTTTAGGAGGAATGTGATCGTGAGCTAAATAATTACCTGAAGCCTAATTTTTCTTCCTTTCTATAAAAGATAAGCACAGAATAATTTGATTGGTAGAGGAAAAAAATACATTTCACAACCTGTTTTACATTGTTGAACACGATGAAGATTTTCTAATACTCTGCCTTCCTTGGCACTGTTACAAAGGGAAGAGCTTCTACCATAACCAGCATGAAAATAGAAAGTGATAAGAAAATTCTACTTAATTGTGTTCTTTGGAGAGCATCAGGGCATTTGGTTTCATTTTAGGGAGAAGATAAAGAGCAGCCCCAGGGCCAAAGCATGTTTCCCAGATATGCCCACTGTTTTCTTGCTTTATCCTCAAAATTACTTTTCTATGAGATTTTATCAGTGGAGTAGGCAGTTATGTCTTCGCATGTAAGCCTAAATAATAAAGACTTTATTTTTCTTTGTGCTATGCTGGATGGAGGTACTGAAGGCAGGAGGAAGGGTAGATGATATAGGTTTAATTTCTATTCTCTCTGGCAACTGGGTATCATTCAACAGTAAACAAGCAATCTCAGTTTTGCTTTATTTTAAAATAAGCCTGACTGGATATTTTCCATGGCTAGTTATATCCTTATCAGGGGAAATTTCAGAATTTGGGGTGAGATACTCTTCTGTGACAATAATAATGGCAACAAAAACCACGAAATGACAGCTGCTGTTTTTTGAGTGTTTACCAAATTTTAGAACCTATGCCATTTCTTTACATGTATTGTTTCTATACCTCATGCCCACCCGATGTGGTAAATTTATTCCTTTTTCTTTCTAAATCTTGAAACCTTGGCTTGTTGACACTAAACAACTTATTCCAGGTCTAAGAGTGAGTATGTGGCTCAGCATTATTTCCACATCTAAGGTCAAGGATCAGTTTTTAATGTTTTTTGTTTTGGTTTACTATACCACAAGCAGTTCTTTCAGAGGATGTCTCACTATATTATTTGGCATCTAATTCTGATAAGGCTAAGGAAAAAGAGAGAGAGAAGAAAAAGAAATAGAAGCAAGTCTCACTTCTAGTCAGTGTTCAGAAAATGAAGTCATGAAAACAGACTTCATGGTAAAGGAATCAGTCTTAGGTGAAGTTTAGAATCTGTCTCCTGGCAACTAACCTCCTGGCTTAGCATAATTTGAATTTAAAAGTGCTTGAGCCTTCGTAGTTCCCTGGGAGCTCTTTCTAGGCACAGAGGTGGAAAAAGTCTCAGCAAGGCTTTCAGGTATGAAATTTCCAAGGCATACAATATTTATTGATGTTTATATAACATATATGTTGCAACATTTCTGTTGATTAGGAGAACATTAAGTATCAGTAAAATGTCATTATTTGATCTCCTTCTATTTCATACTGTTATATCTATTTCCTTCCTCTGCAAAACAATTGCCATTACTTAACCTTAACTTCTGCATTGCAGATGCACAAACAAAAGGCCAAAGAGGCTAGATGTCCTAAGGGATAAACCTGCTTGGAATAATTCTGTTCCTGTTTACATGTCCATTGTTAACTAACCATTTATTTGCATGCCCCCATATCTTCTGGAAATCATGACTGTCTATTGGGAAATGATAATACCAGCTAATTTCTTTTTCACAATTAATTGAAATTTTACACTCTTACATTTCAATATCCATCAATATTTTTACATACTGACACTTTTAATCAAGGATTATCTTTCACAGGGGAGCTGTAACAGGGCCCTAATTAATTAAAGTGATAATTACTCCTCTCCCTCGCAGTTTGTTAGTTACATAACACATTCTCCAGGAAATTCACATCCTTAGAATTCCTCTTTAAATTTCTCTCATTTATAAGGAGATACCTTGGCTTCTATCTCTGTAAGAATTTACTGAAAACTCAAATAAATTTATCATCTAGCATTAGGAAAGAAAGGCGGCCATCTTTATTTTTTAGCAAGTTTTCATATTCAAACCAAATAAAATGAGATTTTCCTATCATTGAAATGTTCAGTTTGAACCGCAGGGGTCGTTTTCATGGAAAAAAAACAAGATTGTCAAATGACTCCCCTTTGCTATTCACCAGCTTATTCTAGCTTCTTCATCACAGTGCAAGTTCCCGTGGTCCATTCCTCTTGGATCTTTTTTTTTTTTTCCACTTCCATTCCTCAGCTGCAATTGCTCTTGCCTCTCTGTGGTTTATCTTAGTGCGTAAGGTTTGTTACATTCTCTGGTCCGGTTTAATTCCGTTATTTGAGTAGACATGGGATTCTAGAGTATTGGCAATTATTGGCAGCCTTGCTCTCTTCTCCTTTAATAGCTATTGCCCCGTTCCTATATTTTGGCATCTCTTGGTGTCTGAGATGCACTTTCAGAAATAATTGGTGGTGACTCTAAATTCATTCAGTTTATCCCCTAAGACTTGGGAATCCAGATCATTGAAATCCCTGCACCAAATATTGGTCAGATTTGCTAAAGGTCATTCCTGTTTGGTTTGCATATTTTAATTATATTAGTGTGACTTACTCATTTCACTTGCAGTAAACATTTGACTACATTTTAAAATTATTATTTCTCCCAAATTCCTGAGTGTTCTTACTTTACTTTTCTAATACATGTGAAAATGAAATTTGATACCGAGGTCAGTTATCTGAAATTCAATTAGCTTTTTTTCTGTTACTATATATAATTATTGAAAGAATTTTTTTCTTGCTGCAATAGTTTTTTTAATAGACTTTATTTATTAGGCCAGTTTTAATTTCACAGCAAAATTGAGAAGAACTGTTTCCACAAACCTTTTGGCCCCACACACACCTACTCCCTTCCACTATCAACCTCCCCCACCAGAGTGATACATTTGTTTCAATTGATGAACTACATTGACACATCAGTATCACCAGAGCCCATAGTTTACATTAGGGTTCCTGCTTGGTGTTTTGCATTCCCTGATGTCCTAAGGGATATCCTAAGTGTAGTACTTCTCCTTCCCCTTTTGAGTAAGGCTAAGGCTATTGCATGGCAAATTATCCAGAATGTTACTTAGTTTCATGAGGTATATTATTCTTCATCTTTGTTCATTTAACTTTTACATAAGGTCAAGTAAAGTGTATAATGAAATTATACACTTTGGACAAGTGTATAATGGTATGTAGATGCCACTGTATGCATGTAGCGTCATACGAAGTATTTCCACTGCCCTAAAAAGCCTCTGTGCCCCTTCCATCTAGTATCCTCTTTACCTTAACTCCTGACAACCACTGATTTTTTTACTGTCACTATAGTTTGCCTTTACGGACTGTCATGTAATGGAAATCATACAGTATGTAGTTTTTTAGAATGACTTCTTTCACTTAGTAACAACTTTTTTCACCTGGTGTGTAAATTCAAATCATTTCAGGTTCCTCCATGTCTTTTCATGGCTTGATAGTTCCCTTCTTTTTAGCACTGAATGACAGTCCATTGCATTCATTTTTCTTTGGGATTTTCATTAAATCAGTAAATGTTTTGCCATGCTTCTTGAAGATAAATTTTAGCCAGGCATTAGAGAAATATTTTTTCTTTTTGCTATTGTATTATTTTATTCTTGTTCTGTATTTTCTCTAATCTTACATTTCCATATTCTTAAGCTCTAGAACTTTCTAAAACTGGTCACAGAACTCTTGCTCTGAATATTTTAATTCTCTTTTTCATCTTCCTTTAACCCACCATATCCTCATTTCAGTACTTAGAAAAGAGCATTGTTTCTTAGCATCTTGTAGTTTTTAACTGTCTTTACTTTCCTGTGATTATATCTTTTACATGATTTTTTAAATTCAGACAACAAAAATCTTTCACTTCTCTCTGTTGAAAGATTTAAGTGGTTTGTTTACCAAGTT